>NC_000012.12:18959650-19584650 GCF_000001405.40 Homo sapiens | reverse complement strand
TGGATGGCAGCAGGCAAAAAGAGAGCTTGTGCAGGGAAATTACCGTTTTTAAAACCATCAGATCTCATGAGACTCATTCACCATCACGAGAAAAACACAGGAAAGACCCACTCCCATAATTCAATCACCGCCCCCTCCCCCCAACAACTGGGTTCCTCCCACGACACATGAGAATTGTGGGAGTTAAAATTCAAGATGAGATTTTGTTGGGGACACAGCCAAACCATAACAGAGAAGCAAGCACCTTCTTCACAAGGCGACCAGAGAAGGCAGGAGGCAGGTGCCACACAGTTTTAAACCACCAAATCTCATAAGAACTCACTCACTATCATAAGAATTGGGAAACCACCCCCATGATCCAATCACCTCCAACCAGGTCCCTCCCCCAACACATGGGGATTACAATTTGAGATGAGACTTGGGTGGACACAGAGCAAACCATGTCATTCTGCCCCAGTCCCTCCCAAATCTCATGTCCTCACATTTTAAAACACAATCATGCCTTCTCAACAGTCTCCCAAAGTCTTAACTCATTCCAGCATTAACACAAAAGTCCAAGTCCAAAGTCTCATCTGAGACAAGGTAAATCCCTTCCACTTATGAGCCTGTAAAATCAAAAACAAATTGGTTACTTCCAAGATACAATGAGGTGATGGGCTTTGGGTAAATGTTCTCATTCCAAATGGGAGAAATTGGCCAAAACAAAGGGGCTACAGAACCCGTGCAAGTCCAAAACCCAGCAGAAGAGTCAATGAATCTTAAAGCTCCAAAATAATCTCCTTTGACTCCATGTCTCACATTGAGGGCATGCTGATGCAAGGGGTGGGCTCCCACAGCTTTGGGTAGCTCTGCCTCTGTGGCTCTGCAGAGTACAGCCTCCATGGCTGTTTTCACTGGCTGGCATTGAGTGCCTGTGGTTCCTCAAGGCACATGGTGCAAGCTGTCAATGAATCTACCATTCTTGGGTCTGGAGGATGGTGGCCCTCTTTTCACAGCTCCACTAGGCAGTGCCTAGTGCAGACTCTGTGTGGGGGCTCCAACCCCACATTTCCCCTCTGTGCTGCCCTAGTAGAGGGTCTTCATGAGGGCTCCACCCCTGCAACAGACTTGTGCCTGGACATCCAGGCATTTCCATACATCCTCTAAAATCTAGGCAAAGGCTCCTAAATTCCTGCCTTCTGCACACCCACAGGCCCAACACCATGTGGAGGCTGCAGAAACTTGGGGCTTGCACCATTTGAAGCAACAGCCCAAGCTGTACCTTGGTCATTTTTGCCATGGCTGGAGCTGGAGTAGCTGGGACACAGAGTGCCATGTCCTCATGCTGCACAGAGCAGTGGGGCCCTGGGTCTGGTCCAAGAAACCAATTTTCCCTCCTAGGCCTCTAGGCCTGTGATGGGAGGGGCTAGCACAAAGGTCTCTGACATGCTGTGGAGACATTTTCCCCATTGTCTTGGATATTACCACTCAGCTCCTCGTTGCATATGCAAATTTTGGCAGCCAGATGGCTTAAATTTCTCCCCAGAAAAATGGGTTTTTATTTTCTACCACATGGTGAGGCTGCAAATTTTCCAAGCTTTTATGCGCTGCTTCCCTTTTCAACATAAGTTCCAATTTCAGACCATCTCTTTGTGAATGCATATGACTGTAAACTTTCAGAAACAGCCAGGCACCTCCTGAATGCTTTGCTGCTTTGACGTTTCTTCTGCCAGATATACTAAGTCATCTCTTTCAAGTTTAAAATTTGAAAGATCTCCAGTGCAGGGGCAAAATACCACCAGTCTCTTTGTCAAAGCAGCAAGAGTGACCTTTGCTCCAGTTCCCAATAAGTTCTTCATCTCCATCTGAGACCACCTCAGCCTGGACTTCATTGTCCATATCACTATCAGCATTTTGGTCAAAACCATTCAACAAGTTTCTAGGAAGTTCCAAACTTTCCTACATCTTCCTGTCCTCTTCTGAGGCCTTCGAACTCTTCCAACATCTGTCCGTTACCCAGTTCCAAAGTTGCTTCCACATTTTCAGGTGTCTTTATAGCAGTATCCCATTCCTCGTACCAATTTTCTGTATTAGTCTGTTTTTACACTGCTATAAAGAACTACCTGAGGCTGCATAATTTTTTAAGAAAAGAGGTTTAATTGACTCACAGTTCTGCATAACTAGGGAAGCCTCAGGAAATTTACAATCATTATGGAAGACAAAGGAGAAGCAAGCACCTTCTTCACAAGGCAGCAAGAGAGACAGAGAGGGAGGAAACTGACACACATTTTTAAACCATCAGATCTGGTGAGAACTCACCATCATGAGAACAGCATGGGGAAGACCGCCCCCATTATCCAATCACCTCCCACTAGGTCCCTCCCCTGACACACGAGGATTACAATTCAAGATGAGATTTGGGTGGGAACACAGAGACAAACCACATCAGAGGGCTAAGGATAAGGATGGAAGGTCTGCCCAGCAGAGCCCCCAGAAGGTCTACAAACTCAGAAACACTGATTACCATGGAGGGTGAGAGAAAGAGACAGGGCTGGACGCTGGAATTGGCTGACAGTGCATACGTTGGTTTTCTCTTTGTCCCTACCTCCTTGACCAGAACGTTTAGCAGTCACACAACCCCCACACCTCCACCACCAGGAGAAAGACTGACTTATCTCCAGTGAAATAAGACTGAACCATCTGGGAAGAACCAGAATAGACAATGTCAATGTTGTTGCCCCTCAACAAATCTCTTCTGGAACTTAGGGATCCCCCAGCTTAGCAGCAGTCTCGCTGGCCATGCCCTTTAATATGAAACCTACCGGTCAAAAAGCCTCACTCACAGGCACCCAGAACTAATTTTCTATTGTGTAAGTCTTCATTTTTAAGAAATCAAATATGTGCACATGTTCAGAATTTAAAAATAAAATAATATAAAAAGTCAAACTCTCTCTCTCCCTGTTTCCCACCCACTTCCACCCCAAAGGTAACACTTCTTATTAATTTCTTGACTATTATTCTAGAATTTTCATGCAAATATAAGAAAATATGTTTGCATATCCCATTTTCATTTAAAAATAGTATATGATGAACACTGTTCAGTTTATTTTTTCAATGTTAGCCATTCGAATAGATGTAAAGTGATATCTCATTGTGGTTTTAATTTGCACTTCTCCCAAGAGTAACAATGTTGAGTATCTTTTCATGTGTTCTTTTGCCATCTATAACAGTTTCCTATGGCTTGTGTAATATATTACCACAATCTTGATGATTTAAAATGATGGAAGTTTATTCTCTCATAGTTCTAGAGGCCCAAAGTTTAAAATCAGTATCGCTGAGCTAAAATTAAGGTTCAGCAAGTGTCTTAATCCATTTTGTGTTGCTATAACAGAATACCTGAGACTGGATAATATATAAAGAAAAAAGGTGTATTTAGCTTGTGATTCTGCAGGCTGGGAAGTTCAAGGGTATGGCCTTGGTTTCTGACAAAGCCAGAAGTGCTTCTTTTATGCTGCATCATAACACGGCAGAGAAGGCCAAAGCAGAAGTTAACACATGCAAAGAGAGAGGACCAAACAGGAGGAGGAACCTCACTTTATAATATAACAACTTGCTCCTGAGGGAACTAATCAATTCTCAAGAGAACTAATCCAGTCTCATCAGAACAAGAACTCACTGCTGTGAGAACAGCACCAACCCATTCATGAGGGATCCACCCTCATGACCCAAATACCTCCCACTAGGCCCCGCCTCCAGTACCACCACATTGGGAATCAAATTTCAATATTAGTTTTGGTGAGGATAAACCATATCCAAATTATAGCACTTTCATAATATGGCCTTCTCTTCTATGGATACTTGTGATTGCCTTAGGCCCACCTGGATAATCCAGGGTAATCTCTCCATCTCATAGTCCTTAATTTAATCACACCTTTTGCTTTATAAGGGAGTAGTCTCCCTTTTGCCATATAAGGTAATATTTATGGGTTCCAGGGATTAAGAATAGATACCTTTGGGTGCCATTATTTAGCCTACCACAATAGTCAATAGAAGAATTGGAAAATAAAGTTGAGAAAATCTTCCATAGAAAAAAACAAAAAAAATGTAGAGAAAAAAACAAGAGACATTTCAGATCAATTCAAGAAGTCAAACATCCTATCAGGTGTAGTCACAAAAAAAGATAATAGAAAACAGAAAGATGAAAGAACACTCTACAAGAAGGTACAATAGACTAATAAAAAATATCTATAAGGACACTAAATCAATCTAGCACAGCAGTAAGAGATAAACCCTCAAGCCAATAAATCAAGAAATAGTAACTTATCTGTAGATTAAAACAACAGCAACGAATCATTTTGCTCATAAATTTGCCATTTAGGCAGGATTTGGCAGGAGCTTATTTCCAGGAATCATCAACTGATATCGATCAAACTGGATCTGGAACAATGCATGTTTTAAATGTTTCATGCACAGGTAGGCCAGGCATGGTGGCTCACGCCTGTAATCCCAGCACTTTGGGAGGCCGAGGGGGCAGATCACTTGAGGTCAGGAGTTCAAGATCAGCCTGGCCAACATGGCAAAACCCCATCTCTACTAAAAATAAAAAAATTAGCCAGGCATCAGGGCGCAAGCCTATAATCCCAGCTCTTCAGGAGGCTGAGATGCGAGAATCGCTTAAGCCTGGGAGGCGGAGGTGGCAGTGAGTCAAGAACACGTGCCTGCATTCCAGCCTGGGTGACAGGGTGAGACTCTGTCTCAAAGAAAAATAAAAAATAAAATAAAATGTTTAATGCACATGTATGACAAGCTGATGCTCAATGTGAACTGGTAACTCAGTTAGGGCTGCAGAGCTGAGGGCCAAAGGCTCAGCTCCCTCAACCTGGATCACTCTACTTGTGTGTTAGGCTTCCTCACAGCAAGGTGGCTAAGTGCCAAGGACAAAAATCTCAAAAAAAAAATAAGGCAGAAGCTCATGACATTTTTAGGACCTAGCCTTGGAAGTCATATAACATCACTTCTACAATAGTCTATTGGCCAAGACAGTCAAAAAGGCTGTCTCCAAGGTTCAAAGGAAGGGCAAATACTCTACCTCTTGATAGGAGAAAAGCCAGTTTCTAGAGAGTTATGTGGAAAAAGGAGGTATTGTTGTGATGATCTTTAGAAAATATAATCTGCCTCAGTAACCTTAGCATATTATTTGGAGATATAAAGTTAACCAGAAGAGCTCAATATAGAGTAAGTTTGAAAGAATTAAAAGAAGTTGACCCTAGAGGATGAGACTGTAGCTGGAAAACAGTCGCAGAGGGGGTGAGAGGGACTGTGATTCTTTAATTTAAAGCCTTCTGTAATTTTTTTTTTTTTTCTGAGACAGAGTTTTGCTCTTGTTGCCCAGGCTGGAGTACAATGGCACAATCTCAGCTCACTGCAACCTCCGCCTCCTGGGTTCAAGTGATTCTCCTGCCTCAGCCTCCTGGGTTCAAGCGATTCTCCTGCCTCAGCCTCCCGAGTAGCTGGGATTACAGGCACCCACCACCAAGTCTAGCTAATTTTTTGTGTTTTTAGTAGAGACGGGGTTTCACCATGTTGGCCAGGGTGGTCTCGAACTCATGACCTCAGGTGATCCGCCCATCCCAGCCTCCCAAAGTGCTGGGATTACAAGCATGAGCCACCATGCCCGGCCAGCCTTCTGTAATTTTTTAAATCCAGGGCATGTACTAGTTTGATAATTTTTTTAAGAGTGCATTTAGAAAAATACAAATGTGGCTAAGATATTAGCTGCTTTCGTACCTTCACAAGCTGACACTTCTGGTCTCACATCAGCCAGTCCTCAGATATCAGCTTCTTCACTGGTTTTCGTGAAAAAAACAATCACTCCAAATTTGGTGATTTATTACACCATGCACATGTTTCACATTACACGCAATGAATTGTTACATTTAGGTTTTCCTAAAAGTAATGTTTAAATCACTTATCAAACTATTACATGCACTTGAGTTTTGAAATTCAAAAACTATAAACAGCTTACAGTGAAAAGCAATTGCCTCACCCTACCTGCTTTCTATTCCTACTCCATTCTCCAGGGTCAGTCTCTTTTAATGCTTTTCAACTAATGCTTCTTCTGGTGGTGTTTACTTTTAAAATCCTCCATTTGAAAGTTCTTGTGGCTAGGCATAGTGGCTCATGCCTGGAATCCCAAAACTTTGGGAGGCAAAGACAGGCAAATCGCTTGAGCCCAGGAGTTCCAGACTAGCCTAGACAACATGGCAAAAACCCATTGCTACAAAAAAATACAAAAAAATTAGCCAGGCATGGTGATCCGTGGCTGTAGTCCCAGCTACTACAGAGGCTAAAGTGGGAGGATCCCTTGAGCACAGGAGGTTGAGGCTGCAGTGAGCTGGGATTGTGCCACTGCACTCCAGCCTGGGCAAAAGAGTGAGACTGTCTCAAAAAAAAAAAAAAAAAAAAAAAAAAAAAATTCTCTCCTCCCAAGTCTCCTAAGTCTCTTCTCTGTGTCCTTCAATTTTCCTTCCAGCCCCAGTCCATAGCCTCCTGTTTGCCTCCATAACAGTAACTCATGCAGAGGTTCCTCTGGTTCTCTGAGTCCCAGGACAGCTCCCACCTCAGCCTGGAGGCCTCCACTTCAGCTCCTGAACAAGCTGGTCAAAGCTACTCCTCTTCAAAGGCTTGGATTTCCCCACAAGAAATTTTACACCTGCTGCTCATATAAAAGAAAGTGTCTCCTTATTTTATACAAATAAGTAAAATATAGAGTAATACAATCAATAATGAAAGTACAGTATTTTTAGTATCAAGAAATATATACCAAGAAAGAATGTCTAACGCTAAGGAAATCAGGAAACACATTCAAGAGGGAAGAAATAATTTAGGAAATAGAGAAGCCTTTTCAGATAGATAGAAAGACCTAGAAATAGTAAAAATCACATAGTGTATTAGGACAACCTTATTTTTGGAGAATAAAATTAAAGAGGAGAAGATGTGAGAAATGAGCCTTAAAAAGTTAATGTAAACCAGATGGTTCTTATACACAAATCTAAGGACCTGGACTTGAGCCCACAGTCCAAGAGTTAAACACTTAAATACCTGTAAATACCAAATAGATCATGGAAATTAGCAAAATGAGATCATATGAATGAGAAGAAGAATAGAAAGTATAGAATCCTGTGAAAAACAGGGGAAATCATGTCCTTCCAAAGAGAACAATGTAATTATTCTTATGCAAAAATGTAAGGCTGGCATTACCAGAGCTTCTGGGTTTTTTGTTTGTTTGTTTGTTTTTAATAAGAGCAGGCTATCTAGATTTCCTGTCAAATTTCCCAGTTGGCAACTATTACATGTTTTTCCAGGCTCACAGTTTATGGAGGAAAAAGTGTGTCTGTGTGTATTACACACACACACACACACACACACACACACACACAATTTTTTAAGTAAACTACGCACACATATATACATTTTTTAAGTAAACTAGCTTCAGCTTGTTTTAACCAACAGACCTCAAGTTTTCACCTCTCCCAAAACCAACAGGGAAAAAACATTACAACATTTTAAGACAGGGAAAGCTATGGTCAGTGTTAAAGATCACTCTGGCAGCAGGCTGTAGGATGGATTGAGTGTGGGGGGAGAAATTGAGTGTAGAGAGATGAGTTGGAAGGCTCTTGCAATCTACTGTTGGTAGTAGATGTGCTGACAGTCCAAACTGGGACTGTCCATTTTATTTTATAATCAATTATTATTTGTCAGTCCAAAGAGGTAAAATGGCATTGAGCATTTCTTACCAGACTTCAACCACAAAGGATCACTATGAACTTCCTTATTTCTGTAAATTCTGGGTGTTACATAGACTTTCAGAGATAGCCTGAATTTATCTCTTCATTACACTCCGTAACTTCCATTTTCTTTTCATAAATGCATGTCAGTAGTAATAAAAAGAAAGATTATACAGCTAGCTTTAGAAAGTCAGCTGGTTGAACCTCTACCCACTGCTTCTCTATTATATCAGTTTTAGAAGTAAACAGAGACATTTTCTGCAAATGGTTCCCATGTGCTCACATCTCTGAATGTAAAATAAACAGTGCAGGTCATGAAAACAGAGTGTTTTAAACAGAGAATTCCAACTGGGAAATTTGTCTAAACATGAACTTTATTTTTACAGTCATTTAAAGATGTCTTTAATCTACCTATTAAATTAACTTTTAAAAAGTATAAAATGGGGAAAGAAAAATAGAGGAGAGAGAGAGCTTATTCATCTATCCATCTGTTTTTCCATAACACTAAATACTTCCATTTCTAGGTGCTAAAGTATATAAATATGATATATATACAATTTTCAACACATAATTATTGCATCTAAGCAACAGATACAGAGAAAATTTTAGTTACTATCAGCATATTTGTAAGATTTTTCTGAACCAAATCTTTGCAAGACAGATCAAATGCCATCTTAGTTTTATGTTCCAACCAATTCAAGCAGTGAGAAAAAATGTCCCTAGTTCCATAGACAGGATCTGTCAGGTGCTAGCCAGGCTTAGCCCAGTCCTATTCCATGAGTTCACAGGATATCCCTGGGCATCGAGCCAATCCCACTTGTCCCCAGAATGCAAAGGAAATGAGATACTACATTAATATGTCATTTTGTGCCAGTCGGGCTTTGAAGATAGTCCAGGCTTCAGTGATATTATCAGCCATTTGCAGCCCTGACCAGCACAGGAAGAAGTCAAAACTCACATGCAGGAAGGGGAGCCAGGGCCTGCTTTCCCACCAAGCCCTGGGCTCTGGGCTTTGTTCTCACTATTTCCAAGCCTTCTTTTTTTTTTTCTATAAAGATATGTATGGATATGACCTTTCACCAGAGACCCTATGCTCATTGCTGTAAAATTCCCTTTCTCCATGGGGATAAAAATCAGCACTCATACCCACCGTGTGTTTTGGGTAAGTTTGTTCCTATTTCTCTCTATGGAGCTTCAAAGAGGGTATAGCTCCTTCTGAGATTAGAGTAAAGGGAAAGCTAAATTCCTGGGAATTCTTCTGGAACTGTGACAAAGAGAGATATGTTCCAGATATCCTGAGTTGAAAAGTGAAATACATTTTCTCATAGAAACGATCATTAGCTTCCCAGGCAAGTTCATAAAATCCTATTTAATCCATGGCATTCTTAGAATATTTCAGAAATTCCTATGCAATTCATCTACTCTGTTCTCATTTTTTCCCAGCTTGTTTTTCCTAGCTGACTAGTACGGATATGATCCTCCTTTGCCATATTCTCCAACCTTCTCCCTTCAAATTTACAAAGTCCTGTATGTGTTTTGTGTAATCTACTAGATACTAAAAACCTACATATGTTCAATTGATGAGTCTTGCAGTTGCAGTTGCCTACCCCACCTCAGGTCATTGACAGAGTATGGATATGTTTCACAGCTCTTTCTTTTCCTTCTGTGCTAATGACCTTTAGCTTTCATGGAAAGCATGGAAAAGTTTAGGGCCTCTTATTAAAATGGTGAATCTGCCAGAGACAGGCTCATTTCTAAATGAAATTTTTATGTGATATATATTGCTTAATGGGAAAAGAATAGATGGTTTATTAGTTGGGGGCGAGAAAACTGCTCACTACGCGGGGAAAAACAAATCACTCTTCTGAATCTTAAGATTACCCTTTCCTTGCATTTGAAGAGAAGAGGGGAAAAACAGGAAGAGAAGTACACTGAACTCTTGAAATGTACAGACTGGACAATTTTGATAGAGCTTGTCAGTGTTGGTGTGTGGGCAGGTGGCCCACTGCACAATCCACACATGGCACATGGTCCACCTTTGATGGGTGAATTCTCTATAAGCTTCAGCTTGGCTCCCATTTGCTGCCTCAGGACAGCCACCAGTGAAACTCACCAGGTTCCTGATACCCACCTCATTTCTCTCCACCCTCCAGCAGAGGGCTTATCACCCCATAACTCTAATCTCCTGTAAACTCTAATCCCATAACCCAGATGTCCTCCTCTCCTCTCCCCAAGGCCACAGATGAGGCAATCTCATTCTTCCTCAAGTTTCTTGCTAATTATATAGCTATAGTATAATGTGCCTAGATTCTTTCAGTTCCTTTCTTTTGGCTCTCAAAATCCTGTTTGGAAGAAAAAATAAGAAAAAAAAAAAAAAAGGTAGAGTGCGCAGTGGCTAATGCCTGTAATCCCAGCACTTAGGCCGAGGCAGGAGAATTGTGTGAGCCCAGGAGTTTGAGCCTCGCACCACTGCACCTCACTGGACAAGACCCACTGGCCTGGGACCCTAGCGCAGCCAGCCCCGCCTAACTCTTAGGTGGGGGGCAACTCTCCACTTCCCTGGGCCACGGCTCCTAGAGGATGCAGGCAGGCCACCATTTTTGCTGCTCTGCCATCCTCTCTCCTGTTGCCCCCCAGGTTCCTGAGGGAAGCTGTGATTAGGAACTAAGACAGGCCTCCAGCACAGCAGCGCTTCGTGGAAAAGCTGCCAGACTGTTTTCCATGGGGTGACAGCCCTTGCTCCTCCTCACTGGGCAGGGCCTCCCAACCTGGGCCCCCGCACGACCAGCCTGAACTAGGGAAGGAACAAAGGGCCTGCTCGCTACTCTGGAACCTCGAGCGAGCGCATGGCAGCCACCATGCAGAGAGAAGCCCAGTCTCTCTTCCCTGAGAGCCCCCACCCCCACTCTTCACCAGGCAGGGCCCCCAGCTCTGGACCACAGAGCAGCCGCCCCACCCCCGGCTGAGCACACCCATTTTGCTGGGGGCTCTGAGTTTCCCTGGAGAGGGGGGGCGGTCCCAAAGGCAACCGACAGCCCCTCTGTCGCAGCCACTGCATCGGTTCTGCCCTTGCTGCCCTTGGACTGGAGAAGGAACAGAGCCTGGAAATTTTACTGGCGCCTCCAGCACGCCACAGTCACCGCAGAGAGAGGGGCCCAGTCTCCTTTCCTGTGAGCCCTCGGCCCCCACTCTTCACCAAGCAGGGCCGGCTCAGGCCAGCAGCGCAGCCGTCTCACCCCCTGGCTGAACATTCCCATTAGCAGCAGCTCTGCGCATCTCCAAGATAGAGAGCTCCCAGAGACAACCAGAAGCCCGTCTCTCACTGCCACCGCAGCGGTCCTGCCCTTGCTGCCTTCAGATTGGGAAAGGAACAAAAACCCTGAGTGCTTTACCCACACTTCCAGCACACCACAGCCGTCCTAAGGAGAAGAGGCCAGTCTGTCTCTCCTGTGAGCCATCGGCCCCCCTGTTCACCACCAGGCCGGGCCCCTTGGCTTAGGCCCACAACCCAGCCACCTCACCCTCGGCCAATCCCGCTGATTGGGAGCGGCTCGGCATTTCTCTGGGATGGATCCCCAAGAGACAAGTGAAAGGACCTCTTCCACAGCCACCGCCAAGATCCCTTCCCCTGCTTCCTCCAAGCTGTGGAGGGAACATAAAGCCTGAGCTCGGCTCAGGACTTCAGTGTGCAGCCCGGGAGTGGCAAGCCGAGATCTGCAGCCAGAATCGAGGAGTAGAGGAGCCCAAACATTGGGAGTGCTGAGAGGGAGTACAACTACAAACACAAGGAAATACAGAGGACCCACATGGCTGAGCAAGAGCCTACCTAATTGGCCATTACACTTAAGCGCCATCTGCTGGATCACAGCCCAAATTTCAACACCAAAAACGTTTTGCTAATACATCCTCCTGTGAAACCAAAGATAAGAATTCACCTGTTAATACAAATAAAGACCCTGCACAAAGCCTCGGCCCTCTGAAAACATCCAGAAAACTGACTGTACTCAAATTACAGCACAGATAAAGGAACTTCAGCCCAGATGAGAAAGAACCAGTGCGAGAACTCTGGCAACTCAAAAAGACAAGAGTGTCTTCTTTCCTCCAAATGATGGCACTGGTTCCCCAGCAAGGGTTCTTTAACAGATTGAAATGGATGAAATGACAGAGCCAGAATTCAGAATATAAATAGGATTGAATATCATCAAGACTGGGGAGAAAGTCAAAACCCAATTCAAGGAATCTAAGGATTGCAGTAAAACAATCCAGGAGCTGAAAAATGAAATGGCTTTTATAAGAAAAAACCAAACTGATCTAATAGAGCCAAAAAACGCATTACAGAAATTATATAATACAATCACAAGTATTAACAGCAGAACAGACCAACCTGAGGAAAGAATCTTAGAGCTTGAAGACTGATTCTCAAAAATAACTGTCAGAAAAAAGGTATAAAGAAGAATAAACAAAAACTACAAGAAATATGGGATTATGTAAAGAGAGAAAACCTATGACTCACTGGCATCCCTGAAAGAGAGGAAGAGAAAACAAACAACTTGGAAAACGTATTTGAGGATATCATCCAGGAAAATTTCCCCAGCCTCGACAGAGAGACCAACATTCAAATTCAGGAAATGCAGAGAAATGACCATCTCCAAGACACATAATCATCAGATTATCCAAGGTAAACATGAAAGAAAAAATATTAAAGGCACCTAGAGAGAAGAGGCAGGTCACCTGCGACGGGAAATACATCAGGTTAACCGTGGATTTTTCTGCAGAATCTCTACAAGCCAGAAGAGATTGGGGGCCTATACTCAGCATTCCTTAAAAAAAGAAATTACAACTAAGAATTTCATAAACCGACAAATTAAGCTTCATGAGCGAAGGAGAAATAAGATCATTTTCAGAGAAGCAAATGTCAAGGGGATTCATTACCATTGCCTTACAAGAGGTACCTAAGAAGGTGCTAAATCTGAAAACAAAAGACCTTCACCAGCCACTACAAAAACACACTTAAGTACAGAGACCACTGACACTATAATGCAACCAAAGCAACCATACAATCAAGTCTGCATAGTAACCAGCTAACAATAAGATAGCAGCATCAAATCTACACGTCAATATTGACCTTAAACGTAAGTTGGCTAAATGTCCCAGTTAAAAGACACAGAGTGGCAAGTTGGATAAAGAAGCAAAACCCAACTCTACGCTGTCTTTAAGAGATCCATCTCACATGCAATGACACCATAAGCTTAAAGTAAAAGGATGGAGAGAAACCTACCAAGCAAACAGTAAACAGAAAAAAGCAGAGGTTGCTATTCTAATTTCAGATGAAATAGACTTTAAACCAATAATGATCAAAAAAAGATGAAAAGAGCATTACATAATGGTAAAGAGTTCAATTCAATAATAAGACCTAAGTATCCTAAACATATATGCACCCAGCCCAGGAGTACCCAGAATCATAAAACAAGTTCTTAGAGACCTATGAAGAGATTTAGATAACCACATAATAATACTGAGAGACTTCAACACCCCACTGACAGTATTAAACAGGTTATTGAGGCAGAAGGCTAAAAAGAAATACAGGACCTCAACTTGACATTTGACCAAATGGGCCTAATAGATATCTACAGAACTCACCACCCAAAACCAACAAAATATACATTCTTCTCATCTGCATGTGGCTTATACTCTAAAATTGACCACAGAATTGTCCATAAAGTGATCATCAGCAAAATTAAAAAATCATACCAAACACACTCTCAGACCACAGGGCAATAAAAATAGAAATCAACACTAAGAAAATTGGTCGGCCGGGCACGGTGGCTCAAGCCTGTAATCCCAGCACTTTGGGAGGCCAAGGCGGGTGGATCACAAGATCAGGAGATCGAGACCATCCTTGCTAACATGGTGAAACCCCGTCTCTACTAAAAAATACAAAAAAAAATTAGCCGGGCGTGGTGGCAGGCTCCTGTAGTCCCAACTACTCGGGAGGCTGAGATGGGAGAATGGCGTGAACCCGGGAGGCAGAGCTTGCAGTGAGCCAAGATCGCGCCACTGCACTCCAGCCTGGGCGACAGAGCAAGACTCGGTCTCAAAAAAAAAAAAAAAAAAAGAAAAGAAAATTGGTCAAAACTATATAATTACATGTAAGTTAAACAACCTGTTCTTGATTGACTTTGGATAAACAATGAAATTAAGGTAAAAATAAAGAAACCCTGTAAAACTAAAGAGAACAAAAACACAACATATCTGACTCTCAGGGACACAGCTAAAGCCATGTTAAGAGAAAAGTTTATAGTGCTAAACACACAGCGAAACATTAGAAAGATCTCATATTAAAAACATAACATCATACCTACAGGAACTAGAAAAACAAGAGCAAACAAATCCCAAAGCTAGCAGGAGAAAAGAAATAACCAAATCGGAGCTGAACCGAAGGGAATTGAGATGCAAAAAAAACATACAAGATGATCAAATTCGGGAGTTTGCTCTTTGGAAGAAAAAATCAGATTGATAGAAGACTAGTTAGACTAATAAAGCAAATAAGAGCGTTCTTCAAACAAACACAATGAGAAATACAAAGAGAACACTACCACTGACCCCACAGAAATATAGAAACCTCTCAGAGACTACTATGAACACCTCAATATACACAAACTAAAAAACCTAGAAGAAATGGATGAGTTCCTGGAAACATACAACCTCCCAAGATGGAAGCAGGAAGAAATTGAATTCCTCAATAGACCAATAATGGGTTCCAAAATTGAATCAATAATAAAAAGCCCACCAACCAGAAAAAGCACTGGACCAGACAGATTCATAGCTGAATTCTACCAGATGTACAAAGAAGAGTTGGTACCATTCCTACTGAAACTATTCCAAAAAATTGAGGAGGAGAGAATCCTCTCTAACTCATTCTATGAGGCCAGCATCATCATCCTGATACCAAAATCTGACAAAGACACAACGAAACAAGAAAACTTCAGGCCAATTTTTTTTTTTTTTTTTTTTTTTTTTTTTTTTGAGACGGAGTTTCATTCTTGTTGCCCAAGCTGGAGTGCAATGGCACAATCTCAGCTCACTGCAACCTCCCCTCCTGGGTTCATGACTCTCCCAAGTAGCTGGGATTACAGGCATGCACTACCACACCCAGCTAATTTTATACTTTTAGTAGAGACGAGATTTCTCCATGTTGGTCAGGCTGGTCTCGAACTCCCGACCTCAGGTGATCCACCTGTCCCGGCCTCCCAAAGTGCAGGGATTATAGGCATGAGCCACCGCACCCAGCCCCAATATTCTTGATGAATGTAGATGCAAAAGTCCTCAACAAAATACTAGCAAACCAAATGCAGCAGCCCATCAAAAAGCTAATCCACCACAGTCAAGTAGGCTTTATCCCCGGGATGCAAGGTTGCTTCAACATGCACAAATCAATAAATGTGATTTATCACATAAACAGAACTAAAGGCAAAAACACATTATCATCTTAATAGATGCAGAAAAAGCTTTCAACAAAACCCTCAACAAACTAGGCATTAAAGGAACATACTTCAAAGTAATAAGAGTCATCTATGACAAATCCACAACCAACATTTTACTGAATGGGAAAAAGCTGGAAGCATTCCCATTGAAAACTGAAATGAGACAAGGATGCTCACTCTCATCACTCTTATTCAATGCAGTACTGGAAGTGGTACCCAGAACAACCACGTAAAAGAAAGAAAAGGCCCATGCCTATGTCCTGAATGGTATTGCCTAGGTTTTCTTCTAGGGTTTTTATGGTTTTAGATCTAACATGTAAGTCTTTAACCCATCTTGAATTAATTTTTGTATAAGGTGTAAGGAAGGGATCCAGTTTCAGCTTTCTACATATGACTATCCAGTTTTCCCAGCACTATTTATTAAATAGGGAATCCTTTCCCCATTTCTTATTTTTGTCAGGTTTGTCAAAGATCAGATAGTTGAAGATATGCGGCATTATTTCTGGGGGCTCTGTTCTGTTCCATTGGTCTATATCTCTGTTTTGGTACCAGTACCATGCTGTTTTGGTTCCTGTAGTCTTGTAGTATAGTTTGAAGTCAGGTAGTGTGATGCCTCCAGCTTTGTTCTTTTGGCTTAGGATTGACTTGGTGATGTGGACTCTTTTTTGGTTCCATAGGAACTTTAAAGTAGTTTTTTCCAATTCTGTGAAGAAAGTCATTGGTAGCTTGATGGGGATGGCATTGAATCTATAAATTACCTTGGGCAGTATGGCCATTTTCACGATATTGATTCTTCCTACCCATGAGCATGGAATGTTCTTCCATTTGTTTGTATCCTCCTTTATTTCATTGAGCAGTGGTTTGTAGTTCTCCTTGAAGAGGTCCTTCACATCCCTTGTAAGTTGGATTCCTAGGTATTTTATTCCCTTTGAAGCAATTGCGAATGGGAGTTCACTCATGATTTGGCTCTCTGTTTGTCTGTTATTGGTGTATAAGAATGCTTGTGATTTTTGTACATTGATTTTGTATCCTGAGACTGCTGAAGTTGCTTATCAGCTTGAGGAGATTTTGAGCTGAGACGATGGGGTTTTCTAGATATACAATCATGTCATCTGCAAACAGGGACAATTTGACTTCCTCTTTTCCTAATTGAATACCCTTTATTTCCTTCTCCTGCCTGATTACCCTGGCCAGAACTTCCAACACTATGTTGAATAGGAGTGGTGAGAGAGGACATCCCTGTCTTGTGCCAGTTTTCAAAGGGAATGCTTCCAGTTTTTGCCCATTCAGTATGATATTGGCTGTGGGTTCGTCATACATAGCTCTTATTATTTTGAGATACGTCCCATCAATACCTAATTTATTGAGAGTTTTTAGCATGAAGGGTTGTTGAATTTTGTCAAAGGCCTTTTCTGCATCTATTGAGATAATTATGTGGTTTTCGTCTTTGGTTCTGTTTATATGCTGGATTACATTTATTGATTTGTGTATGTTGAACCAGCCTTGCATCCCAGGGGTGAAGCCCACTTGATCATGGTGGATAAGCTTTTTGATGTGCTGCTGGATTCTGTTTGCCAGTATTTTATTGAGGATTTTTGCATCAATGTTCATCAAGGATATTGGTCTAAAATTCCTTTTTTGGTTGTGTCTCTGCCAGGCTTTGGTATCAGGATGATGCTGGCCTCATAAAAGGAGTTAGGGAGGATTCCCTCTTTTTCTATTGATTGGAATAGTTTCAGAAGGAATGGTACCAGCTCCTCCTTGTACCTCTGGTAGAATTCAGCTGTGAATCCATCTGGTCCTGGACTTTTTTTGGTCGGTAAGCTATTGATCATTGCCTCAATTTCAGAGCCTGTTATTGGTCTATTCAGAGATTCAACTTCTTCCTGGTTTAGTCTTGGGAGGATGTGTCAAGGAACTTATCCATTTCTTCTAGATTTTCTAGTTTATTTGCATAGAGGTGTTTATAGTATTCTCTGATGGTAGTTTGTATTTCTGTGGGATCGGTGGTGCTATCCCCTTGATCATTTTTTATTGCGTCTATTTGATTCTTCTCTCTTTTCTTCTTTATTAGTCTTGCTAGTGGTCTATCAATTTTATTGATCTTTTCAAAAAACCAGCTCCTGGATTCATTAATTTTTTGAAGGGTTTTTTGTGTCTCTATTTCCTTCAGTTCTGCTCTGATGGTAGTTATTTCTTGCCTTCTGCTAGCTTTTGAATGTGTTTGCTCTTGCTTTTCTAGTTCTTTTAATTGTGATGTTAGGGTGTCAATTTTAGATCGTTCCTGCTTTCTGTTGTGGGCATTTAGTGCTATAAATTTCCCTCTACACACTGCTTTGAATGTGTCCCAGAGATTCTGGTATGTTGTGTCTTTGTTCTCATTGGTTTCAAAGAACATCTTTATTTCTGCCTTCATTTCGTTATGTACCCAGTAATCACTCAGGAGCAGGTTGTTCAGTTTCCATGTAGTTGAGCGGTTTTGAGTGAGTTTCTTAATCCTGAGTTCTAGTTTGATTGCACTGTGGTCTGAGAGACAGTTTGTTATAATTTCTGTTCTTTTACATTTGCTGAGGAGTGCTTTACTTCCAACTATGTGGTCAATTTTGGAGTAGGTGTGGTGTGGTGCTGAAAAGAATATATATTCTGTTGATTTGGGGTGGAGAGTTCTGTAGATGTCTATTAGGTCTGCTTGGTGCAGAGCTGAGTTCAGTTCCTGGGTATCCTTGTTAACTTTCTGTCTCGCTGATCTGTCTAATGTTGACAGTGGGGTGTTAAAGTCTCCCATTATTATTGTGTGGGAGTCTAAATCTCTTTGTAGGTCACTAAGGACTATAGGCATGGGCAAGGACTTCATGTCTAAAACACCAAAAGCAATGGCAACAGAAGCCAAAATTGACAAATGGGATCTAATTAAACTAAAGAGCTTCTGCACAGCAAAAGAAACTACCATCAGAGTGAACAGGCAACCTACAGAATGGGAGAAAATTTTTGCAACCTGCTCGTCTGACAAAGGGCTAATATCCAGAATCTACAATGAACTCAAACAAATTTACAAGAAAAAAACAAACAACCCCATCAAAAAGTGGGCGAAGGATATGAACAGACACTTCTCAAAAGAAGACATTTATGCAGCCAAAAGACACATGAAAAAAATGCTCATCATCACTGACCATCAGAGAAATGCAAATGAAAACCACAAGGAGATACCATCTCACACCAGTTAGAATGGTGATCATTAAAAAGTCAGGAAACAACAGGTGCTGGAGAGGATGTGGAGAAATAGGAACACTTTTACACTGTTGGTGGGACTGTAAACTAGTTCAACCATTGTGGAAGTCAGTGTGGCGATTCCTCAGGGATCTAGAACTAGAAATACCATTTGACCCAGCCATCCCATTACTGGGTATATACCCAAAGGATTATAAATCATGCCGCTATAAAGACACATGCACACGTATGTTTATTGCAGCACTATTCACAATAGCAAAGACTTGGAACCAACCCAAATGTCCAACAGTGATAGACTGGATTAAGAAAATGTGGCACATATACACCATGGAATACTATGCAGCCATAAAAAAGGATGAGTTCATGTCCTTTGTAGGGACATGGATGAAACTGGAAACCATCATTCTCAGCAAACTATCGCAAGGACAAAAAACCAAACACCACATGTTCTCATTCATAGGTGGGAACTGAACAATGAGAACACATGGACACGGGAAGGGGAACATCACACACCGGGGACTGTTGTGGGGTCGGGGGAGCGGGGAGGGATAGCATTAGGAGATAAACCTAATGCTAAATGATGAGTTAATGGGTGCAGCACACCAACATGACACATGTACACATATGTAACAAACCTGCACATTGTGCACATGTACCCTAAAACTTAAAGTATAGTAATAATAAAATTTAAAAAAAAAGAAAAAAAAAGGAGAAGATAATGGTTCAGAAGAAAAGCACAAGAATTTGGGGGGAAGGGAAGAGTGGCAATGAAAACGTATGCCTGTTGAAGTGTTTTTTTAAACCACTTCCAGAAATAACTGGCAAAATAAAGCCTCTAAATGTTTAAGCCAAATTAAAAAAAAAAAAGAAAGAAAGAAAGAAAGAAAGAAAAGGCATCCAAACAGGAAGACAGGAAGTCAAACTATCTCTGTTTGCAGTCAAAATGATTCTACATGTAAAAAACCCCATAGTCTCTGCCCAAAAGTTCTTTGGTCTCATAAACAACTTCTGCAAAGTTTGAGGATACAAAACCAATGTACAAAAATCAGTAGTACTTCTATACACCAACAATGACCAAGGTAAGAGCCAAATCAAGAAAACAGCCCCATTCACAATAGCCACAAAAAGAATAAAATACCTAAGAGTACAGCTAACCAGGGAGTTGAAAGATCTCTACAATGAGAATTACAAAATACTGCTAAAAGAAATCAGAGATTACACTAACAAATGGAAAAACATTCCATGCTCAAGGATAGGGAGAATCAGTATCATTAAAATGGCCATACTGTCTATAGCAAAAATGTTATACCTATCAAACTACCAATGACATTCTTCACAGAACTAGAAAAATACATATATTTTAAAATTCATATGGAACCAAAAAAAGAGCCTGAATACCCAAGGCAATCCTAAGCAAAAAGAACCAGGCTGAAGGCATTATGTTACCTAGCTTCAAACTACACTACAAAATATAGTAACGAAAACCATATGGTACTGGTACAAAAACAGACACGTAGCCCAGAGGGACAAAACAGAGAGCCCAGAAATAATGTTGCACACCTACAATCATCTGATCTTTGACAAAGTTGACAAAAAGAAGCAATGGGGAAAGGACTCCATATTCAATAAACAGTGCTTGGATAACAGGCTAACCATATGCAGAAGATTGAAATGGGCCCCTTTCTTACACCATAAGATGTATCAATTCTAGATGGAGTAAAGACTTAGACATAAAACACAAAACTATAAAAACCCTGGAAGATAACCTAGGAAATACTAGTCTGAGCATAGACCCTGGCAAAGATTTCATGATGAAGATGCCAAAACCAATTGCAATGAAAACAAAAATTGACAAACGGGACCTAATTAAACTTAAGAGCTTCTTCACAGCAAAAGAAACAATCAACAGAGTAAACAGACAACCTATAGAATGACAGAAAATATTTGAAAACTATGCATTTGACAAAGGTCTAATGTCCAGCATCTGTAAGGAACTTAAACAAATTTAAAAGAAAAAACAAACAACCATATTAAAAAGTGAGCAAAGGATGTAAGCAGACACTTTTCAAAAGAGGACATAAATGTGGCCAACTAGCATATGAAAAAGAGTCCAATATCACTTACAGAAATACAAATCAAAACCACAATGAGATACTGTCTCACATCAGTCAGAATGGCTATTACTAAAAAGTAAAAAATAACAGACGCTGGCAAGGTGGCAGAGAAAAAGGAATGCTTACACACTGTTGGTAGGAGTGTAAATTAGTTCGACTATTGTGGAAAGCAGTGTGGTGAGTCCTCAAAGAGCTAAAACCAGAAATACCATTTGACCCAGCAATCCCATTGCTGGGTATATACCCAAAGGAATATAAATCATTCTATCATAAAGACACATGCACGCGTATGTTCATCGCAGCACTATTCACAATAGCGAAGATATGGAATCAACCTAAATGCCCATCAATGGTAGGCTGGATAAAGAAAATGTGGTACCTATACACCATAGAGTACTGCACAGCCATAAAAATGAATGAGATCATGTCCTTTGCTGGAACATGGATGGAGCTGGAGGTCACTGTCCTTAGCAAACTAATGCAGAAACAGAAAAACAAATGCTGCATGTTCTCATTTATAAGTGGGAGCTAAATGATTAGAACATATGGACACTAAGAGTGTAACAAAAGATACTGGAGCCTATTTAAGAGTGAAGGGTAGTAGGAGGGAGAAGAACAACAGCAACAAAAAATAACTATTGAGTACTAGGCTGAGAACCTGAGTGATAAAATAATCTGTACCCTGTAACATGAGTTTACCTATATAAAAAAACCTGCATATGTACCTGTGAACCTAAAATAAATGGTAAAAAAAAAAAAACTACAAGTGTTTTATGTAAGCTTCATGGTAATCACAAAGAAAAAACCTGTAATAGATACAGAAAAGATAAAGAAAAAAGAATAAATGCATAACACTACAAAAAAAATTATCAAATCACAAAGGAAGACAGTAAAAGATTAAGAAAGGGACTACAAAAGTCAGAAAACAATTAACAAAATGACAATAGTAAGTCCTTACCTACCAATAAGTACTTTAAATGTAAAAGTACTTTTAATTGGCTGAATGGATTGAAGAAAAATATTCAACTATATGTTGCCTACAAGAGACTTACTTTAACTTCAAGGGGACACAAACATAGACTGAAAGTGAGAGATGAAAGAGATATTACATGCAAATGGTAACCCAAAAAGAGTAGGTGTGGCTATATTTTTATCAGACAAAATAGACTTTAAGTCAAATACTGCTGCAAGAGACACACAAATACTGCTACAAGAGACACAGAAGAGTATTATGTAACAATAAAGGCATCATTTCATCAAGTGAATATAATAACTGTAAACACATATGCACCCAACACCACAACACTCAAATATATTAAACAAACATTATCAGAACTGAAGGGAGAAATAGGCAGCAATACAATAACAGTGTAAACAGAGGAATTTCAATACCTCACTTTCAACATTGGATATATTATCCATACCAAAAAAAAAAATCAATAAAGAAATAGCAGACATGACCAACACTATAGACCAACTGAATCTAATAGACATATACAGAACATTCTTTGCAAGGGCACATTGAACATTCTCCAGGATAGGTTACATATTAGGCCACAAAACAAGTCTTAACAAATTTAAGAAGATTGAAATCACATCAAAGGTGCCAATAATAAACAATGAAAAAAGATAGTTTCCTCAATGAATGGTGTTGGGAAACGATATACATATATATATGCAAAAGAATAAAATCAAACTCTTATATTACACCATACACTAAACTGACACAGAAGAGAGGTCTCAGAGGTTCTTCATTCAGGGCTACTATGGGACATTTGTGGGTATCAGTTAAAGGGACACTTCTGGGAGGATTATAGGCATGCTATGTTTTAATATGCAAGGCACAGGCTGGACATCAGCCCCCATTCACTGACGAGGCAGGGTGTTATTTTAGGGTGAACAATTTATGCAGCTGTAAGTAGAAATCCAGCTCTTATGCCACAAGGCATGGCCTGAGTCCAACCATGCTTAAAATTATGTACATTTATTAATTTAATTTCCCCATATCCATTTCATTTTGCAAATTGTACCTTCCTCCTACACTCCATGTGTATCTGTAGTGCTTTTCAATCAAGGGGCCCATGCCTTGGACAAAAAGGAGGTTGTAGGACTCAAGATGGACAAAGTACCTGATCCCTTAATTACAATAATTGGCCAAGGAATAGGCATCTGGTCCCAAAAGTGCCAATAAGTTTCTTTCCTGCAGTGAGATAATTTTCTGCTGATGAGATGCCTGAGCTGTGGTTTTTGTCTAAAGCAGCAGATCACAACTTGATATACAGGAAGCCTACAAAGTTTTTCAAAAGCTTAGGCTAAATGGGTCAAAGACAGTTCAAAATGAAAAAGAGATCTCAAAAAGAAATCAAGCTGAGAATGCTACTCAGATGCAAGCACAAGCCATTTCTTAATGAAAAAGTAAGTGTGACTCAGAAGTTTGACCCACAACTCTGAAGGAAGACCCAAGAGCCACAGGGAACCACTCTAAAGGAGCAAGAATGAGTGAGTATTCCCTCTTCCCAGAGTAAGTAGAAATGGTGACATGTGCCCAGCTTGATTTCAAAACTGCTATAGACCAATAACAGCTACTTGCCTCCTTTCTTACCCCTTTTAAACAGGATTGTCCAGTGTGGTTATCCTACCTCTGTCCCATCTTTATATGCAATGTATATGGCTGTCAGACAACTTGCCACTTTTATTTACAGGGCCCTTTTCCTAAGAAACCACACCAAAGAATCCCAGACACCCTGGGATAAAGAAAGAACTTGTTTTACATAAACAGTATTTGTTGATAAAACTTTTAACATTATTTTGCTATATACATACACATATACTCTCATTCTTTATAACTAATTTTTCTCATGATTGCAAAATAGTTAAATTAGAAAAATGCAAATTGCTTTATTTTCTCCCTTATTAATATAGGTTCTCTTCCTATAATAAATAGAGATGTTAAGATAATCTCTCTAAACATAGCTTATTTGTTCCTTGCAATTATAACTACAGGAAAAATTATTAGAATTATGATTACTGGAGGGAAAAAAATCTACAATTCTGTGGTTCATTATTTATTGCCAAGTCACTTTTGAAAAAGAGTGAAGGGATTTACAGTGCCTCCAGAAAAAGGGAATATTGCCAGTGTCTCCAACATCTTGTCAATATTGAATTCCTCATTTTTGTTTATATCATTCTTAGTTTGGTTTTTTTACCAATTTTTAAATTTTAGATTAATATTTGTAAGTTGTTTTATGGAATCTTTCTCTACTACCATAACCATTGTCCATTTTTCCATTAACTTAATGCTTTCCTTAATATTTTTCTCCATAAATATTTTTATATTAGGTCTTAATCATTTATTACATATATTTGCCATTTTGTTTCTTTTACTTTCGTTGCACAGAAGCCTTACCTGTGCACCTAAAGGAAAAAAGATTCTCACTCACATTAGGATAAGCATATCACTTCTAATTTTTTATGAATTTTCTTTAAATACTTAACACTTATCTAATTACAGACGACTTATTAAAAAGGGGTTAGCATAAATATTAACTAACCTAATTCTCACTGGATCATTCTTTCAACTGTGTTAGAGAAGCATTCTCCAATTTTTGCCCTGTGGATAAGTTCCTAGCTTCAGGACAACTGTATGTAATAGCGAAATGGAAAAGAGAAAGAGAATATTCATGTTACATCATCTCACTGTATTCCTTATGTATCTTTTTATTCCTTATGTATCTTTTGTTCATACACATTTTTCCATCTTTTATTCCTTCTGTACATAATTCTGGGTAATTGTTTCTGACTTACCTTATAATTTACTAATTTCCTCTTCAGCTATAATTAATTTGTTACTAAATCCATCGATTAAGTTCTTAATTTCGGTTATTTTTTTATTTCTAGATTTTCTATTTTGTTCTTTTTAAATATTTTTCAGCTTTCTGTCAAAGTTCTTGAATTGTCTTTTACTTATTTAGCATAATTACCATAGTTTTAAATATGTATATTAAATATGTACATCCATTATATGAATCCCCTGTGAGCCCAGTGATATTGTCTATTGCTTCTCTTGTTTCTCACTCACATTGTCTTGCCTTCTGTGCGTCTACCAGTTATTTGTGATTAAGTGCAAAACATTGTATATGTACAAAACTGCAAAAATTATTTAAGACTTAAAATAATTTTATCTTCCCCCAAAGAAAATTTTACATTTGCCATAGACATAAGGCTATGGACAATAGCAATACCTAATCACATTAATTTATCAGAAATTGAGATTATTAAAACCTGGGCTTCATTCTCTACGAGAACTGTTCCACTTCTGGTTGGACCTTAGTCTTCCTGTGTAGCTCTTTAGGCTCTAACTCAAAGCTTCCGGGGGCATCCCCCTCAGTGGATCTGGACTGCAATTTGTGTCCCACCACCCTCACAAGAGAGTCCATTCTCTGTTTAGCCTCTCAGCTGTCCCTTCTGGAATCCACTGATGCTTTCAGGGAAAAAATATTTCCCAATGTTGCAATGTTGGGTTCAGCTCTTTGAATTTCCTTTTCCTGAATCTTGGTCCCATAATTCCTTTACTGCCTCATTAGCTCTCCATTGCTATCCAGCATACTTTCTTTTCCTTTTTTTTTTTTTTTTTTTAGACAGAGTCTCACTCCATTACTCAGGCTGGAGTGCAGTGGCGTGATCTGGGCTCACTGCAACCTCCACGTCTTGGGTTCAGCCGATTCTCATGCCTCTGTCTCCTGAGTAGCTGGAAATACAGGCATGCACCACCATACCCAGCTAATTTTTGTATTTTTAGTAGACATGGGGTTTCGCCATGTTGGCCAGGCTGGTCTGGAACTCTTGACCTCAAGTGATCTGCCTGCCTTAGCCTCCCAAAGTGCTGAGATTAACAAGTGTGAGCAACCAGGCCCAGCCAAGCATACTTTCTTTTCACTCTGTCTAGTTTTCTAGTTATTCTCAAAAAAATAAACTATCTGGTATTACTGAAAGGGGTACCAATAAACTTTTCCTCATTATCTTGATTTATTTATTTAATAAAGTTTAATTTCATGTTGGATTTTCTCTTAATTTTAGTGCTGCAATCTTTTGTTCCCCTTCTATTGCCAGGATTAATATTATGTATGAAAGTAAGGCCTTTTCTACCTTGAGCTATGTTTTTCTCAAGATTCTCTATGTTTCCTGTCTCATTAGTAATAGGTTTCATAAGCTTTGTGAGTTTAAATTGTAAGTTCTCATTGTTTTGGGCGGAGGGGGAGGCAAGAGGGCCTGAGCTCTTGTTTTTGTAGTCTTTTTCAGCTACAAATTTTTCATTGATTGGCACACACATTTTTAGCATGGATAAAGAAACTGTGGTGTATATATATATACACAATGGAATACTACTCAACCATAAAAAGGAACAAATTAACAGCATTCATAGCAACCTGGATAGATTGGAGACTATTAATCTAAGTGAAGTAACTCGGGAATGGAAAACTAAACATCATACATTCTCACTCACAAGTGAGAGCTAAGTTATGAGGATGCAAAGGTGTAAGAATAACACAGTGAACTTTGGGGACTCAGGAGGAAAGGGTGGAAAGCGGGTGAGGAATAAAAGACTACAAATTGGGTTCAGTGTATACGTTCGGGTGATGGGTGCACCAAAATCTCACAAATCACCACTAAAGAACTTACTCATGTAACCAAATGTCACCTGTTCCCCAAAAACCTGTGGAAATAAAAAAAATTGATAAATAATTAAAAATAAATAAATAGGAAAATCTAGAAGAAATTTATAAATTCCTAGATACTTACAACCTACCATGATTAAACCATGAAGAAACCCAAAACCTGAACAGACCAATAACGAGTAATGAGATTGAAGCAATTCATAATAAAAGGTCTCTCAGCAAAGAAAAGACCTGGGCCCGATGGCTTCACTACTGAATTTTACCAAACATTTAAAGAAGAATTAACATCGGAGTAGGGCAGAGGATTGGTGAGGGACAGGGAGGGGAGAAAAAAAAAAGAAGAATTAACTTCAATCCTACTCAAACTATTCCAAAAAATAAAGAAGGAAGGAATACTTCCAAGCTCATGCCACAAGGCCAGTATTACCCCGATACCAACACCAGACAATTACACATTTAAAAGGAAAACTATAGGTCAATATCCCTGATATTGATGTGAAAATCGTCAACAAAATACTAATTCAACAACACATTCAAAAGACCATTCATCATGAACAAGTGTGATTTACTCCAGAGATTCAAGGATAGTTCAACATATAGAAATCAATCAATGGGATATATCATATCAACAGATTGAAAGACAAAAACCATGTGATTACTTTCAACTGATGTTGAAAAAGCATTTGATAAAATTCAACATCCCGTCATGATAAAACCCTCAAATAACTGGATATAGAAGGAACATATCTCAACATAATAAAAGCCATATATGACAGACCCACAGCTATTATCATATTGAATGGGGAAAGACTGAAAGCCTTTTCTCTAAGATCTGGAACATGACAAGGATGCCCACTTTCACCTCTGTTATTCGACATAGCACTGGAGGTATCAGACAAGAGAAATAAATAAAGATCATCCAAATTGAACGGAAGAAGTCAAATTACCCTTGTTTGCAGATGATATGACCTTATATTTGGAAAAACCTAAAGACTCAACCAAAAAACTATTAAATAAATTCAATAAAGTTACAGGAAACAAAATCAACATACCAAAATCGGTAGCATTTCTATATGCCAATAGTGAAATCTGAAAAAGAAATCAAGAAAGTAATCCCATTTACAATAGCCACAAATAAAATTAAATACTTAGGAATTAACCAAAGAAATGAAAGATCTCTATAATGAAAACTATAAAACACTGATGCAAGAAATTGAAGAGGACATCAAAAAATGTAAAGATATTCCATCTTCATAGATTGGAAGAATCAATATTGTTAAAAAGTCCACACTACCCAAGCAATCTACAGACTCAATGCAATCTCTATCAAAATACCAATGACGTTCTTCACAGAAAAAGAAAAAAACAATCCCAAATTTCAACGTGGGAAACATGGTAAAACCTCCTTTCTACTAAAAAAAAATTACAAAAATTAGCTGGGTATGGTGGCACAGGCCTGTAGTCCCAGCTATTTGGAAGGCTGAGGTGGGAGGATCACCTGAGCCCAGGAGGCAGAGGTTGCAGTGAGCCGAGATCATGCCACTGCACTCCAGCCTGGGTGACAGAGTGAGTCCCAGTCTCAAAAAGAGGGAAAAAAAGGTAAAACAATCCTAAAATTTATATGGAACCACAAAAAAAAAAAGACCAACAAAAACAAACAAAAAAAAACAGAAAATTTTAAGCAAAAAGAATAAAACTGGAAGAATCACATTACCTGACTTCTATAGAGCTATAGTAACCAAAACAGCATTGTACTGGCATAAAAACAGACAGACACATAGACCAGTAGGACAGAACAGCGAACCCCAAAACAAATCCGTACGTCTACAGTGAACTCATTTTTGACAAAGTGCCAAGAACAAACACTGGGGAAGTGGCAGTCTCCTCAATAAATGGTGCAGGGAAAACTGGATTTTTATACCCAAAAGAATGAAATTAGGCCCCTATCTTTCTCCATATACAAAAATCAAATCAAAGTGGATTAAAGACTGAAATCTAAGATCTCAAACTATGAAACTACTAAAAGAAAATATTTTAAATACTATTATGTATAATAATAATAACAATAAAGAGAGAGAGAACATTGGGAAACTCTCCAGGACATCAGTCTGGGCAAAGATTTCTTGAATAATACCTCATAAGTACAGGAAACCAAAGCAGAAATGGGCATATGGGATCACATCAAGTTAGAAAGCTTCTGCACAGCAAAGGAAACAATCAACAAAAAGTGAAGAGACAACCCACAGAATAGAAGAAAATATTTTCAACTACTCACGTGACAAGGGATCAATATCCAGAATATATAAGGAGCTCTAACAACTCTATAAGAAAAAATCTAATAATCCGATTAAAAATTGGCAAAATATCAGAATCAACATTTCTCAAAAGACATACAAAAGGCATACAGATACATGAAAAAGTGCTCAACATCATTATCACCAGATAATGCAAATCAAAACTACGATGAGATATCATCTCACTCCAGTTAAAATGGCTTTTATCCAAAAGACAGGCAATCGCAAATGCTGGCAAAGATGTGGAGAAAAGAGAACCCTTGTACACAGGTGGTGGGAAGGTAAATTAGTATAATCACTGGGGAGAACAGTTCGGAGGCTCCTCAAAAAACTAAAAATAGAGCTACCATATGATCCAGCAATCCCACTGCTAGTTTTCTATCCAAAGGAAAGGAAATTCCAGTCGGGCGCAGTGGCTCATGCCTCTAATCCCACCACTGTAGGAGACCAAGGCAGGAGAATCGCTTGAGCTCGGGAGTTCAATACCAGTCTGAGCAACATGCCAAAACCTCATCTCTACAAAAAATATAAAAATTAGCTGGGCATGGTGCTGCGCACCTATAATCCCATCTACTTGGGAGGCTGAGGCAGGAGGATTGCATGAGCCCATAAGGTTGAGGCCTGAGTGAACCATGATCACACCACTGCACTCCAGGAGCCTAGGCAGTGGAGCAAGATGCTGTCTCAAAAAAAAAGCAAATCAGTATATCAAAGAGAGATCTGCATTTGCATGTTTACTGCAGCACTATTCACAAGATTTGGAAACAACCAAAGTGTCTGTGAACAGATGAATGGATAAAGAAAATATGGTACTTATACACAATGGTGTACTATTCTGCCATAAAATAAGAACAAGATACTGTCATTTGCAACAGTGTGGATGGAACTGGAGGTCATTATGTTAAGTGAAATAAGCCAGATACAGAAAGACAAACTTTGCCTTCTCACTTATTTGTGGAAGCTAAAAATTAAAACAATTAAACTCATGGAGATACAGAGTAGAACAGGGTAAATGATGGTTACCAGAGGCTAGGAAGGGTAGTGGGGGAGACTGGGGAGGAAGTGGGAATGGTTAGTAGGTACAAAAAAATAGAAAGAATGAATAAGATCTAGTATTTATTATAGCACAACAGGGTGACTGTAGTCAATAATTTAACTGTACATTTAAAAATAACTAAAGCGTATAATTGGATTGTTTATAACACAAACAAGAAATGTATTGAAGTGATAGATACCTCATTTACATAATCATAATAATGTGATCATTATGCATTGTATGCCTTTATCAAACTATCTCATGTACCCCATACATATGTACCTACTATGTATTCACAAAAATTTAAATTTAAAAAATTTTTAAAAGGCCAGGTGCAGTGGCTCACACCTGTAATCCTAACACTTTGGGAGGCTGAGGCAGGAGCACTGCTTGAGCCCAAGAGTTTGAGACCAGCCTGGGCGACATAGCAAGATCCTGGGTTTTTTCGTTTGTTTTTTGTTTTGGGGTTTTTTTCAAGACGTAATCTTGCTCTGTCACCCAGGCTGGAGTGCAGTGGCATGATCTTGGCTCACTGCAACCTCTGCCTCTCGGGTTTAAGCAATTATCCTGACTCAGCCTCCAGAGTAGCTGGGATTACAGGCATACGCCACCACGCCCAGCTAATTTTTTTTTTTTTTTTTTTTTTTTTTTTGGTATTTTTAGTGGAAACAGGATTTCACCATGTTGGCCAGGCTGGTCTCAAACTCCTGACCTCGTGACCCGCCCGCTTTGGCCTCCCAAAGTGCTGGGATTACAGGTGTGAGCCACCGTGCCCAGCCAGCAAGACCCTGTTTCTACAAAAAATTTAAAAATTAGCCAGGCATGGTGGCACCTGCCTGTAAGTGCCAGCTACTTGGGACTGCAGTGAGCTGCAGTCATGCCACTACACTCCAGTGAGGTCAAGGCTGCAATGAGCTGCAGTCGTGCCACTGCATTTCAGCCTGGGTGACAGAGCAAGACCCTGTCTCAAAAACAAAAAACAAAAAAAAATTTTTTTAATCAAAGGTTATGGCTCAGGCTTCCTGACATAAGTAAAGGAGGACACAGCTAAATTAGAAGGCTTTCATTTTTGCCAAGGTGTTTGGGGTGAAGCAAAGAAACACAGACAGACTTGCCATTCACTGCCCAATAAAACAAACCAAGGAAAGACCACAAAAGGAAATGCTCCCTCCTCAGGCTATGGCAAATGTCAATCATGTCAGCCCTTGGGAATTTAGAATTGGGACCCGCGTGAGGGAAAAGGAGAAAATCTTAAGGAGCCATGTCTGCACTGGTATTATTGTGAACTGAAACTGACATAGCAATTGCAAGATTGGACTGAGGAAAAGAAAAGGATGAGATTGATTAGATCAAGCTGCCTAACATTAGACAGGCTGAGAGTTTAGTCTGGTCAGAAATCAGCCATTACATATTTTAACTATTTTTAAGTGTCATTAAAAACACCAACTTTGAACACATTGCAGACCACCAACGTGTTAATTTCCATGCCAGCTTCTTCATGTTTTTGCAGACCTTGACATATAGCTGCTTTAGCCATCTCTGGCATATATATAATGTATTGAGTAGGTAATAATTCTGCACAAGGCTTTTTCTTTTCTTTTTTTTAAATTCAGACTTGCACATGGCCTCTCCCATAAAATTATACAGGGGAATAGACTTACCATAGCACACATTAATCAAATTCATCAAATGCCAGACGAGGCTGAAGTGCTTCTGCTCAGCAGTTGCTCTTGTCAGAAAGCCAAAGAAGGCTGTACAGCAATAAGCACACAAGTAACACATGTCATGGTAATTATTCGAGATTAAGGCTTATTGTAAGTTTTGGACACTTTTTGTTTAGATTTTTACATTTTTTTTTTCTAGTGAGATAAAGTAATCACCTGTAAAAGCAGAAATGAATCATTGGTGTAAAAATTAAACTTGGCTGGGCACGGTGGCTCACGCCTGTAATCTCAGCACTTTGGGAGGCCGAGGTGGGCAGATCACCTGAGGTCGGGAGTTTGAGACCAGCCTGGTCAATATGGTGAAACCCCGTCTCTACTTAAAATACAAAATTAGCTGGGCGTGGTGGCGGGTGTCTTTAATCCCAGCTACTCAGGAAGCTGAGGCAGAAGAATCGCTTGAACCCGGGAAGCGGAGGTTGCGGTGAGCCAAGATCGCGCCATTGCACACCAGCCTGGGCAACAAGAGTGAAACTCCATCTCAAAAAAAGAAAGAAAAGAAAAAGAAAATTAAACTTAATGAGGAAATATGATGATAAATAAAACAAGACTGCACCTCCTGATGAAAAATGCCAATCTGGCATTGTTACTCAATTACTGGCCAACCACACCGCTCTAACACAGCATATGATAAGAGAGCAAGTGCCTCTAAGTTTCACAGAAAATCTTTTGAAGGTAAGAAAGTACAGTGGGAATGATCTGTCACCCAGTTTCATTTTTAGTGTGACTAAAACTGCTCAACTTGTATTTCATGCAGTGAAATCTTACACAACAGTTCCAGAGTCCTCCCAAATTACATGATTTTCAAACAAAACACAGTAAGTTCAAAAGTAAGTAACTCAGATGTTCCTGCCTAATTGAACTACTTAGAGTTATCGAAAAAATTTTATATGAACAAAATTTAAATGTGAAAATGAAAGCTCTTTATTCTATCAAAAAGAGCTTATTAAGGTCTGGGCTATGTTAAATAAACAGGCATTTACAAAAACATAATTAGTCTCATTTTCTGATAAAGTCCAAGCCCTATTGGCATTTAAGGTGGGACAGGTGCAAGTCACCCAGCATCCTTGGTGCCAGAAAACTAAGCCCCAGTTGCACTTTTAGGTATTAAGACAACCAAAATTGCCCCCACATATCTGCAAATATCCTTGAGAGACCATACCATACTGGCTGGTATCACTGATCTAATCCAAAAATACACATCCAAAATACATATTTGCCTGGTGCAGTGGCTTACGCCTGTAATCCCAGCACTTTGAGAGGCTGAGGTGGGTGCATCACTTGAGGTCAGGAGTTCGAGACCAGCCTGATCAACATGGTGAAAGCCCGTCTCTACTAAAAATACAGGCCAGGTGCAGTGGCTCACACCTGTAATCCCTGCACTTTGGGAAGCCAAGGTGGGTGGATCTCCTGAATTCGGGAGTTCGAGACCAGCCTCACCAACATGGAGAAACCCTGTCTCTACTAAAAATACTAAATTAGCTGGGTGTGGTGGTGCATGCCTGTAATCCCAGCTACTCAGGAGACTGAAGCAGGAGAATCGCTTGAACTTAGGAGGCGGAGGTTGCAGTGTGCTGAGATCGCACCATTGCACTCCAGCCTGGGCAACAAAAGCGAAGCTCTGTCTCAAAAAAAAAAAAAAAAAATACAAAACTAGCCGGACATTGTGGCACACACCTGTGATCCCAGCTCCTTGGGAGTCTGAGGCAGGAGAATCACTTGAACCTGGGAGGTGGAGGTTACAGTGAGCTGAGATTGCACCATTGCACTCCAGCCTAGGCAACGAGAGTGAAACTCCATCTCAAAACAAAACAAAACAAAACAAAATATGTATCTAATAAATTCCTTTAAAACCTAAATTTTTCCAAAAAATAAATAAAATTTAAATTTCACTTCACCTGGATGAAAATGTGGATTTGCCGATCTCTGTATTTTGCTTGTTTTTATATTTAGCCACACAAATGAGCATAAAGAAGAGTTATTATTTAAAATACAACTGGAGGGGGAAAAAGTGTTTACATTCAGTTTTAATACGCCATTGAGTAACCTGTTGAAAATGTAACCAAGTCTATTCTGGTGGAGTGAAAAGAGTTGCTCAGATAAAGCAGTTGCTGAAATACGCTCGTGGTCATTGTATTTGTGCTTAATAGTTTTCTCTGCAATATTCTGAAAGATGTTGGGTAAAGCTTCATAATTGTTAACCGTATTAAGGCATTGCCTGTAAACTGAGCACCTTTCAGAGTTATTTATACTAATAAGGATGGTCAGTTCTAGAATGTATGTTTTAACATTGAAGTTTTTAATACTTTCAAGACAAGGTTCTGGTACAGATATTTCCAATAAAAATATAAATAACATTTTTGTTTTTAAAAAAACTCCAGTAAGTAAACATCTCTGGAACATAGCTGTACGAGGTAAAGTACCTAGATGCTACTTTTAATTCAGTGGTACATGGTTTCCACATCACTGCTCACAACAGCAGGAATGTGTTAGCAACACAGCTGAAACCAAGTTTACACTAAAATACAAAACTATTATTACTCTTTTGAAATCTCAAGGGAACGTCTGACAGAACATGCCACTAACAAGATGTTTTCAAAAGTCACCTTGAGGCTGGGCCCGGTGGCTCACGTCTGTAATCTCAACACTTTGGGAGGCTGAGACAGGTGAATCACTTGAGGCCAGGAGTTTGAGACCAGCCTGGCCAACATGGTGAAACCCTGTCTCTACCAAAAATACAAAAATTAGCAGGGCATGGTGGCATGCCTCTGTAATCCCAGCTATTCGGGAGGCTGAGGTAGGAGAATCTCTTGAACCTGGGAGGCAGAGGTTGCAGTGAGCCGAGATCGCACCACTGCACTCCAGCCTAGGCAACAGAGTGAGACCCTGTCTCAAAAAAAAAGTCACCATTGAATAACTCAGGCTATTATGACATTTGGCCACACAGCGTTGGCCAAATATGACGATGATTTAAGCTTCCCCGGGAGTCCATTCATCAGCTCCTTTTAAAAAGTGAATACTCCCCAGTAAGGAAGGTGAGTGTTTTTAAAGATATTGTCAGTAATTTAACACTGGTATATAAATTCCCTAATGTTGTTCTTTCAGACTTCTGGATCAGTTTGACTGAAGGAATTGAAATTGAGATTGCAAAGTGACATGGTTAAATGTTTAAAAAAAAAAAAACTACCATTTTTAATTAATTATCTGTGTGGGCCAAAATTTTTCTCCATATGGTACCACCAAACAAAATACAAAAATAAGTTAGATAATAATGTTAGTATAACACTGCAGTCGTTATCTATAACTCTTACTGTATATTGATTTGTGTCCCCCAAAACAATATGTTGCATTCCTAACTTGAATCAGATGTAATCAAGTTAAGATGAGGTGATAGTCAATTAGGATAGGCCCTTAATCCAATATGAGTGGTGTCCTTATAAGAAAAGAAAAACAGGGCCGGGTGCGGTGGCTCACGTTTGTAATCCCAGCACTTTGGGAGGCCGAGGCGGGCGGATCACTTGAGGTCAGGAGTTCGAGACCAGCCTGGCCAACATGGCGAAACCCAGTCTCTACTAAAAATACAAAAATTAGCCGGGTATGGTGGTGCGCACCTGTAAACCCAGCTACTTGGGAGGCTGAGGCAGGAGAATTGCTTGAGTCCGGGAGGTGGAGGTTGCAGTGAGCGGAGATTGCACCACTGTACTCCAGTCTAGGGGACAGAGAAAACAGTGACACAGACAGGAGAATGCCGTGATAACTCAGACACAGAGAGAAGGCGGCCATATAAAGGCAGTGATTGGAGTTTTGCTGCCACATGCCACACCAAGCCTGGCACTACCAGATGCTGGAAGAGGCCAGGAAAGATTCCCCGCTAATACTCTAGAGGGCCGATGGCCTGGCAACACCTTGATTTTAGACTTATAGACTCCAGAACGGGTAAAGAACAAATTTCTGTTGCTTAAAGCCACCAGTTTGTGGTAGTTGGTTAGGGCAGTCCTGGGAAACGAATGCAACTCCCATTTCAATTGTTTATGAACACCAAAACAGCCTCTGTTCTCATTGCATAACTTTTGGATAAAGATTATAATTGTGAATTCATAAATTATCTAATAAAATATAGTTTTAATCTGTTACATACTAGAGTTTACGTAAAATTGCATTTGACAATAGGACATCACAATGGAAAAAATAAAATTAAAAAGGAGAACTTAAGTTCACTGCCTTAGAGCAAGATGGATGCAGCTGGAGGCCATATCCTAAGCCAATTCCCACAGAAACAGAAAACCAAATACCGCATGCTCTCACTTACAGGCGGGAGCTACATCTTTGGCATACATGGCCATAAAGATGAGAACTATAGTCACTGGGGACTCTAAAAGGAGGAAGGGAAGAAGGGAGGGAGCCAAGAGCTGAGAACCTTCTTATTGAGTACTACGTTCACTATCTCTGGGAAGGGATCAATAGAAGTTCAAATCAATCACAGCATCACACAATATGCCCATGTAACAGACCTGCAGGTACACCTTCTGAACCTAAAATAAAAATGGAAATTTCAAAATAGATAAATAAATACACTGCCTTAGTTCCACCACCTCATTTTACCTATCAGTTCGCTAAGGTGTAAAGGGAGAGAAAATGACTTGCCCAAGACAACAAAGAAAATTTGAAGCCAGGTGTGGTGGCTCACGTCTGTAATCCCAACACTTTGGGAGACCTAGGCAGGCAGATCGTTTGAGGTCAGGAGTTTGACATTAGCCTGGCCAACATGGTAAAACCCCATCTCTACTAAAAATACAAAAATTAGTATTTTTTGTACATGCCTGTACTCCCAGCTACTTGGGAGGCTGAGGCAGGAGAATCACTTGAACCCGGGAAGCAGAGGTTGCCGTGAGCAGAGATCATGCGACTGCACTCCAGCCTGGGTGACAGAGTGAGACTTGGAGAAAGAAAGAAAGAGAGAAAGAGAGAGAGAGAGAAAGAGAGAGAAAGAAAGAGAGAGAGAAAGGGAAGGAAGGAAGGAAGGAAGGAAGGAAAGAAAGAGAAGGAAAGAAAGGAAAGAAAGAAAAGGAATAAAGAAAGAAAAGAAAGAAAGAAAGAAAGAAGGAAAGAAAAAGAAAGAAAGAAGTAATTTATTTGCCGTTGAGCTTGAAGCTAGGACTTTTACATCTCCTGATTTCTAGTTCAGTATTTTTCTCTTGACCCTGTGACAAGGCTTCATTCTCCAGGTGGAAGCTTAGAATTATTTAAGAAGACATTCTTTCCAGCATAAAGATATTTAAATAGCATGGTTCCCACATAATGCTCTCAAGAGATTGCCTTTCATATTTAAATAAAAATATATTTCTTATCCTAGACAGGTCTAGAATTTATCACAAATCTAAAATTATGTATTATTTATTCAGATGAAGAGCTAAATTCTGCCTTTCATGATGGCAAAAGCAAACTTCAAACCAAACTGTTCTGTTGCTTCAGGAAAAAAGGAAGAAAGGAGGGAGGGAGGGAAAGAAAGAAGGGAGGGAGGGAGGGAGGGAGGAAGAAATGGAGGATTTATGTCTACTACTTTCTATATGAACAAAACAATACTTTTTTTTACCCTGGGATATTATACTTATTTAAAAGGAAGAAAAAAGTAGTAACAACCCCCATATTTCCTGTCATGCTTGTGCTGCTGAGGACAGTAAATTTTAGGGGTCATTTTGGTCCTTATTCAGGATGTTAGAAGCCCCAGTATAGTGTTTTGGACACTATTCAGAAGTCTCATCCAACTTAATTCTTGGCCCAGTTCTTGCCTTTGTTGAATTCTCTCCAGAGGTCAAGGTCAAAGGGACCTCACTGAGAAAGGACTCAAATTGGGAAAAGAATGCAGGGGCAGCAATTCCTTTTTTATTTCTCAAATCATCAGTGATATGGAAGGTCAAGTATGCAGGCCTGAGATGGAAACAGTGTGTTTCCCTTTCAAAGAGGAATGTTAACAGGATGAGAAAACAGACTTACAAATATGAAGAAGGGTGGAGTTTTACCCAGGCTCAGGGAGTTGAAGGCTGAAAGCTTTTGAGTTTTCATCAACATAAAAATATCCTAAGTAAAACATTATTTGCAGATGGGGCCACTACTTAAGAAAATTATGGAGCCAAATGTGATAGAGGAAAAAGTTCAGTCCTTGGTTATAGGGGGAAGAAACAACTCTGAAGGAGCTTGTTCCCCTCCTGGAACTGTATGCCCTTGCAGGTCTGAACTTGAACCTTACTCTGAGAGGCACTGGTTGGTTAACTCCACCCCAGAAGTACCGATGGCTCATTTTTGGGGGTGTGCTGTATCTCTAGTCAGATCTAGAACTTGCTATAAATGTAAAAACCATCACCACCCACTGGAAGCTATTCCAATTAGCCAGAGAAGCCGTCTTTGTGCACCATTTGGCTGCACAAAAGCTGAACGGCAAGGGCTGAATATGTGCTTCAGACAGGCCCTGCAAACTCCATATGAAAGGCTGAGGGTGGTTGCCATGAACACAATTTTAGATTATCTCCTTCTTCATTCAAGCTTTCAGAAAGAGCTTGCCACCAGATTTGTTAAAAGGATCCCAGCTCACGTGAGTGATTTCTTGGCACAAAAAGCCTTCCTTTCCTGTTATATTACAGCTTGTGTGCCGCATTTCTTCAACAGGCAAGTTCTCCTTCACAAACAGAAAGCAAGCTCGTGCAACCGATGGCAATCCTAAAGCTACATTTAGATAGCCCAATTCCTCAGCTTTAGCTTTAAAACGATTAGAATCATTTTCCCTCAAACATCTTTATTGCTTCACCTGAACTGGCCAATATTTTGTAAGGGTTTTTTCTATTCTTTCTTTTTTTTTCTTTTTGCTAATAAGGCTAATAAGAAAACAATCTTCAAAAAAAAAAAAAGAAAACAATCTTCTTGGGTTTTTGGTGCTAAAATCATAAATGGTCTTTCTTGCAGCATTGGAAAATATGACTATAACTGTGAAAACTATGTTTACTGCCCAGCAAACATGCATGTCCCAATACTCTGGAATAGAAATCAAAGGCATTTCATTGTGTGAATGGCCTGTAGCTGGAATCTCTCCAGGCAAACAAGAAGGTGAAGACACAGAGCAGGACCTCAGGCAGCATTCTGAGGACATGAAGCAAGCTGACTTCTGACTGGTAATAAATAGTATTATCTTGCCTCACTTCACGGAGAGGCATCCAAAGCAGTGTTCTCTATTTACCTCCTAGTGAATGATATGTGCCGAGAGCCAGAGAAATCAGCGACCAGCCAGAGAAATCAGTGACCAGCTCGTAGTCATGCAGATGAATATATCACGTATCACATTGCTCTCTATTCTGATTTTCACCTGAAATTACCACTGAGATTTTGAGGTCAAACAAAAGATTTTCTGCAAAACATTGAGAAATGCAAAGTTCTCTAGGGACTTTTCAGATGCAATGTTTTGAAATAATTTACTCCTCCACAAAAAGATTGTGAGGCAAATGGGTATTTTGTGCCATTTATTATACCTGGTGTGGACACAGAAGTGTTAACATTTTTACATAGGAGTTTCTGCTTTCTCCTTTCTGCTTCCTTCCCATTTGAAGCCTTAGCCTGGAACATAAGTAAACAGATCATGTTTCATATATATATATATATATATACACATATACACACACACACGTATATACATACATACATATATATATATATACCAAAAATGAGCTGTGTGCTTATCAAGGAATTCACAGCATAAGATCTTACACCATCTGTTTCTAGGACAGAACTGGTAGAAAGATAGGGGTCATGTCAGATGGGACTGGGCTGAAATCATGGCTCCGTCATGCACTTGCTGAGTTATGGGCGTGCATACTTAACCCCCAGGAACTGCACCATAAAATAAAACTAATACCATCTTGCTTTCAAGGTTGGTGTGACAATTAGAAATAATATACTGCGTAAAATGCCTGGCTCATTAGATTACTCTCCTTGTATTATTGTTGTTATTATTATGACCAGTACTACTAATGCCTAATAAAAATTACATGCTTAAAAGATATTTGCTTTGTGGATGAATTAATGAATATTTACCAACAGTTCTCCTTAGGGACCCTCAATTGCCTGTGACAAAATCAATATACTAAAGCAGTGCCTCTCAAACTTTAAGGGACACATTAATCGCTTGGAAATCTTGTTAAAATGCACATTCGCGGGCAAGGTGGGAGGAGCACTTGAGACCAGGAATTCGCCTGGACAACATAGGAAGATCTCATCTCTACTAAAAACTTTTTAAAAAACTCACTGGCCACAGTAGAGCACACCTGTAGTCCCCGCTATTCAGGAGGCTGAGGTGGGAGTATCGCTTGAGCCTGGGAGATTGAGGCTGAAGTAAGCTATGATCGTGCCACTGCACTCCAGCCTAGGCAACAGAGTGAGGCCCTGTCTAAAACCAAAAACAAACAAACAAAATGCATATTCTGGGGTCAATAAGTCTGAGGTGGGGTCTGAGATTCTGCATTTCTAATAAGCTCCCAGACCATGCTGAGCATACTTTGACTAAATTCCTAGATTATCCCATTAACCAGAAATAGACCAGTTCTTTAGATACTCAAGATACACCAAAATATATTCTACCCTAGTAAAACCTAAACACCAGTTAGATACAATTGGTTTTTCTCACCACAGCAACTAATAACAGATTCTCAACAGTGTTATTATCTTTGCTCAAGTGATCAGGAGTTGAGCTCCAATTACCTCATCAATGAACTTTCCACATGCAATGAGTTAAGAATCAAATCACATCCCAGGCTTATGAACAAGGGCCAGGTCACACCTATCTCCAGCTTTGTCTTATGAGTCAAAAAATATCTGCTATTGTGGTAACTGAAAACTGAGTTTTGAAGGTCTCCATAATAAAAGGCAAGAATACCAGTGAAAATAACATTTATTTGCAACTTCACTTCAGTTTGTTTTATGCCAACTGAGTGCCAGACAACACAAACAATGGAAAGGGGAATGGGGAGGGCAAGAGAAACAGGCCCTTGGCTTCATGGAACCTACAGTCTAGGGAAGAGGCTGTGCTCACTGTGCCATGCCAGGATGTTGGCCCAAAGCCCATCGTCCTCCACATTGCCCGGAAAGAGCCATGGTTGTACATTTCTGCCCAGGGGGGCTTTCTCTTCCGCTCAGACTGTTGACATAGATAGAAACAAACATGATAGGTACTTGGGTGCCACAGGACATTAACCTAAAACAGGAGGGACTAACCTAGACAAAAGGGCACCAAGAAAGGCCGTTTTGAAGTGACGCTCAAGTCAAGATCAGAAGGATGAATGATCAAGGGCAGGTTTCCAGAAGGAAAGGTTGTGGAGAGCGGCAGAAGAGCATGCTGAAAGCTGCAGAAGCATAACAATGTCGTTACCATCAACAAATATCATTGTGTTTTCTCAAAAATTAAAAAAAAGAAAAGAAAAAAAAGCAGAAAAGGGTAGAAAATGCTGGAAGAACAGAAACAAATCCAATATGGCTTCTCTCCACTAGCTAAATACTCACATAGGGAGGACAAAAGGAAGAAGCAAGAATCCCCACATAACCCATATGCCAAGATATATGAAGATCTTCAACTTTATAAGGAGCATAACAAGTGCTGTAAGAGTGCAAATAAGTAAATAAATAAATACCTAAATACGTTTCTGGCAGTCATCATTCAGCCAGGTCACCTGCCATCACCTTGCGAATGAATACGACAGACAGCCCCTCTATCAAAAAATGGATTTCTGGCCTGGCGCGGTGGCTAATGCCTGTAATCCCAGCACTTTGGGAGGCTGAGACGGACGAATCACATGAGGACAGGAGTTTGAGACCAGCCTGGCCAACATGATGAAACCCCGTCTCTAGTAAAAATACCAAAATTAGCCAGGCATGGTGGCGCGCACTTGTAATCCCAGCTACTTGGGAGGCTGAGGCGGGAGGATCACTTGAACCCAGAAGGCAGAGGTTGCAGTGCGCTGAGACAGTGCCACTGTGCTCCAGCCTGGGTGACAGAGTGAGACTCTGTCTCAAAAAAAAAAAAAAAAAAAAGATATATTTCCAAAAAGAGACCAGAATAATCTGGTTTCACTATAAGGCTGAAAATTAATGAATATGTTATATATTTGAGGGTGGGATTTTTTTCTTAATTAGAGAGGGAATGAGAGAAATTAATCATTTACAAAAATACTTCAAAAGCAAAGTGCTTTGCAAAGCACCATTTGCAAAGCAGTTTTCACTTGACTCCCATAGGTTTGGTGAGTAGGTATGAATTTGCTTCATATTTGGTAATAAGACAATGTTTCATTTCTGTATTTTTATTAGTCAAATTAACTGTGGTCCCAATCTACCCTTAGCTAGTAGGGTTAATGGAAAATTCAATTTGGTTCTCCCTCTTGTTATTTGGAGTAAGGTCATCCCATCTGTTTGTCCAGGATCATATAAGAATTTGGGGAGTTCATCGTGCTTGGAAAATCGGGGACTGTGGTGGTTGTCATGGTTACCATTGTTTCTCCTGCACCTGAAGATACTAAAAGCACCGCCCACCATTACATCAGGGGCCTCTGAGATGCAGTCCCAGCTGTTCTTTCCTCTTATCTCAGGCTCTATAGAGAGATATTTGGAAACGTGTAAAAATGAAGAGGGAAAGTAGACAGTAAGCCTAGAAAAGCTTGTGCCACAAAGGAAGTGCTCAAAAAACTAATGGGGACACGTCAGAAAGGGGGAAAGGAAGATGAAAGCACGCCAACAAATAAGTATAGAAAGATGATAGAAATAGAAAGTCACCATTTATAACCACAAAAATAATAACTGATTCAGGCTATAATTATCAATGGATACTAAAACTGCTGGATGTAAGTTTGATGGAGAACAGGATATAGAGAATCACAGCAGAAAACAGCTTACCAAATGATCAACCTAGCACCAAAAATAACTGGGCAAACTTGATATCATGTGCCTCTTCTTGCATTACACTGAAATGGCTAAAATATCGCCTATGTATTACTAGCTGAATCATGAGAAAGCTGTTGGACAAAACTGAATTGAGGGATATTCTGTAAAACAACTGACCTGGATACTTCAAAAACTGTCAATGTCATAAAAGACACATAATTAGTTTAAGGAACTGTCCTAGATAAATTAAAAGAGATTTAAAGAGATACAATAAATAAATATACCACTTGCTCCTTGATTGGGTCCTCATTTTGTAAACAGCTATAGGCCAGAGGCAGTGGCTCATGCTTGTAATCCCAGAACGTTGGGAGGCCAAGGTGGGCGGATGGCTTGCGGTCAGGAGTTCAAGACCAGCCTGGGCAACATGGTGAAACCCTTCTCTACTGAAAATACAAAAATTAGCTGAGAGTGGTGGCATGCACCTGTAGTCCCAGCTACTTGGGAGGCTGAGCCACAAGAATCAGTTGAACCTAGGCGGCGGAGGTTGCAGTGAGCCAAGATCGCGACAGAGTGAGACCCTGTCTCAAAAAAATAAAGGGGGAAACAGCTACAAAGGTCATTAGGACAAGAAGGGGAAATTTGAACATGAGCTACTCACTAGATATGTGCAGTATTCATATTAAATGTTTTGAATGTGATCATTGTATCTTACAAGATACAAGCTGGAGTATTTAGGAGTGATATCTATAACTAGCACTCAAGTTATTCAACAAAATATGTGGGAGGGCATGCAGAAGAATGGAATTAGTCCCCAATCTCTCACCATGTTAAAAAACATTAACTCAAAATGGATTTAAGACTTAAATGTAAGACCTAAAACAATAAAACTACTAGAAGAAAACATAAGGGGAAAGCTCCATCACATTGATCAAGGCAAGGGTTTATTTTTATTTTTTAGTCCATTTGCATAAAAGATTTTTTAAAATAAAACCTCAAAGGCATAAGTAACACAAGCAAATACAGATAAGTGGGATTACATCAAACTAAAAAGTTTCTATACAGCAAAGGAAACAATCAACGGAGTAAAAGGGACAGCCTACAGTATGGGAGAATATATTGGCAAACTATACACCTGATAAGGGGTTAATTATTCAAAATATATAAGGAACTCAAACATCTCAGCAACAAAAAAATATATAACCTGATTTAAAATTGTGCAAAATACCTGAATAGACTTTTCTCAAAAGATACACAAATGGCCAACAGATATATGAAAAAATGCTCACGTTGCTAGTCATCAGGGAAATGCAAATCAAATCTACAACTGAGATACTACCTCACTCCAGTTAGAATAGCTACTATCAAAAAGATGAACTATAACAAGAGCTGGTGAGGACATGAGGAAAGGGAACACTTACACACTGCTGGTGGGAATGTAAATTAATACAGCCATTATGGAAAACAATATGAAGATTCTTCAATAACTTAGAACTACCACATGATCCAGCAATCCCACTATTGGATAAATAGCCAAAGGAAATGAAATTAGTATGCAGATATCTGCATTCCTATGTTTATTGCAGCACTATTCACAATAGCCAAGATATGAAATCAAAGTAAATGTCTATTAATGGATAAATGGATGAAGAAAATAACAATGGAATACAATTCAGCCATTAAAAAAATGAATCAAATCTTGTCATTTGTGACAACACGAATGAATCTGGAGGACATTACATTAAGTGAAATAAGCCAGGCACAGAAAGGCAAATACTGTATGATCTCACTCATGTGTGGAATCTTAAAAGTTGTTCTCACAGAAGTACAGAGTAGAATAGTGGTTACCAGAAGATAGGGAGGCAGGGGGAAGGTTAGTCAATTGGTATAAAGCTACAGTAAGATAGAAAGAATAAGTTCTGGAGTTTTAATGCACAGTAGAATAACTAGAGTTAACAATAATGCATGATATATTTCAGAACAGCTAGAAGAGAGCTATTCAAATGTTCACAAAGAAATAAATGTTTAAGGTGAGGGATGTGCTAATTACCCTGATTTGTTCTTTACACAATGTATACATGTATCAAAACATCACACTGTACCCCATAAATATGTACAATTATTAAGTATCAATCAAAATTTTTTATAATGAGGGGAATTGAGTCAGAGAGAAAGAAGAAACAAATGGGACAAAATGTGAAAAAAAAACAAAAATATCCACTCTGTAATTCACACACATCTTTGTCAGAGAGCTGAAAAGCAGGTCAGGTAATATCTGATTGGTGATTAAGATTCTCTGCCTTAAGCAGAGAACAAAGGGACAAAGGAAAAAATCCTCCAACTAGTCTGTCTCTTGGTCACTGTTTATAAACAATCAATGTAGGCCAAACCTAGGGATTAGTCCTCCAGAGCTCGCTTCCCTTTCTCAACACAATGGGACCAAGTCATGCAGTTGCTCAAGCCAGAAACCTCACCTAATCCTAGTGATATATTTCCCAAGTATTTCTCAAATCCACTCATTTCTTCTCATCATTACTTCTACCAATCTAAGTTAACATCTTCCCTCACCTGGCCCATGGCAATGGTCATCCCACAGGCCTCCTTGTATCCACACACTTTCTCCTATCTATTCTCATAACATTATAAATTAACATCTGATCATGCCCTACCATACTAAATGCCCTGCAATGGCTGTCTCGGGATGAAATCCTATGACCTCTAAGGCCCTGCGTGATCTAGCACCTAACTTTCCAGCCTTGCTTTGTGCCACTCTCCCTCTTGCCATGGTCACTCCCATTTTTCATGCACACTGTTTTTTCGCCTGGCAAATCCCTTCATCAGAGACTAGGTTATTGTCCTTGCTTTGTAACTCCATAGTTGTTTTTGCTAACTTCCCTTTTGTTCACACTCACCCGACTTTAATTACTTCAGTATGCATGTCTTCCTAGCTAGACTGTAACTCCAGTGAAGGCAGTATGGTGTGTTTTGTTTACTTCCATAACCCTAATGTCTAGCACAAGGCCTGGAATTTAAATATCCAAGAAATTTCTGTCAGTTGTACTTTGAATTTGACTGCAGGCCTAGCCTAAATGGGGAGGAGGCCAAAATCCCATTCAAGTCCTCCTCCTGCAAATCAGCACTGTGCTGGTTGATGCATTCATCATGGGAATGAATGAAAGTCTTATGGGATAACTGACACTCCCCAGATGCTCTAATTTTGGGGAGGGATATGGGGAAAAGAGATGAATGCATAGCCTATCTAACTGGAAAAATGCCTGGAGATGACTATAACAGAATTTATTTTAAAAACATCAAGCAGCAACAGTAAGGATCACAGCTGATTATTACAATCCTCCTGCCCATGGTGACTGTTTTTAAGGTTTTTTTTTCATAGACTTTAAGAAGTAAAAATCTCTGACCTTCATATTTACCAAAAAAATTTTTATAAAGACTGATAGTATCCAAGATTGATGAAAGTGTAAAAAAATAAATATTCCCTTTCCTGAGACTACAAATTGGTATTGCCCTTTGGGAGGGTAACTTGCCAGCACTGTATGTATCAATTTTGACCCAGGAATCCCACTTCTAAAATGTATTCTTCAAAATACCTCTACAGGCTGGGCTCAGTGACTCATGCCTGTAATCCCAACACTTTGGGTGGTGGGAGGATTGCTTGATCCTAGGAGTTCGAGACCAGCTTGGGCAACAAAATAAGAGCCTGTCTTTAAAATTATAAAAAAATTAGCCAAGTGTGGTGGTGCATGCCTGTGGTACCAGCTACACTGGAGGCTGAAGCAGGAGGACCACTTAAGCCCAGGAGGTAGAGAAGGCAGTGAGCTGTGTTTGCACCACTGCATTCCAGTCTGTGTGACAGAGTGAGACCCTCTTTATAAACAAACAAACAAACAAAACTCTATGCATAGAAACACATAAAGATGGCCAGGTGCGGTGGCTCACACCTGTAATCCTAGCAATTTAGGAGGCAGAGGTTGCAGACAGCAGTGATGGTGCACCCCAGCCTGAGCAACAGAACAAGACTCTGTCTCAAAACAAAAAAAAAGTATAATCACGTTTTAATAATAAACGTTATTAGTATGTGATATATTAGGATATTTCCTTTTATGTACAGACAAGATTTTTTCTCCCTGATTGGTTTCATAACATATAATGTGTTGAGCATCAGCACGTCACTGGACTCCTGATACCCATGAGGTGTTCCAGTGTGTGTGTGCTATAGTTAGCCAGTTCCCTATTGTTGAATATTATAGTTTCCAGTGTCTCCCAGTATCAATAAAGATTTAATAAACATCCTTGTATTTGTATTTATTTAATTTCCTACAATGAAAAATATTTACTCAAAGAGGAGAAACATTTTTCAGTCTTTAGTGTCTTTTGTTATTTCCTTTCTAGAAATGTTCTGCAGCATTGTTTTAAGTTCCCTTTCCAACCCTGAATATTACCATTAAAGAGAAAAATTGATAGGTAAAAAGGGCAGTTCATTTTTAAAATTTACGTTTATTACAACAAAGGCTGGATATATTGTTTATTGGCCAATTACATATATATATATATATATGCCTCCTCCTGCTGGGTTTAAGCAATCCTTCCACCTCAGCCTCCTGAGTAGCTGGGATTACAGGTGCGTGCCACCACATGTGGCTATTTTTTAAAATTTTTTTATAGAGACAAGATCTCATTATGTTGCCCAGGCTGGTCATGAACGTCTGAGCTCTAGTCATCCTCCTGCCTCAGCCTCCCAAAGTGCTAAGATTACAGGCATGAACCACCGTGCCTGGTTTTATTATTCATCTATGTAAGTGTATTTCTTTTCTTTTGTTTTTTTTTTGAGACAGAGTCTTGCTCTGTTGCCCAGGCTGGAGTGCAATGGCGCAATCTCAGCTCACTGCAACCTCTGCTTCCCGGGTTCAAGCAATTCCCCTGCTTGAGCCTCCTGAGTAGCTGGGATTACAGGCACCCACCACCACGCCAAGCTAATTTTTGTATTTTTAGTAAGAGACAGGGTTTCACCATGTTGGTCAGACTGTTCTCAAACTCCTGACCTCAGGTGATCCACCCACCTCGGCCTTCCAAAGTGCTGGGATTATAGGCATGAGCCACCGTGCCCGGCCCTATGTAAGTGTGTTAATCCTTTTCTTCTGTCACATGTTGCAAAAAATATTTGTCTAACTTTTGTTACTTTTATACAGTTTTTTTTTTCTTTTCTTTTTTGAGACAGGGTCTTGCTCTGTTGATCAGGCTGGAGTTCAGTGACGTGATCGTGGCTCACTGCATTCTCGACTTTCTGGGCTCAAGCAACACCCCCCAAGAACACCCGACACAGGGTTTCACCATGTTTGCCAGGCTGGTCTCAAACTCCTGACCTCAGGTGATCCACCTGTCTCAGCCTCCGAAAGTGCTGGGATTACAGGCGTGAGCCACCACACCTAGCTAGAGATCACTTTTTAGAAGCTACTTAAAGTTAGAAATACTTTATATCTGAGATTGCGATCTTTTCTAAAGAGTGAAGGACAAATTGCAAAAATCTCATCAGAAATGGATTCATTTTCCTACTATCATATCCTGTTATAAATAAACCTTAGCTAAAACACACACTGCTTGATCAATCGATTACAATATCCTTAACAACTGACTTTATAACCATTAGAATTATTTGCATTAAAAAATATAGTAAATGCCCCACACTTTAAGCTTAATATGCAGAATTACTACCACTACTTTCTACTTTCATCATGCCATATTTGCATAAAGGGTGATCAATACATTCTTAAAAATAGCTATTTTAGAAAGTCTTCACTACATTCACTTAATTTAGTAAAGATCTGCTAAAATACAACATTACAGTAAAGACCAAATAATATAGACAAATTTAACATGGGATACAACAGCTGGTTATAATAACAGAAATGTATATATGATTTTGCCAAGTAGTCTTTTGACCTTGGTGATAACTTTGTGACTGTGCCACTGAAGAACATCCTGGATCAGAGTTTATTAAACTGATGCCAGAGGTAAATAATGAGCAGAGGTAATCACAGCACTAGAGGAAAATCCCCTGTCTTTCCCTTCCCAACCCACTCTTGCTTCCTCCAATACCTACTACAGTCTAGGTTTTCAGGTTTAAAAACTGGGTCTTCACTCATCATTTATACACACAAGGAAATGGACACCTGAGTGGTTAAGTGACTTGGCCTAAAGTCACAAGGCCGCTTGGAATTAACATTTACAACCATCTTCCTGCTCACTCCCCATCATTCATATTCACTGAAGATTTTACACTTGGTTCCAAGCTTCGTGTGTTGATCTCTACAACTCTTACAATCATTTTTGCTGATTCTGAAATGCATGTTAAGGGGATTAATGCCACACTCTGACCTCTCAGTTACTCAACTCCCTTAAATCCATTGATCACAGCCTCAGTGCCCCACCATCACCCATTCTCACGGTAATATGTTGGATCTTTGTGCTGGCAATTGATGTATCATGAGCAAAACTTAATTCTAAGCATCTCTGACCAAACTTCTGACTTTCCATTTCACTTCCTCTAGTAACAATAAGTCCAGCAATTCTTCAACCCCATCAGTACCTAAGATCTCTCAATCTTTCACAGTCTCACTATCACGACCTCACTTCCTTCCTCATCCAAATTGGTACAAACCACATATTTTCCTAGGACCTCTTTCCCTTCACTCTATCTGCCTAATAAAACCTCAGTTTCAGTTAAACCCAGCTCTCCACCTACTCCATACCTGTACCCACACAGCTCATTATAACTAGGGGAAAACATACAACGGTATTTGCTCTCACTCTAAATTTGACAGCAAACCTCATGTGTTATTTCAGAACTGTCCAATATTTCAGTTGGATTTCCTTATTCCATTCACTCTTCCAGATCATTATTTTTCATACCTTCTCCTCTTTCTCTGAAAGAGAGGAGACTGGAATACACCCCACTGCATGCTCCATTTTGTCACTTAGATGCTTAATAGGCATCTCAAACTTAACCAAACTCAATTTCTCCACCAAAGCTCATTCTTGTAAAGTCTTTTCTAAACTAGTAAGATGCTCCATCTTTCACTCAGTTGCACTAATACTAGCATCATATTTAGCTAGCCCATACACACGCACTTCATCTCGAATACATCTACTGTTACCCCTTCTTGCCAACTCCATTGCTACTACCTGAGTCCAAGTCACCATGGTCGTTTTCCTAGATTCATATGAAACCCCAAATAGCTTTTCTTCTTTCCATTTGTGTGGAGGATATGTTCTGTTCTCCATAAAGCAACCTGTAATCCTTTGTTGGTTTTGGGTTTTTTTTTTTTTTTTGAGACAGGGTCTCGCTCTGTCACCCAGGCTGGAGTCCAGTGGCACAATCATGGCCCACTGCAGTCTCAGACCCCTAGCCTTGGCTGGGCACGGTGGCTCATGTCTGTAATCCCAGCCCTTTGGGAGGCCGAGGCAGGTGGATCACCTGAGATCAGGAGTTCGAGACCAGCCTGGCCAACATGGCAAAACCCTGTATCTACTGGAAAAAAAAAAAAATTAGCCAGGCATGGTGATGTGCACCTGTAATCCCAGCTACTCAGGAGGCTGAGGCAGGAGAATTGCTTGAACCCAGGAGGCAGAGGTTGCAGTGAACTGAGATCGCACCATTGCACTCCAGCCTGAAGGACAGAGTGAGTCTCCATCTCAAAACACAAACAAAAAACCCTCCTGGCCTCAAGTGATCCTCCTGCCTTGGCCTCCCAAAGTACTGGGATTACAGGTGTGAGCCACTCTGCCTGGCCTGTAATCCTTTTAAAAGAAATCCTATCATTTCACTCACTTGTTCATAACCCTCCAAAAACTTCCATCATATTTAGAATAAAATCCAAGGTGCTTTCCAATGGCTTATGAGCCCCTATATCGGCAAGCAGCTAACCATGGCCAATGTGCCAAATCTGGCTCACTCTCTACTTTTGTAAATATAACTTTTACTGGAATGCAGCCATGCCCATTTTTCTATATAACATCTATGGCTGCTTTCCCACTACGACAGAGATGAGTAGTGGAGACAGACCCCTTTTACAACCTACACGCCAGCCATACCCGGCAAAAAATAAAAAATAAAAAAAATACATTTTTACAAAAAAAAGTTTGCAGAGAAGTTTCGCCAACCCCTGCCCTTCATGGTGTGCCCCTAGTCGTGCCTCGCTGGCTGTGTTCCAGCCACACCACCAGCCACCGCCCCTGCCCCCCGTCCCCACGCTTCAGGCCTCTGCGCTCGCACCACCTGCCTGGAACACACTCTGCCACGTAGCCCAGGCCTAGCTCCCTCATGCTCTTCAGGTCGCTGCTCCGACATTACCACCTGATTACCATCTAATTTAGACAAGACTTTGGATTTTAGAGTTTAGAATTGATGCTGGAATGAGTTAAGACATTTGAGGTTGCTGGGCGGAATTAATGTATTTTGCACGCAAGAACATGAATTGTGGAGGAGGGGTGGGATGATATTGACTGTTTGAGTTCCCCAAAAGCCATGTTGAAATCCTAACCCACAATGTAATAGTAATAAGATAGTAAGGCCCTCCTGGGGCCTTTGGGAGGCATCATGAGGGTAAAGCCCTCATGAATAGGATTAGTGTCATGAAAGACACCCCCAGAGAGCTCTCCTCCCATAAGCTTTTTAGAATGTGAGACTACAAGAAGACAGCAGTCTCAAGACAGCCTGAAAGAGGACATTCTCCGGAACCTGGGTATACTGACACCCTGATCTCAGAGTTTCAATCTACAGAACTGAAAATACATTTCTGTTGTTTATAAGCCACCCAGTCTATGCTACTTTGTTAGCAGCTCAAACTGCCTAAGATAACTGATTTCTCCTTTTTCCTCATTTGATTCCTCCTTCTTCTTCGAGTTCCTGCATTTTAAACAGAGTGGAAAACAATTAATCATAAAAACAGAAATACTGTACTTTAATTTTGCCTGAGAATGCTTAATCTAAGCTGATATAAATTGCATAACATACAGTCTGAGAATACATCCCTGATCCTTGTATCTGCTTAACTCTCATTCACACTAGTGAAGCCACGGCAATGGATGTTAACAAACTACTATTTATTTCTAATGGTGTGAACTTCCAGCTCCCAGTCCAGCATGTAAGGAGCTTGGAAGTCATCAATCCATCCCAGCAAGTAAAAAACTGAGCCGAAAATCAAGAACTCTTTTTGTGTTTTTTGAGACAAGGCCTGGCTCTATTGTCCAGGCTGGAGTACAGTGGCACAATCTTGGCTTACTGCAAGCTCTATCTCCCAGGCTCAAGCCATCCTCCCACCTCAGCCTTCTGAGTAGTTGAGACTACAGGCACATGCCACCACACCTGACTAATTCTTGTATTTTTTTTTGTAGACACAGGGTTTTGCCATGTTGCCCAGGCTGCTCTGGAACTCATGAACTCAAGCAACCCACCCACCTCTGCCTCTCAAAGTGCTGGGATTACAGGCGAGAACCACCACGTCCAGCAACAACTCTTCTTAAATCTGTCAAATTGCTGGAGGCTCAATGTGGACAAGTCTAAAAGTTTAAAAATCCAAAGGGCCCAGTCTTAGTGCCTACCATCCCCCTCTGCCCACATACTTTTGTGAGTTCATCTCCAGAACTTCTACCAGGTTCTCACAGTGAAGACAGAAAAAAAAACCCACACATTTTCAGCAGGGGGATGAGAAAACCAGCCATGTGGAATATACCCGGAGCATTCTGTTCTTAATAAGGCCTGCCCTCAAAGAAAAAAAATTCTTTAAGGGAAACTATTTAACCAGAGCTTAACTTACTAACGTTTTATCAGAGACCAACCAATTTGGGAAAGGTCCTATAGATGGGAACACTGAAACTCAGCCATCTAAACCACAGCCCCCTCTAGTCATCCTATCCCAATTAAAGAGGGGGAAAAACTGAAAAGCACTTGTAAAGGTCACAGCCCCAGGGGCACAAGTTCACTAAAAGACTGAGACATAATTGTAGGACTATAGAATGCTTCCTCATCCCCAACACTTCACCACCACTTTATTAAGGGCCTATTTATGACCACCTTTCAACAAATGTCCACCTTTCAACAAAAAAGTACAAGGCAAACCAAAAGGCAAAAACCAGTTTTTTGTTTGTTGTTTTGTTTTGTTTTAAGGCAGAGCGTCGCTCTGTTGCCCAGGCTGGAGTGCAATGGCGGGATCTCGGCTCACTGCAACCTCTGCCTCCTGGGTTCAAACAATTCTCCCACCTCAGTCTCCCAAGTAGCTGGGATTACAGGCACCCGCCATCATGCCTAATTTTTGCATTTTTGTAGAAACAAGGTTTCACCACGTTGGTCAGGCTGGTCTTGAACTCCTGACCTCAGGTGATCCACCTGCCTCGGCCTCCCAAAGTGCTGGAACTACAGGTGTGAGCCACCACATCCAGCCAAAAACCACAATTTTTTAAGAAACACAGACTCAGATATAGCAGAGACATTGGAATTATCAGATAAGAATTTAAAATAATTATAATTAATATGCTAAGGGCTCTTATGAAAAAAGTAAACAATGTGCAAGAACAGATGGGTAATATAAGCAGAAAAATGGAAATTCTAAGAAAGAATAAAAAAATGCTAGAAAGCAAAAAACACTGTAATAGAAATAAAGAATGCTTTTCATGGGTTCATTAGGAGACTGGACACAGGTGAGGAAAAAATCTCTGAACTTGAGGATATGTCAAAAGAAACTTCCAAAACTGAAAAGAAAAAGAAAGTGGGGCAGGGGCAGGGGGAGAATGGAAAAGGGAAAAGGAAAAGGAAACAGAATATCCAAGAAGTGGGATTCAAAGTAATGGCAAAGTGGCATTCAAAGTAATGGCAAAAACCACAATTACTTTTGCACCAACCTAATTAAAAATGTGTAAAATACATGTAATGGGAATACAAGGAGAGACAGAAGAACAAAGGAAATATATGAAGCAATAATAACTGATAATTTCCTAAAATTAATATCAGACAACAAACCACAAATCTAGGAAGCTCAGAGAACACCAAGCAGGATAAATGCAAAAAACTTGCAAGTAGGCATTTCATATTCAAACTGCAGAAAATCAAAGATAAAGAAAAATCTTGGAAAGAGCTAGAGGAAAAAACTCACCTTATCTACAGAGCACCAAGGATAAGAATAACATCATCCTTTTCAGAAAACATGTAAGCAAGAAGAGAGTGAGATGCTTAAAGCGTTGAGAGAGGGGGAAAAAAACCCCCCACCAATCTAGAATCCTATATCCTGTGAAATTATCCTTCAAAAATTAGGGAGAAATAAAGACCTTCTCAAACAAAATTTGAGGGAATGCGTTGCCGGTGGTCTTGCCTTGCAACAAATATTAAAAGAAGTTTCTCAGAGAGAAGGATAATGATACAGGTGAGAAACTCAGGTCTATATAAAGGAAAAAAGAGCAGTAGAGAAGGAATCAGTGAAGGTGAAGTATTTTTAATGATTTTGCAACATATTTATCTTGTTTGTCATCAACTAAAAGTCATTTCAATCCCTAGGCAATCAGTTGCATAACAACTGGAAATAGTTTCAAAGCATGCAGAGAGATGAGCAAAGCTTGGTTAGAATGTGTATGACACTGATTAATATACTTTCAAAGATGCTTATTCTTTTAACACAGCCTTGCAAAATACATTCAATTAACTATTTATCAAAGTGGCACATTAGTAAGATTTCTGGATTTATAGTCAAGCAGAACTGTTGCTGACTGTATGTCTTGGACAAGTTACCCAAGTATCTCATTTGTAAAACAAAAATAGTAAAACCCACATTTCATACATTAACTGTAAGGACTAAATGTGAAGGCTAAACAAATTCCCCTAGCCCACTGTCCAGCTAATTCTAAATGCTTACTACCCAGTTATAAATGCTATGAATCTTCCAACATCCTCATGCACTCCTTCATAAATTAGTTCAAAGCTAGCAAGTTTATGGCCAACCTCTGATAAGCATATAAAATTTAAGAGCATGCATTTCGTAGAGATCACTCCAGCTGCGCCTTACTTTAAAATTTTTCCTCTCTTATTTCTATTCATTTTTTAAATTGTTATCTTGCTGTATCATGAAACCTTTTTGAATTACGGGTGGGAGAAGATTAAAAGGTAAGATACCAAACTAATAGTTTTATATTTTTTCCAAGAGATGGATGAAACAACGCCAGAAACAGCGTTCTAGAAGTATCTCAACCTCTAATCTTCATAATCAAGTATCCAATGCAGGCCTGCTAGTCCATATTCCCAGCCACAGGAAGTGCCTGGTACACACATATTTGTTATATGATTCATTTCTGTACTTTCACTTTTTCCCTTTTCTGGCAAAAAAAAAAAAAATCAATTATTTCCTGTTTGTACAATCTGCTTGGAATACATGTCTAATGTTCAAATTTCGTTATAAACAGTAAATATCAACTAACTCTCTATGCCAAATGTCATTCTCTATTTCAGGAAATATCTCCTATGTTGCTAAGTTCCTATACAATCTACACAATGTCACAAAATAAGCCATCCATCATGCTGGAGGAAAAAAATAATTGTTGGCTCAGTCCCATGTTAATGAGCCTACTTTCCCCCAATTTGGAAATAGGTGTAGGCTGGACTTCTCTACCAGTTTGAATATGACATACCATAATGGCATACCATATTTTTGTGTATTTTAGTGTTTTAAGGATGTTTTTGGTGTTTTATTACTTCTCACAAAGATAAAATGGGAAATTTATTCTAGCACTGCTATTCTAGTACTTTAACATCCCACATAGAAAGAAAACATATATGGCTACTATAAGACCAATACATAGCCAGAAAGGCCACCACCTTCATGAGTAAGTTCAGGTACCCCCCACGATACCCAAGGAAGTTGGAACTGATTTAATAGGTAACATATTTTATTAAGAACTGTTAAAAAAAATTAATTTCCCCAGTAATGAATTCTAATATTTTCAAATCTTACTCTTCAGTAAGTCTTGAATGTTTTCAAAAAGTGATTTATTTTATGTTTTTCCCTCACTGGGGAGCAGGGCAGAACAGCAGCCTTTGGGCTAGTTTCCCCATCACCAGTCACGTAGGTACATCAAAACAGTTATCTTACCAGTAAATCTTTCACATAAAGCCCAAGCTCTAGCTTATTTGGAACACAAGGCCCTCAACAACTGGTCCTCTCTACCTCTTCAGACTTAGCTCCCACCACTCCTGGCCGTCACCTAGACACAAAGCTCTTGTTCCACTCTACAGTCACAGAAATCCCTGTCTTAAACCCCTCCATCTTCCCCTCCATTCCCCATCACTAAGTCCCAGGTATTACTTCAAAGGTAACCTCTGAGGTGAGCCTGCCTGAATGCTCTAGAGGTGGGTCAAGTGCTCTCTGTGCTTCCACATTACTCCAGGCGTACCTCCAACAGGGCACTTCACACTGTATAGAAATTACGCTAATGTCACTATGCTCTTCCTGTGCCCACATCTGGAAAGTGTAAACAAAACACCTTACTCATTTATATCCCAAGTACCAAGTATATGCTGGGTACTAAAAATTCATAAAATTGTGGTAAACTTTTTATATTTTTTTACATTTCCTGTTTCCTCTTGCAAATTTCACCTTATTCTTCCTACATCTTTTGAAAAATCACTTCCTGCTAGCCGGGTACAGTGGCTCATGCCTGTAATCCCAGCACTTTGGGAGGCCAAGGCAGACCAATCACCTGAGATGGGGAGTAGGAGACCAGCCTGACCAACATGGAGAAACCCTGTCTCTACTAAAAATACAAAATTAGCCGAGCATGGTGGCGCATGCCTGTAATCCCAGCTACTCAGGAGCCTGAGGCAGGAGAATCATTTGAACCCGGGAAGCGGAGGTTGCAGTGAGCTGAAATCGCGCCACTGCACTCTAGCCTGGGCGACAGAGTGAGATTCTGTCTCAAAAAAATAATAGAAATACCACCATGCCTGGCGTGCCTGTAAACCACTCAAAGTGCGGATCCCCCTGCCTCAGCCTCTCAAAGTGCTGGGATTATAGGCGTGAGCCACCGCGCCCAGCCTAATTTTTTTATTTTTTAGTAGAGACGCGGTTTCACCATGTTGGCCAGGCTGGTCTCGAACGCCTGACCTCAAGTAATCCACCCATCTCAGCCTCCCAAAGTGTTGGGATTACAGGCATGAGCCACTGCGCCTGGCAGGATGGCTGATTTAAATTGGTATTCAGTACACAGGAAATAAAAGCTAAGCAGTTTTCTTTCTGTTTCTAATTTTTTTTTTTTTAATCACCAGCAACTTGAACCATGGACCAATCATTCCTGACCACCACTTGGCAGCTGATAAGCTTATCAGAAGTATATTTCTACTAGGTCTTAGGTTAAATCCGTACTGCTTGCAACTCAAGTGTCCAGCGTCCTGCTCTTGTTCAAGCTGATCCCAAGCAGTTAGAACTGTTCACTGGAGGTGAAATGATAAACTTACCTTTATGCATGTGTAATGACTTACCACAGATTTCAAAAATATATATAAATTACATCCTCAGCCTTCCTGACATCATTTCCATTATACATCTCTGACTCATGATACCCCCCCAACTTGGATATCTAATAAGCATCCCAATCACAAAACATTCAAAGCTTAATTCTGAAACTCATCCCTCCCCAAACCTGCTCCACACTGCAGTCCTTCTTGCTATCACTATCTCACAGCAGTTCCATCCTACCAGTAGTTTAAGCCATAAACGCTGCAGTCCACCCTGACTCTCTCATACTATAACCATGCTATCAACAAATCTACCTTCAAATGAAAATCCAAATCCAAATCGCTTTTTTTTTTTACAGCAGTTTTAGGTTCACAGCAAAACCAACCATTATTTAACACCATCCATTCTGGTTCAAGCCACTGATTAAAAAATCAATGACTTAAAAAAAAGAGACTTTTTATTGCTCTTCCTGTTTCTGCCTTTGCTCCCATTATTAGTTAATTCTTCAGAGTAATCAGTGATCCTTTTAAGACATAGTTCAGATCATAACCCTTCTCTCCTCAAAACTCTCCTAAGGCTTTCCACCTCCTCAGTCTCTTCACATCAACCTCAGCTTTACAAACACACCAAGCATGATGAAATGTTAAGCTCCAAAAAGGTGGAATTGTATTTTAACGTTTTGTTCAGTGCAGCACCTCCAACACCTGTAATCACGCTTGGGACAGTATAAAAGAACAGCAAGCATAAAGCATTTTAATAAATGCTCTTGCTTCAAGGGGCTTTATAGTTGCTGTTCTCTTAGCTGGGGGTTCTCTACTCTCAGATACCTGCATGTATTCTCACTCAGCTCCTTCAGGGCTTTGCTCAGTAAGGCCTTACCAAGCACCCTACTTAAAATTCTATCACAAATTCACTTCCCCTATCCCTGTCCCCATTTTTTCTTCATAGCATTTACACCATACGTTTCACTCACTTGCATATTGTCTGCCATCTCTCATACACACAATTCTAAGGTCCGTGAGATCAAGAATGTTTATTTTCTCCACTGCTGAATCTGTAGCATCTAGAACAGTGCCTTGCAATTTGCGGATGCTTGATATTGAATGGGTACATTTTTCTATGTATATTTCAATTTATACCATTTGGGTAGTCTGAGGATTATCTTTCTGGAAAGTTTTTAAATGTATTTCCAAGTCCTCTAAGATTTTGCTCTCTATTAATAGGATTTTTATTTTGTAGGCTAAAAGTTGACTTGATAACATTGCTAGTATAACAGTAACAAATTATACTTGTTTTAACATCTCCAGCACAAAGAAACATAAAGACCCCCATCATAAGCCACATAAATACCTTAAAAACTGATAATAAACTGAAACTGATTAAACAGACAAAAATTCATTTTTAAGCTGCCTTAATGTCTTTAATGCTGCCCAGCCATACTCCAGAACAAGAAGTCTTTTTTATTTATTTAGTAAATCTTAAAGGGCAATCTGAAGTCAGAAGAGTTTAGATAATTTTTAGTGTCTCCAGTATCTACTTCAAGTATAAATAACTAAAAGCTACAGGAAAAAATATGTTCAATATCACTGGAGAAGTAAAAAATGCAAATATTTTTTACAGTATGTGATGCATTTCAAAATCATTTATGCTGGAAAACATACACAAGAGTATACACTGTTGTTATTCCATTTATATAAAATTCTAGAAAATGCAACCAATCTCTAGTGCCACACAGTAGATCAGTGGTTGCCTGGGGCTAAGGATCAAAGGAAGGAAGCATGGGGGAACCTATGCAAGGTGATGGAAATGTTCTGTATCTTGTTTGGTGATTACATAGACATCTGTCAAAACTCATCTAACTGTACAACCTAAATGGACTGAAAGATACTTATGTCATTTGTCCACCTTAGACTAGAGTAATAGTAACACAGTGTGAGCAACAATATTTACTCACACTCAGTCGATGGAAGTTTATGTTGGTACCACCTTTTAAGGAAAACATTTTGGCAATGCCAAAACTTATAATGCAACTCACAACTTATAATGAACAAAATTCTTTAAGTCAGTTAACAGTGTCTTCTAGGAAATTAAACTACACAAATATCATTCAAAGTATATTTTCAGGCCAGGCGTGGTGGCTCACCCCTATAATCCCAGCACTTCAGGAGGCCAAGGCGGGCGGATCATCTGAAGTCAGGAGTTCAAGTCCAGCCTGGCAACATGGTGAAACTTCATCTCTACCAAAAATACAAAAATTAGCTGGGCATGGTGACACATGCCCATAATCCCAGCTAAGGCACAGGAGGCTGAGGCAGGAGAATCACTTAAATGAGGGAAGTGGAGGTTGCAATGAGTCATATTCATGCCACTGCACTCCAGCCTCGGTGACAGTATCTTTTTTAAAAAAAAAAAAAAAAAAGGAAAGGAAAGGAGGGGAAGGGAAAAGGAAAAGGAAAGGGAAAGGGAAAGAGGGAAAGGGAAAGGAAAGGAAGATCTATTTGAGTGCCCTGAGTAAGCCGTGCCTGTAGTCCCAGCTACTCGGGAGGCTGAGGTATGAGAATTTTGTGAACCCAGGAGGCGGAGAGTACAGTGAGCCGAGATCAAGCCACAGCCGAGTCAGACTAGGCGACAGAGCAAGAATGTCTCAAAAAAAAACAAAAAAGAAAGAAAAGAAAAAAAAAGGCCAAACCATAGAACTGAGTGTTAAACAATTTTAAAAAGCACAAAAGAAAAATATTAATCAGGAGACCAGGAAGGTGTGGTTAACTGAAAGTAAAGACTTCCATTTTGTTCCTACTTTCTATAATTGATTTCTTCAATTTGGTCATTATAACTTAATATAAAAAGTTACTTTAAAAAATACTATTGATCCTTAGGACAAATTCTGAAAAAACTGCTGACTTCTGAAATTACATTTAAAAAGAAATCAGATCTTTCAGATTTGTGGAGGTCACGTAAGAATTCAAAAGTCTGAAATTTAAATAAGCTAACTTCTACAAAGACTGACATTTACTTTACGGGCATTAAAAAAATAACTAGGCTCTCTTTTAATTTATGAAATTCAAGCAGACACAAGCTGGGAACCTTATGACCCATTCTCCTGCAATGCTCGATGATGTCTATACTAAATTACTTGCACTGAGCCCAGCTCTCAAGAGTAAGCTATCACAGTTTTACAATCTATTACTATTTCCTAGCTACACACCTTCCTCTAAAAATAGTTTTTCTAACCAAAAAAGGCCCCCAAAATATAATAATCTTATGTACACACAAGATGCATTAGGCATGCAAATATAAATTCAGTTTTCAACAGAAATACGTAAGTTCACTGCAATTTCATAATAAAGACTAGTTAAACATAGGTATTCTTTAGCAGAAGCATCTGAACACTGAAGAGGAAAAAAGGTCCTCTGAAAGCAGCAACGCTCTGGGATCAAGACAAAACATTCAAATAAAGAAACCAGGCCGAGCACGGTGGCTCACACCTGTAATCCCAGCACTTTGGGAGGCGGAGGGGCGCAAACCACCTGAGGTCAGGTGTTCAAGACCATCCTGGCGAAACCCAGTCTCTACTAAAAATACAAAAATCAGCCCGGCATGGTAGCACGTGCCTGTAATCCCAGCTACTCGGAGGCAGAGGCAAGAGAATTGCTTGAACCTGGGAAGTGGAGGTTGCAGTGAGCCAAGATTGTGCCACTGCACTCCAGCCTGGTCAAAAGAGTGAAACTCTGTTTAAAAAAAAAAAAAGAGAGAGAGAAGAGAGAGAGAAAGAGAGAGAAAAAGGAAGAAAGAGAGAAAGAAAAAGGAAGGAAGGAGAGAGAGAAAGACGGAACGAGGGAGGGAGGGAGGGAGGGAGGGAAGGGAGGGAGGGAGGGAGAGATGGAGGAAGGGAGAAAGAAACTGGCCAGGCATGGTGGCTCATGCCTGTAATCCCAGCACTTTGGGAGGCTGAGGTGGATGGATCACAAGGTCAGGAGTTCCAGACCAGCCTGGCCAACATGGTGAAACAGTCTCTACTAAAAATACAAAAATTAGCCGGGCGTGGTGGTGTGTGTCTGTAATCCCAGCTACTCAGGAGGCTGAGGCAAGACAATCGCTTGAACCCGGGAGGCAGCAGCTGCAGTGAGCAGCGATTGTGCCATTGCACCCCAGCCTGAGCAAGAGAGAGAGATTCCATCTCAAAAAACAGGAAACCAAATACTGCATAGCTCCTTCAAAATAGTGTTTTTTAAAAAAAAAATGTTGGGCCAGGTGCAGTGGCTCGGCTCACACCTGTAATACCATGAGTTGAAGACCAGCCTGGGCAATATATTAAAAAAGCCAGCGTGGTGGTGCATGCCTGGAGGCCTAGCTACTCGGGAGGCCAACGCGACAGGGTCACTTGAGCCCAAGGCGTTTTGAAGCTGCAGCGAGCTACAATCCCGCCACTGCACTACAGCCTGGGCGACAGAGTAAGAATCTGTCTCAAAAAAAAAAAAAAAAAAAAAAGTTATTTACATCATAAAACAGGACAAAAAGGAACATTTTTAAATAAAATCAAGTAAGCCAAAATATTACATCCAATATGTAAAAACATAACATCAATAACCCTTTACACTAAGAATGTCTAAACAAACTGAAGCACAGTTCCTTTTATTAGAACTTTTGTTGTTGTTTAAAGAGGCGGGGGCCAGGCACAGTGGCTCATGCCTGTAATGCCAGCACTTTGGGAGGCAGAGGTGGGAGAATCACCTGCGGTAAGGATTTCAAGCCCAGGCTGGCCAACATGGCAAAACCCCGTCCCTACTAAAAAATACAAAAATTAGCTGGGCATGGTGGCACGCACCTGTAGTCCCAGCTACGTGGGAGGCTGAGCCACAAGAACCACTTGAAGCCGGAAGCAGAGGGTGCAGTGAGCTGAGATCACACCACTGCACTTCAGCCTCAGCAAGAGAGCAAGACTCCGTAGCGAAAAATAAAGAGGTGGGGTCTCGCTGTGTCACCCAGACTGGAATGCAGTGGTCCAATCATAGCTCACTGTAGCCTGGAACTCTTGGCCTCAAGCAATCCTCCCTTCTTACCCTCCCAAGTAGTTGGGATTACAAGCATGAACCACTATATCCGTATATAAGGTTCTTATGAAAAGGTACCTGACACTATCACAGAATGTGGCTTAAGCCAGGTCACTTCAACCCTACTACTGTTTTATCACTGTTAATTCTCCAAAGTATTTTACTGTAAAAATTACTCACCTATAATACTCATTTAACAAATTTTACAGACTATTTTGTGCCATGAATGATCATGCTAGACTGGCTGTGGCAGAAACACTGGACACAACTTTATAGTGGTATCACAATGTACATTCATGTTCTCACACTGTGAGCAGCAGTTTGGTATAGTGAAAAGAATTCTGACCTAGAAAAAAAAAAATCTGGGTTGCAATTCCTGCTCTAACCTGCTTACAAATCCTTTTCAATTTTCAGATTAACAGAACCATGTGTTAGACCACGTAAACTTGATTCAATAAATAAATTATGCAATGTAAATATTTAGTTTTTTTTAAGATGAAAATAATACATTTTACTACTATAAAACATTTTAAGGCTACAGAGCCTCATAACCATTAAATTTTAAACATATTCTAATTTTAAAAAAAACAGCAAATATATTAAAACTGCAGTGTTACAAATGCAAAATGTCCTACACCAGGTCACAAGATTCTTTAATTTAAAAACAAACTACGTACACAGGAAATTTTCTAACAATTTCTTCCCTTTTATGAATACATATTCTGTAATTTTTAGAATAGAGAAATATGTTTTAACCAAAATCCCCAAAATGTCCACTTATCTCAAAAAAAAAAAATTCAGGTGACACGATTTAACTCCTTTTTTAGAAACAAAGTATCTCCTTGTAGACCTGTACCCAACAGGCTTTGTTACACAGACATACATATCAGTTTTCATATAAACTAAGAATTTAAGTTCTTTCAGAGAACTTATGCAGAGGTATTAAAGGTTTCTTTTTTTAAGTTGTGATTAAAGAGAAAACCCTCTATCAAGTATTTTTAATACATATTTTCTCATTTTTATATTTTAAGAACCCAACATCTGTTCACCATGAATTAAGAATTCAAAGAAAAAATAAAAATGCTTTAAACAACTGTGGCAAATTCTACCGTTTTAAGAGTATTACCATATTTAAAACATTTTATTAATGTGTAAAAGGGGGAAAAAAGCACTAAGGCCAAAGATTTACTGACATACTGTTTTCAATTAGTAAAACAAATCTTAAAATATTGAGAGATAATTATTGTCCATCTTTAATTTCCTTTCATGTGAAATTCAGAAGTAACATGTGTCCACTTTAGGTAACATTTATATATAAAAAGTTTATTAGAAATATAAAAAATTTTAAATTTTACACTATTTCCACCTTAAGATTCTTTTAGATAAAGCAGATGTGCCTTACGGTTCAAACACAATCTGATGTACAAAATCTTATTTAGTTCTTAGCAAAATAAATACAGAAACACAAATGATGAAATGATGGACTATTAATAACTTTAAAAACCCACCGTAAAAGTTTCCAAAAACCACCATTTGTTGTAGGTACCTAATATGGCAGTATTTACTGTAAAATACATGAAACAGCTTTCACTAAAATTTAATGTACTGGCTTATTACCAAGATCAACATTGTCATATTAAAATGCAAGTTGTGTGGTCTAAGTTTATGTTTCCAAACTTTTTGTCAACTAGACAAAGGAATCGAAAACTTTTTCTTAAAGGACCAGAGACAGGCTGAGTATCCCTTATCCGAAATGCTTGGGACCAGAAGTATTTCAGATTTTTGATTTTTTTCAGATTTTTGAGTATCTGCATATACATAATGAGACTCAGAAATGCGATCCAAGACTAAACATAAAGTTCATTTATATCTCACAAACACCTTATACACATAGACTGAAGGTAATTTTATACAACAGTTTTAATAATTTTGTGCATGAAACAAAGTCTTAATTGTTTTGACTATGACCAGTCACATGAGGTCAGGCGTGGAATTTTCCACTTGCAGCATGATGTCAGCACTCAGAAAGTTTTGAACTTTGGAGCATTTTTTATGTCAGATTTTTGGATTAGGGATTGCCAACCTGTAGTAAAAATTGGGGGCTTGCAGGACCTAAGGTCTCACCACTCAATTCTGCCACTGCAGGAGAAAGCAGGCATAGACAACATATAAATGGGTATGCTTGTGAGCTGTAGTTTGCTTGATGCTGAACAATACATAAATTCTGGACAACAGACTTATTATTTCAGGTGTCATATTTGAAGGTAGGAGCAACAATACAGATGGGCAGACATTAATAAATGAAAACCACAAATTAAAATTTTCACACTTATTACCCAGTCATAATTGGATGTTATGTGTATATATGTATACATACAAGTTATAAAGCTAGCTCATTTCAATTCCATATTCTTTTTGGTGTGTTAACAGTATCAAACCAACATCAGATAAGCAGCAAAAGGATTATGATTGATTGAGTACTCAGAAGTTAATCAAGGATCACGAAATCTGGTTTTGACATCTAAGTATTTCTACACAATGAAAAAACTTATTTACTGTGCTCTATATAGAAAATATCAGATGTATCTTTTCAGGTGTCATTTTAAAATTCAATTGAATTGTTACAATTTGAAGCTAAATGTGATTTGCTTTGTTTTATTAGAAAAAATACTCAAGCAAGGTCTACAATCATTGGTCAATTAAGAATGACTTACAAGAACATGAGGCAATAAAATAAAAATACAGGTACAAACTATGTATCTGAAACACTTCTATTTGGCAATTTTATAACAAATCAAATTTTAAAAAGAACAAAAGAGATTGCAGATTACTTCGCAGATACAGAATAAAGCAATTGATGAAGTGCTTAAGCAAAAGAAAACAACAAAAAAAGAAAACACACTGCTTTTCTTTTTAAAAATAAAATCACATTGCTATAGATCAAATGGATAATACCCTTATTAAACAACCATTCCAGAATGTCTTATAGTAGCAGTGCTTTTATTTGCACTTCACTTAATTTTATAAGACTCATTTTCATGTATATAGCTCTTTACCCCCATTGTTAACGAATAAAGTCTCTCATAATTTTTACACTTTTAAATTTTTTAAAGCAAATGAGAAATGATTTATGTATCGTGGAACCTTTCCCATTTTGGAACCAAAGGTTTTAATTCTATATTTTTGTCTAATATTTCTTTAAAAAATTTAGTGTAAAAACTGCTGGTTTTTATATCACTGTAGTAAAGTGAAAACTCCTCAACCAGGAGTATTTTCTGCAGTTTCACTGCATATAACCACATACTTTACAATGTCCTTCCAACAGTAAGGAAATAACTGATTTCTTGATCACTGTCAGAAATGAGTGCCATAATTCTATTATGGGTATAGGTCCTCCCTCAAAGACTTTCTGGAAGGATGTTCAATGTGTTTTGTTCTTAGAGATATTAACAGTAGTACATAGTCCCTTAAGTCTGTGAAAGACATTTATTGTTAAAGAAGGTGCTTTTATTAACAATTCCTCTGGCAGCACTAGTGAAGTACAATATCCTTCAATATTATTTCTACCATAATATATACATTTAACTTTCATGCCTCTAGAAAACATCTACAGTACATTTCAAAATATAAAAATATATTACAAATCTGCTGAATTATTTACAAGCAATGTTCTATTATCTCTATGCAACATTTGTTTAATACAATACTAACAAGTTACACATATTTCCATTTCTGTAAGTTAAAAAAAATCGATATGGCTTCTTGCTTACCAAGCAAGAAAGTGATTTTATTTTCCTTTTCAAGACCAACTTTGGTGCATAAAAGATTCAGTTTGAAGATACTTGTAAAAAAAATACAATTTTTCTTACATTAAGAAAAAACAACTCAAAAACCAAATGATTTCCTCAGAAAAAAAATTAGAGTCATATAGGTTAAATGAAAATATGAAGATTATTCAAATAATTTGAAAGGTTTTTCAAAAACCGTTAACAGATTAGTTATATAGGTAAATATTAACATACTGTACTCCATGAGAAAGCCCTAGTCCTGAAAAGGGAGCCACCAGACATACTGCAACACTCTTTAACAGTAATTTTCAGCCCTAATTCGATAGACGAATTTTTAGTTGATTGCAAACGTCGTTCACTGTTTGCTTAAATACAAATTGAACACTTTTCTTATCAGAGTTCTGCAAAAGAACACAAATGGCAACCAATCACATCTATTTATCATAATTGAAAGGTAAATTATCTCTTGATAATTTTCATTGTCTAAATATTTCCTAATATGACTTCAAATCAATAAACACTGTCAAGACAAATATCCTTACAGTGCTTTTGGTATTTGTAAGGGCACATGTTGTAATTGTTTTTCTTTCCAATATAAACTACTGAAATCACTAAAGGGAAGAAAAGAAAAAAAAAAGCAGCTTAAAGCAGCAAGCATGCAAAGCCTTTAAGAAGCTGTTCTACTAAGTTGCCAAAAGAGTGTTTGCTCAGTCTCCCACAGTACCATTCCATGAAAATGTGGATATACAGTAATATATTAATATATTCCACCGAAGAGTCTACTTCATTCACAGAATGTTTACACTAAGCATAAATATTATCCTAAATACTGGATTTAAAAAAAAAAAAAAAAAAAAGAAGGGGTTGACTCTAATGTGCAACTTTCCCTAAACCCATTGTCAGTGACTAAGACTGCAGGTGTCCCCGCTTGTTTGCTTTTTATGTATTTATTTATTTTTTACCTCTTCAACCTCTTCTGCGGCATTGTTCTAGAAAAAGAGAAAAAGAAATCCTTTTATTCAACTGAATCAAACACATTTGAGTGCTTCAAGAGACATTAAAAATATTAATAAGATACAGGCAATGTGATGATCATAGATTATAATAAAAATGTATTTCCAAAACATTTATACATATGGATCTATACTTAGTTACATAATATAGTTGTTTAATAAAAGTTTTAAATGTAGCCTGCTAGTGCATTTCTAAGAAAGAATTCCATGTGTAATACATATATTTTAGCCAACTAATACTTTAAAACTGATGCTTGGCTGGGTCCCAGAGGCTCATGCCTGTAATCTTCCCAGCACATTGGGAAGCCAAGGCAGAAAGACTGCTTGAGCCCAGGAGTTCAAGATGAGCCTAGAAACAGAGAGAGAAGTGGTCTCAAAAACAACAAACCCCAGTGCTTAAATCCCAAATAAATACAGTTGTCTCTCGGCATGCACAGTGGGAGTGGGGGGTCCCCAGAATCCCCTGCAGATTCCAAAATCCAAGGAAACAGCAGTATTTGCAAATAACCTACATACATCCTTCTGTATACTTTAAATCACCTCAAGATTACTTATAACAATATAATATAAATGCTATGTAAATCATTGTTACACTATATTGGTCTTATTTGTATTATTTTGTATTGTTGTATTGTTATCTTTTTCCCCTAAATAGCTTTGATATGCAGTTGGTTGAATTCATGGATGTGGAAGTTGTGGATACACAGGACCAACTGTATATTCCTGTTAGACTCATTTTGAAGGAATATATCTATTTTGCAGAAGGTTTGCCATACTTTCATTTTGACATGTGCACAAGCAGGAAGTTATTTCTCCTAAAAACAAGTAAGAATAATTGTTTTTCTTCTTTTAATTAATTTCACAAATTTTCCCAGTCAAAATCCAGAAATTTAAGAAAAGATTGTACACTAGGACAAATGTAGGGGCTTCTATGACTCTATGCCACTTTACAGTACACTCAATTCTGATTTCCAGAATAGTGAAAGCACAGAGGTTTAGAGTCAAAATTAAGTTTTAAGATGGCCTTTTTTATTTTTTGGACAGACTCTTGCTCTGTAGCTGAGGCTGGAGTGTAGGACGTGATCTCGGCTCACTGCAACCTCCGCCTCCTGGGTTCAAGTGATTCTCGTGCCTCAGCCTCCAGAGTAGCTGAGATTACAGGCGTGCAACACTACGTCCGACTGATTTTTGCATTTTTAGTTGAAACAGGGTTTCATCATGTTGGCCAGGCTGGTCTCAAACTCCTGGCCTCAAGTGATCCACCCACCTCGGCCTCCCAAAGTGTTGGGATAATGGGCGTGAACCACCTCACCGGGCCAAGACGGCTTTTTTGATACAGGTAAGGAAAATTAAATCTACAGAAGCACCTAATATATCTTAAGAACAACCTCATTTCCAAGAATAAAATCAACAAGACTTGTGGAATCACACACATAAATTTGAGTATATGCAACATTGTTCCTATGCACTTCAGAACATCAGTTCAAGCTTAAATTTTGTTTTAAGTCACTTTCACTAAAATGTCTAAATTGCTTCCTATATGGCATAAGAACAGAAAAAAAATAAGCTGGTTTGGTGAGAAAGCAAGACTCTTGGAAAGAAGGAAGCAGGATGCAGGCAGAAACACAGATTAATCTTAATTTAAGATTCATGGCCCTTTGACAACTCTCTAAGAGAGGTTTACGACTAGTTCTAAAAGGCAAGAGTGGCTCTCCCAAAATATCACTCTTTTAGGATGCTAATTTTAATTCATCTCTCCAAAGAGTAAACAGAAATAACTCTAAATTAGGTACAAATAAATCAACAACACTCAATTATTTTTCTTTATAGAGAAGTAACTCGTAACCTTCCCAAATTTTTGGTAGATTACTCTCAATCTTCTTCTCCTTGATGATCTAGTTCATTCCACAAAGAATAAGTTTTATTGTATTAATTAGCACTTTCACCAAAAGATGTTTGAGAAGAAAAAAATTTTTTTGAGACAGGTTCTCGCTCTGTCAGCCAGGCTGGAGTGCAGTGGTGTAATCCTGGCTCACTGCAGCCTCGAACTTCCAGGCTGAAGCAATCCTCCTACCTCAGCCTCCTGAGTAGCTGGGACCACAGGCATGTGCCACCATGTATTTTTTGTAGAGACAGGGTCTCACTATGTTGCCGAGGCTGGTCTCGAACTCCTAGACTTCAGCGACCTGCCCACCTCAGCCTCCCAAAATGCTGTGATGATAGGCATGAGCCACTGGGCCCAGCCAAAAAAACCTTTTATTGTAATAGGGAAAACTATGCTTCTACATAGCAATGCCCATTATGTTGGAATTTCACTCACAGAATAATGTCTCAAATTACAGGAAATCTCCAGGTGAATAGCACTCCAAAAAGGTGCATCGTGGAATGAATATACCCTTCAAAGCACTTAATTAATATAAAATTTGCTATCTTTATGATAGCTAAAATTTACAAAGTTTCATTGAAAAAAGATATAAAGTCCTTTCAATAAGAGTGCCTTTTAAAAGCTGGTTTTAAGCATTTCCACCACTTTTTTAATCACTCTCGTGTACATCATTTGGATACAGGCACTATGGAGTTCAACCACATTCGTGCAAACTTGGGCAGATTAACTATTTAACCTCTTGCCTCAGTTTTCCAACCTGTAAAGCAGAGATAGTAAAACCTACTTCACAGAGCAGCCGTGAGGATGACGTATACGCAAAGCACCTAGCAAAGTGACTCAGCACATAAAAGAGAAATGTTGGTCTCTTCTCCTTCCCCCACATACCTTCATAAGCACAGCACACTAAAAAAAGCTCAAAACATAAAATTACTAGAAATGTGAACACTCTAAGCTATGTCTTAAAAAACAAATAATATTTGAATTGCTCTTTTGGAAAGTTTGGAGAAAGGGTAAGCTAAAAAAAATCAAACAGTTTTGGTATTCAGACTCATGCAACATATTCTTAGGTCCACAAAAGTCTGTTATTATAAAAAGAATTACCTTGTTAAAGGGCACTTATTTTCAAATTACTATGTATATTACAATCTAACATACTTAAGATAAATCTGGGATTAAACAAGCATATAAACTTTATTAGCAAAATACTGTTTTTCTGGATTCTACAATTTTTAACTCTTTGTGAGTCCACATCCAAAAAAAAAAAAGCCAGGAAGTAATGAGATATGCTTGGTATTAAAATTCAGCACTTAAAACTAAGTCCTAATTTATCCAAAATTTGGGGAGAGAAAATTACAAATCAAAAAGTAAAACATAAAGGCAAGAATTAAATTACCTGTATATGTTTGGGTCCAAAAGCAAGGCAGTATCTTTGGGTAGCTTTGATAAATGAACTACTTTAGTTTTTAACTGATGTCGTTCACTTTCATTCACCCACACATCAGGCAGACTATGAATTAAAAAACAAGTCAATAATAAAGTAACATTAATTTTAGATTTACACTTCCATGTGCCTTCACATTCTGGCATTTTCTGCTACTTTGATCAGTCCACGTTAAGTGAACAAGTTTCCCAGAAGCCAGGGAAGCTCAGCTATCAACCTTAATAGCAGGACTTGGAGTCCCAGATAAGAAATGGCAGTGTTAAATTTTAAACATGAATTGAGGAATAAATTAAACATTTTCAGTGGCAATATCTTATCAAATTAGAAATTTGTCAGAACACACTGGCTAGCTTTTAACTCAATGAGTGAAATTCATACTTGATTTTGACTTGCTGGAAATCTGACAGCAAGTTTCTTTACTAAGAGAGAAATAAAAGGGCCCAGTGCGGTGGCTCCTTCCTCTAATTCCAGCACTTTGGGAGGCCAAGGGGGGAAGATAACTTGAGCCCAGGAGTTTAAGACCACACTGGCCAACATGGTGAAACCCCATCTGTACTAAAAATACAAAAATTAGCTGGGCATGGTGGCGCACACCTGTATTCCCATCAACTCCGGAGAACGAGGCACAAGAATCGCTTGAACCCAGGAGACAGAGGTTGCAGTGAGCCAAGAGTGCACCACTGCACTGCAGCATGGGCGTCAAAGTGAGACTCTCTCTCCAAAAAAAACCAAAAAAACAAAAAACAGAAACAAAACCTGTAAGATTAAAGTCCATTTAAAAAAAAAAAAAAGAAATAAATAAAAACCCTGTAAGACTAAACTCCATTAAAAAAAAAAAAAAAAATGCATGCGGCCATAACACTGAATTCAAAGAAATTCAACTCTACAAGAAAATTCAAATGAATGTATTTTGATATTTGGATTAATCAATTTCCAAAACATTAGGAATATACACATTTGAATTTGACTTTTTTGAACAGGGTCTCACTCTGTCACCCAAGCTTGAGTTGCAGTGGTACAATCACGGCTCACTGCAGCTTCAACCTCCTGGGCTCAATCAATCTTCCCGCCTCAGTCTCCTGAGTATCTGGGACTACAGGCGACACCATCACAACCAGCTAATTTCTTTTTTTGTTTTCCTGTAGAGACGAGGATTCACTATACTGCCCAGGCTGATCTCAAACTCCTGCCCTAAAAGCAATCTTTCTGCCTCAGCCTCACAAAGCACTGGGATTACCAGCATAAACCACTGCGCCCAGCCATTGGCCACATACGTGAATTAGGTACACATAATGAAATCTCCTTCAATGAAATTTATTCTATTCTTGATGCTTATTAATTTTGTCCAATATGTCTATAATATACCCTCATTTCCTTTTATAAAAAGAAAATTTTAATAAGAAAGATAAAAAAATACATGAAATATATGAACTAAGCTCTAAATGGGCACTAAAACTTAAAGAAAAATGTAATCACTGCTAGAAAATTAGTCAATTGCTTTTTCTATAAAATACCATTCACTGTGCACTAAAGAACATTTACAAATTTTTTAAATAAAAGATTCAAACAAAGGCACAGCTATGGCTGCTTGTATACTGCTTGGAGGTCACTAAAAATGCTAAAAATGATTTAAATTTTCTCTAACTACTTTTTTATTTTTGAGACAGAGTCTCACTGATGCCCAGGTTGAGCATCTCAAAAAACAAAACAAAAAAACAAAAACAAAACAAAAAACACCACACAAGATTTAAAAAGCTTAAGATTTTTGTTTGTTTTGTTGTTTTTGTTTTTGAGACAGTCTCACTCTGTTACCCAGGCTAGAATGCAGTGGCATGATCTCGGCTCACTGCAACCTTTGCCTCCCGGGTTCAAGTGACTCTCGTGCCTCAGCCTCCCGAGCAGCTGGGATTATGGGTGCGCACCACCACACCCGGCTAATTTTTGTATTTTTAGTAGAGACAGGGTTTTACCACGTTGGCCAGGCTGGTCTCGAACTGCCGGCCTCCCCCAGCCTCCCAAAGTGCTGGGATTACAGGTGTGAGCCACCGCCTCCAGCAAAAAAAAAAAGAGGGGGGGCTTAAGTTTTGAAGCGTAAAACGTGAACCTGATAGTGTAAGACCTTTCAGATTATCTCTTTAATCCTGACAACCTCAAAACGTTGTAAAATGTAATTTCTTTTTATTTGAATTTAATAAATAATTTTTGTGTGTAAGATTTTAACAAAAATAAAACATGAACTTATTACTAAGGCATAATATTTCAAATACTTACATGTCTTCAGGCATCCAATGAAGCAAAAGTTTGATCTTCCCAGAATCTTCTTTTCTCTTAGCTATTACCTGATAATGACATGAAAAGAAATCATAAAAACAATGTGTAAAACATCATTTTCATGTATTGTTAAAAAACACTTTTGGGGCTGGGCGCGATGGCTCATGCCTGTAATCCCAGCACTTTGGGAGGCCAAGGCGGGTGGATCATAAGGTCAGGAGTTTGAGACCAGCTTGGCCAATATGGTGAAACCCCGTCTCTACTAAAAACACAAAAATTAGCCGGGAGTGGTGGTGGGCTTCTGCAGTCCCAGCTACTCAGGAGGCTGAGGCAGGAGAATCACTTGAACCCAGGAGGTGGCGGTTGCAGTGAGCCAAGATCACGCCACTGCACTCCAGCCTGGGCAAGACTCCATCTCAGAGAAAAAAAAAAACTTTCACCCCTAATCAAGAACTTAAGTGTTCATACCCTGGAAGAGATAGTAATCCTGCCTGCTTTGTAGTTCTTCCCTGTCTTGTAGCACTCAAACCTTTGTCTTTCCCACAAGACTGAAAACTCCATGACACAGGAATATTTCTTATCCTGTGAACCTTTGTGTCATACCACCTATAGTAGTGTTTAGTATAAAATAAATTAATTGTTTGGAAATCTATCCTAAAAAAAAAAACCTAGATTCAGTAAAAGCTCTGTGGCCAAGGATGTTTGTGTTACAGTGAACACCTTCGAGCACTTCAGGCCCAAAAAGGGGACAGCAAATATTCCAACACTAAGATCTAGGAACTGTACTCATTAATACCCATTCTCTCCATCCAAGCTGCCATAAACCCAAGTTCAGGTCTCCATTCTTCTGGACCTCCTCAAGTCATCAAAGCTACCTCCCACTCAGTGCCCAGAAGGCTTTTTCCAAAGTACAAATTCAGTAGCATCACTTTCCTGACAAACTCTTCAACAGTTCCCCCGAGCACTTAGGAAAGGGTCACTCTTAGTATGGTGCAGAAAACTCTTCAGGATCTGGCCTCTCTAGGCCTCAGCTATTTCATGGTTTTCTGCCTTGAACGCCTTTAGCCTCATACTGAGAACAGTTTCCCAAACTATGGAACATAATAGAAATACTGTCCTGCTCTCTAACTTAATGGAACAACCAACTCTCCGGGGCTTTCTGTGCACCAGCAGCATTAATGTTTTACAGAAGAACAGTTATCATATTCAGATACCATTTTAGAGTGCTGGGCACACAACAGTAAAACAAAACAAATCCCACTCTACTAAAACTAAAGACTTATTTATATGAAAACTGGAGTTCATAGCTTTTGGAAGGCTTACTAAAGGTCATTTCCTCAGTAGCTCACGCCTGCAATACCAGTACCTTGGGAGGCCAAGGTGGGAGGATCACCTGAGCCCAGGAGTTCTAGACCAGCCTAGGCAACATAGGGAGATCCTGTCTCAATACAAAAAATTAGCCAGGTTATGGTGGTGCTTGCCTGTAGTCCCAGCTACTTGGGAGGCTGAGGTGACAGGATCACCTGCCCAGGAGCTGTGACTGCGCCACTGCACTCCAGGCTGAGCAACAGAGGCCCCACCTCAAAAAAAAAAAAAAAAAGTCACTACCTTAAAAAGCGATGTACTGCAGAATTACAGTAAAAATTGAGAACAAAAACTGTAACATGTCTCATTAGGGTATCTCTAATAGCTTTTCAATTGTCTACAAGTTCTGGCTCCGCTTTAATAAATAAAAGCTGCAAACCATTAGATTATGTACACATTTAAATGTGTTTTATTCAAGAAATGTGACCAGAAACCCCAATTAACATATCTAGACTCCAAAGTATGACTTTGGCTCTATATAAAACAAATTACTAAACATTCATTTACATATTCAGCAAAAATGTTTAAGTTACGTACGCTTCATTTTTTGATTACTCATTTTAACTCAGGCAATTAACCTAGGCAACTATAGGTCTCAGTTAAGTCAAATAAAATTCACATCAAATTTTTACTCCCACCATCCCAACACTTTCCTGCCTGGCATATGCCGTGTCTGCCCATGCGCATACACAATTATACATAGGACACATGCATTATCACCTTTTCTGCGTTGCCCCTCCCCCACAACTCCAATAATGGGTGAAAAGTCTCTAGTCCATGTCTTCAAAATGCTGAGTGCTTACTCTACATTAGCATGTATTACACCGTACTGCCATTGCTTTATGTGCCTACCTTCCCTCACCGAGTGTGGAATGTAGAATATGGTAGACAATTCAGTCTCTACCTTAGGTACTAACCCAAACATTTCCAATAAATGGAGAATGCAATGCAATATACTGGAATACTATGCAGTCATTTAACATTGGGTTTACACACACACTAATAAAAACAAGTGATAGGTGGGCAGAACACTTGAGGTTAGAAGTTTGTGACCAGCCTGGCCAACATGGTGAAACCCTATCTCTACTAAAAATATAAAAATTAGCCAGGTGTGATGGTGCACGTCAGTAATCCCAGCTACTCAGGAGGCTGAGGCAGGAGAATTGCTTAAACCTGGGCAGCGGAAGCTACAGTGAGCCGAGATCATGCCACTGCACTCCAGTCCAAGCAACAAAGTGAGTGAGACTCCATCTCAAAAAAAAAAAAAAAAAAAAAAAAAAGAAAGTAGCCATGTTACTAATATTATCGAAGTAAAAGGTTTTTCAACAACCCTGTCTCAATTTCACTTTTATTTTTCAAGCCAAAGTCTCACTCTGTCACCCAGGCAGTGCAGTGACATAATCTCAGCTCACTGCAACCTCTGTCTCCTAGCCTTGAGTATTCTTCCCGCCTTGGCCTCCTGAGCAGCCAGAACCACAGGCGCAGCCACTACGCCTAGGTATGTCTTTTTTATTTTTTCTAGAGACGGGGTTTTACCATTTTGCCCAGGCTGGTATCAAACTCCTGAGCTCAGCTGATCTGCCTACCTCAGCCTCCCAAGTGCTGAGATTACAGGTGTGAGCCACAGCACCCAGCCTCAACTTCACTTTTAATCATATATTTTCACAAATATATGTGAATTAAAGAAGCTTTAACTAATCAAGCCAAAGCCATGTTATTATTAAGAGAATGAAAATGCCATTTGTTTTACTAAGTATGTGGCTTAGCTTAGCCAACCAAAAGCATTCATAGTAGATGAAATTTTTTCAAGTCTTTTCATTTTTATTACTTAAAAAAGTTGCATTTTTCAATTTAGCTGACTCTGTGCTTGTGCCTTCAACACTTACACCCCAATTTTCTACTCCTTAATAAGGAAAGCATGTTTGATCCTGTCACAAACACATTTAGCACACATGGAACCACCACAGGCCCTGCTGACATGTTCTTTGCTTTGGACAATCTCATTAAGAACTTTAGGTCTCACAGCACGAACCCCTCCATGTCTGCCTGGGCACATGCCACATGCAGATTTTGGTGCTTTCCCAACGTTCTTAGTAAAAAGGTAAACAACTCTATTACCAAGGGTCTGGGACAGACTTGTTTTGTTAGAGGCTGTATTGTAGAAAAGCCTACGACAGTATGTCAAATGCTGGACCATTCTGAGTGCCTGCAGACAACGTTCCGGAAGAGGAAGAAGAAAGCCTTTGAAATATTTTTAAATGAATAAACAGTAAAGAAAAAATACTAATGAGAAGGAAAAGTCTCTAATTTACAACTTAAGGCATTTGTTTATCTCCTGGAGTTTTTTGCTGTAGTTGGTTTTATTTTAAATGAAAGGTAGGCCAATCAGTCTAGGTTTAAGCTTAAGGAATCTATGCAAGTTAACATCGATCTAACAGAAAGACCCAAAAAAGTATAAGAAAAGCAATATATTTTCCTTTCATTACCAGATTCTGAAAATTAAGATAATGCTTAAATAAAATAAAATCAGGCAAAACAATAACGTCAAACTCTTAAAATTTCCATATAAACAAAATTAGAACTTTAGTGTTTTAATAGTCTTAATCTCAATTTTTTTAATCAAGTTCCAACCACCCAAACAAAATAATCTTGTAATCCTGAAAACATATTAGGACTGAGTAAAAGCAGAGCTTTAAGCAAAAACAAAACACTGTCTCCACTATATAAAAACCTATGGTGAGGCCAGACGCAGTGGCTCACACCTATAATCCCAGCACTTTGGGAGGCTGAGGCAGGAGGACTGCTTGAGCCCAGGAATTCGAGGCCAGCCTGGACAACATGGTGAATCCCCGTTTCTAGTTTTTATTTTTTAAAATATGGTTTTTTTAAAAACAACAAAAAAAGTCTGTAGTCAAATAAATACTCTGATTCTAGACTTGGCAACAAAATTTAAAAGCCCAAACACAGGTCTGGAGCTGCTAAAACAAAATACCTCTACAATGAAATAATACACAAAAACAATGCAAGCCAACCAAGCACAGCAAGCCAACTGATTGGTAACTAGGATTTTGCTGACCTCTTCTGGAGAAGGCTCGAAAGAAAATATTTCAATTAATGAAATAAGGCACATTAGGCAAACCAAACAGTATAGTACCTCATAGCCTTCTTTTAACCAATTGTTTCATTATTTGTATTATTTTCTATAAAAGTTAATTTGATAACAAAGTAACTTAAATTTGCAGTTAGTACTGAATGTTTTTTACTACTAACAGAATTGATTCTGTTTAACATGTACTGCCTCCATCAAAACCTTCCCAGTTATAGAACTTTGGAGCTCCAATTTGCTCACCTAGCTCCTTTCCTTTCTATTGTGTCCAGCGAAGACCTTATCTCATTATGGATGTCTCTTCCTTCCACTTTCCTTCCCCAGGAAAAAAAATCATTCTTCAGATTACATTCCACCTTTGTGACTTTTCCTCAGTTAAGGTACCTCTGCCTCCTCACTGTGACTTAAGGGTGGACATCACTCATTCCTAGGTTTTTAAGCTTACAATATATGTAAGTGTCAATGTTCTTAAGCCCTCTCAGATGTTTTCCATAGCTCAAAAGCTTTTCATTTTCATGGACTATTTTGAGTCTGCGCAAATTTTTTATTTTCTTTCTAGACTTCTAATATTATTACCACTATTTTTGGTTCCTTCATTTTCCTTCTTTTGGAGCCATCGCTATTCCTCCCATGGTGAAGCTAAGGATTTCATCAAAAGGAGCTGCTCTAATGAAAGCATATGCAAGTTAGTGCTTCCCTTTTACATCACTTCTCCCTTATCTGTAGAGACACTAGCTCATTACTAGACCACCATTTCACTAAATCTATTGCCCTTTAAATCATTAAATGTTTGGTAAGCCCCAAACACTTCAATCCTTATGCTAACTTTCTCTTTATTTACACTTATTTCCTAGGTAATCTCATCCAGTCTGATACCTATAAATACCACAAATACACTAAAAATTCCCATATTTTCTATCTGTAGCCACACCTCTCTCCTCTGAGCTCTCAATTTATAGCCATCAGCCTAAGTGACAGAGCCACTGAATGCCCTATAGGCCTCTAAATATGTCCAAATTAGATCTCTTGATACTCCCCTCTCCCCAATCTGCTTGCCTGAGAGCCTCCACGGCTCTGCCACGGAGCTGCCCAGGCCAAAAAGCCTTGGAGTTGCTGTTACCTCTTATTCTAAAACCCAGTATCTCATCCATCCATAATTCTTGTCCATAGTAACTCCAAAAGATAACCAGAATCCAACCCTTATCTCCACTGCAAACATTCCAGTCTAAGCCACTATCATTCTCACTTGAAATACTGAAAAGACAAATTCCCCTTTACTCTCACCCCTGACTTTCTACAATTTGTTCTCAACACAGAAACCAAAGTGAACATGTTAAAGCCTGCATGAGGGAAAAGAACAACAGTAGGTTTTCTAGGGCAGGAGGTGGAGGTAGGAATGTACTACAAAGCTACACCAGAAAACTTCAGAGTGCTGGAACTATTCTATCTTAACTGTGGTGGTGCTTGCCTCAGTGAGTACAACTTTCAAAACTCACAGAAATGTATACTTTCAATGGGTACAGTTTATTATATATAAATTGTACCTCAATAAAAATTATTGACAGCAAGTTTCTTTACTAAGAGAGAAATAAAAGGGCCAGGCACCGTGGCTCATGCCTGTAATCCCAGCACTTTGGGAGGCCAAGGTGAGTGGATCACTACAGTTCAGGAGTTCGAGACCAGCCTGGCCAACATGGCGAAATCCCATCTCTACTAAAAATACAAAAATTAGCTGGGCATGGGGACGCTAATTTAGTACAGTCCCAGCTACTAGGGAAGCTGCAGCACAAGAATCACTTGAACCTGGGAGGCAGAGGTTGCAGTGAGCCAGTATGGTGTCACTGCACTCCGGCCTGGGTGACACAGCAAGGCTCTGTCTCAAAAAGATATTATATATATTATTTTAAAAACTAGGCCAGGCACGGTGGCTCACTCCAGCACTCTGGGAGGCAAAGCCAGGAGGATCACTTGAGCCCAGGAGTTTGAGATCAGCCTGGGCAACATAGCAAGATGTCATCTCTACAAGAAAAAATAAAAAAAAAACTCAAAAAATTAGCCAGGCATCGTGGTGTGCTCCTACAGACCAAACTACCTGGGAGACTGAGGAGAGAGGACTGCTTGAGCCCAGGAGTTTGAGGCAACAGTGAGCCATGATGATACCACCACATTTCACCCTGGGTGACACAGTGAAACTCTGACTCAAAAAAACAAAACAAACAAACAAACAAACAAAATCAGACCATGCCTATTCAACCCCCTTCAATGGCTTCCCATCTCACACAGAATAAAAGCTAAGGTCTTAGTCCACCAAGGTTCTGCCTATTACCTCTCAAACTTAACTCCTACTCTCTCCTCTTCCCTTGTTCCCTCCAGCTACGCTGCCTACTCTGCCTACTCACTGTTGTCCCACCTCAAGATGTTACACCTCATCTTCCCTCTAGCTAAAATGCTTATACCCCACTAATAATTGAATGGCTTATGCCCTCATTACAAGTTTTTACAATTTTACTAATTTATCTTGTTTTATCATGTCTCTTCCATTAGAGTAGCTGCATGGTATTTTTTGTTTGGTTGGTTTTAATCTGTTTTGTTCACTGCTATGTCATTACATTAGTACCTGGCTCACAGTAGGTGCTCAATATTTAATGATCACCTTAATATTTAAAACAGTTTAATAAGTGAATGAACAAACTAGCTCTGATGCCACACTCTGGACATGGTGACAACATCTTACTGACCTGTTAAAACAAAAAAAATCTGTATTACAGACCTACCATATCATAAAACTATGTTCCCAAATTTCAAAGGAGGACTTCAACCAGCCTCGGTGAGCAAGGCTCTAACCTTGCTGAATCCCCACAAAGTCCCCAGAGCAGCCATATTAACTCTTTCTGGTCTCCAAATCCTGTATTTTACCCGCCAACTCTTTCATCCTTATTTAGATAAATGTATTTCCTATGTTATTTAAAAGAGAATAAGGACACCTTTCCTCAAATTCATGTCTCTTGTGTCTTCCAATCTCAGAAAAAGTCTCCTTTCCTTTGCATCTAATTTTCCACTTTCTTGCCTTTGACTCCAAATTTTGTTCTATCACTCTCTCCTTTATATCCTTATCTAATTTCTAAAATATACAATTCTACCTTTAAATATTCTAAAACTTGAGTGGAATGTACTGATACCTATTGCTCCATTTTCTATCTTGCCTTTTTTTAAATAAAGTTATTTAATAGTGTCCATTTAATTGGTATATTTGCTGTCAATAAATTGGCAACACAAGGAAGAACAAAAGGGTGAGCTCCTAACCAGGCTCTCCTGCCAGGCTCAAGCAGGATCTATCTTCCCTGTAGTATCACACATATCAATCTAAATACCACAAGAGTTCTCATCCTGGAATCCATGAATAGGGTGTGGGTAAAGGTCCATAAACCCTATGTAATAAAAGTACACAACTAGTCAGTCAGGTGCGGTGGCTCACACCTGTAATCCCAGGGCTTTGGGAGGCCGAGGTGGGTGGATCACAAGGTCAGGAGATCGAGAGCATCCTTGCTAACACGGTGAAATCCCGTCTCTACTAAAAAAAATACAAAAAAATTAGCCAGGCGTGGTGGGGGGGGCGCCTGTATTCCCAGCTACTCGGGAGGCTGAGGCAGGAGAATGGTGTGAACCTGGGAGGCGGAGCTTGCAGTGAGCCGAGATCGCGCCACTGCACTCCAGCCTGGGCGACAGAGCAAGACTCCGTCTCAAAAAAATATATACAACTATACTAGATCACAATAGGAAAGACAATACAACCTTTTTAGTTCCTAGTTTCATTATCTGAAAAATTCAAGTTAGGGGACAACATTGGTTATGCAGTAACTAAAAACATAAATTAATTTAAATGATACATTTAATAACCTACATTATGTCAAGCACGCCTCCATTTAAATTTAGTCCATAAACAAGACAAGGTTAGCCTGGGCAACATGGTGAGACCTTGCCTCTACCAAAAATAAATTAGCCAGGTGTGGTAGCTCATGCCTGTGGTCCCAGCTACTCAGAAGACTGAGGTGGGAGGATCTCTTGAACCCAGGAGATTGAGGCTACAGTGAGCCATGTTTGTGCCACTGCACTCCAGCCTGGATGACAGAGTAAGACCCTGTCTTGGAAAGGGAAAGAAAGACAAAGGATATCAGTAGGGCGTGGTGGCTCACCTGTAATCTCGACACTTTGGGAAGCTAGGACAGGAGGACTGCTTGAGGCAAAGAGTTCAAAACCAGCCTGGGCAACACAGCAAGATCCTGTCTCTATAAAAATAAATGTTTAAAAAAAAAAAAACCCAAGGATGTCTCCTCTCACCATTCCTATTCAACACAGTACTGGAAGTCCTAGCCAGAGCAATCAATCAGGTAAGATCAATAAAAGGCATCCAAATAGGAAAAGAGGAAATCGAATTTACTTTCTTCACTGCCAATATGATTCTACACCTAGAAAAACCTGAAGATTTCACCAAAAAGCTCATAAACCTGATAAACAACTTTAGCAAAGTCTCAGGATACAAAAAAAATCAATGTACAAAAATCAGTAGCATTTCTATACCCCAATAACACTCAAGCTGACAACCAAATCAAGAATGCAATTCCATTCACCATAACACACACACACACATACACACACACACACACACCAAGGAATACATCTAACCAAGGAGGTAAACAATCTCTACAAGGAGAACTACAAAAGGCTGCTAAAAGAAATCATAGATGACACAAAAAAATAGAAAAATATTCCATGCTCACAGATTGGAAGAATCAGTATCATTAAAATGGTGACAACGCCCAAAGGAATTTACAGATTCAATGCTATTCCTATCAAGCTACCAATATTTTTTCACAGAATTACAAAAAAGTATTCTAAAATTCACATGGAATGAAAAGGAGCGCAAAGAGCCAAGGCAATCCTAAGCAAAAAGAACAAAGCCAGAGACACCACCTTACCCGACTTCAAACTACACTACAAGGCTACAGTAACCAAAACAGTGCAGCATTGGTACAAAAATAAACAAACAGCCAAGCGTGGTGGCTCGCGCCTATTAATCCCAGCACTCTGGGAAGCTGAAGCGGCTGGATCACCTGAGGTTGGGAGTTCGAGACCAGCCTGACCAACGTGGAGAAACCCCATCTCTACTAAAAATACAAGATTAGCCAGGCGTGGTGGTACACGCCTGTAATCCCAGCTACTTGGGAGGCTGAGGCACAAGAATCGCTTGAACCCAGGAGGCAGAGGTTGCAGTGAGCCGAGATCATGCCATTGCACTCCAGCCTGGGCAACAAGAGCGAAAGTCCATCTCAAAAAAAAAAAAAGAATAGACAAACAGACCAATGAAATAGGACAGAAGCCCCTGAAATAAAACTGCACACCTACAACCAACTGATCTTCAAAAAAGTTGACAAAAATAAAAACGGTGAGGAAAGGACTCCCTAATTCAATAAATGGCACTGGAGAAATTGGCTAACCATATGCCAAAGAATGAAACTGGACCTCTACTGAGCTCTCACCATATAAAAAATTAACTCAAGATAGGCCGGGCATGGTGGCTCATGCCTGTAATCCCAGCACTTTGGGAGGCCAAGGCAGGCAGATCACTTGAGGTCAGGAGTTCAATACCAGCCTGGCCAACATGGCAAAACCCCATCTCTACTAAAAATACAAAAATTAGCTGGGCTTGGTGGCATGCACCTGTAATCCGGCTACTCGGGAGGCTGAGGGAGGGGGATCGCTTGAACCTAGAGGGTGGAGGTTGCAGTGAGCCTAGATCATGCCACTGCACTTCAACCTGGGCAACAGAGCAAGACTCTGTCTCAAAAGAAAAAAAAGTAGGTACAAATAACAGGAAAACATATATAATTGGGAAGTAAGTAAGGACATGTCCAATTGCCTTGAATAGTGAAATCCAAGGATGCTCTAAAAGGCCTTTATATAAAATAACATGGTGTTGCATATAATCTATGCAAAACCTCCCATATAATTAAGTCGATACTACGTAAATAGTTGGTACACTGTACTTTTTAATTTGTATGATTTTTATTGTGGTTCTTGTCCCCGCAAATATGATCAATCCGTGGTTGGTTGTAACCACGGTCGCAGAACCTGTGAATACAGAGGGATGACTGCACGCAGAAGAAAACATGAAAATGCAAAAAAAAAAAAAAAAAAAACAAACTCATTTTTATAGGAGACGACGGAAATAGAGGTTCAAACCAAACAACATATTGATATCAATAAGGACCTTTTGTATTTCAATTTTCATGCACTTTTCAATTGAAATATAAAAAATAAAAGTAACCCAAATTTAGTGTATATATAATTTTTTTTTTTCCAGACAGGGTCTCACTTTGTAGCCCAGGCTGCAGTGCAGTGCCATGATCACAGCTCACTGCACCCTTGACCTCCTGGGCTCAGCCAATCCTCCCACCTCAGCCTCCTGGGTAACTGGGACTACAGGTGCACACCACTATGCCTGGCTAATTTTTTGCATGTTTTTGTAGAGACAGGGATTTGCCATATTATCCAGGCTGGTATTGAATTCCTAGGTTCAAGCAATCTGCCTGCCTTGGCCTCCCAAAGTACTAGGATTATAGGTGTGAGCCATGAAGCCTGGCTGTATTTTTTTTTTTTTTTTTTGAGATGGAGTTTCGCTCTTGCTGCCTAGGTCGGAGTGCAGTGGTGCGATCTCGGCTCACAGCAGCCTCCAACTCCTGGGCTCAAGCAATTCTCCTGCCTCAGCCTCCCAAGTAACTGGGATTGCAGATGACCACTACCACACCCAGGTAATTTTTTGTATTTTTAGTAGAGACAGGGTTTTGCCACGTTGGCCAGGCTGGTCTCGAACTCCTGGCCTCAGGTGATCCACCTGCCTAGGCCTCCCAAAATTTTGGGATTACAGGCATGAGCCACCACGCCCGGCCTGTATTTTGTCAGCCTAAATTAAACACATATTTTTCAGAGATTCAAATCACCAAAAGTATGATCTACAATGTACATTTATTAACTTAATTACACCAAACTACACCAATTTAAAAATGACTGAAAAACAAAATGAGAAGAGGCATGGAAGAAAGAATAACTCTCTATTACAACTCCTAATTAACCAAAAAATAAAATGTATTTATTCTTTTTCAAATTTGGTACTTTTCTTCTTCTCTGTTGACAACATAGTCATTCAACAACTATACTGAGTGCCTACCATGTGCCAGGCAAAATTCTAGGCACTTGGGATAGATGAGTGGAACAAAAGAGACTAAAATCCTTTCCTTCATGAAGCTCTGATAGCAAATATAATCTTATATTCTGTTTAACATAAACTTTGGATGGGTACGTGGGGTAAGAGGTGGCTCCATGCAGTACACAGAAATGTGAATGAAACTTTTTAGAGGTAAAAGGAGTCTCATGTTCTAATTTTGCAAATGAGGAAACCAGGTGAGAAAAGACACCTGGTTTAGCTAATGTCAGAGACCAGTAATGCCTAGTAACACTGTATGGTGTGTCATCCCATTATTCCTAAGTAACTCAAACTAAAGGCTAACATATTCAGTTTAATCACAAACATGTAAAATTATAAGAAATGTGTGCTTTATAACCAATAATACAATGTTTTAAATACTGATAAAACAAAAGGTTTTGTGATTTCTGTTAAATTGTACTTTCTTAGATTTTGAGAGATTTAGAAATGATTGTGGAAATATTTTTTTGCAAAGTTTTATATTTAATTTGAAAAAATAAAAGAATACTTACAGTACTATGAAAAACAACACTGTGTCCCTTCCCTAAACTTTCTATATGAGCTGAGAGGTTAAAGCATATGGCTCGATGTCTTATCGCATCCAGTGTTTGTGCATCGAAGAAATCATGTGGCCGTGCTAAAAGTCAACATAAAAAGTAAAGAATATTTAGAAAAACATAACAGTAATAAGTAATAAAGATGGAAACAATTAACAAATACATATCTATCAATAGTATTTAAATTCAAGATTATTATTTGCTTACAAAACATGGACTCTAGATAAGAAGACTAATATGCAAAAGCATTATTTCAACAAATGAGTGAATGTGGGTTAATTCTGACCCTTGGTGAGTTAAGTTCTAACCTCAAACCTCATGATTCCACATCTCAGCTACTTCATTTTTCATAAAATGTTATCTTTTACTCCAACATCTCGCCTCAGCATAAGGTCTGTTATCAGCGATCTGAGGAACACCATCTATATATCAGGATTTCAAACTCACCATTGCCAAACATACAAAATAAATTTTGTGAACATTTTGTGTTACCATGTAATTTCAAATTGTACAAATCTGACAATACAATAATATTATTTTGAGGTTTTTTTTTTTTTTTTTAAGAGACAGAGTCTCACTCCTTCACCCAGGCTGAAGTGCAGTGGCGCCATCTCAGCTCACTGCAACCTCTGCCTCCCAGGTTCAAGCAATTCTCATGCCTCAACCTCCTGCGTAGCTGGGACTACAGGCGCACACCACCAAGCCCGGCTGATTTTTGTTATTTTTAGTAGAGCTGGGGTTTCACCATGTTGGCTGGGCTGGTCTTGAACTCCTGGCTTCATGTGATCTGCCTACCTCGGCCTCCAAAAGTGCTGGGTATACAGGCATGAGCCACTGCTCCCAGCCTATTTTGAGGTTTTTGACAAGTATTTTCTTGATTATGAACAACTATTTGAACAATGATCTAATAAAATTACAAACAAATTTTTGGACGCCGATCAGTCCACCAAAGCTGCCAATCAGCTCCACCAGTTATCACGTGTGTGACTGTGGGCAAACTACTTAACCTGCATTACACTGTGGATTATTTGTAAAATGTAAATTATTGTAACAATTTTCAATTGTAATTAAATAAAACAAATGCATATAAAAATGCCTTATAAATCATAAGGCCATTTGTATTAATCAGCTTATATAACTGGTTTTTTTCTTTTTCTTTTAGACACAGTCTCATTCTGCTGCCCAAGGTGCTAGAGTCCAGTGGCGTGATCATGGCTCACTGTAGCCTCAAACTAACTTCTGGGCTCAAGTAATCCTCCTGTCTCAGCCTCTTGAGTAGCTAGGACTATAGGCATGTTCCACCATGGAATTTTTTTTAAAGGATAAAACGTTTCACAAATATAGAGTAGGCAGTATTTTAGTGTGATCAAAAAAATTATACACTGAAGATTTAATTTGGTAAGAACATTTTTCAAATTTCAATTTTCATCCCACTAATTATAATAAATTATTCTATTCTTATTCCTAATAAGAAAGTTGCTCAAAATAAGTTGATTATTTTACATTTGTGGAGCTTACTAATACATGTAATTTTTCAAGATCTGTAATTGAAAATTCAATTTCACTAATAAAAGAGTTGGCTTGATTCCCTGGTACAGCATATTCTGAATTACATATATGCTGATTTCCCACACTATGGCTATTCAAAGAGTTCTCAAAACATCTACACAAATCCACCATAGCTTTTATGGGGGAATATTTTCACCAGTTGGCACATCAAATAGAACATACCTAAACAAACAGGTCTTTTCTCTAGATATTTCCTCAAGAAAAAATAAACAAAACACCAACTAGTAATAAACGAGCAGAAGCCAAAAGACTAAGAAGGCAGTGACAATGAGAAATCAGAAAGAAAAAAGTACTTGACATTTCCAGGGGTGAGCAAGGGAGAGTTCTGAGAAATACATCACTTTCCTGTTAGATAAGTGGCTACTCGAAAAAAAATGTGTAACTTTCTCCAAGCTCTCCAAATATATGCTTTTTCCTAAGAATAAACACTTGGGGAAAATAATAACTCATCACTCTAAATCACTAAAATTAACCACTCCTCACTCAAATTTAAACATTGAAGCCATCACTTAAATTCACAATAATGAAAGGAGTCCTCAATCTTCAGCCTATGCATTCAGACCTTAACCACACTATCTCCACTGCATTTATCAAGAATACCAAACTAGAACAGTAGTTCCAAAGTAGGTGTGTGTCATGATCCATTAGAGTACGTAAAGAATAGAATACCCTTGTTAATTTCTTCATCTCATTCTTTTTCAATATTCCTTCTTGGCAATTTTGTATAATGTGCAGTAGTAGTATTACCCGTATACAATGTATAAATTACATACGTTAAGACTGTGTGCTCAGTATTTTTTTAACTAATAAGATATATAATCAAAAACCTTTGGTGCTGGACACAGCGGCTCATGCCTGTAATCCCAGCACTTTGGGAGGCCAAGGCAGGAGGCGGATCACTTGATACCAGGAGTTTGAGACTTGGTGGCCAACATGGTAAAACCCCATCTCTACTAAAAATACAAAAATTAGCCCGGCATGGTAGTGTGTGCCGGTAGTCCCAGCTACTCAAGAAGCTGACGCACGGGAATTGATTGCACCTGGGAGGCACTGGTTGCTGTGAGCTAAGATTGCACCACTGCACTCCAGCCTCGGCAACAAAGTGAGACCTTGTCTCAAAAAAACAAAAAACAAAAACAGAACAAAGCAAAAAGGTTGAAAGATCACAAACTGACAACCTAACATTACAGGTTGCTGTGAGCCAAGATCGCACCACTGCACTCCAGCCCGGGCAGTAAGTGTGAGACTCTGTCTCAAAAAAAAAAAAAAAAAAAAAAAACACCTTTGGAAACCACAAAAATAGAAACTATTTTCCCATGGTTCAAAATTACATATATTGTATGATTTATCTTCTCCTTAGGTGTAATGATGATGATGTGGTTATGCAGAAAAATATCTTTATTCTTAGGAGATGCATCTTAAGAATTTTGGGTCCATGACCAAAAAAGTATATAGGTAGGAAGATAAAACAAATGTACCATATTGGTAAATCTCTAAGTGAAGAGCAATACAAGTATTTATTATACTATTCTTTCCACTTTAAAGTATATTTAAAAAGCATTAAAAATATATTTTAAAGATTTTTAAAAATAATGAAAAAATAAATAAAAATTAAAAATATGTATATATATAAATTTTATCAGGCCGGGTGCGGTGACTCACACCTGTCATCCCAGCCCTTTGGGAGGCTGAGATGGGTGGACCATTTGAGCTCAAGAGCTCAAGACCAGCCTGGTCAAAAAGACAAAACCCCACTTCTACCAAAAAAAAATACAAAAATTAGTTGGGTGTGGTGGTGTGTGCCTGTAGCCCAAGCTACCTGGGAGGCTGAGGTGGGAGAATCACCTGAGCCCAGGAGGTCGAGGCTGCAGTGAGTCATGATTGCACCACTGCATTCCAGCCTGGGTGACAGAGAGAGACCCTGTCTCAGAAAAAAAAAAAAAGGTTAAAAAAAAAACAAATTTTATCAAACAGAAAATTACATTTGCTGCAGTGCTGCTATTTATAAGGTATATTTTTCACAGTTTCGTAAAAACTGTCTTCTTGAATTACATGAGGAAGATACTAGGTAAAGTTAACTGCTACAGATATGTATGCTTTTAAAGAAAGAGTGAAATGCAGCAGCTGTTAACCATGCTAATTCAAATCACAGCACTGTCTTAACAATGGCTCCCCACAGTGAAAAGGCCTTGGATCCTTTTTAAAGTTTATAAAGTAATATATTCAGGACTAACCCCATTCTCCTCAATAAAACAGATGACAAAAAGGTATTTTCATCCACCACCTCTCTCTGCCAACTCTCCCTACGCAGCCTGCCTTACTAGCTAAGTTAATATGAGGAAAAACACCACCGTCAAAAGAAACATATACTTAAGCCGGCACCAGTACTTTGTTTCTAAGCAAGAACTGGGTATTTAACTGAATCTCTCTTCTCTTTACAAGACAAAGAGTAGCGAATTGCATAGATATTTCCAAGTATATAATGTGAAAAGTCAGAAAATTTAAATGATTACTGTATACACTGAGACTAAAATAATAATGAGGATAGGTGAAACTGGTGGAAAAGTCATCTGGTTTTTGAGTACCATAATATATATTTAGCAATTTTCTGTGTGCAACTGCAAGCTACTTGATATTAACACAAGTAAAATGATCGCAATGCTAAATTTCTGTTTTTATAAAGGATGTCAAAATGAAAATGGTACCATAAATAGCCAACGTTGATTAAAATTAAACATGATTACTTTAACAAAAAGAAACTTAAGGCCAGGTATGGTGGGTCATGCCTGTAATCCTAGCACTTTGGGAGGCTGAAGTGGAAGGATCACTTGAGCCCAGGAGTTCAAGACCAGCCTGGAGAACACAGAGAGACCCCCACCATCTCTTCCAAAAATAAAAACTAGCCAGGCATGGTGGCTCAGGCCTGTAGTCCCAGCTACTTGGGAGGCTGAGGTGGGAGAATTGCTTGAGCCCAGGAGTCTGAAACTGCGGTAAGCCATGATCTCACTACTGCACTCCAGCCTGGGCAAGAGTAAGACCCTGTATCAAAAAAAAAAAAAAGCAAGAATGAAATTTAAGAGAGTTTAAGAAAGTTTACTTTTCTCAGTTAATGAGGTAGAAAAAAAATAAAAACGAAATATAAAGTTTTCTGGTTTGTTCATTTGTCCGCTATAAATCTGTAGTAACAAAAAGATTTCAATGTTTTACAGACTAATTTCGTAGTCTGGAATTAGTGTCTGGAGTCTTGTCTATACTAATCAATCCCCAGAGAAAAAGGGTAAAGTACAATCTATTTTTTCTTTCTAATTCACCTTTGGAGTAGACTCCCTTTCAATGAAAGCTTTATTCACTCATTCACCCATTGGTATTTCTTCATTGAGGATATGTAGTTAAAACTAACCAGCTGCTCGAGCACAGTGGCTCATGCCTGTAATCCCAGCACTTTGGGAGGCCAAGGCGGGTGGATCAAGAGGTCAGGAGTTCAAGACCAGCCTGGCCACATGGCGAAACCCCACCTCTACTAAAAATATAATGATTAGCCAGTCGTGGTGGCGGGTGCCTGTAATCCCAGCTGCTCGGAAGGCTGAGACAGAGAACTGCTTGAACCCGGAAGTCGGAGGTTGCAGTGAGCCGAGATCACACCACTGCGCTCCAGCCTGGGCGACAGTGTGAGACCCCATCAAAAAAATAATAATAATAATAAAATAAAGCCACAAACTAACCAGCTGACACAAAGAAGCAGTGACCAGCTACACTCTGAGGTTGCAAAGTCTGTTCCTACTCCCAGCATTTACAAGCCTTATCATCTACTTATTTTCTATCCTAAACATCAAGGATACATTTTGGTAAGTAAACACATAAACATTATACATATGTTACAATAGACTAGGTACTATGACACCCATTACATTCAAATTGTTTTGCTATCGGCTGGGTGTGGTGGCTCACACCTGTAATCCCAGCATTTTGGGAGGCCGAGACAGGCAATCACCTGAGGTCGGGAGTTTGAGACCAGCCCGTCCAACACAGTGAAACCCTGTCTCACGCCATTGCACTCCGGCCTGGCTGACAGAGCGAGACTCCATCTCAAAAAAAAAAAAAAAAAAAAAGCAACACTGCTTTGTTATCCACACACATTGCTTTGTGGTGGTTTTTTTTGTTGTTGGTTTTTTGAGACAGGGTCTCACTCTGTCTCCCAGGTTCAAGTGTGGTGGCGCGATCACGGCTCACTGCAGCCTCTACCTCCCAGCTCAGGTACACACACTACTTTGGAGTAGATAGATTACTTAACTTTCACTTGATATTTACTTTTAACATGTTCAAATTTTCTAAAATATTTCTAGAAATACCAATGTTACTATATTTTAAATGTTATTTTGGAAGAGAATCAGAGTAGCCCCCAAATCTAATTTTATACAGTTTATATTTGAAGGCCACATATACTCCCTTAGCTACTACAAACATGTGCCACTGAATTCTCACTCTCACTGACAGACAGGCATCCTACCTGTTTGTTACTTTTAATAGAAGAGGAGTTGAAGTTCAAAGTGGATTTGCATAAAAGTCTAAGATATCTTTTAAAACCATGAAATACACCAGATTTTCTCAGTGTAACACTTACGTAATGAGCGTCGTCTTTTGTTCTTTAATTTCCTCCTTTTGTTCATTCCAGCTTTAGAAGGAGATTCTTCTTTGGCCTTTGGCTGGCTAGAAACTTTTGAGGAGTTCTGCTGACTGAAGTGTGTGGGTACATGACGAGCTAGCCCTCCCTGAGAAGCAAAGCTGGCATTGCAGCCACCAACAACACACTAAAAGAAAATAAAACAGAAATAACGTCAGGCATGCTGTGTAGGGCACGAGAAGAATATCAATGAGTGAATATCTAGTATTTTCGGAAGTAAATAAGTAGTACAATAGAACTAATTCCAGAAAGGAAGCATAAGGGACTAGTAGTCTTTTCACTTTACGAAGTAAGTTGCCAAGTAAGATGACATACATTAGACAAAGCTTGAAAATGCAACAAGTTTCACGACCTCCCAGTTTACTGCTATTTCCACTATATGCAATACAAAAATAATGGGATCTTCTTCCCAGAAAAATCTGGTTTTGAATTAATCATTGTTATAGCAGAAGCACTAAGCTGTTTTTGCAACAAATAATTAGATATCCTGGCAATGACTGGATTCCTGAATTTTATTTTTATTTTTTTGAGACAGCGTATTGTTATTGCCCAGGCTGGGATGCAGTGGTGTGATCTCCGCTCACTGCAACCTCTGCCTCCTGGGTTCAAGTGATTTTTGTGCCTCAGCCTCCCGAGTAGCTGGGATTACACGTGTGTGCTACCATGCCTGGCTAATTTTGTATTTTTAGTAGAGCTATGGTTTCACCACATTGGCCAGGCTGGTCTCGAACTCCTGGCCTCATGTGATCTGCCTGCTTTGGCCTCCCAAAGTGCTGGGATTACAGGTGTAAGCCAGCTGTATTTCTGGATTTTTAAAGTATTTTTTTTACGTTACATGCTACTTCAAAACCTTCAGCAGACTTCCTAGTGTTACACACTATTAAAACAGGTGAGAGAAAAGTTCAATATTGACTTTTTAATGTATTTTGTATTTTGGGTTTTGTTTTTTTTGAGACAGGGTCTCAGTCTATCACCCAGGCTGAAGTGCAGTGGCATGATCTCGGCTCACTGCAGCCTCAACCTCCCAGGCTCAAGTGATCCTCCCACCTCAGCCTCCCAGGTGGTGGTACTATAGGCACACGCCACCACACTCTACTAATATTTTGTTGTTGTTGCATTTTTTGTCAAAAGGGGGTTTCACCATGTTGGGTAAGCTGGTCCTGAACTCCTGGGCTCAAACCATCCATTTGCCTAGGCCCCCCACAGAGCTAGGTGTGCACCACCACACCTGCCTTGTCTTTGTAAATTACTTTCTTATAAATTTCTTAAACTTCAAATGAAAACCCATACGGACTACATTTAATATTTTAAAAATAAATAAATTTTTTTTATTTTATTTTGTTTTTTTATTTATATTTTGTTTGTATAAATTTTTTAATTTGTTAAACAATTAGATCTAGCCTCTCTCTTAGAAAAGACATGCTCAGTGTTGGTCATATGCCGCCCTCTACAATATCCATTAAATACTGCCTCTTTAGCCTTCTGTACTTGCAATGTTAAGAAATCAAAAGGTTAACTACCCGAGTCACCTGACAGATGTGCTATTTTAACAAAGAATGCAGAATGTTCAGGTAGCACCAGAATTAATATATACAAATTAACTGCGGTATAAGTGTGTGATTTCTAATTATATCTTGGGGGAAAAAAATTTGCAGGTCTTCTAACAAATGAATCGTGGTAATTAAAACAAAACAAAACAGAAAATATCCACAGTTGGATGGATAATGACTTTTCCATTAGTCATTTAACCAATTTACTTAGTTTTTGACTTACCAAACTCTAAGCATATAAATGTGTCATGTTAAAAACCAAATATATTCATCTTGTTATCCCCAGGCGGTTCATCTTGTAAAAGTTCATCTAGATAATAGCATTTAAAAAAATCACATGCCTCAGGCTCTTTCCTTCAATCGAGGTACCTCTACCAATTGTAAGCTGCTAAAATCACAACACAGCCCTTTATTTGTAAAAATCATAACTTTCCTCATAAAGTCTCTCTAAATCTGCCACAAATGGACAAGAGCTAATTCTCCCTTGAGGCTGTCCTCACACTTCACTGCATATCTATGTCAACTCACACTTTCCATTTTGAACACAGAGATGTATATTTATGAATATTTATATTCCCAGAAGCATCTTGCAAATCATAGATATTACTAAGTATATTAGCAGAACAGTTATATGTTTACTGATGCTGATAAAAAAAAAAATCACACATTCTTCTTATATGGTATCCATTAATAATTACTCTATTTTGACATACAAAATATATTTTGGGGGCTCCTTATGGCCCTCAGCGTCTCTATGAAAAATGTTTACTTACTCTATGGTGCACACTAAGTTAAAAAAGAGGTAGAAATGATTCAAGACTTTAGTTCAAATACTTATCTATGTCCAGTATTACATAATATGCTAGAAGGATAAAGATGAATAAGATATAGATACTACACTAAAAGAGCTTCTATATGTTCCGCAAAACATACATATAAAGCAGTATAACTTCAAAGGAGTACAGTAAGGCCTAACTAAAGCACAGGGCTATGGGAAACCCTGAATAGAGGCAATTAGCCATATTCATTGCTCTGAAATTAGTATTTAATTCATACAACAACCCTAAGAATGGCATGGTCCTCAAATAGGCTGCATCAAGAATTTTCACCTACAGACTCTGACCATGAGAAGTCAGCATTTAATGATTTCTATATTTAAAATTTAAAATTTTACCACACATATTTTGAGTACCAAGAAATAATAACGCTTTTTAAAGCTGCCATCTCTTCTGTAGAGTACCACGTTGCCACAGAACTACCTGGTCCACTGCCAAGGTCACTGCAAACCTACGAACCACTAGCCAAATATTGCTACTCAACACTTTAAATATGGTTATTGTAACTGAGTAAATGAATTTTTAACTTTATTTCATTTAAATTAATATTATTCATTAAAGTGAAATTCACATCACAAAATTAACCATTTGAAAGTGTACAATTCAGTGGAATTTAGTGTATTCACAATGTTGTATAATCACCAGCTAGCTCCACATTCTCGCCAACACTATTTCCATTTTTTTATTAAAATCATCCTAGTGAGTGTGAAGTGGTATCTTGTGGTTTTCAACTGCATTTCCATAATGGCCAATTTAACTTTTAATTTAAAACCTGAGCCGAGCACAGTGGCTCATGCCTGTAATCCCAATACTTTGGGAGGTTGAGGTGGGTGGATCACTTGAAGCCAGGAGTTTGAGACCAGCCTGGCCAACACAGTGAAACCCTGTCTCTAATAAAAATACAAAAATTAGCCAGGGAGGTTGCAGTGAGCTGAGATCATGCCACTGCACTCCAGCCTGGGCAGAAGTGAGACTCTGTCTCAAAAAGAAAAAAAAATTAGCCGGGCATGGTGGCACAAGCCTGTAACCCAGCCACTCAGGAAGCTGAGGCACAAGAATCACTTCAGCCTGGGATGCAGAGCAGTGAGCCAAGATCATGCCACTGCACTCCAGCCTGGGCAACAGAGTGACACTCAGTCACGATAAAAAACCTGATACTCAAAATTGCTTGATACTTGAATTGAGAGTGTTTAATTACCCTAATGGGTTAGTTTTGTACCATTCAATACGTACATCTATTAGATATAGGTAACTTCTAAGCATTTGAAACTTGGCTAGTCTGAATTGAGAAATGTTGTAAGTCTTAAGAGTCATTTTGTCCCAGCATCCTTCCAGACAGCAAAGAATAGGCCCTAGTAGCATCTAGAACTCAGAGAGTAATGTTACCATCAAGAGTTTATTTTAGTCCAAGTGCACGCACAATTCCAACATTCTGGGAGGCCAAGGTGGGAAAATCACTTGAGCCCAGGAGTTTGAGACTAGCCTGGGCAAAAAAGGGAGACTCCATCTCTAACCTCCCCCATGCAAAAAAAAAAAAAAAAAAAAAAAAAGTTTATTTTAATTATCAATGATTCAGTCTCTAGAAATGAAACCAGTAATGAGAATTCTAACAGAAAATTGTTTTATCTTTGATTTTGGTCATTTATCAATCAAAAATCATTAAAAAAAAACAGAAGTAAAATTTAGAACTAAAGAGTGCTTACATTAAAGAAAAATATAATAGAATCACACATATTTCACTTAAATACAAACTCTTCTCTGCTAAAGGAAAAAATAATTTTAGGCATCAACTAATCAACATCCTACACAGAATATGAGGCAGAGACAAATCTGCTGTTGCTTCAAATAGTCTAGTACCATCCTCTTTACATGAGCATTTCATGTTGCTGAGTATGGTTTTAGTTTTCAAATATGTTTTATATTTTCACTCATAAATATATCATCACTGAACTCAAGCCACTACACATGGTGTTCTGATGAAAAAGAAACCGATTTCAATGATGAGGGGAAAGCTGGTTGTTGAACACTGATATGGTTTGGCTCTGTGTCCCCATCCAAATCTCATCTTGAATTATAATCCCCATGTACTGGGTGAGAAACCTCCCAAGTGACTGGATCATGGCGGGGGCGGTTTCCCCGATGCTGTTCTTGTCATAGTGTGGGAGTTCTCACAAGATCTGATGGTTTTTAAAAATGGCAGGTTCCCCTGCACTCTCTCTGCCACCACCTTGTGAAGAAGAGATACTGCTTCCCCTTCACCTTCCACCATGACTGTAGTTTTCCTGAGGTTTCCCCAGCCATGCAGAACTGTGAGTCAATTAAACCTCTTTTGTTTATAAATTACTAAGTCTCAGGTAGTATCTTTATAGCAGTGTGAAAAACGGACTAATACAAACATTGACTGTTTTAAATGTGGTCTCCCACTGAAATACCCTATATATTAATGTATGTTGGCCAGGCATGGTGGCTCACGCCTGTAATCCCAGCACTCTGGCAGGCCGAGGCAGGTGGATCACCTGAGGTCAGGAGTTTGAGACCAGCCTGGCCAACTTGGTGAAACCACGCCTCTACTAAAAATACTAAAATTAGCCGGGCGTGGTAGCAGATGCCTGTAATCCCAGCTACTTGGAGGATGAAGCAGGAGAATAGCTTGAACCTGGGAGGCGGAGGTTGTGGTGAGCCAAGATCGCACCATTGCTCTGGGTGACAGAGCAAGAGTCCATCTCAAATAACAAAAAAAAAATATGCTGGTGGCCAAGTAGCTTTTCTAAAATTTGAAACACAGAATTACTGAACTGGTTTTTTCTTTTTCCGAACAAATTTATTTGGACGAAGCAATACTAAGACTGTCTTTGTAAGTGCTAAGATCATCTTATTCATATTCCCAGAAGTCCTTCTGAAGATCAACAAGGGGCTATCAGAACACAAATCAGAAAGCACCAGTCTTACAAATAATGAGGAGGCGATCTAAAGGAAGAAAAATTCCAAAAAGAAATGTTGATTTCTTGGTTTCGACAAATACACCAGAGTAACATAATTAACAACCCCGGATTCTTTCTGCCTCTGAAATTCAGAATCTGCCACTGACCATGACCACAAACAATATTTAATATGGATAGGAGCGATGACTCACGCCTGTAATTCCAACACTTTGGGAGGCCGAGGTGAGCGGATCGATTAAGCCCAGGAGCTCGAGACCAGCCTAGCCAACATGGCAAAACCCTGTCTCTACAAAAAAAAAAAAAAAAAATACAAAAATTAGCCAGGCATGTGCCTGTGGTCCCAGCTACTTTGGAGGCTGAGGTGGGAGGACCACCTGAGCCCAGGAGCCAGAGGTTGCAGTGAGCTGAGACTATACCACTGCACTCTAGCCTGGGCAACAGAACAAAACTACGCCTCAAAAAAAAAAAAAAATTTAATCTGTTCTTGCCTCAGTTCCTTATGTAAAAAATGAGGGCAACAACAGTAATTAACTCAAAGAATTATTGTAAGAATTAATTTAGTCAAAATATGTAATATAATAATATACATATGCAATGTGCAAGGCTCTGCAATGCATCAATCGAGTCTTTGCTATAATTCTTTCTGACCCTTACTTCATCTTGCGCACCACAAAACAAACATGAGATCTCAACTTTTTTCACCAATTGCATTAATATTTAACTTCTAGATAATCAAAGCTCACTAATCAGAAATATTTGTTTTTAAATATTTTCAAATTGCTACAATAATCGCTTACATATATGAAACTACATGCTCTTCCCTAAACAGTTCACTTTTTTAAATGCTCCCTTTTTTCACTCTTTTTTTTTCTTTATGTTTTTTAAGGTGGGGTCTCGCTCTCTCACCCAGACGAGTGCAGTGGCGTGACCTCGGTTCACTGCAACCTCTGCCTCCCAGCTTCAAGGGATTCTCCTGCCTCAGCCTCCCAAGTACCTGAGATTACAGGTGCATGCCACCACACTTGGCTAATTTTTGTATTTTTAGAAAAGACAGGGTTTCACCATGTTGGTCAGACTGGTCTCGAACTCCTGACCTCAAATGATCCACCCGCCTTGGCCTCCCAAAGTGCTGGGATTACAGGTGTGAACCACTGCACCTGGCCCCTTTTTTCTCTTTCAAAAGCATACGTACTTTCTGTAACCAGACAGTGGTAATAATTTTACAAAACTGTGAATATACTAAATAATCACTGAACTACAGTAACCTTAAAAATGTTGAATTTTATGTATATAAATTATGTACTTAAAAAAAAATACCTGAAATGATCCCCCTTTTCACCATAACACAATAGACTCCATTAGAAACAGGGAGAAGGATAACCGAAGACTAGGAGAAGGTTATTTATAATACATATATCTAACACAAGACATATTCAAAATTTCTGAAGAATTTCTATTAACTCAATAATAAAAGACAAACCACCCAATGAACACAATTGGCAAAGACTTGAATAGGCACTTCACCCAAAATAGAATATTCAGATACCCATAGCACAAAATGTGGTCAACATCATTGCAAATTGCTGAAACAAAAATTAAAGCGACAGTGAGATACCACTACTCATCCACTAGAATGGCCAAAATTAAAAGGATCGGTAGATGCCTGTAATCCCAGCACCTTGGAAGGCCGAGGCGGGTAGATCGTTGGAGGCCAGGAGGTGGGGGTTACATTTGAGATCGCACCACTGCACTCCAGCCTGGGTTACAGAAACTTTATCTCAAAAAAAAAAGAAAAGAAAAGAAAGGACTGGTAGTATTAAGATATCATATAGTTAAGAGGAATGAATATGTGTGTGTAATTAGAGGACATGTAAAGGAATGTCCATGGGGCAACTTGGTTAATAGTAGCCAAAGATGGTCGAGCATGGTGCCTCATGCCCGTAATGCCAGCATTTTGGGAGGTCACAGGGGGAGGATCGCTTGGGCCTGCGAGTTCGAAACCAGCCTGGGCAACGTGGCAAAACCCTCTCTCTACAAAAAATTAGCTGGACGTGGTAGCACAGGCCTGAATCCCAGCTACTTGGGAGACTGTAGTATGAGTAACACCTGAGCCAGGGAGATTGAGGCTGCAGTGCGTAGAGATCAGGCCACTGTACTCCAACATTGGTGACAGAGTGAGACCCCGTCTCAAAAAACAAAACAAAAAAAAATAGCAGCCAATGATTGGAAACAATCCAAATGCCCAAAAGGAAGTGAATGGATTTATCTGTACAGTGGAATACTACAGAGCAATGTTTTTAAATGACTGCTTGATACAATTCGTACAAATCTCGCTGATATTTTGTTGAGTGAACAAAAAGCCAGATACAAGAGTTCACACAACTAAGAGTTCATACAAGAGTTCATAAAGTAAGTATGAAAGAAATTAGAATATAGTCTGGGCAGATGGGTGGAGGGCAGGAGAAGAGATAGACCAGAAAAGGACATTAGAAATCTTGTCTTACTGAAATATTCTCTATCAGGATGGTAGTTACAAATGTGCATACGAACATAAGAAACAAATCATTAAACTGTTAAACAAGTGTGCATTAGACACAACTATACATTATATCAGACCTTCAAACAAAATGAAAAAAAAAAAAAAAAAAAAGCAGAGGCTCACCTCAAACATCACCTTATCACTTCCTCTCTCTATAGTCACCTGCCACTCATCTTCTACTATCCTTTCCCAGCCCCTGTTATAATTTAATTGATCCCTAACCCAGAGAATCTCATAGGTCACTATTGAAGAACTTACATTTCATTATTTAAGTTTCTTTAGATCTGTATAAACCCAGAGACTACAAGTTCCCTGAGTATAGAGGCCTGCTTTTCTTTTTTTTTTTTTTTTGAGACAGGGTCTCTCTCTCTCTCTCTGTCACCCAGGCTGGAGTGCAGTCTCAGCTCACTGCAGCCCCAAACACCCAGACTCAAGTGATCCTTCCACCTCACCTTCCTGAGTAGGTGGGTCTACAGGTACATGCCAACACGCCCGGCTAATTTTTGTATTTTTTTTGTACAGACAGGGTTTCGTCATGTTGCCCAGGCTGGTCTCAAACTCCTGGGCTTAAGCAATCTGCTTGTGTCAGCCTCCCAAAGTGCTGGGATTACAGCATGAGCCAGGACACCCGGCCTACTCTGTTTTTCTCATTACCTCGTTTCCATATTGCCCAGCATAGTGCCAGGTACTTCAGACATCAATGTTTTGTTGATTTAAATAATTCCTATGATTCATGTATGGAACAATACCTCACTAAATCATATACCTTAACTTTTTTTCTTTCAAAGACAATTTCTTTCCCCTCTCCAATAGGAAACGTCTACAGTTTCTAGAAGAGGATTTGGAAAAAACAAAAAACACAAAACATTTGTATAGGCTTTGAAATTAACCTGCATATACATCATCATCAACCAGCAGAAAGGCTGCCTTAAAATATACTTACACACACATACACACATGGAAATACAATGAAGATGTAAATGATTTAAATGATTCTTTTACTTTAATAAATAATCTCTTATATTTAGTGTGCACACACTGAACAAGAACTTCATGATGTAATTAGTACTACCAACTACACATTAGACAGGAAGTTAAAAAAGCAGTTCGCAGTCACATTTCCAGCAAATGTCACGGCCAAGATCTGCAGTATGACTACAGGAAACACTGGGGTGTTAAAGTAATAGGACCTGTGCCCCAGAAAATTAATTAGACCATTGATTTACTTATTCATTCATTTATTCATTTACTACCTCCTTCATTTTTTTCTTCAGAGACCACTTACTTAAAAAAAAAATTAAGAAAAAAAATCTGAACGGTTAGACATATGAAAAGATGTTCAACCTAACCCATAATGAAAGAAATACTAATTAAAACTATTAAGATGGGCCAGGCGCGGTGGCTCACACCTGTAATCCCAGCACTTTGTGAGGCCAAGGCGGGCGGATCACGAGGTCAAGAGATCGAGACCATCCTGGCCAACATGGTGAAACCCCGTTTCTACTAAAAATACAAAAATTAGCTGGGCGTGGTGGTGGGTACCTGTAGTCCCAGCTACTCGGGAGGCTGAGGCAGGAGAATCACTTGAACATGGGAAGCGGAGGTTGCAGTGAACCGAGATCACACCACTGCACTCCAGCCTGGCAACAGAGCACAGCAAGACTCCGTCTCAAAAAAATAAACTATTAAGATGTAACTTCTCTGAGACCAAGGGGAGGCGGATCACCAGAAGTCCAAGACCAGCCTGGCCAATGTAGTGAAACCCCATCTCTACTAAAAATACCAAAAAAAAAAAAAAAAAAAAAAAAATTGGCTGGGCGTTGTGGTGCCTGCCTGTAATCCCAGCTACTCCAGAGGCTGAAGCATGAGAATCAATTGAACTGAGGAGGTGGATGTTGCAGTGAGCCCACATCATGCCACTGCACTCCATCTAGCCTGGGCGACAGAGCCAAACTCTGTATCCCAACAAAAAACAAACAAACAAACAAAAAGATGTAATGTCTCACCTATGAGATTAGCAAAAATCCAAAAGTTTGACAATCCTCTCTCAGCAAAGCCTTGGAGACACTCCAACATTAGGCAGACACTCTAACATTACTGATGACGGCACTAGCTCTAGGGAACGACAATTTGGCAAGTTATCAAAATTAGCAATGTTTACATTAACCTTTGATCCACCCACTCACATCATTTTAGGGGATTTTTCCTACATACATAATTATACATGTACAAAATGATACATATTCAGGATTCATCACTATAGCACTATTTGTAACAATAAGACAAGAAGCAACCCAAGTGTATCTACAAAGTTTGGTTAAACCGCTAATATTACACAATGGAAAGCGATGAAGCTGAAAAAATGAGACTATTCACTATGAACTGATATGAAAAGATCCCAGCATAAAGTATATTCAAAAAGCAAGGTACAATCGGGAGGAGGAAGATGGAGATAGGAGAAAGGGCTAACATGCAGCTCCCACTTTGGCAGAGAGAACACCATGTGGAGACTCGCACCGTGAACTTTTGCTTCAAGAACCACCCCAGGAATATACCAGGCAAACCGAAAAAATTCACAGATCCTTTCAAAGAAGCGGTACACTGCTGCAAATTCCGTGAGACAGGTAAAAAACTGTGAGTTCCCAAAGTGTAAGAGAGAGAAAACCTGCCTCCACACACACAACCCCACTGGGGAATCTGAAAATCCAGATCATGGGAGACGAGACGGATTTAACCTTACCTAGGGCTGAAACAGATTTAAGGGAACGTGCAAAATATAAAAGTAGAAGCAGCAGTGGGAAATGCCTTGTAAGCATTCCCAGCCTCTAGCTAGAGCCCAGGGAAGCCATCCCCGACTATATCTCACAAGGGTACTAGCAGAAGACAGCCAGTAGAATTAGGGAAGGGTAACAGGGCAAAAGAAGCTTCTAAATGAGATAGTAACAATTTCAGCTGGACATGGATTTTCTTGAGCAGAAAAGGGAGGTGGCGAGGGAACAGGAACTGCTGCAGATACCAGCGCAGAGCTGCTGACAGAGTAGGCAGACGGGGAGGGGCGAGGTCTGAAGGCCTTGCTTTCTCAGCAGGGAAGCCTGGGGCAAGGTCTGAGCAGTACACCAAGGGAGTGAGAGTGGCTTCACCCACTGCATGGGAGCTGAATGAGGTCTCTCGCAACCAGGACTCTCACAACCCCCCACTTCCCTGGTGAACTATATGACACAGCAGAGGCAGCCAAAATCCCCTATGGAACATAACCCCACTGGCCTGAAAACCAACGCCCTATCTCCCACAGTGGCTGTGGCAAGCCCCGCCTAATGAAAGTGAGTCTGAGCCCAGTTCCGCCTAACCCTGCTCCCACCTGATGGTATTTCTCTACCTGCCCCTTTAGCAGAACAGGAAACATAGCCCCACCCATCTCGCCAGAAGCCAAAATACTTGCCCAGGCCAACTTAGGGCAAGCAATCTCCCTACTTAACTACTACTGCAACTGGTGCACTCTTCAAAGTGTCACCTCCTGGTTGGAGGCCAACCAATTCAGGCCATTAGAGCAACTCATGACAGAATAACCCAGATCCCAGGAAGCGGAAAACAACAGCTAATTCCACTGCCTGCGACATCCTGGCCAACCAGAGGTCCTGAGTGTGTCCACATTACAAGTTCATTGCTAGCATAACCAGTATTCAAGAAAGCAAGTACACTCAACATATCTACAACCGAACACCACCAAAGAGTCCACTTCACTCCCCTGCCACCTCCAGCAGAGCAGGTGCTGGTATCCACAGCTCGGAGACCTGAAGATGAATCACATCACAGGACTCCTTGTAGGCATTCCCCAGCACCATCCCAGAGCCTAGTAGCCCTGCTGCTGGATGGCTACACTCAGAAGAGCAATAACAATCACTGCAGTCCAGCTCTCAGGAAGCCCCATCCCTAGAGGAAGTGGGAGACAGCAGGCCCTGAGATCCAGTCTTTTCCACCGAAATAGTCTAAACAAATGAGAAGGAACCAGAAAAGTAATTCTGGTAATATGACAAAACAGGGTTCTATAACCCCAGTAATGTATCCAAACCAAGAATAAATTTCTGAATTTCCAGATAAAGAATTCAGAAGGTTGATTATTAAGATACTCAAGGAGATATCAGAGAAAGGTGAAAACCAAATTAAAGACAACAATACAGGATACGGATGAAAAATTCTCCAGAGAAAAAATATCATAAAGAAACAGCAATCACAACTTCTAGAAATAAAAGTCACACTTAGAGAAACAGAAAATGCACTGGAGGCTGGGCACCGTGGCTCATGCCTGTAATCCCAGCACTGTGGGAGGCTGAGGCAGGCAGATCAAATGAGTTCAGGAGTTCAAGGCCAGCCTTGCCACCACGGTGAAACCCCGTCTCTACTAAAAATACAAAATTTAGCCAGGCATGTTGGCAAGTGCCTGTAATCCCAGCTACTCGGGAGGATGAGGCATGAGAATCACTTGAACCCAGGAGGTGAAGGTGGGAGGTTGCAATAAACCAAGACTGTACCACTGCGCTCCAGCCTGGGTGACAGAACAAGACTCTGCCTCACAAAAAAAAAAAGAAAAGAAAAGAAACAACAATCACAACTTCTAGAAATAAAAGGCACACTTAAGAGAAACAGAAAACGCACTGAAGGCCAGGCACAGTGGCTCATGCCTGTAATCCCAGCACTCTGGGAGGCAGAGGCGGGTGGATCACCTGAGGTCAGCAGTTCAAGACGAGCCTGGCCAACATGATGAAACCCTGCCTCTACTAAAAAAATACAAAACTTAGCTGGGTGTGGTGGTGGGCACCTGTAATCCCAGTTACTCGGGAGGATGAGGCAAGAGAATCACTTGAACCTGGAAGGCGGAGGTTGAAGTGAGTGGAGATAGCATCACTACACTCCAGCCTGGGCAACAGAGTGAGACTCGGTCTCAAAAAAAAAAAAAAAAAAAAAAAAAAGGATGCACTGCAAAGTTTCAATAACAGTAGAAGAAAGAATTTCAGAGCTCAAAGACAAGGCTTTCGAAATAACCCAATCAGACAAAGACAAAGAAAAGACACTTAAAAAAAAATTAACAAAGTCTCCACGAAATGTGGGATTACATCAAACAACCAAACCTAAGAATAACTGGTGTTTCTGAGAAAGAAGAGAAATCTACAAGTTTGGAAAACTTACTCGAGGTGAATAACTGAGGAAAACTTCCCTGGCCTTGCTAAAGAGGTAGACACCCAAATACAAGAAGCTCAAAGAACAACTGAGAAATTCCTCCCAAAAATATTATCACCTAGGCACACAGTCATCAGGTTATCTAAAGTCAAGATGCAGGAAAGAATATTACGAGTTGTGGGACAAAAGCATCAGATAACCTATAAAGAAAAACCTATCAGATTAACAGCAGACTTCTCAGCAGAAACCTTACAAGCCAGAAGAGACTGGGGTACCACCTTCTGCTGCCTGAAACAATAATTATCAGCCAAGAATATTGTATCCAGCAAAACTAAGCTTCATAAATGAAGGAGAGATCAAGTCTTTTTCAGACAAAGGCTAAGAGAATTTGTCACTACCAAGCCAGCACTACAAGAAATGCTAAAAGAAGTTCTAAATCTTGAAATAAAACCTCGAAACACACCAAAATAGAACCTCCTTGGCAGGGCGCAGTGGCCCATGCCTGTAATCCCAGCACTCTGGGAGGCCGAGGTGGGCAGATCACCTGAGGTCAGGAATTCAAGACCAGCCTGGCCAACATGGAGAAACCCTGTCTCTAGTAAAAAATACAAAAATTAGCCAGGCGTGGTGGTGGGCACCTATAATCCCAGCTACTTGGGAGGGTGAGGCAGGCAGAATTGCTTGAACCCAAGAGGCTGAGGTTGCAGTGAGCCAAGATTGTGCCACTGCACTCCAGCCTGGGCAACAGAGTGAGACTCCATGACAAAAACAAGACAAAAAGAATCTCCTTAAAGCATAAATCTCATAGGACCTATAAAACAATAACACAATGAAGAAAAAAAAACAGCTATTAAGGCAACAACAAGCATGATGAATACAACAGTACTTCATATCTCAATACTAACACCGAATGTAAATGGCCTAAATGCTACATTTAAAAGGTATGGAATGGGAAAATGGATAAAATTCCACCAACCAAGTATCTGCTGTCTTCAAGAGACTCACCTAACACATAAGGACTCAAATAAACTTAAGGTAAAGGGGTGGAAAAAGATACTCCATGCAAATAGAAACCAAAAGCAAGCAGGCATAGCTATTATTATATCAAATATAACAGACTTTAAAGCAACAATAGTAAAAAAAAAAAAAAAAAAAAAAAAAAAAAAACCCACAAAGAGGTGACATTAAATAATAATAAAAGAATTAGTCCAACAGGAAAATAACAATCCTAAATATATATGCACCCAACTGGAGCTCCCAAATTTATAAAATAATTACTAAACCTAAGAAATAGGATAGACAGCAACACAATAAACACAGTAAAATAATAATAATCCTAGCAACATAATTATGTAATAATAATTGTATCCTGACTTCAGATAACCTGATGACTGTGTGCCTAGGTGATGATCTTTTTGTGATGAATTTCTCAGCTGTTCTTTGAGCTTCTTGTATTTGGATATCTACATCTCTAGCAAGGCCAGGGAAGTTTTCCTCAGTTATTCCCCTCAAGTAAGTTTTCCAAATAATAGTGGGGGACTTCAATACTCCACTGACAGCATTAGACAGGTCATCAAGACCGAAAGTCAACAAAGAAATAATGGATTTAAACTACACCCTGTAACAAATTAACTTAACAAGTATTTACAGAACATTCTACCAAAAACTGCAGAATATACTTTTTTTTGAGGCCCGTCACCCTGGTTAAAGTGCAGTGGCACAATCTTGGCTCATGGCAATCTCTGCCTCCCAGGCTCAGGCAATCCTCCCACTTCAGCCTCCCGCATAGCTAGGACTACAAGTGTGCACCACCATGTTCAACTAATTCTTTTATTTTTTGTTGAGACAAGGTTTTGCCATGTTGCCCAGGCTGGTCTCAAACTCCTGAGCTAAAGCAATCCACCTGCTTCGGCCTCCCAAAGTGCGAGACCTACCATGCCTGGCCAGGATATACATTATTTTCATCAGGACATGGATAGACCAAGATAGACCATATGATAGGTCACAAAACAAGTCTCTATAAATTTTTTAAAAAATCTAAATTATATCAAGTATCCTATCAGACCACAGTGGAATGAAACTGGAAATTAACTCCAAAAGGAACCCTCAAAACTACACAAACACATGGAAATTAAATAATCTGCTCCTGAATGATCCTTGAGTCAACAATGAAATCAAGGTGGAAATTAAAAAATTATTTGAACAATAATAGTGTCACAACTTATCAAAACCAGTGGGCAACAGCAAAAGCGGTGCTAAGAGGAAAAGTTCATAGCATTAAATGCCTACATCAAATGCCAGGCAAGGTGGTTGACGTCTATAATTCCAGCACTTTAGGAGGCCTAGGCAGGTGGATCACCTGAGGTCAGGAGTTTGAGACCAGCCTGGGCAACATGGTGAAACCCTGTAAAAATACAAAACTTAGCTGGGTGTGGTGGCCCACACCTGTAATCTCAGCTTACTTGGGAGGCTGAGACAGGAGACTCACTTGAACCCAGGAAGCAGAGGTTGCAGTGAGCTGAGATCATGCCACTGCACTCCAGCCTGGGCGACAGAGTGAGACTCTGTCTCAAAAAAAAAGAAAAGTCTGAAAGGTCACAAATAGGCAATCTAAGGTCATACCTCAAGGAACTAGAGAAACAAGAAAGAACAAACAAAACCCAAACCCAGTAGAAGAAAAGAAATAACAAAGACCAGAGTGGTGCTAAATGAAACCAAAAGAACAACAACAATACAAAAGGTAAATGAACAAGCTGGTTCTTTGAAAAGACAAAAGTGACAGACCATTAGTGAAACTAACCAAGAAAAGAAGAACGATATCTAAATAAGCCCAATTAGAAACAAAACAAAAGATATTACAACCAATACCACAGAAATACAAAAGATCATTCAAGGCTACTATGAACACCTTTACATGCACGAAGTAGAAAATGTAGAGGAGAGGATAAACTCTGGGAAATACACGACCCTTCTGGGACCAGTTGGATTCACAGCTGAACTCTATCAGACATTCAAAGAAAAACTGGTGCCAATCTTAATGTAACTATTCCAAAAGACAGAGAAAGAGGGAATCCTCCCTAAGTCATTCTATGAAGCCAGTATCACCCTAATACCAAAATCAGGAAAGGACATAACAAAAAAATAAATCTACAGACCAATATCCCTGATAACAGATGCAAACATCCTCAACAAAATACTAGCTAACCGAATCCAACAGCCTATCAAAAAGATAATCCACCATGATCAAGTGGGTTTCATACCATGGATGCAGAGATGGTTTAACATACACAAGTCAGTAAATGTGATGTATCACATAAAAAGAACTGAAAATCATGTGATCTCAATAGATGCAGAAAAAGCATATAACAAAAAAATCCAGCATCCCTTTATGATTAAAACCCTCAACAAAACTGGCACAGAAGTAACATACCTTAACGTAATAAACAAACCCACAGCCCATATTCTACTGAACGGGGAAAAGTTGAAAGCATTCCCCGTGACAACTGGAAGAAGACAAGGATGGTCCACCCTCACCACTTCCATTCAACATAAGTACTAGAAGTCCTAGCCAGAGCAATCAGAGAAAAGAAATAAAGGACATCCGAATAGGTAAGAGGAAATAAAACTGTCGCTGTTTGCTGACGATATGATCATATACCTAGGAAACCCTAAAGACTCATCCAAAAAGCTTGTAATCTGATAAATTCAGTAAACTTTCAGGATACAAAAATCAACGTAAATTAATAACACTGCTCTACACCAACAATGACGAAGTTGAGAAACAACTAAAGAACTTAACCCCTATTACAAAAGCTACAAAAAAATAAAATACTTAGGAATATACCTAACCAAGGAGGTGAAAGACCTCTACAAGGAAAACTACAAAACACTGCTGAAAGAAATCATCGACAACACCAACAAATGAAAACACATCCCATGCTCATGGATGGGTAGAATTAATATTGTGAATATGACAATACTGCCAAAAGCAATCTACAGATTCAACGCAATTCCCATCAAAGTACCATCATCAATCTTCACAGAACTAGAAACACACTATCCTAAAATTCATATGGAACCGAAAGAGAGCCCAGATAGCCAAAGCAAGACTAAGCAAAAAGAGCAAATCTGGAGGTATCACATTATCTGACTTTTTATACTGCAAGGCTATGCTTACCAAAACAGCATGGTCCTGGAATAAAACAGACACATAGACCAATGTAATAGAGATCCCAGAAATAAAGCCAAATATTGGTGACTCACGCCTGTAATCCCAGCATTTTGGGAGGCTAAGGCGGGCGGATCACTTGAGGTCAGGAGTTCGAGACCAGCCTGACCAACAGGGTGAAGCTCTGTCTCTACTAAAAATTTAAAAATTAGCCAGACATAGTGGCAGCCACCTGTAATCCCAGCTACTCGGGAGTCTGAGGCGGGAGAATTGCTTGAACTCGGGAGGCAGAGGTTGCAGTAAGTCAAGATCACACCACTGCAGTCCAGCCTGGGTGACAGAGCGAGACTCAGTCTCAAAAAAATAAAAACTAAAAACCATAAAGTGGGGAAAGGACACCCTTTGCAACAAATGCTGCTGGGATAACTGCCAAGCCACATGTAGAAGAATGAAACTGGATCCTCATTTCTCACCTTATACAAAAATCAACTCAAGATGGAGCAAAGACTTAAATCTAAGACCTTAAACCATAAAAATTCTGGAAGATAACATTGGAAAAACTCTTCCAGACATTGGCTTAGGCAAAGAGTTTATGACCAAGAACCCTAAAGCAAATGCAATAAGAACAACAACAAACAGATGAAACCTAATTAAACTAAAAAGCTTCTGCACATAAAAAGAAATAATCAGCAGATTATCAGCTTCTGCACATAAAAGAAATAATCAGCAGAATAAACAGACAACCCACAGAATGGGAGAAAATATTTGCAAACTATGCATCCAACAAAGGACTAATGTTCAAAATTGACAAGGCACTCAAAGAAATCAACAAGAAAAAAATAATAATAATCCCATCGAAAAGTGGGCAAATTACATGAATAAGCATTTCTCAAAAGAAGATATACAACACAATACCACCTTATTCCTACAATAATGGCCATAATTTAAAAGGCAAAAAACAACAGATGTTGGCATGGATGTGGTGAAAAGGGAACACTTTTACACTGCTGGTGAGAATATAATACAACCACTATAGAAAACCGTACAGAGATTTCTTAAAGAACTAAAAGTAGAACTACCATTTGATCCTGCAATCCCACTACTGGGATTGTCACTATATGAATGACACTGGGAAAAAGTCATTATATGAATGACTACTGGGAAAAGTCATTATATGAAAAAGACACTTGCACACACAAGTGTGCCCTTCAATCAATAAGTGGATAAAGAAAATGCAGTATATATATATATACACACACATACACACATACATACATACATACCATGGAATACTACTCAAGCCATAAGAAGGAACAAAATATGGCTTTCACAGAAACCTGGATGGAGTTGGAGACCATTATTCTAAGTGAAGTAATTCAGGAAAGGAAAATCAAATATCGTTTTGTTCTCACTTATAATTAGGAGCTAAGCTATGAGCAGGCATAAGAATGATATAATAGACTTTGGGGACTAGGAGGGAAGGGTGGGGGTGGTTAGGTATAAAAGACTACACAGTGGGTACAGTGTACAGTGTACACAGCTCAGGTGACAGGTGCACCAAAATCTCAGAAATCACCACTAAGGAATTTATCCAATGTAACCAAAAACCACCTGTTCCCCAAAAACTATTCAAATTAGGGCCAGGTGTGGTTAATCCCAGCACTTTGGGAGGCCAAGGTGGGCAGATCACGAGGTCAAGAGTCCAAGACCAGCCTGGCCAACATGGTGAAACCCCATCTCTACTAAGAGTATAAAAATTCGCCAGGCGTGATGGCGCATGCCGGTAATCCCAGCTACTCGGGAGGCTGAGGCAGGAGAATCGCTGGAACCCAAGAGGCGGAGGTTGCAGTGAGCCAAGATCATGCCACTGTACCCCAGCCCGGGCAACAGAGCAAGACTCCATCTTGAGGGGGGAAAAAAAAACTATTCAAATTAAAACAAAAAAGCAAGGTACCCATATACAATATAGTATTTCAAGAATGGAAGAAACTTGGTATATAGAAAAACAAGTATATAGAAAAACAAGTAATCTGTGTATTTAAAGCTGCTCTAAAATTAAGTTTGTTTCTTTTTAAAGCAAGGCACAGACAGTATTTAATTTACTAGACTTTGTGTAAGAAAGAAAGGAGAATGAGACTACATATTTATCTGCTTATGGTTGCATAAGGAAATACTAGAAAAAAAATCACAAGAAACAAATAATAATTATATATTTGGGAGGAAGGGGGGAAACAGGAAAAAGAGAGAGACAAATAATTCTTAGTGTAAACCTTTGCTATAATGTTTTAACTTGCTGATTGCTTTTTCCAAAAAGGTTGTTTTTAAAAGCAACTCCACAAGAATTACCTCACTCTCTACAAAACCCAAGGGAAATAACTGGCACAGTATTCATTCCAGTAAATGTGGTTTTAACAACTATTAAACTCCTTTAAACATAAACTGTTAATCTCTATGGTATATGCTGCTTTCCATAAATAGAAACCAAAATACTTAATTTTTCATAAAGATAAATGGAAAAGATTTTTACAGAAACTTGCTCTTTATAAAGATTTCCCAGAATACATCTAATTTGACAAAAGTGATTTACAACTAATTACAACTAAGCTCAGTAGTGTGACCTCAAAACTGAGTGAAAGGAATCAAATCCTTTAATGTCCTACAATTTATTTATTTTATATAATAGTCAATGTTGTTTGCTAATGAAAATGCCGAAACCTTTAACAATAAGAAAACATAATCAGACCACAAGGTATTAAAAAAAACCAACATGGCTTCCAGTCATTAGTCTACCCACTAGCTATTTTCAAGACCCTAATCCAACAGCAACATTTCTCCTGTACTTCAAATAGAAAAAAATTGATCAAATGAGCTTTATCTCCATCTACTTTTGAAATTCAATGCGTGTACAAGAATGTTAAAACAAATGGTTGTTTTTAAAAAAATTTAGAGGAGCTTTTAATTATGCCTATTAGGAAACATGTCAGCTTAAGCTAACATTTAAAAGAAAAAACAGCCAGGCGCAGTGGCTCATGCCTGTAATCCCAGCACTTTGGGTGGCCAAGGCGGGAGAATCACCTGAGGTCAAGAGTTCAAGACCATCCTGGCCAACATGGTGAAACACCATCTCTACTAAAAGTACAAAAATTAGCCAGGTGTGGTGGCACACGCCTGTAGTCCCAGCTACTCAGGAGACTGAGGCAGGAAAATCAATTGAACACAGCAGGTGGAGGCTGCAGGGAGCCAAGATGGCACCATTGCACTCCAGCCTGGGCAACAGAGTGAGACTCTTCTGTCATAAATAAATAAATAAATAAATAAATAAATAAATAAATAAATAAATTTTATATACATGCATCCTTACCTTGAAAGGTTTGTCTCCACTGTGTGTCAGCATATGCCTTTGTAACCAACTTTGACTGGTAGATGGAGTGTTATATACTTTACAACCTTTCCATAAGCAAACAAATACCTGTTAAGAAAAACAGAACCATATTAATTTTCATGACTTATCTCAAGAAGAGTTTGATTCCTCATACATTCAAATTAACATGTTACAACTCTTCAACTGACAAGAGCTACTGAATGTACAAGCCAATCAAAATGCTTAATATACATAAACTGTCAAAACATCCTAGTATAAGCCACCCTTAATGCTACTGTCCACACCTTCGATAAGGAATTAACACACCGATCACAGAATACCATTCAGAAGGAAATATATATAATATTAGCAATATATCCCTTGGAACTGAGACCATGGGCCATTATTTACATTTTTGTATTTACTGCACAAAAGAACAAACATCTATTAATTTTAAATAGGAAAAATACACCTTTTACCTTTTATGAAAGGTATATTTTGTAAAAATATACCTTTTTAAAGGTATAAAAAAATTAATGAAATGACCAATAAATGTTAATTAGAAGATACTGATATTTTCAACTTCAAAGAATGAATGAAAATTATCAAATTACAATCTTTTACTGGTGATATCCTGGTCTCACATGCATACTGACAATATTTGTTCCCATATTGTTCTAATCATGAAGAATTATTTCTATCTCGATTATGACATAGAGAGATATTTGAGACCCTGTCTGGAATATGAAATTTTGTAATGAAACAAATAGAATACGAAATATTAAGTGAATATAGTAATAAAAACAACAGACATGAGCTACCCTACTTTCATAACAGATCCACATTCTAGGTTCAGGGTACTAAGTATAACTAGGTGTGGAAAGCACCAAAACTAACAAATTAATCTTTATCATCTTCCTACCAGTGACATGTCAATTTCCTAACTGATGCTATTTCCATCAAACCAAACACTGAAAACTGCTTCCCAACATCAGGTAAAGAAGGGTCTACCACAATCATTATCTTGAAAGAATCATTATCTTGAAAGGCTCTGTTCTTTTCTAAGGTTAAGAACAATTACAGAGTCACACTTTGAAGACTGTAATATACTACATACATATAGAACACAAGAAAGATATACAAAGAACTGAAGAATCTTTCTTCAGCCAGCCTAAAATAAAATTTTTAATAGACTAGAAAAACTGACAGTCTATAAACAAATAATTGAGGTCAATTTTTACTCAAAAACAATACCATCTTATGTCAAATAGGTATAACAAGGCAATACCACCACTGCCATTTGACAAGACTGTTTAGAGAAGTTACTGCATATCCTGACTCCACAACGAATTTGCTAGTTTCTTTAAGTATGAGATAAAGGAAGTCATAACGTTTCCTCCTTCATACTCAAAATTCCCAACCCTAGAACATGTTTATAAACTAATGGCCAAGGTTCTCAGAGTTAAAAGTAACTTTTAAAAATAAATGTAGGAACAGAAAAAAAATACAAAGCAATACTTATATGCACCCGATGTGGTGGCTCACACCAGCAATTCCAGCACTTTGGGAGACCGAGGTAGGGGGACGGCTTGAGCTCAGGAGTTCGAGACCAGCCTGGGCAACACAGCAAGACCCTGTCTCTACAAAAGTAACAAAAAAAATTGGCTAGGCATAATGGCATATGCACTCGTAGTCCCAGCTACTCAGGGGTGGTGGTGGGGCATAGGGCTAGCAGCTGAGGCAGGATGATTGCTTAAGTCCAAGAGATGGAGGCTGCAGTGAGCCATGATGGCACTACTGCACTCCAGTGTAGGTGACACAGTGAGACCTTCTCTCCAAAAAAAAAAACTTAAATGCTATAGAAATTAATTCAATATTGTTTAATAATCACACATGGGTAATTAATGCTATCAATTTTTGAAATCAAGACTACTAGACTCACCAGGCACAGTGGCTCACACCTCTAACCCCAGCACTTTGGAAGGCCAAGGCAGGAGGATTGCTTGAGCCCAGGAATGAGGCCAGCCTGGGCAACATGCCATAACCCTGTCTATACAAAATATACAAAAATTAACCAGGCATGGTGGTGCCCACCTGTGGTCCCAGCTACTTAAGAGGCTGAGGTGGGAGAATTGCTTGCACTGGAGAGGGCAAGGCTACAATGAACTGCTATAATCATGCCACTGCACTCCAGCCTGGGCAGTAAGAGACAGATCATCTCTCAAGAAAAAAAAACACAACTACTACTAGATTCAAAGTGTTACTCTGCAATCCAAGTAACAAAGAGGAGGAATCAGGGGTTGGTTTAAAATTCTCTCAGAAATCATATTATTAGTTTGGTGCACAAGTCATTGCCGTTTTTGCCATTAATTGAAAAAAAACGCAATTACTTGTGCACCAACCTAATACGTAAACAGAAATGCCTTAAAGAAAGTATTTGGGAACAATATCAACATCATTCCTGTAACAACTTTTTTGACAGAAGGATTCTCCTTAATGTTAAAAGGATTCTTAAGTGACCCCCCCGCCCTACTCTGAAATACTCTTAAAGATAAGATTTAGTTCCTTCGAAATAAGCACTGCCTCTACCTAACAACACTCAATCACTAAATTTGGTAGAAACAGCAGTATCTGGCTTCTAATTTTTTTCCTATGAGCAAACATGACTATAGAGATAATGGCAGGTCTGAAATCACATCTGATACAGCCTTATTAAGTATGGTTTAGACTCTACATGGAATAATGTCTAGTAACACGATTAAGGCAACACCTTCAGATTCAAAGAAAAACCAAAATCTTCAGCCTAGTGAATTTTATACCAAATGAAGTAGGCGTAAAGAGATCAAAGTTAACTGTGTTTAGCTATATTGGGGTGAAATGTGTAGAAAGATCCAAAAAAGGCCTGGTGTAATGGCTCATGCCTGTAATCCTAACACTTTAGGAGGCCGAGGTGGGTGGATCACTTCAGGCCAGGAGTTCGAGACCAGCCTGACCAACATGGTGAAACCATGTCTCTACTGAAAATACAAAATTAGCCGAGTGTGGTGGCACATGCCTGTAACCTCAGCTACTCAGGAGGCTGAGGCAGGAGAATCGCTTGAACCTGGGAGGGGGAGGTTCCAGTGAGCTGAGATTGCGCCATTGCACTCAAACCTGCACTCAAAGCAAAACTCCGTCTTAAAAAAAAAAAAGAAAAAAGAAAGATCCACAAAAATACACAAAACTGTTCGAGGCTATATTTTCTTTCTTAGCCTGTATTAGGACGACGTTTTGATAAAAATACTCCCAAATCTGACAAAAGGGTCTTCTTCAAATCTGAGACTTTTTAGACGTATAATATCTGAAAAACATTTTTATGCTATTTTTAGAAACTCTCCTACTGTTAAAATTAACCCTGAAAAATCAAATACCAAAGGATTCCAATTACATCCAAATTTGGAAGAAGTATGTTCAAGAATATAATTTGCCATGGTTCTTCTATTTTAAAATGAATTAAGGTCTGGCTATTTTAACAGAATAAGACACAGGGGTCCCAAGTCCAGTCTCTCATGGTACAGCAAATTGTGTTGTATTAGGTTGTATCAGACATAACAGAAATAGAAAACAACCTGCTGAGCACAGTGACTTGTGCGTAGAATCCCAGCTGCTCTGGAGGCTGAGGCAAGATGATGGCTAGAAGACAGATTTCAAACCAGTATGGGCAACAAAGCAAGATCCCAACTCTGAAAATGTTTAAATTAGCCAGACGTGGTGATGCATGCCTGTAGTCCCAACTACTACACTAGAGGTAGAAGGATTGCTTGAGTCCAGGAGTTTGAGGCTATGTGAGCTAAGATCATGCCACTGCTAAACTGAATTCAATCCAGTTCTTTCACTTTGCAGCTATGTAATCTTGGAAGAATCATCTACTTCCTTTTTCATCAGAAATACTCTGAGCACACGTGGTAAGTCCAAAACACTATGAAAATATAAGATGTTATATTATCTCAGAAAGACCAGCCAATGAAACAACTGGGTTTATATTAGACACTGAAGGTTCCTTCTCAAAGTAACTGCCATCAGGTTTTCCTGCCAGAATGTCCAGGAAAAAAAAATTTTAAACCCACACAGCCATTAAAAGAATATTTTTGGGCCAGGTGCAGTGGCTCACGCCTGTAATCCCAGCACTCTGAGAGGCCGAGGTGAGTGGATCACTTGAGGTCAGGAGTTCAAGACCAGCCTGGCCAACATGGCGAAACCCCACCTCTACTAAAAATACAAAAACTTAACCAGGTGTGATGACACACGCCTGTAATCCCAGCTACTTGGGAGGCTGAGGGAGGAGGATCGCTTGAACCTGGGAGGCGAAAGTTGCAGTGAGCTGAGATGGCGCCACTACACTCCAGCCTGGGTGACAGAGTGAGACCCCATCTCAAAAAACATACATATATTTTTGGACTGCTAAAGAAATCTTCAAGTTCCTTACATGTAAGATGTAGATGTCTAAAATTTCAGTGTTACAGGGAGGTTTTGGCTTTCTGTTGAGAACTCTACAAAGTACTGAGTTTCTGTCAGAACAGGTTTTGCCTCTGGGAATCTTCTCCAAAATGCCCAAAGTGAATAAGAATGGTACAAACCTAGGAGCCAAGGGTAGTCTGAGTCTCCTTCACTTTGGTCAATATCCTTGAACCAGTGTATGAACCAGTGTATCCTTGTACCAGTGTATGTATCTGAATGTATTTGAATGGCCTATACTTAAAATGGCTTGTATGATAATATAGATAAATGCACAAACATCTATGCACCTGAAGAACACAAATGAATCCATGAAATCTTTCTGTAAATAAATGAAAAATCCACTGCAAAAAAGTGCAATGTTAATCTGTCAGAGTAAGTATGCACAAGGAAATTCAGTTATTACCAGTAAATTAAAATCAGCCAAATATATTCTAAATGCAGAGCAAGTTAACAGAATAATCTACATGCCAAAATAAAGGCCTAATTATACTGAGTAAATGATCTTGTTTTCAGTAAAATTACACAAAAAGAAAAGAGAGACACCATCTAAAGTCAGATAGGCCAGGTGAGTGTGGTGATATATGCCTGGAATCCCAGGAACTCAAGAAGCTGAGATGGGAGCACTGCTTAAGCCCAGGAGCTGGACAACATAGTAAGACTAGCTTGGACAACATAGTAAGACTGTCTCATTAAAAACACATACACACACACACACACACACACACACACACAAAGTCAGGCAGAGGGGTTGGATGGATGATTCCACGGTACCACCAAGCCCAATTTTTATTTTCTTTTTCTTTTTTTTAATGAGACAGAGTCTTGCTCTATCATCCAGGCTGGAAGGCAGTGGCACAATTATAGCTCACTGCAACCTTGACCTCCTGAGTGCTATAGTTAACTGGACTCATTCAAGTCTTCCAATAATACTGTACCATATTCCTCCCTTGCCCACAATCTCCTCGCTTTGCCTCTCAACAAAAAAACACACCAAAGAATATATGCAAAAGTAAACCTCAAATGACACAGAAAATAAATCCTATATCAAGAAACCTAAACCTCTGGCTTTCTTTCCAGAAATTGTTTTTATGTGAGAAATAGCTAAGAAAGAACAGTAATATATTTTACACTGAGCCTCTAAAGTCCTACAAGTTCCCCACTTTCCAAGACTTATATTAAGAGGACACTGGGATTTGAAATTCGATTAGTAAGATAACTCAGAGTCTAATCTTCAGAAACCAGTCACACATAGACGTACGGACCTAGGCCGGGCACGGTGGCTCAGGCCTGTAATCCCAGCACTTTGGGAGCCAGAGGCGGGTGGATCACCTGAGGTCAGGTGTTCGAGACTAGGCGGGCCAACATGGTGAAACCCCATCTCTACTAAAAATACAAAAGTAAGTCAGGTGTGGTGGCGCACACCTGTAGTCCCAGCTACTTAGGAGGCTGACACAGGAGCATCACTCGAACCTGGGAGGTGGAGGTTGCAGTGAGTGGAGATTGCACCACTGCATTTCAGCCTGGGCAACAATAACAAAATTCTATCATACTTAACACTAGAGATAGGTTTGATTCTCTCTTTGCCTGTTTTGTTTTTATTTTTGAAATTGCAGAAAGCACTCTCATGATGTTTTTAAAAAAAAAGGTGTATTGGTCTGGGCATGGTGGCTCACACCTGTAATCCTAGCACTTTGGGAGGCCAAGGCAAGACCAGCATGGGCAACACAGTGAGACCTCATCTCTGTTTAAGAAAAAAAAGTGTATTCATAATTTGGTGTTTAGATTAGTTTAATTTTAATGTAGAAATCAGGCCAGGAAAATCTAAACTCCACTTGACTTCAGCCTCCAAAGAAGTCCACATGAACATAGCAACATAAACAACTTAAAAGGGGGAAAAAAACAATGCTAAGTGGATATATAATGGTTTTGCTTTTCTCCCCAGGGCAAAGATTATAGTGGAATGAGAAAAAGAACAGAAATTAATATAGTTTAGATCTTGCTAACTTACTGCTCCAGTAAAACTGTCATCTTTCAATAATCAGAAGCATAAAATCTTCTAGGGTTACCAATTTTTTCCTCATCTGTTTCTGTTCCATGATGACACTTTAACACTTAAGAGAGAAAGAAGAAATAAGAAATCTAAAAAAATAATTAGGCCAACAAAATCAGGTGTTTTCTACTTATATTAGATACCTACAACAGTCAAACACACAGAGATAGAAAGTAGAACTGTGGTTACCAGGAGCTAGTAAGAGCAGAGAGTAAGTTTGTTTAATGGGTATAGATTTCAATTTGGGATGATAATTTACAAGTTCTGGAGACAGAGAGCGGGTGGCGATTACACAATAAGGTGAATGTACTTAAAGCCCCTGAACTATACATTAAAAATGTTTTTTGTTCTTTTTTTTGAGACAGGATCTCACTCTGTCATCCAGGCTGGAGTGCGGTGGCACGATCTCACAGCAGCCTCAACCTCCTGGGCTCAAGCAATTCTCCCACCTCATCCCCCGGAGTGGCTAAGACCACAGGCGTGTGCCACTACACCCAGCTAATTTTTGTAGAGACAGGATTTTGTCACGTTGCCCAGGCTGGACTCAAAACTCCTGAGCTCAAGCGATCTACCAACCTCAGCTTTCCAAAGTGCTGGGATTACTGTGACCAGCCGAAAATGTTTTTGTTTTTTTAAAGTTCATTTCAAAGAAAAAAATCTGATGTTCCTACCAACAACTACTCTTCAAAAGACAAAACCCGCTAGGCATGGTGGCTCAGAGGCCTGTAATCCCAGCACCTTGGGAGGCTGAGGAGGATGATCAAGTCCTCCTCAGGAACTCCTGAGATCAGGAGTTCGAGACCAGCCTGTCCAATATGGTGAAATCCCATCTATACTAAAAATACAAAAATTGGCTGGGCGTGGTGGTGCACACTTGTAATCCCAGCTACTCAAGATGCTGAGGCAGCAGAATTGCTTGAACCCAGGAGACGGAGGCTGTAGTGAGCTGAGGTCGTGCCACTGCACTCCAGCCCGGGAAACAGAGCAACACTCCATCTCAAAAAAAAAAAAAAAAAAGAAAAAACAATCACAAAAGCCAATCTCAAAGCACAAAATCAGATCAAGTTTTCTTGTCTTTTATAGTAGTACTAAGTTTCCAAACTCTCATTCATATTTTATCATTCAAAACACATAGTCTATTGTAATCTCAGCATTTTCAGAGGCCAAGGCGGGCAGATCGCTTGAGTCGAGGAGTTGGAGACCAGCCTGGGCAACATGGTGAAACCTCATCTCTACAAACAAACAAACCATAGTCTATATTCTAATGACTGGTATGTAGGAAAAAACTGGGATGCATTTCCTACATTATTTGATCCTTTACATTTATAGTTTAGCAAATAATGTCCTTCAAAGATCAGGACTCCTATCTTTGATCAAAATAACATTACTCTTTTTATTTTATTTATTTTTTTTTTGAGACAGAGTCTCATTCTGTCACCCAGGCTGGAGTGCAGTGGCGTGATCTCAGCTCACTGCAACCTCCGCCTCCCGGGTTCAAGCGGTTCTTCTGTCTCAGCCTCCTGAGTAGCTGGGACTACAGGGGGACGCAACTATACCCAGCTAATTTTTGTATTTTTTAGTAGAGACGGGGTTTCACCATATTGGCCAGGCTGGTCTCAAACTCCTGACCCCGTGATCCGCGCGCCTCAGCCTCCCAAAGTGCTGGGATTATAGGCACGAGCCACCGCGCCCGGCCAAACAGCATCACTCTTAAAATCAGCTAGAGAATCTTATTATTGGTAATCAAGTGATATTTTTGAATAAGGGTTCAAGAAATCACATGGGAGATTTTTCATTTCAATATTACACTTACGGGACAAATGCCAACATTTCATGTCTAATTCTATAATATCAATAAGGTACAGGTATATAATTACTGTGATTACATGACATATTTAATTATTTTAAAAACCAGTCTTGGCCGGGTGCGATGGCTCACACTTGTAATCCTAGCACTTTGGGAGGCCGAGGCGGGTGGATCACCTGAGGTCAGGAGTTCGAGACCAGCCTGGCCAACATGGTGAAACCCCATCTCTACCAAAAATACAAAAAAATTTAGCCAGGCATGGTGGCTCAGGCCTGTAATCCCAGCTACTCGGGAGGGTGAGGCAGGAGAATCACCTGAACCCGGGAGGCAGAGGTTGCAGTGAGCTGAGACCGCACCATTACCCTCCAGCCTGGGCAACAAGAACCAAACTCTGTCTCAAAAAAAAAAATTAATTAATTAATTTTAAAAAAATAAAAATAAAATAAAAATCAGACTGTAACTGCATTTTTTCTACAAATCTGGGAAGGGCTGAAATTCTCATCAGGTTGTATGCCAGCTCAACTTGTGGGATTCCAAGACTCAGAAATGTGAAATTCTCCCTCTCCCACATCTACTAAGAGAAGCCCAGTGATCTTCCAAATAGCTCATGATTCTATACACAGTTGCTAAGTCAAGTGACAAAAAAGCATCATGCCATGATGCTCAAAAATGGTATATACCAAGTGACATCAAGCACTGGCTCACAAAAAGCAGATCTACAAAAGCCAGAAAACCAACTTGCTAAGATACTTCACACTAAGTATCTGACATATGGCTTGGGGGAGAAGACTGGGTTACCAAAGTAGCCCAACCACTGAGCTGGGTTTTACACTGAAAATACCATATGATGGACACAGTTAGTTAACAGATCATAGGTAAGTATAACATTTTACTGGTTACTCAGACATCATACATATTAACTCTAACAAGAAGACAAATGTACAATTGCTATACTTATCAAGTTTGAGTAATCAAAAAACTGCTGACACATTATAATATATTGTGACAGGGATGAATATGTCTTAAAAGAAATTTCGGTCACACACGGTGACTCACGCCTGTAATCCCAGCACTCTGGGAGGCCGAGGTGGGCGGATCAACTGAGTTCAGGAGTTCGAGACCAGCCTGGCCAACATGGCAAAACCTCATCTCTACTAAAAATACAAAAATTAGCCAGGCATGGTGGCGGGCACCTGTAATCCCAGCTACTCGGGAGGCTGAGGCAGGAGAATCACTTGGGGCAGAGGCTGCGGTGAGCTGAGATCACGCCACTGCACTCCAGCCTGGGCAACAGAGTGAGACTCCGTCTCAAAAAAAAAAAAAAAAAAAAAAAATTCAAGTATGACATCACTGCTTAAAATGTTAGAAACGTTGACCCGGTTGGATGTTTAAAAAAAAAAGATCAATACTATACTCTAAATATCAACAGAACCTTGGAAACAGTTACCCACTAACTTAAACCATGATGATTTTTACTGTGTTAGTTATCTGTTCTTCAATAGTGATGCCAGGCTGATAGGAAATGTGTGGCCTAATATTAATAAATTACCTGCCCTTACACTGTGACATTAATTTCTGAAAAATGCACTAAGTGTGATAACTATTCAACAAAATTCTAGGTAAAGTTGAAACAATGTATAAATTAATATTTTGGCACATTACTTTTGGCTTACCCAATTTGCTTAGCTCTTTATTCAGTACCTAATAGAAGTTACATGAACTGACACAATTAAATGTATTCCTGAAAGGACATATAGGTCAATACTAACTAATCAGAACTTTCCATCTAAATCAGCTCTGACAAGACCTGGGAAAGATGATCAATTCTCACTCACAAATAATGAGTTCAGGTTGTTATTTAATAGAATTGCATACACTAATCCTGGTACCAATAGTCTCCCCAGTTAATTTAAGCGTCAGGAATAATTTAGGATCCTCTAACAAAGGAAAATCAAGAAAGTGCTAATTCTAAATGTTCTCAACTCAAAACATCAGAACCCTGGAATACACTGTATTCATTAATAATACTGTCACCTACTATACTTTTAAAAGTCTAATTTCTTCAAAATAACGTATCTAAAAACAAACTAAAATCCAGCACATACCCTATTTTTATTTGATTCTATCAAGTATATGGGAAATAATTATTAAAAATTCACTTGAAAAAACTAAGCCTGTGTAAAAATAATCCCAAATTACTTTCAGCAAAAAAGCCTAACTAGCAATTATAAATTAATAAAACTAACGAAAACAGGGAGCGAAAAAAAGAAATGACAAAACCAACCCCTCCTCGCTGACCATCTACATGTATGGAACGGATGTGATCTGCCAGATCTGGGCTAGAGTTGAAGCAAGCCTGGCACTGGTCCCAACAACAATTATAGGCAATATTTTTGCTTGAAGAAGTAGTGCTTCCTTGTCCATTCATCATTGCTGGAGTTGAACGCCCACTGGAAATTGTGCTGTCTACATCCATTATAGTACTGCTTATGCTACAAAAGAAGAAAAAAGGCTGTGTTATTCCTAGAAATTCACTAACATGAATATGATCTTATAAATATTTAATTAAGATTACCACTTGACATTCTGCTCCATGTGAACAAAGCATAGTAACCATATTCTCCATGAGAAAACAACAATGCTTTTAAATTAATTAGTTGGCAATGAAGTACAAATCAAGACAGAAACACGACAGTACCTCAAAATCAGAAATGGAATAATTTAAGCAACTTTTGGCAGGCATGAACTCAATACTACATCTTACAGAAAACAAACCACACCCACACCCCCACACACACAGCTTATCACATCTCATCCCTTCTACAGTTCAAAGAAGCATAAGAAAGTAAGAGTTTCCAGCTGTAAATAATTCACAATCAAAGCATTATCTTTATAGCTCTGCAAATCACTTGTTGACCTGAAATCTCTTCTATTCATTAATCTGAAAATATAACTGCTGCCACATCCTACTTCTTTTCATGTCAAAGAATTGGGGAAATTTTGCAGTATTTTCCCAGCTAAATAAAAAAGCAGAAGAGAGAAAACTGGTCTCTGATTTTTCTAAAGTCCAAATAAAAAATCTTTTCCTAGCCCTAAAATTTTATTTTTTTAACTCATCTCTAGCCATAAAAAAAAAGACTGAAAATGCCAATCAATCCCTTTTACTTTTTATTTACTAAAGTATTACATATGGCTGGACGCAGTGGCTCACTCCTGTAATTCCAGCACTTTGGGAGGCCGAGGCGGGTGGACTACCTGATGCCAGGAGTTTGAAACCAGCCTGGCCAACATGGTGAAATCCCACTGCTACTAAAAATACAAAAAATTATCCGGGTGTGGTGGCAGGTGCCTGTAATCCCAGCTACTCAGGAGGCTGAGGCAGGAGAATCTCTTGAACCCAGGAGGCGGAGGTTGGAGTGAGCCGAGATCGCACCATTGCACTCCAACCTGGTCAACGAGCAAAACTCCGTCTCAAAAAATAAAATAAAATAAAATAAAGTATCACGCCATTGCACTCCAGCCTGGTCAACAAGAGCAAAACACCATCTCAAAAAATAAAATAAAGTATTACACAGTAGTAACTCTTTTATTTACTAAAAAAAGTATATACTAGTGGTCAAAATGCTCAAAAATTCACATCTTAATAAAATGTATCACACTTCCGCCTTCATTTTAAAAGCAATTCACTTATTTTCTTTTTTCAAAATCTTCTCAATAAATAAATTACATGAAAGTCACTTCAATCATAAGGGTCAAGAGAAAGAATGTTTTCAGATTAAATCTATGAAAAGGTGTGTATCTGCTTGCAATTTAAGAAACAACACAAGTCAAGTTGTGAAAATTATATTAACTTTAAAGAGGTATGTTTCCCTCCCGCCAAGTTTTTATCATGGAAAAGTTCAAAGACACAAAATACAGCTAAATCTGAATTCAATTAACATTTTACCCTATTTGCTATCTGTAATCTGTTTCTCTGAATCATTTTAAAATTGCAGGCATCATGACAATCAACCACAGTATATACCTTCTTAAAAAAAAAGAACATTCAGGCCGGGCACAGTGGCGCATGCCTGTAATCGCAGCACTTTGGGAGGCCGCAGCAGGCAGATCACAAGATCAGGAGATCGAGACCATCCTGGCTAACATGGTGAAACCCTGTCTCTACTAAAAATATAAAAAATTAGCCAGGCATGGTAGTGTGCGCCTGCAGTCCCAGCTACTCGGGAGACTGAGGCAGGAGAATGGTGTGAACCCAGGAGGCGGAGACTGCTGTGAGCAGAGATAGCGGCACTGGACTCCAACCTGGGCGACAGAGCTAGACTCTGTCTCAAAAAAAAAAAAAAACTTTCAGGCCGGGCGTGGTGGCTCACGCCTATAATCCCAGCACTCTGGGAGGCCGAGGTGGGTGGATCACAAGGTCAGGAGTTCAAGACCAGCCTGATCAAGATGGTGAAACCACATCTCTACTAAAAATACAAAAATCAGCTGGGCATGGTGGCACACGCCTGTAATCCCAGCTACTCGGGAGGCTGAGACAGAGAATTGCTTGAACCTGGGAGGAGGAGGTTGCAGTAGGAGGTTGCAGTGAGCCAAGGTAACGCCACTGCACTCGAGCCTGGGCGACAGAGCGAGACTCTGTCTCAAAAAACAAAAAGAACGTTCACCTATATACCAATACAACCTATTCACTCACACCTGAGAAAATTTACATGAATTTTGTTAGCTTAAGTAAGCTTTATAATGATCTGTGTCTAACATCAAATGTACCTATTGTGAGGGGTGGGGGGATGTTAAGACAGGGTCTTCACTCCGTTGCCAAGCCTATAGTGCGGTGGTGCTATCACGGCTCATTGCAGCCTTGACCTACCAGGCTCAAGTGATCCTCCCACCTCAGCCTCCTGAGTAGCCGGGCCTACAGGTGTGCACCACTATGGCCAACTAAATTTTTTAAATTTCTGTAGAGATGAGGTCTCTTTATGTTGTCCAGGCTGGGCTCAAGCAATCCTCCTGCCTTGGCCTCCCAAAGTACTGGGACTACAGGCATTAGCCACTGCACCGAGCTAATTTTTCTATTTTTTTGTAGCGGCAGAGTCTTGTTTTGCTGCCCATGCTAGAAACGTATCCATTTTTAAAAGCAAAGATATTTTTGTAGGATGCTTCAGATATGAAAAATGTCTCAGGTTTTCCTTTAAAGGATATTCTAGTATTTAAGCTCATCTATCTACCTACCTAGTTAGTTAAATGCAATAAATATATATTTACCTGCCTAGTCAATATAGATTCTAAAGTGCAACTCTAAGGCTTCATTCTAAAACTCTGTAATCTCTGTAAAACTCTCAAATGTGAATCAGCTCTTGAATATCTGAATATACATATATTGTTTGTTGTTGCAAGACTAACCTTGGGTATGGTGGTTTTTCTATACCGAAATACATATTTTATTTAAACCCTAGAAATTTCAAGTTTCCCCCGGCCGGGCGCGGTGGCTCACGCCTGTAATCCCAGCAGTTTGGGAGGCTGAGGCGGGCGGATCACGAGGTCAGGAGATCGAGACCAGCCTGGCTAACACAGTGAAACCCTGTCTCTATTAAAAACACAAAAAATTAGCCAGGCATAGTGGCAGGAGCCTGTAGTCCCAGCTACTCAGGAGGCTAAGGCAGGAGAATGGCATGAACCCAGGAGGCAGAGCTTGCGGTGAGCCCAGATCGCACCACTGCACTCCAGCCTGGGCAACAGAGCGAGACTCTGTCTCAAAAAAAAGAAAAAAAAAGAAATTTCAAGTTTCATGAGGCCCTTAACCCTGAAATGGTTACCTATTTTCCCTATCACTTGCTTTAAATATTTTAAAACATTCAACTGTAAAGCACATACTTACATAAACTATACTAATTTAACTCCAAGGCAAATACTAATAATTCTAAGTGAACAACCAATCATAACCAATTTATAAACAATCTCAGGAAAAGCAATAAAAACTCAATGTGATATGGAACAATCTCCAAGGTATAGTTAAGTAAAACACACACAAGTGCAGGGTAGTCATGATCCAATTTGCATACCTAAGTTGGGGAGGGAGACAGAGACATAGCTAGTCTCCAAGGGCACAGAAAGATATACGAAACCTAGTAAATATTTGGGGGAAGGGAAGAGTGGGAGAGAAACTTATCTTTCACTGTATATACCCTTTTATACCATTTTAACCATGCTGTACCTATACTGCTTTTATTAAAAAGTCCAAAATTAGTTGAAAACCAAATCGATTTTTTTTAACTGGACACAGTAAGGTTAAGAGAGATTTATATAGCTGCGAAACATCATTATGGAATCTGTCTGTCTACATAGTACTTCATGTACTTTTGCTTATTACCTTTGCCAAAGAAAAGGAACCATATAAAAAAGTCCAAAATCTGGTAACGGTAATCATTGTTGAGTCTATGTGTGATATCACACACTTGAAACAATACTTCATGTGGATATAGCTCCTCATAAAGACAACATAATGTAAATGTTAAGAGCATGAGCTTTGCCTACCACTGGGGACTAAGCTGTGAATACAATGGCAGACAAGGTGAGAGGCACGTCCTGGAACACTCAAGACATCCCACACAGAGTCTCCCCCAAGCTGAACAGGGCCAACAGAAGTTCTGCTTCACAACCCCTCTTAGGCTCCTCCAACTTCTAGGAAGTATCCAATCCTAAGCCTCTAGGCTCCCTTTTGGCCCCAGACCCATGCTGCCACCAGTGGTCCTCTCCATTCTCTCGACTGATGAAGGCAACAGACCTGATGCAACAGTAGAGGACAGAAAACAAATGACAGGTAACTTCTGATTGTGACAGGACCCTGAGCTAGATAGCAATTTCACAGAAAGCAGTGCCCTTCCTCCTATAATACGTTATGTAACAAGAGACAATCCACCTAAACTTATAGTATTTCTAGGACCATACATATGTTAAATTTTTTCACACAGTTAATTCTCCTTTTCAATGAACACCTACTGATTTCATGAAATGTGAAGACCTATACACCCTGATATTTGGAAGAATACCTAAGCCAGACAATACACTCACACTATGCAGATAGCTTAGATAATCTAAAGCAGTGTTTCTCAAACTTTCATGTGTATACAAATCAAATGCAGATTCTGCATTCAGTATTATTAACTGCAGATTCTGATTCAGCAGGTTTAGGGTAGGTCCTGAGATAAAGCATTTCTAACAAGTGCCCGCTTGATGCTGCTGTGACATTTTGACTAGTAGGAACCGAAAAGATCTCTCTGACTAGCTTTTTTTTCTTTTCACAATGGGTTTGCCGCCAGAACACAGGTGTTGTGAAAACTACCCCTAAAAGCCAAAATGGGAAAGGAAAAGACTCATATCCACATTGTCGTCATTGGACACGTAGATTCGTACAAGTCCACCACTACTGGCCATCTGAACTACAAATGTGGTAGCATCAACAAAAGAACCATTGAAAAAATTGAGAAGGAGGCTGCTGAGATGGGAAAGGGCTCCTTCAAGTAGGCCTGGGTCTTGGATAAACTGAAAGCTGAGCGTGAACGTGGTATCACCATTAATACCTCCTTGTGGAAATTTGAGAACAGCAAGTGCTACGTGACTATCATTGATGCCCTAGGACACAGAGACTTAACCACAGAGACTTCATCAAAAACATGATTACAGGGACATCTCAGGCTGACTGTGCTGTCCTGATTGTTGCTGCCAGTGTTGGTGAATTTGAAGCTGGTATCTCCAAGAATGGACAAACCTAGGAGCATGCCCTTTTGGCTTACACACTGGGTGTGAAACAACTAATTGTCGGTGTTAACAAAATGGATTCCACTGAGCCACCCTACAGCCAGAAGAGATATGAGGAAATTGTTAAGGAAGTCAACACTTAAATTAAGAAAATTGGCTACAACCCCGACACAGAAGCATTTGTGCCAATTTCTGGTTGGAATGGTGACAACATGCTGGAGCCAAGTTTTAACATGCCTTGGTTCAAGGGACGAAAATCCTCCTGTAAGGATGGCAATACCAGTGGAACCATGCTGCTTGAGGCTCTGGACTACATCCTACCACCAACTCATCCAACTAACAAGCCCCTTTGCCTGCCTCTCCAGGATGTCTACAAAAATTGGTGGTATTGGTACTGTTCCTGTTGGCCGAGTGGAGACTGGTGTTCTCAAACCTGGTATGGTGGTCACCTTTGCTCCAGTCAACATTAAAACTGAAGTAAAATCTGTCGAAATGCACCATGAAGCTTTGAGTGAAACTCTTTCTGGGGACAATGTGGGCTTCAATGTCAAGAATGTGTCTGTCAAGGATGTTCGTCATGGCAATGATGCTGGTGACAGCAAAGATGACCCACCAATGGAAGCGGCTGGCTTCACTGCTCAGGTGATTATCCTGAACCTTCCAGGCCAAATAAGTGCTGGCTATGCCCCTGTACTGGATTGCCACACGGCTCACACTGCATGCAAGTTTGCTGAGCTGAAGGAAAAGATGGATCGCCATGTTGGTAAAAAGCTGGAAGATGGCCCTAACTTCTTGAACTCTGGTGATGCTGCCAACGTTGATATGGTTCCTGGCAAGCCCGTGTGTGTTGAGTGCTTCTCAGACTACCCACCTCTGGGTCGCGCTGCTGTTCATGATATGAGACAGACAGTTGCAGTGGATGTCATCAAAGCAGTGAACAAGAAGGCTGCTGGAGCTGGCAAGGTCACCAAATCTGCCCAGAAAGCTCAAAAGGCTAAATGAATATTATCCCTAATACCTGCCACCCCGGTCTTAATCAGTGGTGGAAGAATGGTCTCAGAACTGTTTGTTTCAATTGGCCATTTAAGTTTAGTAGTAAAAGACTGGTTACAACAATGCATTGTAAAACCTTCAGAAGGAAAGGAGAATGTTTTGTGGACCACTTTGGTTTTCTTTTTTGCGCGTGGCAGTTTTAAGTTATTAGTTTTTAAAATCAGTACTTTTTAATGGAAACAACTTGACTAAAAATTTGTCAAGGAATTTTGAGAGCCCCTAAAAAAGTTTAATGAGGAAAAAAAAAAAGATCTCTTTGACTAGTATTGTTACCCAACTGAAACTGATGAGACCATCTAAGAAATTGTTTCATATGGTAAAATGGTAAACCAAATTTTTAAGTTTAAAAAACACCTACACACACGTTGTTAGAGATGTCAATGGAATATTTAGGGAGCAACCTGAGATATTTTCAACATCAACAACATTCTCCTTTTCCTCTTTTCCCTTAGTTTAGAAACTATCTAGCAGACCAGTTTTCCACCCAACAGCTAGAGCGATCAACTGTATGATTTTATAAAAATGGTTTCCTTTGGAAATTCGAAGCCTGTCTCACTCATACATCCAGAACAGCCCCAACTTTGAGTCTTAAATTACTTCTAGGCAAGTATCTGCTTGGTGGACGTGACCAGGGCTGACAGGGTTGCCAATACTGAGAAAGTTATAAAGATCACTTTGCTAAATGACAAGGTGCATGAGCATAGGAAGCAATACATGGATGCTTATGTTACCATGACTGAGAAGGACAAAACTATGGTCTTAAAGTAACTGAGAAAAGTTCACTAACATGGTTTCTGATTACACATTGCAAATAATCTTTAAGAAACTACCACTTGCCAAGTGTTGTCTTATTACCAAATAGCAACACAATTATCTTAAAGGGCTATTGAAATATGACTTCTGCCAGGCGCAGTGGCTCACGCCTACAATCCCAGCAACTTGGGAGGCTGGAGCGGGAGGATTTCTAGAAGCTGGAAGTTCAAGAGCAACCTGGGCAACATAGCAAGACCCTGTCTCTTAAAAAAAAAAAAAATTAGCTGGGCATGTTGGTATGTGCCTGTAATCCCAGCTACACAGGAGGCTAAGGTGAGGATTGCTAGAAGTCCAAGGCTGCAGTGAGCTATGATTGTGCCACTGCACTCCAGCCTGGATGACAGAGCAAGATTCTATCTCATGAAAAAAAAAAAAAATCTGAGAACCACCAAAGCTTGAGCACCTCCCTAAAACAGATCAAAAGAATATGTTTCTAAACGGGAATACTTTTATTTTATTCTGAGGTTAACTGCTGAATTTGAAATTCAGTCTGAGGTCAAATGGATAGGGGCAAGCCTTATCGGCAGTCTTCTTTTCAGTTCTGTGAGCAAATTCATTTGTGTTGTAGCTCCTCCTTGGTAACTTTGGGTCGTTCTCCCCCCTCCACCCACCTGCCGTATCTTTGGTGAGGTCTAGCCTACTGAAATGTCCAACTTTATTTTTTTTAGTGTATGTGCCGCCAAAGCAAGCACTGTAATATCTAACTTTAAAGGAAGGTAGAGGACAAGGACTTGAAGGATTTAGAGTATATAACCTGAAATCAAGCATAATTTATTGACATTCAAAAAAACTAAAATCTACGAATTTCAGAATTTTCTATGAATACATCACTGAGTAAAAAGGCTACGGCTCTGCTGCACTGGTGTTTCTACCACCCTAATTTAAGCCTTCACATCTTCATTCACATAAAATCATGCTTGCAAATCGTATACCTTATACCTTAACCAATTAAAGACCTTTCCCCACAATTACTTTGTGAATCCTCCCTTCACTTAAGGGTCTAGCCAAGTGTGTGTGTGTGGTAACAATTAAAAGTTGACATAAAACAGTATTAAGAGTTCAGTGTGAGGTTCTGGTCACTTTTGCATTTGTGACAGGAAGTGAAAACAATTAAAGTCAATAAACAATGTTGTCTTCCAAATAAAACGTCCTTACTACTAATCCCTGTTCCTAAATCAGTAGAACTAATGTGGTCAGCGCAGTTGCTCACATCTGTTAATCCCAGCACTTTGAGAGGCAGAGGCGGCGAACGGCTTGAGCTCAGGAGTTGGAGATCAGCCTGGCAACATGGCGAGACCCCGTCTCCATTTTTAAAAAAGAACAAACTAAGGTACACATGGAGACATGGAGACTGTCCATATCTCCAAATCAGATTTGCAGAACCAAGCAGCCAAAACAGAATAAAGACATAAACTGGGGGCCAGGCATGGTGGATCAAGCCTGTAATCCCAGCACTTTGGGAGGCCGAGGGGGGGAGAATCACTTGAGCCGTGGAGGTGGAGTTTGCAGTGAGCTGTGATCCCGCCTCCACCGCACTCCAGCCCGGGTGACAGAGCAATACTCTGTCTCAAAAAACAAAGAAAGAAAGAAACTGGATGCTAAAACTGACATAAACATGTATCATCCACAAACACCCACTTCAAATTTAAATTCATTTGTCCGGGTGCGGTGGCTCACGCCTATAATCCCAGCACTTTGGGAGGCCAAGGCGGGTGGATCACCTGAGGTTGGGAGTTTGAGACCAGCCTAGCCAACATGGCAAAACCCCATCTCTAATAAAAACACAAAAATTAGCTGGGCATGGTGTCGCGTGCCTGTAATCCCAGCTACACAGGAGGCTGAGGCAGGAGAATCGTTTGAACCCAGGAAGCGGAGGCTACAGTGAGCTGAGCTCAATCGAGCCACTGCACTCCAGCCTGAGCAAAAGAGCAAGACTCCTTCTCAAAAAAAAAGAAAGTATATAGGTCAGGCACAGTGGTTCATGCCTATAATCCCAACATGTTGGGAGGCCAAGGTGAGAGGACTGCTTGAGGCCAAGAGTTCGAGACCAGCCTGGGCAACATGACAAGACCCCATCTCTACAAAAAAACTTTTAAGAAAGTACGTTAAGTCGGCCGGGCACGGTGGCTCACGCCTGTAATCCCAGCACTTTGGGAGGCTGAGGCGGGTGGATCACGAGGTCAGGAGATCGAGACCATCCTGGCTAACACAGTGAAACTCCATCTTTACTAAAAATACAAAAAAATCATCCGGGGCTGGTGGCGGGTACCCGTGGTCCCAGCTACTCGGGAGGCTGAGGCAGGAGAATGGCGTGAACCTGGGAGGCGGAGCTTGCAATGAGCCGAGATCATGCTACTACTGCATTCCAGCTTGGGCGACAAAGCGAGACTCCGTCTCAAAAAAAAAAAAAAAAAAAAAAGAACGTAAGTCTATAATAGTTTTTCACAGGCCTATTTATCAAACTAGGTAAACATTACAATGATACAAAGGAAATCCTAATCTAATCATATTAACAGGTAAACTATCATTCAGCTAACAGGTGATATTCCTTTCATCTATAAAACTGCCACTTATACTAGAAAGATTACACTATGTCTCTCCCGCCCTTATAATCAATTTCTTAAAGGGTAAAATTCAAAACATTGCAAAAGCATTTAAGAATCCCCTATATCTTAAGAACTCTGAAGTTGTACACCTAATGCACAACTCTAAGAGTAAAAATTCTTTACTTGAGTTACCATTTCTCGTCTCCATTCATTGGAACAGATTATAATTATTTGCCCTAATATTTAGTCTAGGCTTGACAAAGGGATTAAAAGTTAAAACAACCAAATGAAACAGGTACTTCAAGAAAACCATTAACAACAAAAAAAAAAGAAAAAGAAAACCATTAACAACCTTGCTTGTTACAGGTTATGACTATTAAGGGGAAAAAAGCAATTATGTAACCTACTATATAAAATAGCAAAAGGCACTCTAAATCTTGTTTCTACTTTTTATATTAACAGCTAACACAGCATTTGCTATATATCCTGCATTGTTCTATGTGCTTGTGTGAGATCGTATTTTTTTAAAGATGGCCACTTTTGGCCAGGAGCAGTTGCTCTTGCCTGTAATCCCAGCACTTTGGGAGGTCGAGGCAGACACATCACTTGAATCCAGGAGTTCAAGACCAACCTGTGTAATATGGTGAAACTCCATCCCAATAAAAATAAAAATCCCAGCACTTTGGGAGGCTGAGGTGGGCGGATCACTTGAGGTCAGGAGTTCGAGACCAGCCTGGCCAACATGGTGAAACCCTACCTCTACTAAAAATACAAAAATTAGCTGGGTGTGGGGGCGCATGCCTGTAATCCCAGCTACTTAGGAGGCTGAGGCAGGAGGATCGCTTAAACCCGAGAGGCAGAGGTGCAGTGAAGCAAGATTGTGCCACTGCACTCCCGTCTGGGTGACAGAGCAAGAATCCATCTCAAAAATAAATAAATAAAAATAAAACAAAAGATGGCCACTTTAATGCCAGGTGCAGTGATGCACAACTGTAGTCCCAGCTACTCAGGAGGCTAAGGTGGTAGGATGGCTTGAGTATCAGAGCTCAACATTGCAGTATGCCATGACTGTGCCTGTGAACAGCCACTGTACTCCAGCCTGGGCAACCCAGCAAGCGAGACCTTGTCTCTTAAAAAAAAAAAAAAAATTAAAAGATGGTCACTTTTGAAAGACCCCATCCTTAACTCCTCTTATTATACAGCACTAATAGGTGTGGTCTGTATTACCTCCCCTTGAATTTAATCAGGCCTGAGACTACTGCAGAAGTGATGATGCCAGACTTCCAAGGCTAAGTCATAAAAGGGAACACAGTTTCAGCCTGGCTCGCTCTTGGAACACTCAGCTCGGGAGTCTTCAACCACCATTTAAGAAATCTGGCTCCCTTGAAGCCGCAAAGTGGAACAGATCCCGTGAAGAACATACACAGAGCTAGAGAGGGATGCCTGAGAAGCCCCAGCTGTTCTGACCCCCAGCTGTTTTGAGTCTTCCCAGCCCAGGCACCAGACATGTGACAGATACATGACATGAGTCAGTGGGCATTCTGATTCCAGTCCCCAGTCTTTAAGCTGCTTCCACGAGCTGATACCAAGTAGAGCAGAAATGAGCTGACCCTGCAGAACCCGGCCCAAATCATAGATTCATAAGTAAAATAAATGCTGTCGTTTTAAACTACTAAATGTTGGAAAAGGGCTGTCATGCAGCCATAATAACTGGAACAATGTTTGATGTGTATTAACTCTGTAATGCTTACAACTCTAATAAACTGTTATTCGTATCCTTTTCTTTCAGATAAATTAAGATTTGCCCATAGTCAAACAAGTGCAAAACAGTAATGCCAAAAAAAAAACTGTCATACTACTATATATTCAAAGGAGAAACTTGAATGAATTACTGATTTAAGAAATAATTGAAATACAGCCTATAGTATACATCAAAATGGCACTAATACTCCTTTAGTGCAACTAAAAAAAAAAATGACCCTTTTTTTTTTTGAGACAATGTCTCACTCTTGTCACTCAGGCAGGAGTACAGTGGCACAATCATAGTTCATTGCAGCCTCAACTTCCCAGATTCAAACGATCTTCCCGTCTCAGCCTCCTGAGTAGCTGGGACTACAAGTATGCACCACCACTACATCTGTCTTTTTTTTTTCTTTTTTTTTTTTTTGGTAGAGATGGGATCTCACTTTGTTGCTTAGGCTGGTCTCAAACTCCTGGGTTGAAGCTATCCTCCCTCCTCAGCCTCCCAAAGTGCTGAGATTACAGGCATGAGTCACCGTGCCAGGCTGACATTTTCATCTAGTATGCAAAACTTTTATCTAGTGTAGCACACAAGCAAAAGTTCTTTGGTTTTGTACATTCATAGTGCATAACACAAAAGAGATATTTAACATCTACATAAAATTTGACCCATTCAGGCAGACAGTTTTACTAAAAATAAAAACTATTAAATTTGATTCCTACACGTCAGTTAGCTTCATAAAAATTCAAGGTCATAGAAAGCAACACTGAGGGTAGAAAGAAATTGTCCCAAATTTAGAACTTAGGCCACTGAAACAGATTTGAGCCTAACAATGACAACATCAAATCCAACTCCAAACATTCCTTCCCAGGGCAATGGGGTGGTCACTTTTTCTACTTACGAAGGACAAAGAACAAATTATAAAACTGGTCTTAAACAGGATTAAGGAATTTAGACACATCAGATTCTGTAAGGCTACCTGATTTTGCTTTCAAAACTGCGGTGGTGCTGTAGGCTTTTTGGTCTATAAACTCAGTTAGGAAAAAAAAGTAAAGACAAGTGCCTATTTTATTACATCTGTGTGTTATAAATAAGTCAAATTTCCCTAAGGCCCTTCTTATTCATCTAAGGTGGAAGGAATTCTGCTCCCATATGATCCAGTTAATTTGTAGCCACCTATAAACCTCTATTCAGAGTAAACTCCCAAACCTAGTTAGAGCCTTGCACGTAGTAAATGCTCATCATTTTTAGCGAGAAACTTAAGTAGTATTTTTTAAGGCAAGTAAAATATATGGCTTTGTCACACTAAAATAATTCAAAAAAAATTAACTGGAAGCACACTAAAAATCATTAGCCAAAACCAAGATATTACCACTATTACTACAAGCTATTACCACTGTAATTTAAAAAGCTAAAATGAATTTTTATCATCAAGAAAAAGACTACTTTCTATCCCCACAATTATTTCTCTGGTTAAAGACAAACGATTTTCTTTCCTGAAGACCCAGCAGCATTCACTAAATTGGCCAAAAGGGACTTTATGCAACAATGATGAAATATAGTCTATGGAAAACAAGTAGGCTACATTCTTTTATCACCACTACGCACTGAGCACATTACTTTAAATTTCTCATATCAAATCTATCACCCTTTAAGATTACTTCACCCACATTTTTCATCCAGCTTAAAATATCAGCCAGCAATTGATATCTTCACAAACACTAGAAACATTCCACTTCAACACAATTACACTAAGGAAGTTATCTTTACCTTTTCACAAACATTTCCAGAGAAATGTATATACACAAAGATGGTATGTTTAAAAAAAGAAATCCACTATGAAGAACACCCCCCATTTAATAAAGAAGCAATTGCATCTGAAGGTTTAATTAGTATTAAATCATAAAAAGATCTTTCCTAAGGAAATTTTGAGGAAAAATATCAGATGATTTCAGTATGCATTTCTGACAAGAATGACTACTGTCATTCTTGACTGAACACCTCAAAACACATGTTGATATAACAATTTCCAAGATTAATTTAAAACACTAAAAAATCTATTGCCAATTCATCTACTCTTTGTACTTTAAAAAATATTTATGAAAAGTAATGATGGCCAGGTGTGGTGGCTCACACCTGTAATCCCTGCACTTTGGGAGGCCAAGGTGGGAGGACTGCTTGAGCTCAGGGGTTCGAGACCAGCCTGGGCAACACACGGAGACCCCATCTCTACAAAAAATGAAAAAAGCAGCTGGGCATGGTAGTGCATGCCTGTAGCTCCAGCTATTTGGAAGGCTGAGGCAGGACAGTCACTTGGGTCCAGGAGTTTGAGGCTGCAGTGAGCTGTGACGGTACCACTGCACTCCAGCCTGAGTGACAGAGCAAGACCCTGTCTCGAAGTACAAACAAAACAAAAAAAAACTGTTCTCTTTTTCTTTAATCAGCCACACTAATGAAACTGAGAAAGAAATATGCAATCAGGTATTTCCACATTAAGTTGAATTCAACCAATTACTGAGAATGAATACAGGCTACGACATACTGAGTGAGTGCAGAAGGCAAGTTCTGCAAGTATATATGAGACCTGATCTTTACTTTTTTTTTTTTTTGAGATGGAGTCTTGCTCTGTTGCCCAGGCTGGAGCACAATGGCACGATCTCAGATCACTGCAACCTCCACCTCCCGGGTTCAAGCTATTCTCCTGCCTCAGCCTCCCAAGTAGCTGGGATTACAGGCATGCGCCTAATTTTTGTATTTTTACTACGGATGTGAGCCACCATGTCCGGCCTGATCTTTACTTTTAAAATGTTATAGCCTAGAGGAAATAAACACAAATGGATATTTCAATACAACATCATAAATATGAAGTAGAAATATGATGACTTCTGGCAAGGCACAGTGGCTCACGCCTGTAATCCCAGCACTTTGGGAGGTCAAGCAGAGAGAATCACTGGAGCCCAAGAGTTGAAAACCAGTCTCGGCAACATAGCAAGACCTAGTCTCCATTTTCAAAAATAAAAAAATGTTTTAAAAAGAAATATGGTGATTTTTAAACCCAAAAGAACCTACCTAAGATATCCTTGAGATCCTGGATATAACAAAGCCACACACGGCAATATTCCGAGTTTGTCTAAAGAAGATAATCCATTATCTATTTGTTTAACTGTATTTAAAGTACTTGCCAACTCTACAGCAGCACCCTCGCATTCGAGCTCCAAATTACTTTATACTGTTTTGTCAAAAACCCTCATTTTTAAGAAAAAGAATCAATCTGAGCTTCACAGAAATAAACAATTTGCCACATTTCCTGACGGCAATAAAGTCAAGACTACAATACTGATCGCTTATCCTCAGCTGGAGTATTCTTTCCACTGCACCATCTCTGCATGAGAAATGGGGATATATAAATGACTCTACGAAGTAAATACGTAACCCCTTTGCATGTCATCTCACTTAATCCTAACACTGCTCCTATTTTACAGATAAGGAAGCAACTTCTGAGAAGTTAGATTACGTCCATGCTCTTTCACTACTCAATGTTCCTTTAGTTATTCTAGTGACGGTTGTGTCTGGAAAAACAATGCAAACTATTGTTCAAATTAAATCCTCAAGAAAACGTATTCAGAAATAACGTTTACATAGCCAGGTGCTACAGATAAAGTGCCAATCAAGATAGACATGGTTTTTCTTCTCAGGGAGCACACAACCCAGCAGTGGAGATAAATGGTAAACAATTACCCATATTGGGGTGAGGGCAAGAAAGAACTCGGAATGCTGACAATATGTCTAACAAGGAACCAGCCTGTTCAACGTAAGACTTGAATGTGAACTAGGGAATTACACAGAAAGAAAGTGAAGAGAATAAAAAGAATTTGATTCACAAACCTATACTGAGAGACGTACACACTTGTGTTGGCATGAAAGGCCTCACTTGCACCATTAATTCTTACTTCCCAGGTCCAGTGGCGCATCCTTAGATGTTGGCAGGAAGTCTCCTGAACATGCTACGCTCATTCCTGCCTACATGTTTTCAGTTAGGCTTTCTAGAATTCTCTCTTCATCATTTACGCAAGCCTAAAATCTGTCCCCCTTCCCACACAAAATCTTTAGTCACTAACTATACAACACGTTCCAACTCTAATTTTTTTGTTTTTTTGTTTTTTTGTTTTTTGTGAGAGTCTTGCTGTCACCCAGGTTTGACTACAGTGGCACAATCACAGCTCACTGCAGCCTCAGACTCCTGGATCCAAGTGATCCTCCTGCCTCAGCCTTTCAAGTAGCTAGGAATTGAGGCATGTGACACCACATCTGGCTAATTTTTTCATTTTTTGTAGATGAGATCTTTTTTTTTTTTTTTTTTTGGAAACGGAGTCTCGCTCTGTCGCCCAGGCTGGAGTGCAGTGGCGCAAACTCTGCTCACTGCAAGCTCCGCCTCCTGGGTTCACGCCGTTCTCCTGCCTCAGTCTCCCAAGTAGCTGGGACTACAGGTGCCCGCCACCACGCCCAGCTAATTTTTTTCTGTATTTTTAGTAGAGACGGGGTTTCACCGTGTTAGCCAGGATGGTCTTGATCTCCTGACCTTGTGATCTGCCTGCTTCAGCCTCCAAAAGTGCTGGGATTACAGGCGTGAGCTACCGTGTCCCGCCTGTAGATGGGATCTTGTTACACTGTCCTGGCTGGTCTCGAACCCCTAGGCTCAAGGGATCCTCCCACCTTGGCCTTCCAAAGTGCAGGGATGACAGGTGTGAGTAACCATACCTGCCTCCAGTTCTAATTTGAATGCACCATGTCGCAATTTACAGAAAAAACAGAATACAATAATCTCTTTAGCCTGCTCTTTAAAAACAAAGTATCTGAGGAGATACCGTCATGTTTCTTATCACTAAATGGGGCGCAATGGGTCTTAGTATTTAAGACCAATATAATTACTACTTTCACAAATACAAACTATTCATCGCAAAAATAAATTAATCATAGGTTAGACCACTGCCATTACTAGAAAACTTATTCCAAAACTTTTTACCAATAGATAACTGGCATGCTTGCTTCAGCAACATATATGATAAACTTGGAACAATACAGAGAAAATGAGCATGGCCCCTGCACAAGGATGACATGCAAATTCATGAAGCATTCCATTTCTTTTCTAATTGTTTTTAATATGTACGTTCAGCTAGTTATCGTCCAAAAAAAAGAAAGCTAGTTATATTTTTTTATAACTAGCTGCACGTACATATTAAAAACAATTTAAAATGAAAGGTTTCATATGAAGGCTTTTAGGCCCACCACAGAACAGTCATAGAAAACTGATTAAAATGTACATGCTGTAATCAAATATTTTAGTCTACCATATCCTTTTGCAAATTTCTGCAACACTCATTTGCAGACTCTTGTCATACATCTAACACCTGATTGATACAGTACTTTTGGGCATTCCAGATCGTACAGCACTTCACAATAACAGACGTTACTAGCTATTATCAATTCATTTGTGCAGTGATTCTCTCTGCCACTCATGAGGTAAGGGTTTTGTTTTATACCCTGCTGTATCCCCAGCATTTAGAAGAGTACCTGGCATGAGGCCGGGCACGGTGGCTCATGCCCATAATCCCGGCACTTTGGGAGGCCGAGGCAAGCGGATCATTTGAGGTCAAGAGTTTGAGACCAGCCTGGCCAACATGGTGCAACCCTCTCTACTAAAAATACAAAAAAAAAAAAAAAAAGAAAACGAGCAGGGCACGGTGGCATGCGCCTGTAATCCCAGATACTCAGGAGGCTGAGGCAGGAGAATTGCTTGAACCCGGGAGGCAGAGGCTGCCGTGAGCCAAGATCGCACCACTGCACTCCAGCCTGGGTGACAGAGTGAGACCCTATATCAAAAAAAATAAAGCATCTGTCACATAACATGGATTCTATATACATCTGTAGAATATACCCATCACACAGTAAACACTTAATGAACGTGTACCAAATACTCTACAATTCACATTGCAATCTTACAGGATAGGAACCATTATTGTCCCCCTTTCATAGACAAGAGACCTCAAGTAGTAAGACGTTAAATAAATACTACTGTTGGGCCAGGTGCCTGTGGTCCCAGCTACTCAGGAGGCAGAGGCTGCAGTGAGCTGAGATCGCGCCACTGCACTCCAGCCTGCGTGACAGAGCAAGACTCTGTCTCAAAATAAATACATAAATGCATACATACATACTACTGTTGGTATTCTCAATTTAATGCTAGTAATTAATGGAGTATTCACCACACCCAAGATATTATGTTAGGTACTTACAAAGATACTAAAAAAGCAAAAATGTCCCTGCCCTCCAAAATACCATTCTACAACAGAAAAGATGCACGCATTCAAGCAACGTGGATGGATTCCTCCAAACAGTTCACAGCGCTCTTTAACAGAAATTATTTCACTTGAACCACAAAACAACACTTCAGAGTAATACCTGTTTTGTAGTTGAGGAACTAAAGTTCAAAGATATACTACTCAAAAATTGAAATATAGGCAGTAATATTAAGATTTGCGCCAGGTCTGGTGGTTCATGCTCAGGCTAGTCTCCTGACCTCATGTGATCTGCCCTCCTCGGCCTCCCAAAGTGCTGGAATCACAGGTGTGGGCCACATGCCTGGCCAAGAGTACTTTCATATATTAACTGATTCAATAGCTAGTACTAATTTGTTAACTAACTCCACGGGCATTTTAAATATTAAAATTCCATTTAAAAGCTAATTTACTACTTGAACTTGAGACTGTCTTCTATTTTCTCGGCATTAACTTTTTTAGCATAAATACACGTTCAGTAACAAGTGCTGACATTTGATCACTTTTTGGATGACTCATTCATTCAACCATATTTTAAACTATTTTTACATGATACTGTGTTGGAAGAATGAAAATAAAATTATGTTTAAAATTTTTTAAATTTTTTTTAAAGTTACCATAGCCTCTGAAATTAACCTAAGAGCATAACTTTTTTAAAAAGTACTTCAGCTTCACTGAAGAGAAAAAAAGTTCAGAGTAAAGAAAAGCTAGTTTTTAGCGGTTTCACATAGCTAAATACTTCTCCCTACTATCTTTATAACCAAAATACTTCTCCCTACTATCTTTATAACCAAAGTAAAAATAAAATTACATATAAATTTCAAGAATTTCTAAATTTACTAAAATAAACACGCTATAAACTTACACTGGTTTTGAAAAACTTTCTTCTGGGGGGAAAAAAATCAACTTTTTGTACCAAGTGGTATTTAATCATTTCATAAATTAGTCACTTTTTACCACAAAACCTTCCAATACCATAAATGACATCTCAGGTCATAACCTCTAATATCTATGTCTTTATATTTAATTATCTTTTTTTGAGATGGAGTCTTGCTCTGTCGCCCACGCTGGAGTGCAGTGGTGCAATCTCAGCTCACTGTAACCTCCGCCTCCCAGATTCAAGCCATTCTCCTGCCCCAGCCTCCTGAGTAGCTGGGATTACATGCCTGCACCACCATGCCTGGCTCATTTTTTTGTATTTTTAGTAGAGATGGGGTTTCACCATGTTGTCCAGGCTGGTCTTGGAATTCCTTGACCTCAAATGATCCACCCGACTCGGCCTCCCAAAGTGCTGGGATTACAGGGGTGAGCCACCATGCCCGGCCTAATTATCTTTTTAAAAGTAGCACTTAAGATATTTAACATGGCCTGCGGTGGCGGCTCACTCCTGTAATCCCAGCACTTTGGAAGACCCAGGTGGGAGGATCATTTGAGGTCAAGGAATTTCAAGACCAGCCTGGACAACATGGTGAAATCGCATCTCTACTAAAAACAAAAATTAGCCAGGGGTGGTGGCACTCACCTGTAATCCCAGTTACTCAGGAGGCTGAGGAAGGAGAATCGCTTGAACCCACAAGGCAGAGGTTGCAGTGAGCCGAGATCGTACCACTGCACTCCAGCCTGGGCGATAGAGTGAGACTCGTCTCAAAAAAAAAAAAGAAAAAGATATTTAACAAAGATGTTCAACAAATTCTAGAGCATATCAGATAAACTAAAAAGCACAACGTAACCAAAACGATGGGAAAGGTAAATGGGCATTATAATAGAATCTTTGTAATAGGAATGCCTAAAAATGTTATAGAGCACTTTAAAACTAAGATTATCCTTCCACTGGTTACAAAAATGAAGTTTTCTTACCATGAAATCAACCTATAAAATCCACAGATTGATGTAATCTACAGTAATTTATAAGAATTAGGGATCCTTTCCAAACTCAAAATAACTGGGAGAAAAATCTCAAAGGCAACAAGAAGATGTTTCAGAATTAAGATTATTAAGACCCCAAGCCAGTTTCACTAGTAAGCCTTCTTCATACAAGTGACAAATCTATTACCCTGAAATGGTGACATTAAAAACAGTATTCTGTAGTCTCTAAAATTAAGCATTAAGAAAACCAAGTTTGCTTGGTTATCAAGTTTTAACTGTAGTTGGATTTGTGACACCCGTATTTTACTTCTTATTCTGAAATAAGATGTAAAAATTATATACTCAAGTAAATATCTCATTAATGTCAAATAAAAGCCACAACTCCACTTCCTAAATGTACTTAACCAATAATTCGTCTCCTGAAGTGATGTAGTAAATGGACACTAACTAAAAACAAAACTCTGACACATATCACTTGGTTTTTTTTTGAGACGGAGTCTCGCTCTGTCGCCCAGGCTGGAGTGCAGTGGCACCATCTCAGCTCACTGCAACCTCTGCCTCCCGGGTTCAAGCGATTCTCCTGCCTCAGCCTCCCGAGTAGCTGGGAACACAGGCGCGCGCCACCACTCTCGGGTAATTTTTGTATTTTTAATGTAGATAAGGTTTCACTATGTTGGCCAGGCTGATCTCAAACTCCCAACTCAGGTGATCCGCCCACCTCGGCCTCCCAAAGTCCTGGGGTTAACAGGCCTGAGCCACCGCGCCCGGCCTCAACTTATTTAAGGCGAATTATTTTAACTCTTCAGTGGAAATAATAGGGGACTTGAGAACCTTTGCTCATATCCAGCCCACCATTTCCATGCTGTATTTACTGTCCTGAGTAAGATACTCAACTTGCTTCTTCATCTGTTAAACAGAAGTCAAAATAATACCTATCTTGCACCATAGTTGTGGGAATGAAATGGAAGACATCTAATTTGTACAGTGGTAGGCAAGCATAATACGTGTATACTGAGTAAATGAAAAACGCTGATTTTATAAACTAATGTCAACTTTCAGATATGTAATGGTATCAGAGGAGCATAAAATGGTAAAAATAGCACATGCTTCATTGTGCAGTTTACATCAATTTTTAATTTTCTTGAAGACATTCTCCTTCCTACCCATGCCTACACAGTTCAACACAATTTTTCTAAGGTTTATACAGTCTACTTTACCCGAAGATATTTTCTTAACTAGACGTTAATGTCAAACAGAATCTAATGCCAGATTTTCAAAATATCCAGGACTCTGTATTACTTGTAGCATTAAATACTAAGGTGTTCGTTTTTAATCAATTAATCAGAATTCCTAGAACTTTAGAATATTAAACTCTTAAATGAAAATCACTATCGACCACTAAAATTTCCATTGCTATACTTTTCTGGAGAGCATGTTTAAAAAAAATGTGATTGTCAAAACATAGATGGTCAAAATAAACGCTAATACACTTTAGAAGTGGCATAATATGCATGTGATTCTCGTTTTTTTAAAAGTACATTAAAAACCAACTAACCCAAACAGATCAAAAGTAATGATAAGACAATTGAAACATACACTATCACACTTTTTAAATGTTCTGAAAAAATGCGCATTTTTGTCACTCTCCAGTTACTTCTAACAAGCTTTAGTAAGAAAAATAATACTCATTCCTTCCGAGACCTCTCCAATGCATGACTTTAAATATTATCATTTAAAATCATGACTCTCATGTTGAAACATTACTATAAAGCCGCAAACTACGTTGTACCTTCAAGACTGTATTTTGTTACGATTCCAACTCTCTGATTCCGCAAAGTTATCTTAAAAGGCCATCAATTCACTATTCTTTTCCACAACCATTTATACGTGTTTAAAACTTTTTCCCAGATATGCTCCCAAAACAAATAGAAAAGATTGTTAAAATCACGTTGGAGACCACATGACTGACTACAAATGAGGGATTTGGGAGGCAATGATTTAATATAAAAGAACAGTCCTTTTTTTGTTTAAGTAGAGAAAAGTGATAGCTGGGGTCTCTCCCATGGACAAGGAAGTTCTGTTAAATCCAGGCGAGACCAGCCATATTGGAAACACTTGTCAATTGTAGTTCTGACAAGTGTTCCCGAACACGGTTGGAAGAAGCTAACCTTGAGTACCGACGTGTGTACATCAAGGCCCTCTTCTGCTCCGCCAGAGGATCTGGGCCCGTTTGGGGACTGTTTCCGAGTTAGAGCCGTCCTGAGGTCCGTGAGGAGCGAAGCGCCGAGGGGAAAGAGGGCGGGGAAAGGAGAGTTGGGGGGGAACGGTTTGAGAGTTGGAAGCCGCGATGCGCTGCGAGAGGGGCGCGGCGGCGACGGCGAGAGATTTCCGAGTTGAGAGTCTGGGGGAGGGGCCGAGGATTCGGGGAGCAGGGGGATCGCGGCAAAACGTCGCCTTGGTCCCCCTCTGAGGGGCCCGGGAGTTCAAGAGGAGGAAGGGAAGGGGAAACGCTTCAGAGCACTGACCTGTCCTCCGAGTCCATGCGGCTCAGGGGTTCCCCATCCGACGACATCTCCAAGCTGCCCCGCCGGCCCCCGGAGGTCGCGCTGCTTCCGCCTCCCCCAGTCCCGTAGCCCTCGTCGCCGCCGCTGGAGACTACGCTGCTGCTACTGCTGCCGCCCCCGCCGCCGCCCTGGCTGCCCCGCGGTCCCTTGGGCTCCTCCAGGCCCTCCTTGCCGTCCCCATCCCCGCTGCTGCTGCTGGCGGCGCCGGGGCTCAACGAGCGGGTCTCGTCGCTGCTGCTCCCGCCGCTGCTGCCCACCAGGCTCTCGGCGCTACTCTCCTCCTCACCCCCGCCGCTGCTGCTGCTCTCATCTTCCTCCTCCTCGTCGTCCTCCTCCTCGTCTTCGTCCTCCCCGGCCTGGCTGGCGCTCTCGGGGCTCGGCTCCGACATCGTCTCTGCCTCGCCGCCCCCCACTCCTCCGCCGCCGCCTCCGCCGCCCCCACCGCTGCCGCCGTTCAGCAGCAGCGCCGCCACCGCCTCGGCCTCCGCCTCCTCTTCCTCCTCCTCCTCTTCCTCCTCCTCCTCGGGGGGCTCAGCCCGGCCCCGCGCCGCCGAACCCGGGCTGCCGGGGGGCAGAGGGCTCAGGCGGGAGAGCTCCTCCAGGTCGGCCATGTCGGTGATAGCGGCGGCCATGGCGGCGCCTGCTCCTCCTCCTCCTCCTCCTCCCCACCGCCGCCTCCCTCTCTCGACTCTCTCTCCCTCGCCCCCCTCCCAAACGCCCAAAACTCCGCCGACGCCGCTGCAGAGCAGGAGGAGGGCCCGCGAGCTGCGTCAGCCTGCACACGCGCTACGGAGCCCGCGCGGGGACAGGCGCGCGACTACGCGCACTCACACGGAGACTGCTGCGCGCCTGCGCGGCGGCACGAGGCAGCACCTCCCCCGGCTGCGGGTTCTGCGCCCCCGCCCCCGCCCGGCGCCCGCCCCGCTGCCCAGTGCCCGCCCCCGCCCCCGCCCCGGCGCCTGCAAGTGCTCAGCGTTTCCTCGGGGCCTTCCCACGCCCTGCCGGGCTTCGAAGCCCAGGGACACGCGGACTGAAAACTCCAACGCTGGCCGGGGATTTTAGCAGCCTTCCGAGTTCTCACGATAAACTCATTCATTCCGGGGGTGTTTGAGGAGTGTCCCCTCTGTACAGGAGCTGAGCCAGGAATAGAACGAGCCTACAGTCTACGAAGAGAGCGGTTTAAAATGGGCAAAAATTAAAACACTACGGTGTAAGGTACTAAATTTTTATGCGCAACACAGGGCGACAGGTTTTAATACACCCTATGTTTGAATACCCCTGGAGATGTTGACATCCTGAACCCAGAGCAAACATCTTGGTTCAGGGTCCTCAAACTTTTTACTTCATGAGCCTTCTAAAACAATTTCGTAAAGCTGTGTATGTTCTTATACAGTTTAGAATGACAGCTACATTTTTCCGGCTTATAAATATTTCATCTGTCGCATTGTTTAAATACTGTATAGCCAATGGATTCTAAATACCATAGGGATTTAACACCCACTAATATCCATTTTTTTAAAATACAGTTTGGAAAATACAATTTCCAAATATTGTTTTCTGGAACTCATATTGACGTTGCATATCTCCTCTAGAATTTTATCCTAGTAATATATTTTATATTTGAACTATTTTGATCGTCTTACTTGTAATAAAAATGTGAACATAAATTGAAGTATCTGGGTTGTTTTTTATATTTTCTGTGATCATAAAGCTCTTATTTCAACCGATCAAAACAAATCTATTTCAAATGTTTGTAAGTACTAAACACAAAAGCAAAATTTTATTGGCAATGCATCTTGCAGAAATGAACTTGGGTGGACTTTTTTCTAATATACATTATGACCTTCAGTGGATGGATTTTTTTGAGAAATAGTTCAGCATCAGTTCTATTCCAAGTTTTCAATTCCATGGATATAAGTGTTGAGAAAACTTGTTCGCATAAAAAAAGCAGATGAGAATGAATGGAGTTTTGTTATAGTAATGCCACACAATTCTTTGAATGCCTTTCGCATTATATGCCCAAAAATCGCATAAAGATCTAACAAAGAAAAAATACTTTTAATGATCTGTCAGCTGACAACTCTGATTAGGTTCTCTTTCAACTTGTTGAAAGCAAGCAACTGAAAACCACCTGACTTGTGAAAGGATGTGTTACCCCATTCTTATTCACCAGTCAATTGTGCCTTTCTTTGGTGTCCTGGAGGTTTTTGCATAACCGGGTATTGCACCTTACTAAGATTTAGCATGAGGAAGAATTATGCCTTTCTTTTGTAAAGTAGGGAAGAGGTCATTGGAAGAAAGGAGACTGGAAAAGAGCCCACATTACACCCTGACCCAAGGACACATTTTCAGGCCAATTTTAGGGATGCTTCTACTCAAGGAAAATGAGGATAGAACTGACTGCCTGAAAACAGAGCCTCCATGCTCATTTCCCATTTGGGAAAGTCGTCATATACCGTGAGTACCCAGTATTACATCCTCTGCCTTAGGCCTTTGGACAACTGTTATATAAAATGTTGCCTCTAAGGGAATGCAAAAATAATAACATGGGACATCATTTACAGATACCTTCAGAGGCACATACAATGTAAGGTATTAACTTCCAACATTTTAAACCTCAAAGGCAATCTTAGATAAGGAATGTATTAAAGTGAAATACACTGTAAACTGTAAATTAAAAACTATCAGAAGGCCGGCAGGGTGGCTTATACCTGTAATCCCAGCACTTTGGGAGGCCAAAGTAGGAGGCTCACTTGAGCCCAGGAGTTTGAGACCAGCCTGGGTAAAATAGCGAGACCCTGTCTCTACGGCACACCTGTAGTCCCAGCTACTCAGGAGGCTGAAGTGGGAGGTTCACTTGAGCCCTGGAGGTTGAGGCTGCAGTGAGCCATGATCATGCCACTGCACTCCATACCTTTCCTCACCCATCATAAGGGTCATGGCCAACACTTCTACAACAAAAGACAGGTTAACAAGAGAAAAGTGTAACAAATTAATTTAATGGAAGTCTTATGTGACACAGGAGCCTTCAGAAGTAAAGACCCAGAGAAAGCTGTCCATTTGTATGCCTAGATTCAACAGAGTGGACATCCATGTAGAAATGTGATTGTACAAAAAGAGAATGAACTAATAGTAATAGACTGAGTGTGGAAACCCAGCAAGGCCTGTCCAGATTCGTCTTGACCTCTCTGTGTAGCATTCCTTCCACACCCAGGTATAGAGCAGACTTCTCTGGAATGAGAGTCTTCAAATGAGAAGGCAGAGAGTGACCTTTCTTCGTTTCATGGCTTACTTTGTGGGGAAAGGAGTTCTGGTTTATATGACTAGCCTAGGGTGAGTAACAGGGATAGGAGACAGCAGGACAGAGGTTCAGTGAGAGACTTTGCTTCTCAGGCTTTCCAATCTCCTTTAGTTCAAAGTACTCAGCATGGGGGCCAGGTGCAGTGGCTCACTCTTGTAATCCCAGCACTTTGGGAAACTGAAGCAGGGGGATCACTTGAGCCCAGGAGTTCGAGACCAGCCTGAGCAATGGGATGAAACTCCATCGCTACAAAACACTTTTTTTTGTTGTTAACTAGCCAGGTGTGGTGGTGTGCACCTGTAGTCCCAGCTACTTGGGAGGCTGAGGTGGGAGGACAGCTTGAGCCAGGAGATTGAGGCTGCAGTGAACTGTGAGTGATCAAGAGCCATTGCACTCCAGTTTGGGCAATAGAGTAAGACCTTATCCCCCCCCCAAAAAAAAAAGAAAAAAGAAAAGAAAACAAAAGAAAACACAAAGTGTTACCAGAAAGGGGCCCCGATCCCGACCCCAGGAGAGGGTTCTTGGACCTCACACAAGAAAGAATTTGGGGTAAGTCCATACAGTAAAGTGAAAGCAAGTTTATTAAGAAAGTAAAGGAATAAAAGAATGGCTACTCCATAGACAGAGCAGCACTGAGGGCTTCTGGCTGGCCACTTTTATGGTCATCTCCTGATTATACGCTAAACAAGGGGTAGATTATTCATGAGTTTTCCAGGAAAAGGGTGGGCAGTTCCTGGAAATGAGGGTTTCTCCATTTTTTAGACGATAGGGTAACTTCCCGACATTGGCATGGCATTTGTAAACTGTCAAGGCACTGGTGGGAGTTGTCTCTTAGCATGCTAATGTATTATAATTAGCACATAATGAGTAGCTACGATGACCAGAGGTCACTTACATCGCATCTTGGTTTTTGTGTGTTTTGGTCAGCTTCTTTACCACATCCTTTTACCAGCAAGGAGTTTGTGACCTGTATCTTGTGCTGACCTGCTATCTTATCCTAACTTAGAATGCCTAACCTCCTGGGAATGCAGCCCAGTAGGTTTCAGCCTTATTTTACCCATCCCGTATTCACGATGCGAGTCGCTGTGGTTCGAACACCTCTGACAAAAGTACTCAGCATGCCAAAGCACCATACTTTGGGGTATCATTTTCTGAGCCCCAACAAATGTATGTGCCAGACACTGTGTTAAGCCCTGGAGATTATGGTTCATGTTTGGCCGAGTTAATCAAGGAAAGCTTCATGAAAAATGTAGGATTTCGACAAAGTGTATAGTAAGACATACAATAACTATATCTGGTTTCATTAATTTGAGCTGGATTTTGAAGAGCGAACAGAATTCTGTGTTGGGGAACTCAAACTGAGAAGCAATATACGGAAAAGCATCAACATTTATTCATGACAAGGTTAATTAACCATAAGAAATCATGGCAAGAAAGCTAAAAATAGTTAAATATTAGATTGAAGAAGGACATGAATAAAAAGTTGATGTTGGGGACCAGTCACAGTGGCTCATGCCTGTAATCCAGCACTGTGGAGAGCTGAGACAGACAAATCACTTGAGGTTACGAGTTCAAGGCCAGCCTGGCCAACAAGGTGAAACCCTATCTCTACAAAAAATAAAAAAATTAGCCAGGCACAGGAGAATCACTTGAACCCGGGAGGTGGAGGTTGCAGTGAGCCGAAATTGCGCCACTGCACTCCAGCCTGGGTGACGGAGCATGACACCGTCTCAAGAAAAAAAAAAAAAAATTAGCCAGTCATGGTGGCACACAGCTATGGGAGGCTGAGGTGGGAGGATCACCTGAGCCTAGGGAGGTCCAGGCTTTCAGTAAGCCAAGCACCACTGCACTTCAGCCTGGGTGACAGAGTGAGACTTTGTCTCAAAAAAAAAAAAAAAGTTCTGACAGGTATGTACTAAGATATTTTAATAAAGGTATGATATGATTAGATTATATTGTACATCTGTAGAATCTAATATATAGGAGATAGGATGAAAAGTGTGAAAAGTTCCAGTGAAGGATTTATTAAGGGAAAAAAAAAGTGTCAAAAGTGAATGGAGATTAGACACATGGAAATGGCAAGTATCAAAGCCACAAACGAATATTTTAGCTGTGGTATTTATACTTGAAGACTAAAATGAACTGTCTCGGAATTGGCATTTTGCAGAAAATTGTGTTTCCCATCACTGGAGAGTTTCCCTGTCTTCCTCTTGGTTTAGTTGCAGACATCACTGCTCTGCATGCATCTCCTTAGAACAAGGCCACACTCCTCCATAACCACAGTGACAGGATGTCATTATTTCACTCTCAAAATTTAAATAACTGAAGTGTTGAACTAGAGCAGAACCTCTGTGTGACAGTTTCTTTTGGCAGCATCAGGTGACAGGTTTGATGATCCTGAGGACCAAAGTCATTCCCCAGCTCAGTACCCATTCATAAACTGTGCATTCCCGGTTTGTAGCTACATAGGTACTAAAAGTAGCTTTCATAAACTTTTATAAACTTTTATAACAACTTGACAGAGCAGTTTTATGTCTGCATAAAATTACTAATCTAAGGGCCAGGCACAGTGGCTTACGCCTGTAATCCCAGCACTTTGGGAGGCCAAGGCGAGTGGATCACCTGAGGTCGGGAGTTCAAGACCAGCCTGACCAACATGGAGAAACCCCATTTCTACTACAAATACAAAATTAGCCAGGCATGGTGGCACATGCCTGTAACCCCAGCTACTCGGGAGGCTGAGGCAGGAGAATCGCTTGAACCCGGGAGGTGGAGGTTGTGGTGAGTGAAGAGCACACCATTGCACTCCAGCCTGGGCAACAAGAGCAAAACTCCATCTCAAAAAAAAAAAAAAATTACTAATCTAACAATAAAAAAACTAGAGTTGGCTGGGCGCAGTGGCTCATGCCTATAATCCCAGCACTTTGGGAGGGTGAGGTGGGTGGATCACAAGGTCAGGAGATCGAGACCATCCTGGCCAACATGGTAAAACCTCGTCCCTACTAAAATAAAAAAAATTAGTCGGGCATGGTGGCGTGTGCCTGTAGTCCCGGCTACTAGGGAGGCTGAGGCAGAGGAATCACTTGAACCCAGGAGGCAGAGGTTGCAGTGAGCCGAGATCGCGCCACTACACTCCAGCCTAGGTGACAGAGCGAGACTCCATCTCAAATAAACAAACAAATAAATAAATAAAAATTTAAAAACTAGAGTTTATACTTTTTTTTTTTTGAGACGGAGTTTCACTCTTTCACCCAGGCTAGAGCAAAGTGGCATGATCTCGGTTCACTGCAACCTCCACCTGCCACCCTCCCACCCCTTTCCACCCACGGTTCAAGTGATTCTCCTGCCTCAGCCTCCCGAGTAGCTGGGATCACAGGCGCCTGCCATCACGCCCAGCTAATTTATGCATTTTTAATAGAGATGGGGTTTCATTATGTTGGCCAGGCTGGTCTCAAACTCCTGACCTAATGTGATCCACCTGCCTCAGCCCGCCAAAGTGCTAGGATTACAGGCATGAACCACCGTGCCTGGCCTTAGAGTTTATACTTTCTATGTCATCAGTTATTTTATTTTATTACACTGGGAATTCATTTTTACTGTATTTTACAAAAGTACCAGTCCACTAGAATTTTTTGTTTTTTTGGAGAAGGGGTCTCACTCTGTCACCCAGGCTGGCATGCAGTGGTGAGATCCTGGCTCACTGCAACCTCTGCCTCCTGGGTTCAAGCAATTGTCCTGCCTCATCCTCCCAAGTAGTTGGGATTACAGGCATGCGCCACCACACCTGACTCATTTGTTTGTATTTTTAGTAGAGACAAAGTTTCACCATGTTGGCCAGGCTGGTCTCGAACTCCTGAACTCAAATGATCCGCCTGCCTTGGCCGCCCAAAGTGCCAAGATTATAGGCGTGAGCCACTGTGCCCAGCCCAGAAATTTTTTTTTTTAAATACTGGTCTTTCACAAATTGAGAATCACTGTTCTACAGTTCTTTTTTTCCAGCTTGGTGAACGTGTGATGCTATAGGTAATTGTAAGTTGCCCAATAACACACTATTGCATAAGGGCTATTTGATTAGGAGTCATATTCAAACTCATCAACCACAGCACTGATGGGGTCAAATTAGCAACAATAATTTGAATTTCATTGGTTCATCTACCTACCAAGCCTACTAAGGTAGTCAGGACATCTCCAGCCTTCTGGGAGTCCCAGAAGGGCAAGGGTCTCTCACTAAGTCAAATCCTCTCCCAGGACCCCTTCCTCTGCTCTGCTATTCTAGGTACTGCAGACACCTACCAGGATTTGTGTGTGTGTGTTTACTTTGTCTTCTGGGTTTTCTTGAGACAGGGTCTTGCTCTGTTGCCCAGGCTGGAGTGCAGTGACGCAATCATGGCTCACTGTAGACTCAACCTTCTGGATTCAAGCCATCCTCCCACATCAGCCCCCTGAGTAGCTGGTACTACAGGTGCATGCCATCATGCCGGGCTAATTTTTGCATTTTTTGTAGAGATGGGATTTTGCCATGTTGCCCAGGCTGGTTTCTAACTCCCAAGTTCAAGCGATCCGCCCAACTTGGCCTAGCAAAGTGCTGGGATTACAAGCATGAGCCACCATGCCCTGCCAAAATTTGGGATACAAACAAAACAGCCAAAGTCATAGTACAGTCAGAAGAAATGGAGATCATTGTGTTAGGGGAACCCCGAAGCAGACTGCTTGTGCCCAATATCATATGGTTTTTAGTGAAACAGCCCTTTATGTTTTTACTCAGAGCTCTGTTTCTCTTAGGGATCCAGACATGCTTTCATGGGCCTAGACTGGCGACAGATTTGAGTAACAGCTACCCCACGCTGCATTTGTTACTCTCCATTCAATGACTAAGTCTTTCTTGTAGGGCTTCTCTAATTCTCTCTTCCACTAAAATGAGTTCTGTTCCAGGAAGCAGCTTCAGCCCCCATGGCAGCAGGTTTCTTGTAGTCCTGCCTCGCCAGTTTGCCAGACATGCCCAGACATGCTTGAGCCCAGCAACAGACCCAGCTTAGACTGGAGCTGAGATTCCTACTATACTACAAATGACATACTTCTGAAAAATTCTCTAAAATTGGCAGCTGTGTTACATTTTGCACTTTTATTTTAGGCTCCTTTATTTAGGTTCTGTGTGTTGATATTGCCATGGTGAGCAAGATCAATAGCAGCATAATGACCTCATTCTCTGAGTGACTTGGACTTTAAAGAAAGTATGCATAAAAAGAGATAACATCTTACAGGATGATGGAAATGATAGGATCTTAAAGCTGGAAAGAACTAGAAATCTGATGCAAGTTTTCCCATTCTGTAGATTGTAATCCAACCAAAACATGACCAAATAATGATTATAGTTTTTGAGTTAAAGTCTATCAGTATAGCCATTTTGAAACTTAACTGCTTTGGCTGACACCCGTCCACCATAAGGAGGTCATATGTAGGTGTAGTATTAGTAGTTCTCACTTTGAATTTAGTAAAATGCCTTTTCTATAAACTTCAGATAAAAAGATAGGCAAAATGTGAAAGGTGAATAGCATAGCTGCCACATTTTTTGTCTTTTCGTGTATTTTATATCTGACTTGCCAAAAAACTTCATGTGATGTTCAAAACTCTCTCGATTATTAAAAAAATTGAAATTGACAGATTGTTTATTGTAACATACAAGTCACAATACCAGTTAGTACTTTATCCATCAAATCCCTGGGAAGGTAGGGTAGAAAAACCTAAACTTAATATTTAATAAGTGAAATATAAAATAAAAGTCTATCAGCAGTCTGGATAAATCAACTTGGCCTTCAGCCAAAATAAAGCAACCAGCCCTCCTTTCTTAAGTATGTATGGCAGCTATTTTCCTTGCTAGCTTTAGTCATACCCCTATTTTTCCTCCTTTTTCACTTTCTCCCTTATTTCTTTACTTGCCTGTATATCTATTTTGTCATGTCTACATCTTGGTAAACTACCTTAAATAATCCTTAAATAATTTTTTTCTTTTTTTTTTTTTTAGACAGGGTCTGGCTCTATTGCCTGGACTGGAGTGCAGTGGCTCACTGCAACCTCAACCTCTGGGGCTCAAGCTATCCTTCTGCCCCAGCCTCCTGAGTAGCTGTAACTACAGGAATGCGCCATCACACCCAGCTAAAAATCTCCTTAAGCTCATAAGCAACTTCAGCAAAGTCTCAGGATACAAAATCAATGTGCAAAAATCACAAGCATTCTTATACACCAATAACACACAGACAGAGAGCCAAATCATGAGTGAACTCCCATTCACAATTGCTTCAAAGAGAATAAAATACCTAGGAATCCAACTTACAAGGGATGTGAAGGACCTCTTCAAGGAGAACTACAAACTACTGCTCAATGAAATAAAAGAGGATACAAACAAATGGAAGGACATTCCATGCTCATGGGTAGGAAGAATCAATATCGTGAAAATTGGCCATACTCCCCTAGGTAATTTATAGATTCAATGCCATCCCCGTCAAGCTACCAATGACTTTCTTCATAGAAATGGAAAAAACTACTTTAAAATCCGTATGGAACCAAAAAAGAGCCTGCATTGCCGAGTCAATCCTAAGCCAAAGGAACAAAGCTGGAGGCATCACACTACCTGACTTCAAACTATACTACAAGACTACAGTAACCAAAACAGCATGGTACTGGTACCAAAACAGATATATAGACCAATGGAACAGAACAGAGCCCTCAGAAATAATGCCACATATCTACAACTATCTGATCTTTGACAAACCTGACAAAAACAAGAAATGGGGAAAGGATTCCTGTTTAATAAATGGTGCTGGGAAAACTGGCTAGCCATATGTAGAAAGCTGAAACTGGATCCCTTCCTTACACCTTATACAAAAATCAATTCAAGATGGATTAAAGACTTAAATGTTAGACCTAAAACCATAAAAACCCTAGAAGAAAACCTAGGCAATACCATTCAGGACATAGGCATGGGCAAGGACTTCATGTCTAAAACACCAAAAGCAATGGCAACAAAAGCCAAAATTGACAAATGGGATCTAATTCAACTAAATAGCTTCTGCAGAGCAAAAGAAACTACCATCAGAGTGAACAGGCAACCTACAGAATGGGAGAAAATTTTGCAATCTACTCATCTGACAAAGGGCTAATATTCAGAATGTACAATGAACTCAAACAAATTTACAAGAAAAAAAAAAAACTCCCATCAACAAGTGGGCGAAGGATATGAACAGACACTTCTCAAAAGAAGACATTTATGCAGCCAAAAGACACATGAAAAAATGCTCATCATCACTGGCCATCAGAGAAATGCAAATCAAAACCACAATGAGATACCATCTCACACTAGTTAGAATGGCAATCATTCAAAAGTCAGGAAACAACAGGTGCTGGAGAGGATGTGGAGAAATAGGAACACTTTTATACTGTTGGTGGGACTGTAAATCAGTTCAACCATTGTGGAAGTCAGTGTGGCGATTCCTCAGGGATCTAGAACTAGAAATACCATTTGACCCAGCCATCCCATTACTGGGTATATACCCAAAGGATTATAAATCATGCTGCTATAAAGACACATGCACACGTGTGTTTATTGCGGCACTATTCACAATAGCAAAGACTTGGAACCAACCCAAATGTCCACCAGTGATAGACTGGATTAAGAAAATGTGGCACATATACACCAAGGAATACTATGCAGCCATAAAAAAGGATGAGTTCATGTCCTTTGTAGGGACATGGATGAAGCTGGAAACCATCATTCTCAGCAAACTATCACTAGGACAAAAAACCAAACACCGCATGTTCTCACTCATAGGTGGGAATTGAACAATGAGAACACATGGACACAGGAAGGGGAACATCACACACCGGGGCCTGTTGTGGGGTGAGAGGATTGGGGAGGGATAGCATTCGGAGATATACCTAATGTTAAATGACGAGTTAATAGATGCAGCACACCAACATGGCACATGTATACACATGTAACAAAACTGCACGTTGTGCACATGTATCCTAAAACTTAAAGTATAATGGAAAAAAAAAATTGTAGAGATGGGGTTTTGTCACGTTGCCCAGGCTGGGCTCGAACTCCTGGGCTCAAGCAGTCCTCTCACTTTGGCCTCCCAACGTGCTGGAATTACAGGCATGTGCCACCAGGCCCCGCCTAAATGATTTTTTAAAGTACATTTTCTTTCCTTTTTTTTTTTTGAGATGGAGTTTCACTCTTGTAGCCTAGGCTGCAGTGCAATGGTGTGATGTCGGCTCACTGTAACCTCTGCCTCCCAGGTTCAAGGGATTCTCCTGCCTCACCCTCCCAAGTAGCTGGAACTACAGGTGTGCACCACCACACCCAGCTAATTTGTTGTATTTTTAGTAGAGACAGCGTTTCACTATGTTGGCCAGGCTGGCCTGAAACTCCTGACATCAGGTGATCCGCCCACCTCAGTCTCCCAAAGTGCTGGAATTACAGGCGTGAGCCACCGCACCCAGCCTTTTGTTTCTGTTTTTGCAGAACCTGCTAATCCTCCTTCCTCCTCCCTAACACCACATGTGTCTGATTCCTATCTCCTTCCTGTTCATGGGCTGGGACACAGACATGATGGTGAAGGTGAAGCAACCTCAGCCATGCATACCATCACCACATTGGAGAAGGACAGAACCACAAAAGAAACATGGACCTCTAGATGACCTCATTTTGCAATGCCATCCACCCCGTGGACTGAAAACTCAGACATTTTGTAAGGGAGAAAGAAATCTTTTATCCAGTTTGTCTCTTTTATTTTTTTGAGACAGGGTCTTGGTTTTTTGCCCAGGCTGGAGTGCAGTGGTGCAATCTCGGCTCATTGCTGCCTTGACCTCCCAGGACCCAGGTGATCCTCCCGCCTGTCTCCCAAGTAGCAGGGACTACAGGCACATGCCACCATGCCAGCTAATTTTTGTATTTTTTTGTGGAGACAGAGTTTTGCCATGTTGCCCAGGCTGGTCTCGAACTCCTGAGCTCAAGCGATCCACCAGCCTCAGCCTCTAAAAGTGCTGGGATTACGGGAGATCACACCATTGCACTCCAGCCTGGGCAACAAGAGAGAAACTTCGTCTCAGAAAAAAGAAAAAAAAAATCCTAATTAGTGCAGGTAAAATAAACACACAAATGTGATTTTTTTTAATTCCCAGAAAACGGAGGCTCTGAGGAGTAAAATCCTTCAATTTCCTGTCCTTCCCACCCTACTATCTATAAACTCATCTCTGTCCTTGCCTATTGTTTCCTTCACTATAAAAGCCAAAGCTTTCTACTATGACAGACTCTTAGGTGTTCTAAAAAAAATAATAAAAATACTATGTTTGTATGTATGGTTTTTTGCCTCCTTGTTTTAGGGAATTTTAGAGAAACAAGGGCAATAGGAAAGGTTACTTATTATGGAAATTCGCTCATAGAAGTCCAGCAACCTACTGTCTACAAGCTGGAGAACCAGGAAAGCTGGTTATGTAATTCAGACCAAGTTCAAAGGCTGAGAATTGGATGGAGTCACTGGTATAAGTCCCAGAGTCTAAACCAGAAGTTTCAAACATAGGAGAAGATGCATGTCACACCTCAAGAACAGAGAGAGTTCACCCTTCCTCTGCGTTTTTTTTTTTTTTTTTTTTTTGAGACAGACTCACTATGTTGGCCAAACTGGAAAGCAGTGGCACATTCTCGGCTCACTGCAACCTCTGCCTCCCGGGTTCAAGAAGCGATTCTCCTGCCTCAGCTTCCAGAGTAGCTGGGGCTACAGGCACATGCCAACACACCTGGCTAACTTTTGTATTTTTAGTAGAGATGGGGTTTCACCATGTTGGCAAGGATGGTTTCAAACTCCTGACCTCATGTGATCCACCCACCTCAGCCTCCCAAAGGGATTACAGGCGGCATAAGCCACCGTGCCCGACCTTCCTCTGCCTTTTTATTCTATCGAATCCTCAGTCAGTTGGATAATGCTTGCCCACAAATCCTCAATCAATTGGATAATGCTTGCCCACATTTATGAGTGTAGATCTTTACTCAGTTTACAGATTCCAACACTAATCTCTTCCAGAAACGTCCTCACAGACAGTCTCAGAAATAATGTTTTTTGGTTATTTTGTTTGTTTTTGAGTCTCGCTCTGTTGCCCACGCTGAAGTGCAGTGGCATGATCTTGGCCCACTGCAACCTCCGCTTCTTGGGTTCAAGCGATTCTCCTGCCTCAGCCTCCTGAGTAGCTGGGATTACAGGTGCACACCACAGCCGGCTAATTTTTGTATTTTTAGTAGAGATGGGGTTTCACCATGTTGGCCAGGCTGGTCTTGAACTCCTGACCTCAGGTGACCCTCCCTCCTCGGCCTCCCAAAGTGCTGGGATTACAGGAGTGAGTCACCACGCCTGGCCAGAAATAATGTTTAACCAGCTATCTGGGCACCCCTTAGTCCATTCAAGGTTGACACATAAAATTAACCATCACACCTCTCTTCTTCGGTACATGGCAGCTCAGCTGGAGACCACATTTCCCAGACTCTTTTATGCTGTCTTACACCCAGTTAATTAACCTAAGCATATTTAGTTAATCTAAGTGTTGGAATTTTTTAGGTAGATAACAGTAGTTACCAAAGAATTGTGAATATAACCGATTCTGTAAAGTCAGTGGAATTTCAGCTCTCTCCTCTGTCCTTTTAGGTGCTGTTGAATGACAGATGCACTCAAGACAGACAAACACATTTCAGGAGCAGTATCATGTGCCCTCTAGTCACCATCATTGAATTAGAAATCCCAACATAGGGTCGGCTGCGGTGGCTCATGCCTGTAATCCCAGCACTTTGGGAGGCTGAAGTGGGTGATCACTTGAGCTCCGGAGTTTGAGATCAGCCTGGGCAACATGGTGAAACCCCGTTTCTACAAAAAATATAAAAATTAGCCAGTTGTGGTGGTGCACGCCTGTAGTCCCAGCTACTCAGGAGGCTGAGGTGGGAGGATCGCTTGAGCCAGGAGGCAAAGCTTGCAGTGAGCCATGATGGTGCCACTGCATTCCAGCCTGGGAAACAGAGCAAGACCCTGTCTCAAAAAGAAAAACAGAAATCCCACCATAGGACAGCTTGGGAATCAAGCATCAGAAAGCATCCTAAGATATCAGATAACAAAATTTGCTGTTCATGCAAACATAAGGAAAGTCTCCCAACTATTACAGACAACCCTCGTACCTTGAATACCTTTAATTCCACTTTTTTTTTTTTTTTTTTTTTGAGATGGAGTCTCACTCTGTCTCACTCAGGCTGGAGTGCAGTGGCAGGATCTCGGCTTGCTGCAGCCTACACCTCCCAGGTCAAGTGATTCTCCTGTCTCAGCCTTCCAAGTAGCTGGGACTACAGGGGTGTGCCATCATACCCGGCTAATTTTGTATTTTTAGTAGAGACAGGGTTTCAGCATGTTGGCCAGCCTGGTCTCGAACTCTCAAACTCCTGACCTCAGGTGATCCACCCAGCTTGCCTTCCCAAAGTGCTGGGATTACAGCATGAGCCGCCAGACCTGGCCTAATTCATCTATTTGATCCACCCAGCTCGGCCTCCCAAAGTGCTGGGATTACAGGCATGAGCCACCGTGCCTGGCCTAATTCCACTATTTCTAATATTCATCATGCTATTTAACAAATCACTAGCTTCACCAATACAAAACACATTTTAACATTCAAAATACCAGCTAGCATGATGTTATAGAGGTATTAACAGTAGAAGAATTTATTAGCAGTAATCTCTGTGTATGGTCCCTTTCTGATGTAATGCTAGCTTGACTTCCTTTCCCGTGTGCTGGAACAGGACTGTGTCGTTGACCCACCTTCAACATGTAGAGACAGTGAAGCAACAATATGGAAGGAAGGTGGGTCCCTGAGTGACTTGTGGTGCAAAGTTGCATGCCAGTTTAGTGGCTAGACTGTTACATGACAGAGAAAAATAAACCTCTATCTTATTTAAGCTACTATATTTTAAGGTCTTTGTTTGTTTGTTTGTTTTGAGATGGAGTCTCACATTGTCACCCTGGCTAGAGTGCAGTGGCTCAATCTCAGCTCAATGCAACCTCCACCTCCTGGGTTCAAGTGATTCTCCCGCCTCAGCCTCCTGAGTAGCTGGGCCTACAGGTGCACACAACCATGCCTGGCTAATTTTTTGTATTTTTAGTAGAGATGGGGTTTCACCATGTTGGCCAGGCTGGTCTTGAACTCCTGACCTCAAGTGATCCACCCACCTCGACTTCCCAAAGTGCTGGGATTGTAGGTGTGAGCCACCACACCTAGCTAGGGTACTTTTTTTAAAAAATGACATCTTAGGCCGGGCGCGGTGGCTCACGCCTGTAATCCCAGCACTTTAGGAGGCTGAGGCGGGCGGATCATGAGGTCAGGAGATCGAGACCATCCTGGCTAACAGGGTGAAACCCCGTCTCTACTAAAAATACAAAAAATTAGCCAGGCGAGGTGGCGGGCGCCTGTAGTCCCAGCTACTCAGGAGGCTGAGGCAGGAGAGTGGCGTGAACCCGGGAGGCAGAGCTTGCAGTGAGCCGAGATCGCGCCACTGCACTCCAGCCTGGATGACAGAGCAAGACTCCGTCTCAAAAAAAAAAGAAAAAAAGACATCTTAGCCTTTACTTAACAAACCTTTACTTTGCATCTTGATCCCATCATCTTTCATGTCCTCTACTGTGTGTTCAACACTGTCCTCTGTACTGGCTCCTTCTCTGCTGTTCATGAGCATGATCAAGTCTTTTCTGTGTTGCATGCTTTGCCACGTTTTCCCCTCTCCTTTTCCTTCCTTGCCACTCTTCTCTTGATTTCTCTGATACCACACTCATTTCAATGATCTATAGCTTTCATGGTTTCTTCTTGATCTCCTTGCTTTTTAAGTATTGATTTCCAAGTCTACCTACTTGGCCCAACTCTCTTCTTATTCTACAAGGTCTTCCCGGTAAATAACATCCATTCTCATGATGCTGATCTCTGCTGAGAGCCTCCCAGATTCATCCTCCATGCTGCCGTACAGTATTGATGCCTCCTTGAGATATGGGACCCTTAATTATACTGGGACCAATATATAAAATTTTATGTGTTTCCGTCTCACATAACATGAGGAGGACTGGACACCTCTCATGTATTTTATTTTTTATTTATTCATTTATTTATTTGTTTTTGAGACAGAATCTCACTCTGTCGCCCAGGCTGGAGCGCAGTGGCGCAATCTCGGCTCACTGCAGCCTCCGTCTCGGGGGTTCAAGCAATTCTCCTGCTTCAGCCTCCTGAGTAGCTGGGATTACAGGCGTAAGCCATGGTGCCCGGCCCCTCTCATGTATTTTACATTAACCTCAGCCTATGTGGCCCTTCAGCAGCTGTCAGATTATTTTAGTAAAGATCAATAGCATCCGCTGATTTATATAAGTGGAAGCTAAACATGCCTGCCCCTGCGACCTTGATATCAGGTAGTAGATTACCATGCAAGTTAGTCTTAGCCCAGATTATTCCAAATGTATTAACCTGTATTAGCAAGTGGGCCCAAAAAAACTCATCTCATCTGCTCATGTAAGCTTGAGGAAATCCTCACTCTGTCTTCAAGCATGCCTAAAGCATCTTGTATGGGAGCTTCACTCTGACGTGGCTGCAGTACTAGCCAAATAGCAGGATCAGCCAATCTTCTATTCAGATCTGTCAGCAGAGGCTTCCAAAAATTGAACTGAAGGCAATGGGGAGGGATGAACAATATAAAATCAAATAGAACTTAGACCTGGAAAGTAGGAGGTTGCTGGGTTTTCTAGCAGCTTATTCACCATATATTGAGTGTCTACTATGTATGAGGCACTGCTCTTAGCACTGGGCATATAGCTGTGAATAAAGTCAATTAATAACTCTGCTCTCATGAAACTTATACTCTGGTCAGATGTTCTTTTTTTTTTTTTTTTTTTTTTTTTTTTTTGAGACAGAGTCTCACTCTGTCACCCAGCCTGGAGTGCAGTGGCACAATCTCGGCTCACTGCAACCTCTGCCTTCCGGGTTCAAGTGATTGTCCTGCCTCAGCCTCCTGAGTAGCTGGGATTACAGGCATGCACCACCATGCCCAGCTAATATTTTGTATTTTTAGTAGAGATGGGGTCTCAACAAGTTGGCCAGCCTGGTCTCGAACTCCTGACCTCAGGTGATCTGCCCGCCTTGGCCTCCCAAAGTGCTGTGATTACAGCCATGAGCCACCATGCCCGGCCTGGGCAGATGTTCTTACAGCTCTTTCACACAAGAGTTATCAGACTGTGAAATCTTTCTACCCTCCCATATATCTGGAACACCATACATTTCACCAATGAAAACGGATTTCTACAAAAATTAACCAGGCATGGTGGCACATGCCTGTAATCCCAGCTACTCAGGAGGCTGAGGCAGGAGAATCGCTTGAATCCGGGAGGTGGACGTTGCAGTGAGCCAATATTGCACCACTGCACTCCAGCTTGGGCAACAAGAGTAAAACTCTGTCTCAAAAAAAAAAAAATGTATTTCTAGCATCCCTTTTGCTAATTACTTAACCTTCCGGTATAAATTTTTTAAAAAATCCTTGAAATGCCTAAGTAGCCACCTGGGGAGTATGGATTTTCTGATTAGGGCATTTCAAACTATAACCAACCAGCCCCAGGGTGTGAATTCCTAATAGGGTAACTCTAATAATAACTAACTTCCTTTCGAGTGTAGATTAAAGTTAATTTACACACTAGTACATTACAGTGTTTATAAGTAGGTATTTTAAAGTAAATTATAACAAAGGCAATATAACAACATGACAGGAAGTATGGTTGCCCAGATCTTCCAAGTATGACATACTGGTTTTATAAAGTTTCTTTCCCCTCCCCCCTCCACCCAGAGTCTTGCTCTATCACCCAGGCCAGAGTGCAGTGGCGCAATCTCAGCTCACTGAAAGCTCTGCCTCCCAGGTTGAAGTGATTCTCCTGCCTCAGCCTCCCGAGTAGCTGGGACCACAGGTGCGAGCCACCACACCCAGCTAATTTTTGTGTTTTTAATAGAGGTGGGGTTTCTCCATGTTGGCCAAGCTAGTCTCGAACTCCTGTGATCCACCTGTCTCAGCCTCCCAAAGTGCTGGGATTACAGGCGAGAGCCACCACACCTATCCTTGATATACTGCTTTTTAAATACTGAAGATATTTGTACTGCAGGTAAATTCTACTGTGTGAGTTCCTGGAACACCCTCCTCATGCTAAATAGCTTCCTTAGCCTCCCCACCATCAAACAACTAACTACAGGAACAACAACATGCACATCAGGGGCCTCCAGGCCCCCCTGCTATGTGACAAGGTTTGCATCCATTCTGAATGTTTCGTTTTCTTTTTTGAATGTTTCCTTTTTGTTTTATTTTTTTGAGACAGAGTCTCACTCTGTAATCCATGTTGGAGTGCAGTAGCATGATTACAGTTTACTGCAGCCTCAACCTCCTGGGCTCAAATGACTCTCCCACCTCAGCCTCCCAAATAGCTGGGACCACAGGCACATACCACAATGCCCAGCTAATTTTTCTTTTCCAGACTGGTCTCGAACTCCAGGGTTCAAGCAATCACCCACCTCAGCCTGCCAAAATACTGGGCCCTCTCATGCCATTCTTTTTTTTGTTTGTTTCTTTTTTTTTTTTTTTTTTTTTTGAGACAGAGTCTCGCTCTGTCACCCAGGCGGGGAGTACAGTAGTGCAATCTTAGCTCACTGCAACTTCCACTTCCTGGGTTCAAGCAATTCTTCTGGCTCAGCATCCTGAGTAGCAGGGATTACAGGTGTCCAGCACTACGCCCAGCTAATTTTTGTATTTACAGTAGAGACAGGGTTTCACTATGTGGCCAGGCTGGTCTCGAACTCCTGACCTCAGATGATCCTTCCACCTTGGTCTTCCAAAGTGCTTGGATTACAGGTGTGAGTCACCTCGCCCAACCCCTCTCAAGCCATTCTAATTAGTGAATAGCACTCTTACTCAAATCTTCAGCCATGAAGAAACTGAGAAGATTTTCTGAATCTCAACCTTAAATACCCTGGGGAAGAAATTTTCAACATCCCAGGTTGGGCCTGGGACTTACGCCAAAATTTACTAGGATTGGCTGTGCCACAGGACCTTGACATGGGAGGCTGCTTGTGGGGTGGGGTGATGGAGATGCTTGCAGACAATCTGCAGGTGTCCATGGCAGGGTTACTGGATTGCCCCAGTGTCAGCATTTTGCCAGGAAGGTCAATCAAGAGGGCAAAGAACCAAAACAGTTAAAGGTGTAAGCAGGATAGTGGACATGGAACGTAAATTGGATGGAAAGGGAAGTAAAAACAGGACTTTATTAAATTATGTGTAATAGACAATTTTACTTACATAAAAAGAGCTATTGGCCGGGCGCAGTGGCTCAAGCCTGTAATCCCAGCACTTTGGGAGGCAGAGGCAGGCAGATCACAGGAGTTCAAGACCAGCCTGGCCAACACAGCAAAACCCTGTCTCTACTAGAAATAGAAAAATTAGCAAGGCATGGTGGTGCACACCTGTAATCCCAGCTACTTGGGAGGCTGAGATAGGAGAATCTCTTGAACCCGGGAGGTAGAGACTGTAGTGAGCCGAGATAGCACCATCGTACTCCAGCCTGGGTGACAGAGTGAGACTCTGTCTCAAAAAAAAAAAAAAAAAAAAAAATGGTCAGCACAGTGGCTCATGCCTGTAATCCCAGCACTTTGGGAGGCCAAGGTGGGTGGATCACCTGAGGTCAGGAGTTCGAGACCAGCCTGGCCAACGTGGTGAAACCCCGTCTCTACTAAAAATACAAAAAAAAAATTAGCCAATCAAGGTGTCGGGTGCCTGTAATCCCAGCTACTGGGGAGGCTGAGGCAGGAGAATCCCTTGAACCTGGGAGGCGTAAGTTGCAGTGAGTTGAGATCGTGCCATTGCACTCCAGCCTGGGCGACAAAAGCAAAACTCCATCTCAAAAAAAAAAAAAAAAAAACTATTAATGCACACTTGAAATTATTGTCCTAGGTTATGGTCAGTTTATATAGGTATATAGATACCGTACCAAGGATAATCTGATGTTTTGGAAGGACGGAGTCTCACTCTGTGGCCCAGGCTGGAGCGCAGTGGTGCGATCTCAGCTCACTGCAACCTCCACCTCCCGGGTTCAAATGATTCTCCTGCCTCAGCCTCATGAGTATCTGGGATTACAGACGCACACCACCACGCCCGGCTAATTTTTGTATTTTTAGTAGAGACAGGGTTTCGCCATGTTGGCCAGTCTAGTCTCAAACTCCGGAGTTCAGTCTATCTGCCCGCTTCGGCCTCCCAAAGTGCTGGGATTACAGGGGTGAGCCGCCATGCCCGGCCGACTGCTACTTTAACACAAAGATGTTTTTCCCATCTTTTTTTTTTTATTATTATTTTTTGAGACGGAGTCTCTCTCTGTCGCCCAGGCTGGAGTGCAGTGGCGCGATCTCAGCTCACTGCAACCTCTGCCTCCTGGGTTCAAGCGATTCTCCTGCCTCAGCCTCCTGAGTAGCTAGGACTATAGGCACGTGCCACTACGCCTGGCTAAGTTTTTGTATTTTTAGTAGAGACGGGGTTTCACTGTTGTAGCCAGGATGGTCTCGATTTCCTGACCTCGTGATCCGCCAGCTTGGGCCTCCCAATGTGCTGGGATTACAGGCATGAGCCACCGCACCCGGCCTATTTTCCATATCTTATCATTACAAGGAAACTGAGGCAGGTGGAAGCGGCGGCGCTGGGAGCCGAGGAGGAGGAGGCTCCGGGTGCTGCTCAGGAACTGGGGACCCACGAGTGCCTGCACCCTGAGTGTTCAGCTCCAGAGGCATGATGGCTGGGTATGGGACCCTCCTCCAGGATCTGACCAACAATATCACCCTTAAAGATCTGAAACAGCACAAGTCAACCTGTAAGAAGGACATCCCCAGTGAAAAGAGTGAGGAGATCACTACTGGCGATGTCTGGTTTAGCTTCCTGAAGAGCCACTAGCCGGACAAAGACAACCTCTCCTACACTAAGCACATCTTTGAGATATTGACGAAAATTGTCTTGTGCTCAATGTAGGAGAGGTTGGCTCAGAGGCTGGCTCAGAGGCTGTCACCCAGGCTAGAGTGCAGTGGCACTATCATGGCTCACTGCAGCCTCGACCTCCTGGGCTCAAGTGATCCTTTCGTCAGGATATTTACAGAGGTTTATTATGAGCCAAATACTAGAAACCATGGCCCGAGGCACAGTGCCAAGAGGTCCTGACCACACATGCCCAAGGTAGTTGGGTTACAGCTTGGCTTTATACATTTTAGGGATACATAAGACATCAATCAATACATGTGATGTATACATTGTTTTGGTCTGGAAAGGCAGGACAACTCAAAGTGGGGGGATTCTTACAGACTCATATTGGGTAGATTCAAATATTTTCTGATTGGCAGTTAGTTGAAAGAGTTAAATTATAAAGATCTGGGGCCAAGTATGGTGGCTCACGCCAGTAATCTCAGCATATTAGCTGGCCAAGGCAAGAAGACTGCTTGAGCCCAGGAGTTCAAGACTAGCCTGGGCAATATGGTGAGACCTCATATCCACAAAAAAAAAAAAAAAAAAAAAAGCCAGGCATAGTTAGCATGCACCTGTAGTCCCAGGTACTCAGGAGGCTGAGGTGGGAGGATCACTTGAACCCAGGAGGTCGAGGCTGCAGTGAGCCATAATTGTGCCACTGCACTCTAGCCTGGGCTACAAAGTGAGACCCTGTCTCAAAAAATAAATAAAATAAAGACCTGTAATCAATAGAAAGGGGTGTCTCAGTTACGATAAGGGGTTGTAGAGACCAAGGCTCTTATTATGTAGATGAAGTCTCATAGAGGGTCACCCTTAGAGACAACAGATGGTGAATGTTTCCTATTTAGACCTTTAAAAAGAAGCTAGACTCTCCATTCGCTTCAGGATTGGGAGGGCCTGGAAGGGGAAAGATCTAGTTGTGTTAATAGAGATTCTTAGGCCGGGCGCAGTGCCTCATGACTGTAATCCCAACACTTTGGGAGGCCGAGGCAGGTGGATCAGAGGTCAGGAGATTGAGACAATCCTGGCCAACATGATAAAACCCCATCTCTACTAAAAACACAAAAAATAGCTGGGCGTGGTGGCACATGCCTATAGTCCCAGCTACTCAGGAGGCTGAGGCAGGAGAATCGTTTGAACCCAGGACGTGGAAATTGCAGTGAGCCGAGATCGTGCCACTGCACTCCAGCCTAAGCAACAGAGTGAGACTCAGTCTCAAAAAAAAAAAAAGAGGCTGGGCTCAGTGGCTCACACCTGTTATCCCAGCACTTTGGGAGGCTGAGGCAAGAGGATCACTTGAGGCCAAGAGTTCGAGATCAGCCTGGCCAACATGGAGAAACCCCGTCTCTACTAAAAATATAAAAATTGGCCGGGTGTGGTGGTGCGTGCCTATAATCCCAGCTACTCTGGGAGGCTGAGGCAGGAGAATCGGTTGAGCCCGGGAGGCGGAGGTTGCAGTGAGCCGAGATCATATGACTGCACTCCAGCCTGGGTGACAGAGTGAGACTCTGTCTCAATAAAAGAAAGAATCATAAGAAAACTGTGACATGTATCCACGACATCAACTTCTAAGAAATATATACAGAATGATTCTTTTAAGAACATCACAGTATTTATTGGTGTTTACTTTATGTCTGATGTTTCAAAGAAAAGAAAGTTGTACGGCGTGTATTTAGAAGATCTAGGTAGTAGTTTGAATAATCACTTTAGCTGGAGTGTGTGGTAAGTAAAAGGAAATTATGAGGCATTTTTATCTTGAAAGGATAGGGGCCGGGCGCAGTGGTTTACGCCTGTAATCCCAGCACTTTGGGAGGCTGAGGTGGGCCGGATCATGAGATCAGGAGATCGAGACCATCCTGGTTAACACGGTGAAATCCCGTCTCTACTAAAAATACAAACAATTAGTCACGCATGGTGGCACATGGCTGTAGTCTCAGCTACTCAGGAGGCTGAGGCAGGAGAATCACTTGAACCTGAGAGGTGGAGGTTGCAGGGAGCCAAGATCACGCCACTGCACTCCAGCCCGGGCGACAGAGCGAGATTCCAACTCAAAAAAAAAAAAGAAAAAAGAAAAGAACAGAAAAGATAGGCCAGGAGTGGTGGCTGACACCTGTAATTCCAACACTTTGGGAGGCTGAGGTGGGCTGATTACCTGAGGTCAGGAGTTCAAGACTAGCCTGGCAAACATGGAGAAATCCTGAACCCGGAGAATTGCTTGAACCCAGGAAGCGGAGGCTGCAGTGAGTTGAGATCACGCCACTGCACTCCAGCCCAAGCGACAGAACGAGACTCTGTCTCAAGAAAAAAAAAAAAAAAAGACCAGCCTGGCCAACATGGTGAAACCCCATCTCTACTAAAAATACAAAATTAGCTGTGTGTGGTGGCATGTGCCTGTAATCCCAGCTACTCGGGAGCCTGAGGCAGGAGAATCGCTTGAGCCTGGGAGACGGAGGTTGCAGTGAGCCAAGATGGTGCCACTGCACTCCAGCCTGGGTGACAAGAGTGAAACTCTGTCTCAAAAAAAGAAAAAAAAAGAAAAGATAGCTAAGACCATTTGTATCTCAGATTATTTATAATAGCAAAAAGCTCAAAACTTAGAAATGGAAGTAATGAGCAATATTGAATACCAATTATATGCAAATCCTATTATTCCAAACTAACCTGAACCAATTTGGACATGAATGACTTTTAGATAAATTCTGTTTGGCAGATACAAGTAACCAAAGTTGGGTTTTGTTTTGTTTTCTTTTGTTTTTTAAAGACAAGGTTTCACTCTGTCACTAAAGCTGGAGTACGGCAACGCTATCGTGGCTCACTGTGGCCTTGACCTCTCAGATTCAAGTGATTCTTCCACCTCAGCCTCCCAAGTAGTTGAGACCACAGGCACGCACCACCATGCCCAGCTAACTTTTCTATTTTTGTAGAGACAGTGTCTCCTTATGTTACCCAGGCTGGTCTGGAACTCTCAAGTGATCCTCCCTCCTTGGCCTCCCAAAATGCTGGGTTTACAGGCATGAGCCACCACACCTGGCCAGAAATTTCAAGAAAAAGCCAAGATTCCAGAAAGAATATCAGTTGGGTCAGGCATCCAGAATCCTCTAGTGTTCTTGGCCAGAGACTGCTTAAGGGATTTAGCTGAAAACATCATTGCCATGGGTGTGGGTTACAGGCCTCTAGGGATTCCTACACCCTAGTAATGAAAGGGCAAAGAGAGCCTCTGGAGGTATTGTATTGTATTGTATTGTATTGTATTGTATTGTATTGTATTGTATTGTATTGTATTGATTTAATCTCTCATCTCTGTAAACCTCTGGATCTGGAAAAATTTTAGGTAATCAGATATATTGAGTATCCTTCATTTTGACAAAAAAATCTGATTTCTAACATTCATCATGTTGGTCAACATGTCACTTTTTAACAGTAAAAACCCATTTCTCACATTTAGTAGGTGAATTACAAAGTGTTGCTATGATCAAGATACTAGTAACAGAAGTATTTGCAAAAGTGGCCTCTGAATGCTAGAAAATCACCACCCCTAGACTGTGCACTTTTTAATTTTTCATATATATATATATATATATATATATATTTTTTTTTTTTTTTTTTTTTTTTTTTTTTTTTTTGAGACAGGGTCTCATTCCGTCTATCATCCAGGCTGGAGTGCAGTGGCACAATCTTGTCTCACTGCAACCTCTGCCTTCCAGCTCAAGCGATTCTCCCACGTCAGCCCCCCAAGTAGCTAGGACTACAGGTGCCCACCACCATGCCAGGCTAATTTTTGTATTTTTTTTTAGTAGAGATGGGGTTTCGCCACGTTGTCCAGGACTGTCTTGAACTCCTGGCCTCAACTGATCCACCCGCCTCAGTCTCCCAAAGTTACAGGCATGAGCCACCACACCTGGCCCATATCCATATAGATAGAAAAGTACAGAGACAAGTATAATGAAACATGCAAACTCTCAGGTATGACCCTGAAGGTTCTCTGGGATTTGGACTCAAACTGTTTTTTTTTTTTTGGAGATAGAATCTTATTCTGTTGCCCAAGCTGGAGTGCAGTGGCACAATCTCGGCTCACTAAAACCTCCACTTTCCAGATTCAAGCAATTCTCCTGCCTCAGCCTCCTGAGTAGCTGGGATTACAGGTGCCCACCACCACATCTGGCTAATTTTTGTATTTTTGGTACAGACGAGGTTTGACCATGTTGGCCAGGTTGGTCTCGAACTCTTGACCTCAAGTGATCTCAAACCACTTTCCTACATTATCTGTGCTGGTCCCCAAGCTCTTCATTGTTCAGATAAAGCTGGGACTAGGGTGAGAAGAGTGAGGTGCCTAGAGCACAAAATGGAAAAAGACATCGCCCTCCAGTGCTGAGCCTGCACTTGTCCCATGTTGAGAGTGATGCCTCCTTAGCTTTTGCATCCTGGGTGCCTCTCTCACCTCATCCTAGTGCCAGGCCTATTCCCTGAAAATCTTAGGCACTTCACATGCACATACAATTTCAGTGCATCCTGAAAGCCCACTGATTTTGAGATGCCCTCTTAAAGTAACTTTGGGAATTGGCCAGGTATGCTGGCTGCCTGTCATGCCAGTGTCAGAGGCATGTGAACCAGAACAACTCCATCTTGAATAGGAGCTGGGTAAAATGAGGCTGAAACCTACGGGGCTGTATTCCCAGACAGTTAAGGCATTCTAAATCACAGGATGAGATAGGAGATCAGCACAAGATACGGGTCATAAAGACCTTGTTGGCCGGGCGCAATGGCTCACACCTGTAATCCCAGCACTTTGGGAGGCTGAGGCGGGAGGATCACGAGGTCAGGAGTTCAAGATCAGCCTGGCAAACATGGTGAAACCACATCTCTACTAAAAATACAAAAATTAGCCAGGCACGATGGCAGGCGCCTGTAATCTCAGCTACTCGGGAGGTTAAGGCAGGAGAATCGCTTGGACCTAGGCAGCAGAGGTTGCAGTGAGCTGAGATGGCGGCGCTGCACTCCAGCCTGGGTGACACAGTGAGACTGTCTCAAAAAAAAAAACAAAAAACAAAAACAAACAAAAAAAAAACCTTGATAAAATAGGTTGCAGTAAGGAATCCAGCTAAATCCTACCAAAACCAAGATGGCCACAAGAGTGACCTCTGGTTGTCCTCACTGCTCACTACCAGCAGCACCATGACAGTTTACAAATGCCATGGCAACATCAGGCAGTTACCCAATATGGTCTAAAAAGGGGAGGCATGAATAATCCACCCCTCGTTTAGCATATCATCAATAAATAACCATAAAAATGGACAACCAGCGGCCCGCTGGGCTGCTCTGTCTATGGAATAGCCATTCTTTTATTTCTTTTTTTTTATTTTGCATAACAAGTTTATTTTTTAAAAGGCATATAGACAATAAACAAACTAAATATTTAATCAGATCTTAACTTCTGTCCTAGAATTGTTCTGTTAAGTTCTAGTCTGTGAGCACTTGTAGTTCAATAATCGTCTTCTTCATCAGAGTCCATTACTTTTCTTCTGTTGAATTTCACTGTTGTTGTCTTTTCTGTTTGTTGGCTTACTTTTTAAAGGATTTCTATTAAACCTTGTTCTGACACCTTCTCAGTTGTCCATATCTTGCCATCTGTATAAGGTAATTCTCTACTGCTTTAGTTTTTTCAGGCTTTACAAGTGCTAAGTTACTTAAACCTGGCCCGGCCGACTGATCCAAAACTTGGGTTAAGATACTGTTTCTCATTTCTGCTTCCCTGTGCTTTGCTTCCTGTTGGGCTGCATCGCCAGGATCCTGTCGGCTAAACTTGGGTCAGAACAAATGAATTCCGGAAAAACTGAATTCGGCCCGGCTGCTGCTGGCTCCAAAAGCTGAGACTGTGCTTGGATCCAGGCCCGCCAGGACGAGCCCGCTCCAGGCCAGGGGACCCCACACCCCAACGCCGGGGCAGGTCCTGCATGTGGCAGCCCCTGCCGCGAGCCTCCTGGGCCCCTCGTGACGGGGAAAGCGGCATGGCCACCTCGGAGCCGGCCATGAGGCCGCCAGGGCAGCGCCAGGGACCGGGCCCCCGGGGAGGCACCCAGAGCCTCCCCATTCTTTTATTTCTTTACTGTCTTAATAAACTTGCTTTCACTTTGCACTGCGGACTCTCCCTGAATTCTTTCTTGCACGAAATCCAAGAACGCTCTCTTAGGGTCTTGTTCGGGACCCCTTTCCATAACATATTTCTCTGTCCTGTAACACCAGCACTTTGCGAGGCCGAGGCAGGAGGATTGTTTGAGGCCAGGAGTTTGAGACTAGCCTGGGCAACATAGTGAGATTCTGTCTCCATAAAATTAAAAATAATAATAATAATAATAACCTTCGGAGGCCGGGTGCAGTGGCTCACACCTGTAATCCCAGCACTTTGGAAGACCAAGGTGGGCAGATCAAGAGGTCAAGACATCGAGACCATCCTGGCCAACATGGTGAAACCCCTTCTCTACTAAAAATACAAAAAAATTCGCTAGGTGTGGTGGCGTGTGCCTATAGTCCCAGCTACTCGGGAGGCTGAGGCAGGAGAATCGCTTGAACCCAGGAGGTGGAGGTTGTAGTGAACTAAGATCACACCACTGCACTCCAGCCTGGCGATAGCACAAGACCCTGTCTCAAAAATAAAAGATAAAAAAAATTAAAAAAATAAAAAACTTTGGGAATCAAAATATGCAGTCTTCACATCAGCTCTAGTGTTCATATGTGACTTCAATTTTGAATCTTAAGATACAAGATTCCAGGGCCTCTGAGAGTCCACAGAACACCTCTGTGTGACTTGGAAAAGGCACTACCTCCGGACAGATACAGCCCTGCTGAGAGCAGCTGCAGAATAAGAAGAACTCAGCCTTGCTGTCTCCACCAGTGCCCTTGTAGTACAGAACCTGCGCAGCACTTACGGACAGGAGTCTGGTGATTCATGCCTTTCACGTGGGTGATGTGAATGAGGACCCAGTTTAGAGTCAGACATACCTTTTCAATTCCAAGCCAGCCTTATGCCAGGAAATTCTGAGCTTCACTGTACATGGTCTGAGTCTGTTCTCCAACCTCTAAAATGTGCGCAATAATTTTTAGAGTTATTATGAGGAGTAAACGAGTCAATCTATGTCAAGTGTTTTCTTTCTGTCTTATAGTTGCTGCTCATTAAATGCTAGTTTCCCTGGAAGAGCTTAATAGAAATGTGAATGAATGTGTTTCCTTCGGGCGATGTTCCAGCACTGTAGAGGTCTTAGATGTGCCAGAACCTGAGAGAAGAATAATCATAGTAATAATAACAAGTATGTATTATAAGTCTTTACTTGTGCCAGGCACTGTTCTGAGAACTTTACATGGATTAACTCATTTAATCCTCCCAACTCTAAGAAGCAGGAATTTGTAAAATCCCCTTTTAGAGATGCAAAAAGGCCCTGGCCAAAATGTCCTGGGGCTCCTCTGGCTCAGTAAGAGCTAAGAACCAAAGACAGAAGAGGAAATTCTCTCTGCATTTTCAGTCTGTGTGGCTCTCTGGCAAGGCTGGGTCTCCCCATCAGGGCACGGGATGTGGTAGAGGAGGTTCCCAGGCTGAAACAGTGAGCTACATCCTCCCTCTGGACCAAGCTTCCTTTAATATTGCGAATTAGTAAATCAGCTGGATAGTTGTTCTAACACTCCAGCTAAGAGTGAACAAGGATTATAGATGAGAATAGGCTAATTTGTTTGTTTTACAGAGTTAAATAATTTCAGGAGATCCACTCTCAAATTGTAGTCCAAGCTTCCAAGTGACTTTTGCTAATAGCTTTGCCTTTTCTTTAGTTTATGTCAGTAAAATGGGTGTTGTTCCACATCTGTTAACATCCCTATAAGCTTTCAGTGAATGTTTTTTTTTGCCGTGACCGCCTCACAGCCAGTGAACTTAATCATTGCTGACATCAGCAATTTCTCTGCCATTGATATGGAAGTTAAGTTTAGTTTAAGTAAAATTAGTTTACCCAAAACCAATTACGCATTTTAGCACCTGCAATGCAAGTTAAGCCGTCCCTCCTTCCTCAAACACAGCTATTTACATTTATTAGCACTTCACTGACAGGTCTCTTCAAGCTCAAGCATTAAACGGTCTTACAAATGTTTCCTGCTCCCGAATTCTTAGATACTGAGATCCGCATGGGCTGAAACCATCCTGATTATTTCCAGAAGCCTGGGAAACAGGTCCTAGATAGTCATAATTTAGTATTTTAATTTACTCAACAAATAATTACTGAACACCTACTATGTACCAGGATTTTGTAGGGTCTCTGGTAAAGAATACAAAAATCTTTTGGTTGGGGAAGGGGGTAGATGAAGGTCACGAAACAGGGGAGAAGCAGTTCCTAGAGGCACAAGGAAGCTAGGGAGAGCGCAGGGTATTCGAATTGGCTGTCTCAGCTAGAGAAAACATCTATAAAGGGCCAGACGCAATGCAGGTTCTGTCTCAAATATTTGAATCTCTTCCATCTACACCATTTGGCAGACAGGAAGTCCCTACTCTCTGTGGATTTACTAATGGGAGAGACAAACCTCTGATGTAATGAAGTGGCAGGAGGTGTGTTTACTCCAGCTTCCCTTGAAGGGAAAGAATAGTGGCAGAAAGTTCTTCGGTGAACCCCAGGGTACACATATAAGAGTGGGAGCACGTGCTGGTTTGCAGTTTTTGTTAAATCCAACTGGCTCCAGCTCTGTCAGATAAGAGTAAATTAATTCATTTATACTCCACAACCATAGCGGGGGATGAGAAAAAGGAGGTTGAGCAGTGAAGATTAGGGCGCTGGCCCTATCTTAGAGTGAGAGAGGGTCTAATTTCTTGAGAGAGAAGCCCTACATGTTCTGTTTTCTTGCCCTGGTCTGCTCCATTTTTGCACTTTTATAACTACTACACAAAAAAGCTATGGGTTGAAATCAGGTCCCTGGAGCATTTTTAGCTACCAGTCAATCTAGGGAAACTCTAGCTTTTGGAAGGTTAAATCAGACTATGATTCAGAGAGTTTGCATTTTAAGGAGAAGCAATGTAATTATTGCTCAGAAGAAAGTTTTAATGCAGTCCCAAGGTAATTAAGTACAAAGCCTAAATTAGATGCTGTACTTACTAAATTGACTTTCTATAACTTAGAAAAGAAGATTCCTAGGCAAAGCCCACGACATTATAATGAAAAAAGCCTTCCACTAAGCTGGTCTGATTGACTTGGTCAAATGGTATATAAATTAAATCCATCTGAAGAATCTGATCTCCAAATGGGATTTTCATTTCCATAAGACTGCAGTTTAAAAATGTATGTGAAGTAAGAAAGTAAGACTAAAATCATTTCCCCCCACGGCTGGTGAACTTGGCAGTCCACGTGGAAAATGAGCCAGCTCTTCCCTTGCTGAACAAATCCATTCAAAGTGATTTCACAGTTTTCCTTCCTTATCCTGTGGAATGTGGAAGCCATTTTCCAGTGAGTTAAAAAAATATGATTCTGAGGTTTTAACCCTTTGGGACAAGATATTCATTCTCTCTTTTTTTATTTTTCCAAGGGTATGTAGGATAATGCAATAGGGATTTTTTTTTTTTTTTAGCACAAATGCTGAAGGCAGAAAGTTGATTCAACCTTATTTAATTAGGACCCAAAGGGAATAGTTATGCCTAATATAATGCGAAGTTCTGTAATTGAACTAATATGATTTTGCAGCCACCTCTCAGGGCAACACTAACGCAAGTAGATTAAATGATGCAGGAAAAACTTTTTTGTTTTGGTGTTGCAAAATTAAATAAACTAATTAAAAATCACTAGTTGAAGGCTGCAAGCTTTTGTAGTCAAGTTGGGTTCTTTTGGGGGTACCTGACTTCCTTTGCCCAATTTTTCCCCGATTCTATGCCAAACTCTATGCCAGGTAAAAAAGATAGATATGTGTTTGCTTATATTTACATAAAATATATCTTCCGGAAAAGAAACAAAAAAAAATTTTTTTTGCTGTTTTGCTTTATTTATTTTTACTTTATTTATTTATTTATTTATTTATTTGAGACAGAGTCTCACTCTGTCACCCATGCTGGAGTGCAGTAGCGAGATCTCGGGTCACTGCAACCTCTGCCTCCCGGGTTCAAGCGATTCTCCTACCTCAGCCTCCTGAGCAGCTGGAATTACAGGTGTGCGCCACCATGCCCAGCTAATTTTTTGCATTTTTTTAGTAGAGACGGGGTTTCACCACGTTGGTTAGGCTGCTCTTGAACTCCTGACCTCGTGATCCACCTGCCTCGGCCTCCCAAAGTGCTGGGATTTTAGGTGTGAGTCACCGCGCCCGGCCTTGCATTTTTGAAATAGGCGATTCATTCACATTAAATCCAGAAAGTGTATACGAGAAAACGCTTTCTTTTTTTTTTTTTTTCTTGCTCTGTGGCCCAGGCTGGAGCGCAGTGGTGCAATCTCGGCTCACCGCAACTTCCACCTCCTGGGTTCAAGCGATTCTCCTGTCTCAGCCTCCCAAGTAACTATGCACCACCATGCTCAGCTAATTTTTTGTTGTATTTATAGTAGAGACAGAGTTTCACCATGTTGGCCAGGCTGGTCTCGAACTCCTGACCTCAGGTGATCCGTCCACCTCGGCCTCCCATAGTGCTGGGATTACAGGCATGAGCCAGCACACCCGGCCAAGAAAAGTCTTTCTACTTCTGCCTCCCAACTGCCCAGTTTCCCTTTCCAAAACAACTAATATTCTAATTTGGTTTTGTATTTTTGTTATGGTGAGATATTTTATGTATACTTAAGTAGCTACACATACGTATTCTCTAAGTCCCAAACTTAATCCTTACAAAAAGAACAGCATAGCTTAACAGAAACATCTTCCTTACATTTTAAACTTTTTTTTTTTTTTTGAGACAGAGTTTCACTCTTGTTGCCCAGGCTGGAGTGCAATGGCGCAATCTCAGCTCACTATAACCTCCGCCTCCGGGGTTCAAGCAATTCTTCTGCCTCAGACTCCTGAGTAGCTGGGATTACAGGCATGCACCACCTAGCCGGGATAAGTTTTTTGTATTTTCAGTAGAGACGGAGTTTCTCCATGTTGGTCAGGCTGGTCTCGAACTCCCAACCTCAGGTGACCCGCCCGCCTCGGCCTCCCAAAGTACTGGGATTACAGGAGTAAGCCACCACGTCCAGCCATTTTTAACTTTTTTAAGCAATAGGCTCGGCTGGGCTCAGTGGCTCACACCTGTAATCCCAGCACTTTGGGAGGCCAAGACAGAAGGATTGCTTGAGCCCAGGAGTTCAGGACCAGCCTGGGCAACATAGTAAGACCCTGTCTCTAAAAAGAAAAAAGAGATGGAGGCTGGGCGTAGTGGCTCACGCCTGTAATACCAGCACTTTGGGAGGCCAAGGCAGTCAGATCATGAGGTCAGGAGTTCAAGACCTGCCTGGCCAACATGGTGAAACCCCGTCTCTACTAAAAATACAGAAATTAACTGGGCATGGTGGCGTGCGCCTGTAATCCCAGCTACTTGGGAGGCTGAGGCAGGAGAATTGCTTGAGCTGGGACCTGGGAGGTGGAGGTTGCAGTGAGCCAAGATTGCGCCCGGGCTACAGACCCAGACTCCATCTCAAAAGAAAAAAAAAAGAAAAAAGAAAAAAGAGATGGGGTCTTTCTGTGTCACCCGAGCTGAAGTGCAGCGGTACCAATAGCTTACTGCAACCTTGCGTTGAACTTCTGGGCTCAAATAATCTTCCCACCTTAGCCTCCGGAGTAGCTGGGACTACAGGTGTGCACCATGCCAGGCTAATTCTTTTTTGTTGTTAGAGATGGGGTTTCGCTATGTTGTTCATAATGTTCTCAAATTATTGGGCTTGAGTAATCTTCCTGTCTCAGCCTCCTGAGTAGCCGAGATTACAAGTGTGAGACACCATGCCCAATCTTTACATTTTTTTAAACGTAAAAAATTTCTTTGACAGAGGAGCAAAGGTAATACAATAGAGAAAAGATAGTCTTTTCAACAAATGTTGTTGAACAACTGGACATCCACATGCAAAATATGAAACTAGACAGACCTTACATCCTTCACAAAAATTAGTTCAAAATGGATCACAGACCTAAATGTAAAACGCAAAACTATAAAGCTCACAGAAGATAACATAGGAGAAAATCCAGATGATCTTGAATTTGGTGATCACTTTTTAGATAGAACACCAAAGGCAAGATCCGTGAGAGAAATAATTGATAAAATAGACCTCAGTAAAATTTTTTTTTTTTTTTGAGACAGAGTTTCGCTCTTGCTGCCCAGGCTGGAGTGCAATGGCGCAATCTCAGCTCACTGCAACCTCCGCCTCCTGGGTTCAAGCGAATTCTCCTGTCTCAGCCTCCAGAGTAAGCTGGGATTACAGGTGCATGCCACCACGTTCGGCTATTTTCTGTATTTTTAGTAGAGACGGGGTTTCATCATATTGGTCAGGCTGATCTCGAACTCCTGACCTCAGGTAATCCACCCACCTGGGCCTCCCAAAGTGTGCGTCTATTTATCTGAAGATTGTTAGTGCAGTTAAACTATTTTGTATGATAATATAATCATGATGCATGTCATTATACATTTTTGTAAACCCACAGAATGTATGATGCCAAGAGTGAGCCCTAATGTAAACTATGGACTTTGGGTGATAATGATGTATCAATGTAGGCTGGGTGTGGTGGCTCATGCCTATAATCCCAGCACTTTGGGAGCCCTAGGCAGTGGATCACTTGAGGTCAGAAGTTCGAGACTAGCCTGGCCAATATGGTGAAACCCCATCTCTACTAAAAATGCAAAAATTAGCCAGGCGTGGTGGCAGGCTCCTGTAATCCCAGCTACTTGGGAGGCTAAAGCAGGAGAGTCCTTTGACTCGGGAGGCAGAGGTTGCAGTGAGCCAAGATTGCACCACTGCACTCCAGCCTGGAGTGAGACTCCGTCTCAAAAAAGAAAAAAAAAAAAAAAACTGGCCAGGCATGGTGGTGCACATCTGTAGTCCCAGCTACTCCGGAGGCTGACACAGGAGAATCACTTGAACTCGGGAGGTGGAGGTTGCAGTGAGCTGAGATGGCCCACTGTACTCCAGCCTGGGGACACAGACTCCATCTCAAAAAAAAAGATAAAGTATCAATGTAGGTTTATAGGTTCATTGATTTTAATAAATGTATCCTCTGGTGAGGGATGTTCATAATGGGGGTGTGAGACGAAGCAGGAACCCCTGTTAGGGGCCTGCCAGTCCTCCCACCTCTCTACCATCCTGCCACAAGCATGAAAATAGAGGAAAATCTTGAATTTCTTTAAGAACAAATCCAGCCGGGCGCAGTGGATCACGCCTGTAATCCCAGGACTTTGGGAGGGTGAGGTGGGCGGATCACGAGGTCAAGAGATGGAGACCATCCTGACCAACATGGTGAAACCCTGTCTGTACTAAAAATACAAAAATTAGCTGGGTATGGTGGTACATGCCTGTCAGTCCCAGCTACTCAGGAGGCTGAGGCAGGAGAATTGCTTGAAATCGGAGTCAGAGGTTGCAGTGAGCCGAGATCGCGCCACTGCACTCCAGCCTGGCGACAGAGCGAGACTCCGTCTCAAAAAAAAAAATAAGTAAATAAAATAAAAATAACAATTCCAGATACCTAGCTAGTGCTGAGAAGTAAATAAGCAATTTGATAAGCAAGAAGGTAATAGTAGCCTAAAACGATAGCCAACTGGGCGAGGTGGCTCACGCCTGTAACCCCAGCACTTTGGGAGGACGAGTCGGACAGATCACTTGAGTTCCAGAACAGCCTTGGCAACATGGTGAAACCCCATCTCTACTAAAAAGGCAAAAAATTAGCTGGGCGTGGTGGGGCATGCCTGTAGTCCCAGCTACTCAGGAGGCTTGAGGCAGGAGAATCACTTGAACCCTGGAGGCAGAGGTTGCAGTGAGTCCAGATCTCGCCACTGCACTCCAGCCTGGGCAACACAGTGAGACCTTGTCTGAAAAAAAAAAAAAAAAAAAAAAGAGTAGCCAAGGAAGTTGGAATCACGAGATGTTTGGTTCCCTATAGAAACTAAAAATAATATCGTAACATATGGCCCTGCGTTTCATAAACATGGATCCCTAACAAATGGATCCACTGCCACATAGACCTCAGATAAGGGAGAACTGAGAACTCAACTCTCCCGCATTCTTTGTTCTAAATTTCTTCCTGAGGAGCCTGGAGAAAGCCACACCCACGAGCCAGACCCAACGTTCTTTTCTGCGGAACCCAGTCTTTATAAATGCTTCCCTTCCTTAACCAGTTGTAAATCAGAAAATCTTTGAAACCTTGTTTTTCCAATATGGCGGATAGGAGCCGGTGTTAGCGTGCCTCTCCCACTTGGAAAGACAGAATAGTGTGTAGAGATTCACACTGTGAACATTTTTCCGAGAAGCAACACAGGAACTTAACAGAAAACCACAGACCCTTTGAAAGAAGCAGTGGGTAGCACCCTACACTGTGAAGTAGAAAACTGTTGAGTTTTCAGAGCCTGAGAGGAAGCGCGATGGCCGCCATGCCACACACGCCCTAAAAGAGCTGGGCAACCCAGGCCACAGGGGAAGGCCTTAACCCTACCCAGCTGTTGCTGATTTAGTGAGTGATGGGGAATGTGTGAGAAAGAGTGGCTCTGGGAAGTGCTCTGCACGCACTCCCAGACTCACGCAGGGACAGAGGGAAGCCATTCCTGATCCTACCTCACAAAGGACCGCTGGGAAGTCGGCCAGCTAACTCAGGCGATGGTCACAGGTTAAGAGAAGCTCCCAAGTGAGATCTGCGATATAATCACCTTGACTGGGGACGATCTCCGTTGTCCAGAACCGAGGGTCGAGCGGGAAGTGCGGCGAAGGAGCTGGTTGCCCTTGCTTTACAGGTGGACGCTGGGAGGGGCGTGGCCTGAAAGCCAGGGTTGCTATCTCTCTAGGAAGGCTTATGGCCTGGAGCTTTTTTTTTGAAACGGAGTCTCCTTCTGTCGCCCAGGCTGGAGTGCAGTACCGTGATCTTGGCTCATTTCAACCTCCGCCTCCCGGGTTCACGCCATTCTCCTGCCTCAGCCTCCAAGTAGCTGGGACTACAGCGCCAGCCACCACGCCTGGCTAATTTTTAGTATTTTTAGTAGAGACGGGGTTTCACCGTGTTAGCCAGGATAGTCTCGATCTCCTGACCCGTGAACCGCCTGCCTTGGCCTCCCAAAGTGCTGGGATTACAGGCGTGAGCCACCGCGCCCCGCCGGCCTGGAGCATTTTTGAGTTCTGAGTGCAGGCTGCCTGGAACCTACCTAACTGTTGCTAGTGGAACACTGCGGGTGGGAGCTGTTTGGGGCTTACTGCCGCCTGCTACCCTCGGTTCCCCATGCAGATTCTTTCGTGCAGCAGAGGCAGCTGTGCTTTTCCCTGGAACATTACTCCAGCAGCCAGGAAACTTCCCTCTGATCCCCACTAAGGCCACTGCTTGTGCCTACATCTGGGGAGCCGGAGGGTGGACTTGCCTGACCCAGCCCCCACCTGGTTTTGCCAATCCACCCGCACAGATAGTGTAACACAAGGGACTGGGACATTTAGGAGTGGAGCTCCATGGCCCTACCCATGGTCTGAGAGGCCAGAGTACTTCTCCTGGGTGACATAAGGCAAGCACAAATTCCATTGCTACCACCACAGCTGGCGCTTTTTGCAAGCACCAATTCCTGGCTGGAGGCCAACCAGTGCAGCCCAGTACATTTGCAGACACAATAACGCAGTGTTCAGGAAGGAGAAAACTTGAGTGACCTCAGCTATTGCCACTGCCTGCATCACCTTGGCTAACTAGGAGGTCTTGAGTCTGTCCACATGCCCAGTACATTACTACGACAGCTGGCATTTGAGGAGGCCAACACACTAAGCCATTTGTAACCAAGGAAATCTCAGAGTCTGTGTCACTCTCCTCCTGACCCCATCAGAGCTGGTGCTGGTACCTGCTGCTGGGAGACTTGAGGACAGGTCACATCTCTGGATCCCTTGCAGACATTCCCCAGCACCAATCTGGAGTGTGACAGCCCCACTGAGCAGCTAGACCCAGAGGAGCAGTATTCACAGTAGTCTGGCCCTCAGGGACTGCTACTCCTAGGGGAAAGGGAAGTGTACTACCTTAAGGGAGCACCCTCTGGGACAAAAGAAACCAGGCTGCAGGACTTGAGTTCCTAGTATTTCCACTTGTGGGAAGTTTCTTTCAGCAAAGCCACAGGTTCAGTGGTAGGCTCAGTGAGGAAAGTCTGTGGCCCTACCCCAATAGTCAAGCATCCCTGGCACTCATGAAGGGTCTTGGAGAAGAGAACTTCTCCTCTCCCTTTCCCACCACTGCAGACATAGCTGGACCTTCCCCCATGAGAACTTGGCATAGGTGCATTCGTAGACAACCTTTCTGGAACACTATAGGGTGACTGCAACCCCACAGGAGGAGTGCCATCCAGGTTCAGGCTTGCATGAGAGGGAGAGTCGCAGTCCCTCTCTATGTGGAACAACAGCATTCCTGCAGATGAACAGAGGTGCTTGTCTCACCAGAACAGTCGGAATGCTGGGTCAGAAGTGTAACTAGGAGGTAGATCCGCTTCCTGCTGACCTGGCAAGGGAGCTGAGGTGGCTCCCTCTCTTCCCCCTGAAAAGACAGTGCGTTTCGCTGAGAGCCTCCTCAGCTGCCTCTGTCAAGAGTGGGGCCTCTGCCAATCATTGGGGTATTGCATTTACCCACCTGCTTTAGCTGCAGCCAGTTTCTACCCATGGGTAACTCCTACTGGCTTGAAGCCTGAACTGTTCAACCCAGTGAATAAAATACTGGGGGAAAAACTTCTTTAAGTGTGCACATTGGGGAATGAGGTAAGCTTCGTGAGACCTCTGCTATTCCAGCCCCACAAGAGACAGTGAAACAATGTACACAGCCTGTACCTTGCTACTACAACCAGCATCTGAGGAAGCCATTGCACAAAGATTCTCTTTAACCAAGGAGCACATACAGAATCTGCATCACTGAAAGCACCCGGAGCCAAAGGTAGCTGACAGTAAACTGTAAGTATTAAAGTGACATCCTCAAGGGGGAAATAAAAATAAAATTTAAAAACTTGGCTGGGCACAGTTGTTCATACTTGTAATCCCAACACTTTAGGAGGCTGAGGCAGGTGGATCACTTGACCCCAGTAATTTGAGATGAGTCTTGGCAACATGGCAAGACCTCATCTTGAAAATAGAAAAACAAACAAACAAACAAAAACACAACAACAGGCCGGGCATGGTGGCTCATGTCTGTAATCCTAGCACTTTGGGAGGCCGAGGCGGGAGATCACCTGAGGTCGGGAGTTTGAGACCAGCCTGGCTAATATAGTGAAACCTCATCTCTACTAAAAATACAAAAATTAACTGGGCTTGGTGGCACCCTCCTGTAGTCCCAGCTACTTGGAAGGCTGAGGCAGGAGAATCGCTTGAACCCGGGAAGCGGAGGTTGCAGTGAGCCAAGATCGTGCCACTGTACTCCAGCCTGGGTAACAGCGAGACTCTGTCTCAAAAAAACAAACAAACCAAAATAAAAAAAATTAGCCTGGCATGGTGGCAGTCTCCTGTAGTCCCAGCTACTTGGGAGACTGAGGCAGGAAAATCGTTTGAACCTGGGAGGTGGAGTTTGCAGTGAGCTGAGATCGTGCCATTGCCATTGCACTCCAGCCTGGGTGACAAAGCAAGACTCTGTCTCAAACAAAACAAAACAAAACAAAACAAAACAAAACCAAAAACACAGTTGGACGCAGTGGCTCAGGCATGTCATCTCAGTGTAATCTCGGCACTTCAGGAGGCAGAGGCAGGCAGACACTTGATCCCAGTAGTTGAGACATGCCTGGGCAACATGGAGAAACCCTGACTCTACAAAAAACACAAAACGTAACGAGGCATGGGGATGCACACTTGTAGTCCCAGCTACTCAGGAGGCTAAGACAGGAGGATTGTTTGAGACTGGGAGGCAGAGGTTGAGGTGAGCTGAGATCATGCCATTTTGAGACAGAGGCCCTGTCTCAAATAAATAAATAAATAATAAATAAATAAAAGTCAGTCAAATAAAAAATAAATTCAAAAATAATTAAAAGAAATAGTTGAAGGCCAGGCGCAGTGGCTCAAGCCTGTAATTCCAGCACTTTGGGAGGCCAAGGAGAGCGGATCACGAGGTCAGGAGTTCAAGACCAGCCTGACTAACATGGTGAAACCCTGTCTCTACCAAAAATTTAAAAATTGGCCAGTGGGGTGGTGCGCACCTGTAATCCCAGCTACTCGGGAAGCTGAGGCAGAAGATATGCTTGAACCCGGGAGGCAGAGGTTGCAGTGAGCCAAGATTGCGCCACTGCACTCTGGGCAACAGAGCGAGACTCCATCTCAAAAAAGAAAAAAAAAAAATAGGCCAGGCGCGGTGGCTCACGCCTGAAATCCCAGCACTTTGGGCAGCCGAGGTGAGTGGATCACCTGAGGGCAGGTGTTTGAGACCAGCCTGGCCTACATGGTGAAACCCCATCTCTACTAAAAATCCAAAAAAAAGTTAGTTGGGTGTGGTGGTAGGTGCCTGTAATCCCAGCTACTTGGGAGGCTGAGGCAGGAGAATCAATTGAACTCGGGAGGCGGAGGTTGCCGTGAGCCAAGATTGCGCCACTGCACTCCAGCCTGGGCAACAGAGTGAGACTCTGTCTCAAAACACACACACACACACACACACACACACACACACAAAATTAGATTTGGAAATAAAACTTAGGTTTTATCTGTTTGGCTCCAATCAGTATACAAAAAGTCTTCTCTATATTCATATAGCAAGCATAGCATTGGCATATTAGTAAGGCCATAAAGGACTAGGCACTGATTACATCTACAGGTCGATTAGTAAGGAAATCTTAATGAGGGAGTTAGTTAAAAACTTATAAAGAACCATTTCAGGAAGTTTATTAATCTCTACTGATTAAAATGAATCACAACAATTTGTTGCCCTGTATAATTTAGGAAGAAGTAGGCTAGTAGGTCCTTAATGTTTGCCTATGTGTAAGATGAGCCCGAGTCATAATTTAGATCTATAATGCTGGCCTTATTCACTTGAAATGCCCTTAAATATCCTACTAAGAAACCTTCTATTTAATTACTTAAGAACACTTTAACTCCATAAAATTTGAACTGTTGGGACAGGTTGATTCAATTAGGAGTATACGAATAACCAATATAACTATTGTCATAAAATTCTTTAAAATTAATGCAAAGCTACAGGATCTTCCTAAGGTAGGACTGAAACACAAACAAAGCTGTTTTCTTTCTACTGTGTGTTATTAAGTTTAATTGCTTCATTCTCTTGATTGCTTTTGAAAGAGAAGGAATCGGCCGGGTGTGGTGGCTCACACCTATAATCCCAGCACTTTGGGAGGCCGAGGCAGGCGGATTACAAGGTCAGGAGTTTGAGACCAGCCTGGCCAACATGGTGAAACGCCGACTCTACTAAAAATACAAAAAAATTAGCTGGGTGTGGTGGCACATGCCTGTAATCCCAGCTACTCAGGAGGCTGAGGCAGGAGAATCACTTGAACCTGGGAGGCAGAGGTTGCGATGAGCCAAGATTGCGCCATTGCACTCCAGCCTGGGCAACAAGAGCAAAACTCCGTCTCAAAAAAAAAAAAAGAAGAAGAAGAAGGAATCAATCAAGCTTTCACCAAAAGCTGATGCCATTGCATTACGTATGAAGTTGGCAAGGGAAGACAGACTTGTGACCTAAAAGGAAATCAGGATTTAAAGCATTTACAAATGTGAGGCTCTTCTGTGTCCAAGTCTCCTTTGGTAAGAGACATACTGCATTTGACCATTAACTTCCATGCTATTCACTTAACATAAGTTTCTCAAGTTTATGTTTTAGGATAGGGCAGTCCCTTGAATATCAAGATGATACTACTGATCTGACATTACAAATATATAAAGACACACTTTCCCCAGGAGTGTTGAAAATGTCCTGTCTACATCACCTCCTTAAAATCCCTTGGGAATAACAGCACTTTTGCGATGACAAATTGGAAGTAGGGATGTTGATGATGGAAGAAATGTTGCCTGTATTTGAATCTCCTGGCCCCCCGGGGGGGGTAAGCTCCTGGCCTCATTGACATCAGAGTCCAACAAGCTGAGTGAATTGGTACATACTCTACTTAAAGGCAATTATTTCACAGCTGAATGTTTGGTTGTTTTCTTTATGTTGCTGCTTTGTTTTTTGTTTGTTTTTGTGACAGAGTATTGCTCTGTCACCTAGGCTGCTATGCAGTGGCCCCATGCCCTGCTCACTGTAGCCTTGACCTCCTGAGCTCAAGTGATCTTTTCTCTTCAGCCTCCTGGGTAGCTGCAACTACAGGTGTGAGCCACCACACCCAGCTAATTTTTGAAATATTTTTAGAGATGGGGTCTCCCTGTGTTTCCCTTGAACTCCCTATGTTGGTCTTGAACTCCTGGGCTCAAACAATTCTCTCTCCTTAGCCTCCCAAAGTGCTGGGATTAGAGGGGGGAGCCACTGTGCCAGGCCACATCTCAATGTTTTAAGTGAGACACATGGTGCAGGGGAAAAAAAAATCCCTGTCTCTCTCCCCTAATTTTTTTTTTTTTTTTTTTTTGAGATGGTGTCTCACTCTGTCGCTCAGGCTGACACCATCTGGGCTCACTGCAACCTCTGCCTCCTGGGCCCAAGTGATCCTCCCGCCTCCTACATCAGCCTCCCGAGTAGCTGGTACTACAGGTGCACACCACCACACCTAGCTATATATATATACATATATATATATATACACACACACACACACACACACACACACATATTTTTGTATTTTTAGTAGAAACGGAAACAGGGGTCTCACCATGTTGCCAAGGCTTGTCTTGAACTCTTGAGTTGAAGAGATCCACCCGCCTTGGCCTCCCCAACTGCTGCAATTATAGGCATGAGACTCGCTGCTGGCCTCCTCTAATTTTCTAATCTGTCTGCACATTTATGGGTCATTGCCTAATTATAACTGGAGGTCACCACTGGGACCTGCTGAACAGTCCCAGAGTTTAGAGCCAAGTTACAACCTGTTATCCTTCAGCACAGCTCCAGAGCAAGTTCTCAGATGGAAAACTTTCTCATCCAACCTGCCAGCAAGATGGCTTCATGATGTGTCATTTGTTTGTAATCTTTGTAGGCAAGATTCAGCAGGCAGCTGAAACAGCTATCAAAGGCAGACTATCTTAGATGGGGCGGAGTCCCCGGAGGCGAAATAAGAATTTGATAAAGAAAGGTTTTCGTTTTGTTTTTTTTTAGAGACAACATCTTGCTCTGTCTCCTAGGCTGGAGTGCAGTGTCACCATCATAGCTCACTGCAGCCTAGAACTCCTGGGCTCCAGTGATCCTCCTACCTTAGCCTCCCAGGTAGCTGGGACTACATGGATGTGCCATTATGCCTGGTTCATTTAAAATTTTTTTTTTTTGATACAGAATTTCAGTCTTGTCACCCAGGCTGGAGTGCAATGGCGAGATCTCAGCTCATTGCAAGCTCCACCTCCCAGGTTCAAGAGAGTCTCCTGCCTCAGCCTCCCGAGTAGCTGAGACTACAGGTGCGCAACACCATGCCCAGGTAATTTTTGTTTTGTTTTGTTTTGTTTTGTTTTGTTTTGTTTTGAGATGGAGTTTCGCTCTTGTTGCCCAGGCTGGAGTGCAATGGTGCCATCTCGGCTCACTGCAACCTCCACCTCCCGGGTTCAAGTGATTGTCCTGCCTCAGCCTCCTGAGTAGCTGGGATTACACGCATGCGCCACCACACATGGCTAATTTTGTATTTTTAGTAGAGACGGGGTTTCTCCATGTTGGTCAGGCTGGTCTCAAACTCCCGACCTCAGGTAATCTGCCCGCCTCGGCCTCCCAAAGTGCCGGGACTGCAGGTGTGAGCCACCACGCCCGACAATTTTTGTATTTTTAGTAGAGATGGGGTTTCACCATGTTGGCCAGGCTGGTCACGAACTCCTGACCTCAAATGATCCACCCACCTTGGCCTCCCAGGCTTGAGCCACTGCGTCCAGCCTTGAAAGCCATCTTTCTATTTTAGAAAGGCAGCCTGGGTGCAGTGGCTCACGCCTGTTCTCAGCACCATGGGAGGTCAAAGGAGTAGGATTACTTAAGAGCAGGAGTTCAAGACAATTGTCGGCAACACAGCAAGACTCTGTTTGTATTTTATTTAGAAAAAGAAAAGGTATTATTTTCCTAAGTGACTAATTTCCCTCTTTTTTTTTTTTTTTTTTGAGACGGGGTCTCGCTCTGTCACCCAGGCTGGAGTGAAGTGGCGCAATCTCGGCTGACTGCAACCTCCCCCTCTCAGGTTCAAGCGATTCTCCTGCCTCAGCCTCCAGAGTAGCTGGGACTACAGGCACATGCCACCATGCTCAGCTAATTTTTTTGTACTTTTAGTAGAGACGGGTTTTCACCATATTGGCCAGGATGGTCTTGATCTCTTGACCTCATGATCTGCCCACCTCTGCCCCCGAAAGTGCTGGGATTACAGGCATGAGCCACCGCGTCCGGCCAATTTCTTTTTTAATTTTTTTTTTCTTTTTAAGAGACGGGGACTTGCCGTGTTGCCCAATCTGATCTTGACCTCCTGAGCTCCTGGCCTCAAGTGATCCTTCCACCTTGATCTCCCAAAATATTGGGATTAGAGGCGTGAGTCACCATGCTTGGCTGGTTGAACTTGGAGCTGGACTTTCTGAGCACACAACACTTCTTTCATAGCTCTTGGTCAAATGAGAGGAGGGAAAGGGAAATAACCTATTTTGAAAGCATACCTTAGGGCCAGGTTCAGGATCAGGTAACTCTATTTCCTCTTTTTGTTTGTTTGTTTGTTTGTTTGTTTAAACAGGGTCTCACTCTGTTGCACAGGCTGGAGTGCAGTGGTGTGATCTTGGCTCACTGCAACCTCCCCCTCCTGGGTTCAAGCAATTCTCCTGCCTCAGCCTCCCGAGTAGCTGGGATTACAGGCACATGCCACCATGCCCAGCTAATTTTTGCATTTTTTGGTAAAGACAGGGTTTCATTGTGTTGGCCAGGCTGGCCTTGAACTCCTGGCCTCAAGTGATCCATCCACTTCGGCCTCCCAAAGTGCTGGGATTACAGGCATAAGCCACCGCGCCCAGTCCCTATTTCCTTTTTATACAGATGAGAAAACTCATCTAGGATATCTGAGGATGATGGGTAAGTAAACCGTAAGCAGGGTCTCTAGTCTGGCTCATGCTGTTATCCCCAGCACCTCGCTGAAGAACTGGTCCCTGGTAGGAAGAGAGAAAGAATAGAAGTGGAGGGATCATTGCTGCACAACTGGAGCAGGGAGGAGAGAAAAGTGATGAAGTTGTGGGTGACCCCATTGCTTGAGCAGTGGTAGTACAGGATCCTTCTGGGTTGTAACTGTGTCTTATGCAACTTAAACCACATGGAACACAATACTAGAAACATGGTGGGTGCTCAAAGGAGGTTTTTCTAATTAATTAATCTAGATTAGCACCATTTAAAACATAAGTCCAGGCCGGATGCAGTGGCTCATGCCTGTAATCCTAGCACTTTGGAACGCCAAGGCAGGCAGATCACAAGGTCAGGAGTTTGAGACCAGCCTGGCCAATATGGTGAAACTTCGTCTCTACTAAAAATACAAAAATTAGCCGGGCGTGGTGGTGGGCGCCTGTAGTCTCAACTAGTCGGGAGGCTGAGGCAGGAGAATGGCGTGAACCCGGGAGGCGGAGGTTGCAGTGAGCCAAGATGGCGCCACTGCACTCCAGCCTGGATGACAGAGTGAGATTCTGTCTCAAAAAAACAAAAATAAAAACAAAAAAAGTCTGTTATTACTGTCATGTTAACAGCTCAGAACTTGGTTAACCTTTTTTTTTTTTTTTTTTTTTTTTGGACAAGTTCTCATCACTCTGTTGCCCAGGCTGAATTGCAGTGGCCCAATGCTTGCTCACCGCAGCCTTCATCTCCTGGGCTTAAGTGATCCTCCCATCTCAGCCTCCCAAAGTGATGGGATTACAGGCATGAGCCATAGTGTCCCGCCCTATTCTCTCCTCCTGTCTGTGAGATTCCAGATCCTTGTAATTTTGGGAGACAGAGAGATAATAATCTTTTTTATTAAAAAACAAGATATTTATAACATATGTTTTCACTCAGCAAAGATTTACTATGTGCATAACACTCTGCTAAGTCGGGAGATACCGTGGGGATACAGTGGGGGACTCACAAGTCTATTAATGCTACAATAGGGAAGAAGCTAAAGCTGTGAAGTACACAATAGAGGGATGTTTTGTCCCAAGAGGCATAAGGCAGTCAGGAAAATATTTCTGGAAGTAGTGAGGTCTTAGCTGAAAGGTAGGTAGGATTTCCTAGAACAAAGGAAAGGGTGTGTGGGTGTGAGTTCATGTGTGCCTGAAAGGAGATTGTCTCAAGCAGAGGGAACACCATGTCTTTTTGATCAACTTGGATCTCCACATTCTTTTTTTTTTTTTTGAGACGGAGTCTCGCTCTGTTGCCCAGGCTGGAGTGCAGTGGCAGTGATCTTGGCTCTCTGCAAGCTCCACCTCCCGGGTTCACGCCATTCTCCTGCCTCAGCCTCCCAAGTAGCTGGGACTACAGGTGTCGGCCACCACGCCCGGCTAATTTTTTATATTTTTTTAGTAGAGACAGGGTTTCACTGTGTTAGCCAGGATGGTCTCGATCTCCTGACCTCGTGATCCACCCGCCTCGGCCTCCCAAAGTGCTGGGATTACAGGTGTGAGCCACTGCCCCTGGCCTATTTTTAAATTTTATTTATTTATTTTTGAGACACAGTCTCTAATTTTATTTTTTATTTATTTATTTTTTTTGAGATGTAGTCTCACTCTGTCACCCAGGCTGCAGTGCAGTGGCATGACCTCAGCTCACTGTCACCTCCACCTCCCAGGTTCAAGTGATTCTCGTGGCTCAGTCTCCCTAGTAGCTGGGATTACATGCGCCCGCCACCACGCCCATCTAATTTTTGTATTTTTAGTAGAGACCGGGTTTCACCATGTTGGCCAGGCTGGTCTCAAACTCCCAACCTAAGATGATCCATCCACCTCAGCCTCCCAAAATGCTGGGATTACAGGCGTGAGCCATCACACCCAGCCTGGATCTCTACATTCTGTGAAGCATGAGCAAGTACATAAAGTTAGATGAGTGGTATGGTTAAGTGCACAAACCTGAGCCTCCTCATTTTCTTTCCCTTTAAATTGTGGTAAAAGGCACATAACATAAAATTTACCATTTTAACAATTTGAAAGTGTACAATTCGGTGGCATTAAGTACAGGTATTCATGATGTGCAGACATTCATTCATAGTGTGCAGACATCATGACCTCGTTAACAAAACCTTTTCTTCATCCCAAATGGAAACCCCATACCCATCAAGTAGTCACTTCTCATTTCCCTCTTTCTAAGCACCTGGCAACTACTAATCAGCTTTCTGTCTTTATGAATTTGCCTATGATGGATATTTCATATCAATGGAATCATACAATATGTGGCCTTTTGTAAATTCGTTCTTCACTTAGCATAATGCTTCCTTTCTTCCCCCTTCCCCCTTCCCCTTCCCCTTCCCCTTTCCTCCCTCCCTCCCTCCCTCCCTCCTTCCTTCCTTCCTTCCTTTTGATGGAGTCTCGCTCTGTCACTGCCTCAGCCTCCCAAAGTGCTGGGATTACAGGCATGGGCAACCTTGCCCGGCCTAGCATTCCAGAGATAACTATAACCTGATTTTGCCATTTATCCTTTTCCACAGGTCTTTATATTTTTACAATATTTATGTGTCCATATATGTGTGTGTATATTTTCATGAATATTTTATGCTTATATAGATAAAATTACATTGTATGTATCCTTCTGTCACTTGGTCGCTACCCCTAGCCCACTAATCTTACATCTGTGTGAAATTTTCATGCTGAGACGTGTCATCCAAGTCTATTTTCAGTGCAGCATAACCTTTTCATTGTATGAATATACAAAAGTGACACAGTTATCTATTCAAAAGGCAAATCTGGTCCTGTCAATCTCCTACTTAAAATACCTCAGGGCCGGGCGTGGTGGCTTAAGTCTGTAATCCCAGCACTGTTGGAGGCCGAGGCAGGTGGATCACCTGAGGTCAGGAGTTCGAGACCAGCCTGACCAACATGGAGAAACCCCGTCTTTACTAAAAATACAAAATTAGCCGGGTGTGGTGGCACATGTCTGTAATCCCAGCTACTCGGGAGACTAAGGCAGGAGAATCGCTTGAACCCAGGAGGCAGAGGTTGCGGTGAGCTAAGATCGTGCCATTGCACTCCACTCTGGGCAACAAGAGCAAAACTCTGTCTCAAAAAAAAACAAAAACAAAAACAAAAACAAAACAGTCCAGGCACAGTGGCTCACTCCTGTAATCCCAGCACTTTCAGAGGCCGAGGTGGGCGGATCATGAGGTCAGGGGATCGAGACCATCCTGGCTAACACAGTGAAACCCCCATCTCTACTAAAAATAAAAAAAATTAGCCAGGTGTGGAGGCAGGCTCCTGTAATTCCAGCTACTTGGGAGGCTGAGGCAGGAGAATTGTTTGAACCCGGGAGGCAGACATTGCTGTGAGCTGAGATCACACCATTGCACTCCAGCCTGGGCAACAAAGAGCAAAACATATACATATTTTTCCAGCTGGAGCTGGAAGATTGCTTGAGTTTAGGAGTTTGAGAGCAGCCTGGGCAACATAGTGAGACCTTGTCTCTATAAAAAAATTTAAAAATTAGCCGGGTGTAGTGGCATGAGCCTATAGTCCCAGTTACTCAGTAGGCTGAGGTGGGAGGATTGCTTGATCCCAGGAGGTTGAGGCTGAAGTAAGAAGTAAGCCAGGATCATGCTACTGCACTCCAGCCTGGGTGACACAGTGAGACCCTGTTCACAATAAAAGAGAGAGAGACGGCTGGGTGTGGTGGCTCATGCCTGTAATCCCAGCACTTTGGGAGGCTGAGGTGGGCGGATCACCTGATGTCAGGAATTTGAGACCAGCCTGACCAACATGGAGAAACCCTGTCTCTACTAAAAATACAAAATTAGCCGAGCGTGGTGGTACATGCCTGTTATCCCAGCTACTCGGGGGGCTGAGGCAGGAGAATAGCTTGAACGCAGGAGCCGGAGGTTGCAGTGAGCCGAGATGGCGCCATTGCACTCCAGCGTGGGCAACAAGAGCGAAACTCCTTCTCCAAAAAAAAAAAAAAAAAAAAGGAGATACAAATATTAGCTGGGTGTGGTGGCACATGCCTGTAATCCCAGCTACTCAGGAGGCTGAGGCGTGAGAATCACTTGAACCGAGGAGGCAGAGGTTGCAGTGAGCTGAGATCGTACCACTGCACTCCCACCTGGGCGACAGAGCATGATTCTGTCTCAAAAATAAAGTAAAATAAAAGAAAATAAAAATAGATTTTAAACAATATATTCTTTGGTGGTTTCATCAGACATTTATGAAGATTCTCAGTGAGTTCTATTGCTGGCTGTGACCTTCATTGTTCTCTTCAGTTGAACCTGATGCCTGATGCACCTTCTGATCCTTGCTCCCTTCTGCCTCCAATCCTCAAGCTTATAGCCTTTTTACTGCTTCCAGATTCCACTTTCTTTCCTTCCTTTAAATTCTTATTTCTTTTACTTTTGTAAAAGGAGGCAGATGTGCCACGGATTATATGTTGTTTCCACAAAATGTATGTGCTGAGTCTACTTTTGGTCCATCCACAGGAATCTTACGAGAACTGGTTATTGTCTCTCTGAAAGCAATCACAGTCCTTCCTTGAGTCTCCCAGAACATTTTAGCCCAGATGGTGTTAAGGACCAAAGCCTAGAGTTCTCTTCAGATCAAGATAGTAGACAAGATAATAGACTTATGTTATGCTGGTATTATTTTTTTAGGGCTAGGTTTGATTTTAAAATGTAACTGTGGCCGGGCGTGGTGGGTGGCTCAAGCCTGTAATCCCAGCACTTTGGGAGGCTGAGGCAGGTGGATCACGAGGTCAGGAGATCGAGACCATCCTGGCTAACATGGTGAAACCCCGTCTCTACTAAAAATACAAAAAAATTAGCCGGGCCTGGTGGCGGGCACCTGTAGTCCCAGCTACTCGGGAGGCTGAGGCAGGAGAATGGCATGAACCCAGGAGGTGGAGCTTGCAGTGAGCAGAGATCGCGCCACTGCACTCCAGCCTGGGCAACAGAGCAGGACTCTGTCTCAGAAAAAAAAAAAAAAAAGGTAACTGTGTAAGTTGTCTATTACAATGTTTTAAATCAACTATGAGTCATTCCAAAAAACAAGCAAATGAACCAAATCACTGGAAACTCAAAGGAGAGCTTGTTTTATGTTGATGTTCCTGAGATTTCCTCAGAGATGATACATTCACACTATCAAATTCTTCCAGACCATTTCACAAATAAGTTTTTACTTAGCATCCTGACCCAAGACTTTCTTTTTGGCATGCCAATCAGTCTTCCTTCAAAAACAGGTTCTACATGATTGTGCGCTGAGCCTATTGCTGAAATAATTATCACTTTGTTTTACCAAGCGAGCTTTAGTCAGGCAACTAGGGATGTGCTGGAGTGTGTCCTCTTAGAAATACAAGTGAAATGTAACAGATTGCCAATAGCTATATTTTCCAAAATGGCTTATTTATGGTTTTCCCTTTAAACTTGGCTTTGACTCAACTCACAAAGTTTTACAGCTAACATTTAGAGGTCACGTGGGGGGCAGAAGGCATCATCAGGTTGATTTTAACTGACTAGTTTATCTCCAGTTTCTGGCCCAATGGGAAACTAAAAATGGAAATTTACTTTCTGCTCCTTATTCTAAAACAAAGACGTGATTTCTTGCCAAAAATAAATCATAGAATGTGGAAGTGTTTAAAGAAGATCCAGAATGAACATTATCGTGTATATCCAGGCTTTTCTGTGAATGAATAGTATACATGTCTCTTTAACAAAATGGGATCCTGCAGGACATATTGTTTTATAAACTGCCCTGTTTACTACATATACAGTGAACAGCTTTTCATAGATTAACCACACCATACAATAAGGAACAACATGCACTGGATAGTCTCTGATTTATTTAACCAGTTCGCTGCAGGTGACATTTAGTTTGTGAGGTGGATGTTAGTTTGTGGGATATTTTTTGCAGCTTGGCTCACTCAACACCCATTTCAACTCTTTTCTCCTTGCCTTTCTCTATTCTAAAGTTTGGGAAGAGAAACACTTGTTTTCCCAGACACCCCGATGGCTAGGGTGGCCATGTCATTTGGTTCTGGCCAGTGAGAATATGAGACTGTGTTGAGACCACTCAATTTGACATAGCACACCTGCTCACCAAAATGTGTGTGGATTTCTCCCCATCAGCCCACCAAGCAAACCTCCAGCAGATTCTCCAGCGCATACCGGCTAGGTGTCCTCTAATTCAATTCTGACACTACATACCTGGAGATAGTGTCCGTTCCCACAGGTGGAAGGATCAGCCCCACTAAAACTGCCTCCACTTCAGATGCCAATCACAAGTCCGTGCCTCCCCAGACTTTCTGACTGGCTACAAACCAGACCCTCTCTTGGGCTTGATTAATTTGCTAGGAGGGCTCACAGAACTCAGGGAAACACTTACGCTGATGGTTTATAATAAAGGATACAGATGAAGAGATGCATAGGGTGAGGTATGGGGTAAGGGGTGTGGAGCTTCCACACTCTCCAGGAACCTCCATACATTCAATCATCTGGAAGCTCATCAGAACCGTGTCTTTTATGGAGGCTTCATGGCACAGGTAAGATTGATTCAATCATTGACCATTGCTGATCAACTTAACCTTCAGGTTTTCTCCCTTCCCCATAGGTCTAGGGGTGGGGCTGAGAGGTCCAACCCTTTAGTCATCTAGTTAGTTCCCCTGACAACGAATCCCCAACCAGAGCCTATCTAGGAGCCTCAGCTACGAGTCTTCTCATTAGCAGACAAAATACACTCTTTGGCTAAAAGTGGTTGCTCACGCCTGTAATCCAGCACTGTGGGAGGCTGAGGCGGGAAGATTGCTTGAGCCCAGGAGTTTGACACCAACCTGGGTAACATCACAAGACCTCGTCCCTATAAAACAAACAAACAAAATAAAACCACACAAAGAAGAAGGAGGAGGAGGAGGAGAAGAAAGAAGAAGAAGAAGAAGAAGAAGAAGAAGAAGAAGAAGAAGAAGAAGAAGAAGAAGAAAAGAAGAAAAAAAAAGAAGAGAAAAGAGAAAGAAGTAAAAAAAATAAACAACAACAACAACAAAACACCAAAAGAAACAAGAACCTAACCAGGTGAGGCAGCATTCACCTATGGTCCCAGCTACTCAGGAGGCTGAGGTTGGAGGATTGCTTGGACCCAGGAAGTCAGGAAGTCAAGGCTGTAGTCAGCTGTGATTGCTCTACTGCACTCCAGCCTGGGTGATGGAGCAAGATCCTGTCTCAAAAAACACTCATCACTATGGAGATTCCAAGAATTTTAGGAGCAGGAAACCAGATGAAGACCTAATATATATTTCACAACAGCACAGAGACACAAAAGGAGACAGCTGAGAATGCCTCTTTGGCTTCCCGTTCTGCACAGGTGGCAATGCCTGAGTTGGAGCAATCACTGCTGATAGAACAGGGAGAGAGGGGCTTGGCTTCTTCATAGCACCCTGGAGTCTCCAGCAAGCCCTGCACTCCCTCCCCACGTTGGACTTCTTATGGCATGAGATAAGTAGGCCCTGTATTTATTTATTTACTTACTTATTTTATTTTATTTTATTTTATTTTTTTTTTTGAGGCAGAGTCTCGCTCTGTCACCCAGGCTGGAGTGCAGTGGTGCAATCTTGACTCACTGCAACCTCCCGAGTAGCTGGGACTACAGGCGTGTGCCACCAAGCCTGGCTAATTTTTGTATTTTTTGATAGAGACGGGGTTTCGCCATATTGCCTAGGCTGGTCTTGAACTCCTGACCTCAGGTGATCTGCCCGCCTTGGCCTCCCAAAGTGCTGGGATTACTACAGGTGTGAGCCACCGCACCTGCCAGGCCAGAGATAAGTAGACCCTGTATTTAAACCACATCTAAAACAAACTGCGAAATGCCTCTGGGTACTCACCAGGTGATTTCTTGGAGATATATTCCCAGAAGTAGAATTGCTGGGTCAAAGAGGATACATTTGTAAGGCTTTGGAAAGGTTTTATCAATTACACTCCCACCATTCCCATGTGAGTACATCGCTTTCCCTACATCCTGCTAACTCTGTGCATTATCACTCTTCTTAGTCTTTTCCAATCTGATGGGTAAAAAAGGATAACTCATCATTTTAATTTGCATATCTTTGATTACCACAGATACTGAGCATCTGTTCATATGTTTATCCAATGCTTGTATTTCTTCTTTTGTAAGCTTCAAGTTAGGGAATTTGACTAGAAGCAGCTGCTTCCCTCATCTTTGCTTGTGGACAGTTTTCGGGGATATGGCTAGAAGCCAACCGGTTTGAAATGTTAGCAACTCCATTATGTCCCTGCTATTTTCCAGAGGGTATTACAGGCATTAACTCTGTCTCAGGCCTGCTCTTTGGCCTGCTTTTAGATGCTGCACAACCCCCAAAACACTTGGCAAAAATCTAGATGAGAAAAAAAAACTGGGGTCCCTTCAGCATCTGCTACTTAAGGCATATATGCTGAACAAGTTTTTGGACAGCTTTGGTTGCTACTTCAAATACAGTGTGACGAATCTTTCATTTTCTTATGTTGGGTAGACCCAGATAGCCTAATAAGGCAAAGAACAGTAATTTCTTATAAGCAACACAAATGCCTCCACATAAATCACACATTTCAAGTAATATGATAATTTGGATAGATAACATGGATTTTTTTCGTGGGCGCCACTCCATTTTGACATGGAATAACAAGTCAAGTCTTCATCGATTTTTTTTGAGACGGAGTCTCGCTCTGTCGCCCAGGCTGGAGTGCAGTGGCACGATCTCCGCTCACTGCAAGCTCCGCCTCCTGGGTTGACGCCATTCCCCTGCCTCAGCCTCCCGAGTAGCTGGGACTACAGGTGCCCGCCACCACTCCCAGCTAATTTTTTGTATTTTTAGTAGAGACGGGGTTTCACCGTGTTAGCCAGGATGGTCTCGATCTCCTGACCTCGTGATCCGCCCGCCTCGGCCTCCCAAAGTGCTGGGATCACAGGCGTGAGCCACTGCGCCCGGCCGATCCATTTTTAACGCATGTTTTTGTAATCACCCAGGGCTAATAAAAATAAGTTTTGACTGGTTATAAGGGCTAGATTCTAAGTCCGTTACACCTGGGGACAGAGGCAGGGCCAAAAGTATGTGCTGAAGCTGACACAGAAAAAAGAGAACAGAGAGTCTAGGGAGACTCTGGCTGTCTAGACCTTTGCATGTATGGTCTCTGCCTTTCCAAATCATTTTCCGTGAGTGATTCTCAGCCTGCAGGGCCCAAGGGGAACCTACAGGCTCAGGCTAGCATTCTTAGACACTGGGGCTTTCACTTCAAGAAGCAGATTACCGGCCGGGCGCGGTGGCTCACGCCTGTAATCCCAGCACTTTGGGAGGCCGAGGCGGGCGGATCACAAGGTCAGGAGATCGAGACCATCCTGGCTAACGTGCTGAAACGCCGTCTCTACTAAAAATACAAAAAATTAGCCGGGCGTGGTGGCGGGCGCCTGCAGTCCCAGCTACTCGGGAGGCTGAGGCAGGAGAATGGTGTGAACCCGGGAGGCGGAGCTTGCAGTGAGCGGAGATCCCGCCACTGTACTCCAGCCTGGGCGACAGAGCGAGACTCCGTCTCAAAAAAAAAAAGAAGCAGACTACCGCCGGGCGTGGTGACTCACGCCTGTAATTCCAGCACTTTGGGAGGCCGAGGCGGGCAGATCACCTGAGGTCAGAAATTTGAGACCAGCCTGGCCAACGTGGTGAAACCCCACCTCTACTAAAAATACAAAAATAAGCCGGGCATGGTGTGGGGCTCCTGTAATCCTAGCTACTCGGGAGGCTGAGGTAGGACAATTGCTTGAAACCGGGAGGCAGAGGTTGCAGTGAGCCGAGATCATGCCGTTGCGCTTCAGCCTGGGCGACAAGAGCAAAACTCCGTCACACACACACACACACACACACACACACACACACACGCAGACTACCGCTGATTTGGAAGCGGCAACAGCGATTGGCATCTTACTTGGGAAGATGGGCTAATATTTTTGTTTTTGTCTTTGTTTTTTGAGACAGGGTCTCACTTTGTCACCCAGGCTGGAGTGCAGTGATGCAATTATGGCTCACTGCAGCATTGACCTCCCAGGCCCAAGCAATCCTCCTACCTCAGCCTCCCAAGTAAGTGGGACCACAGGCACTTACTTGGCTAGGTTGTTTTTTTAATTATTTATGTTGTAGAGACAGAGTCTCTGTATGTTGCCCAGGCTGGGATGAGCTGATATCTTCTATTTGCACCTCCAGATCTCACATTTTTCAGCAGTGCCCTGTCACAGGAGGCCAAGCTGTATGGACTATATGGGTGGTTCCCAAACTTTTGGGGTCTCAGGATTCTCACATGCTTAACAACTATTGAGGATCCTAGATAGCTTGTTTGTGTAGGTTACATCTATGTGTATTCACTGCAGTGGAAGTGAAAACTGAGAAATGTTTAAAATATTTACTCATTCATCTAAAATAACAATAAACCTGCTATAACTTAATACAAATAACATAGTTTTTAATAAATAAAAACCTCTATGTTCCAAAACAAAACTGAGAAGACAGACACTGTTTTTCACTTTTATAACTTTTTTTTTTTTTCCTTTTTCTGGAGAACGGGGTCTCGCTATATTGCCCAGGCAGGTCTCGAACTCCTGGGCTCAAGCTATCCTCCCGCCTCTTAGCCTCCCTGAGAGCTGGGATTACAGGTGTGAGCCACCACACCCGGCTATAACTTTCTTTAATATCTGGGTTAATAGAAGACAGATATTCATGTCTGCTTCTGCATTCAATCTGCTGAGATATCACAGGCCATGCAGCCTTTTGGAAACTCCACTGTTCACTATTGAGAGAATGAGTAAAAAAGGCAAATAACATCTTACCATTACTATGAAAACAGTTGTGACTTCATGGGATTTCCTGAAAAGGTCTTGGAGATCCCCAGGAGTTCCTGGCAACACCCAGCAGAACTCCTGTGACCTTTGAATCCTGTTGGGTTCAGCCAGTGGGAGCCCCATTAAGAAATTGTGACAAGGGGCCGGCACAAATGCCAGCACTTTGGGAGGCCGAGGCGGGTGGATCATGAGGTCAGGAGATCGAGACCATCCTGGCTAACACGGTGAAACCCCCTCTCTACTAAAAATACAAAAAATTAGCCAGGCATGGTGGCGGGTGCCTGTAGTCCCAGCTGCTTGGGAGGCTGAGGCAGGAGAATGGCGTGAACCTGGGAGGTGGAGGTTGCAGTGAGCTGAGACTGCGCCAGTGCACTCCAGCCTGGGTGACAGAGCGAGACTCTGTCTCAAAAAAAAAAAAAAAAAAAAAAGAAATTGTGTCAAGGAAGCATGCCATCAAAGTATTTATTCTCTTGGCTCGATCCTTGTAGAGATTGCTCACACCGAGGCTGGCTGTGTCTCTTGAAAGGAGCGTAAGGGCTTCTCTCAAATGATTGTTTCCTATGGATTCCAGTTACTCCTCCCCTCTTCCCTTTGGGCCTAGGAGTGAAAACAGCTCTTGGATTATCAATCTTCAGTCCTTCTATACTCTGTGCATACCTTTGTAAATAAACACTCCTGAATTTATCCCCACAAATAAAACAAAAATCCAATAAACACAGAGGCTTACTATATGCCAGTTCTCAAAGTGACTAGACCTCAAAGTGATGTTGGACTATCAGCATTAGTATTACCTGGGAATTTATTAGAAAGCAAATTCTTGGATCTCCCTCCAGACTGACTGAATAAGTTATTTTAGGGACGAGGCCCAGCAATAGCAAAGTTTTAAAAGGCCCTTCTGGTGAGTCTGATGCATTCTAAATTGTGACCAGTTTTGTTTGTCTTTTGAGACGGAGTTTTGCTCTTGTTGCCCAGGCTGGAGTGCAATGGCGCGATCTCGGCTCACCACAACCTCCGCCTCCCGGGTTCAAGCAATTCTCCTGCCTCAGACTCCCAAGTAGCTGGGAATACAGGTGCCCACCACCATGCCCAACTAATTTTGTATTTTTAGTAGAAATGGGGTTTTGCCATGTTGGTCAGGCTGGTCTCGAACTCCTGACCTCAGGTGATCTGCCCGCCTCAGCCTCCCAAAGTGCTGCGATTACAGGCGTGAGCCACGGCTCCTGGCATGTGACTCAGTTTTAAAATGCTGATTAACAGCTGGGCGCGGTGGCTCCTGCCTGTAATCCCAGCACTTTGGGAGGCCAAGGCAGGTGGATCACGAGGTCAGGAGATCCGAGACCATCCTGGCTAACATGGTGAAACCCCGTCACTACTAAAAATACAAAAAAATTAGCCGGGCGTGGTGGCGGGCGCCTATAGTCCCAGCTACTTGGGAGGCTGAGGCAGGAGAATGGCGTGAACCCGGGAGGTGGAGCTTGCAGTGAGCTGAGATTGTGCCACTGCAGTCCAGCCTGGGTGACAGAGCAAGACTCCGTCTCTAAATAAATAAATAAATAAATGAATAAAAATTAAATGCTGATTAACTAAGATGATTAACAACAGTGCTCTGGTAAACTTAGAAACAGTTACAGTTAGATGAGGTTAGCCTTAGTGAATAACAGCTAATGGTAGCAAGTATTTATATGCTGCTAGGCACTATTCTACACCTGATGTGTTAACATATTTAGTCTTTACAACCATATAGTGTAATAACTCTTAGTAGGCTGTTATGGTTTGAGTATCAGTCCACTCCAAAACTCATGTCGAAATTTAATTCTCAATGTGGCAGGGGCCTTTGAGAGAGATGACTGCATCTCGAGGCCAGGGATTCATTTATTCGTGGGTTGATGAATGAATGGGTTATCACTGGAGAACTGTCAGCTTTGTACGTGGAAGACAGGCCTGAGCTAGCTTGTCAGCATGGTGACACGCTCTGCCTCTCATTGTGTGTGATGCCCTGAGCCTCCCTGGGACTCTGTAGCATACCCACCAGCAACAAAGCCCTCGCCAGACACGGCCTCTTGACCTTGGACTTCTCAGTCTCCAGAACTGTAAAAAATATATTCCTTTTCTTTATAAGATACCATTTTAGGTGTTCTGTTATAAGCAACAGAAAACAAACTAAGACACGGACCAATTTCGTGGAAAAACTTAGGTTTAGGAAGGATGAATACCTTGGCCTGAGAACACACAGTAAAAGTGGCAGAGCTCAGTTCCAACTCAGGTAGCCTAGCACCAGCCTCTGTGCTCCTCCCCAATATACAATGAGGCCCCATAGCAGCAACAGGGTGTTCTGGAGGAACTCAGGCTTCCTGGCAACAGAGTTGGTGGAGGGTCCCTCCTGCCAAGCTAGAATAATCGCCTATACTGTTTCCTACACCAGAAGAATGAAGGTGAAGCTCCTTCTAGGGAAGGGCTGGAATGAGTGAGCTTTCACTCAAAGAGATTGGGTAGGCTTTTCTGAATCTAGTTAATAGAGGACTCGAGGGACTTTCCAGTAAGCTGGTGAGTCACTGAGCGCCGGGACATAGCTGGGGGTTCTATCTCCTGTTCTTAAATGTGTTGTCTCAGGCTTGAATTACATAAACTAGTCCTGCCATATTTTCTCCATGCCTTTCACCCAGCCTTTTACTTTGTTTTCGGTTGACTTTTCACTGTAAATAATTTTAAAACTAAATAAAACATTTAAAATTTCTGCTTTTAAAATACCAATCATACACTTTAAACATTTATTTTCAACCTATCCATGAAGCATTTGATCCATTTTTCAGAAACAGTTCTGGGAAAACTCCTCCCAAATTACTTTAGCATAACAAAAAAATCATTTGTTCCTGCATTAAGTGAATCAGTTTATTCCTTACACATTCATACAGTTGCTCAAAAGTGAGTCTCTCTGCCATATGCTAAATCTATATAAAACTGTTTTGGGCCAGGCACAGTGGCTCATGCCTGTAATCCCAGCACTTTGGGAGGCTGAGGTGAGAAGCTGCTTGAGCTCAGGAGTTTGAGACCTGCCTGGGCAACATGGTGAAACCCATCTCTACAAGAAGTACGAAAATTAGCTGTGGTGACGTGTGCCTGTAGTCCCGGCTACTCGGAAGGCTGAGGTAAGAGGATCGCTTGGGCCTGGGAGTCAAAGGTTGCAGTGAGCCAATATGGTGCCACTGCACTCCAGACTGGGTGACAGAACAAAACCGTCTCAAAAAACAAAACAAAACAAAACCTTGTTGTGGGTAAAGTGAGAAGTATGCACAAATCAATAAACTTACAAATATTTTAGAGGCCAAATAGTCTGGGACAGCTTTCTTCAAATCAGTACACAGAAACATCTCAAGGGTTTGTGAGCGAGAAGAATTTTCATAATTTTCTTGAACTCAGTCTCTAGTTACCTTCTCTCTGATTTCCTGCCCCAAGGCTCCAGAGGTCCTGTGATGAGTTTTTTTTTTTTTTTTTTTTTGAGACGGAGCTGAAGTGCAATGGCATTATCTCGGCTCACCGCAACCTCCACCTCCCAGGTTCAAGTGATTCTCCTGCCTCAGCCTCCCGAGTAGCTGGGATTACAGGCATGTGCCACCACGCCCGGCTAATTTTGTATTTTCAGTAGAGGTGGGGTTTTACCATGTTAGTCAGGCTGGTCTCGAACTCCTGACATCAGGTGATCCACCTGCCTCAGCCTCCTAAAGTGCTGGGATTACCAGCATGAGCCACCTGGTCCGGCCCCACATGAGCTCTTCTTTACACATGAAAACCTTCCTTCTCTGAATCATACTTACCTCAGGGTGTAAAATCCTCCAGGGTGGTGAGAAGTGAATGGGGTCCGGCCTCACATGAGTTCTTCTTTACACATGAAAAACTTACTTCTCTGAAACATACTTACCTCAGGGTGTAAAATCCTCCAGGGTGGTGAGAAGTGAATGACTGTAATGTCCAAGGAACAAGATTTCACAGAAATGGATGGATGGAATTAGAAATAACTAAAGTCATTAAATTTAACATATCATAATTTATTGCGACAAAGTATAAGAGAAATAAAGTAAAAATAAAAGTTCAAGAAGAAAAAGGAATGATGTAAAACCCCTATTAAAAAAGGTATAGGGCTGGGTATGGTGGCTCATGCCTGTAATCCCAGCACTTTGGGAGGCTGAGGTGGGCAGATCACCTGAGGTCAGGAGTTCAAGACCAGCCTGGACAACACAGTGAAAGCCCATTTCTACTAACAATACAAAAAAATTAGCCAGGAGTGGTGGCGGGTGCCTGTACTCTCAGCTACTCAGGAGGCTGAGGCGGGAGAATCACTTAAACCCAGGAGGCAGAGGTTGCAGTGAGTTGAGACTGCACCATTGCACTCCAGCCTGGGCAACAACAGTGAAACTCTGTCTCAAAATAAAATAAAATAAAATAAAGACTGATGTAACAATTTATTTAAAAAGTCAGTATTGGGCCAGGCACGGTGGCTGATGCCTGTAATTTCAGCACTTTGGGAGGCCGAGGCAAGCGGATCACTTGAGGTCAGGAGTTCGAGAACAGCCTGGCCGACACGATGAAACCCCATCTCTACTGAAAATACAAAAATTAGCTGGGCACGGTGGGCAGGCACCTGTAATACCAGCTACTCAGGAGGCTGAGACAGGGGAGTCGCTTGAACCCTGGAGGCAGAGGTTGCAGTAAGCTGGGATTTTGCCATTGCACTCCAGCCTGGGGGACAGAGCAAAACTTCATCTCAGAAAAAAAACAAAAAAACAGGCAGTACTGACAGTATGTCAGAACTTGCATCCTTTTCTTCTGTTTTTTTTTTTTTTTTGAGGCTGAGTTTTGCTGTATTGCCCAGGCTGGAGTGCAGTGATATGATCCTGGTTCACTGCAACCTCCGCCTCCCGGGTTCAAGCAATTCTCCTGCTGCAGCCTCCTGAGTAGCTAGGATTACAGGCACCCCCAACCATGCCTGCCTAAATTTTGCAGTTTTAGTACAGACGAGGTTTCATCATGTTGGCCAGGCTGGTCTCGAACTCCTGACCTCAAGTGATCCGCCCACCTTGGCCTCTCAAAGTGCTAGGATTACAGGCGTGAGCCACCGCACTTGGCCCTTTTCTTCTATTTGAATTTATGAAAAGTTGTAGATGTCAACTTGAAAATGTACAAGGAGGTACAGAGTTGGTTTTTGTTTTTTGGTTTTTTTAGAGAGGGTCTTGCTCTGTCACCCAGGCTGGAGTACAGCAGTGCAATCACACCTCACTGCAGCCTTCATCTCCCAGGCTCAAGTGATCCTCCTGCTTTGGTCTCCTGAGTAGCTAGGACTACAGGCATGCACCACTGTACCCAGCTAATTTTTTTATTTTATTTTTGTAGAGATGGGTTCTCACTATGTCAGCCAGGCTGGTCTTGAACTCCTGGCCTCAAGTGATCCTCCCATCCCAGCCTCCCAAAGTGCTGGGATTACAGATGTGAGACACTGTACCCAGCTGAGTTTTTAAAAACAATTTTGAGGGTATGCCAGCAAAAAAATGTTATGTTTCATTTTTGATCACCATAGCAGTATGACTGTCATCTTTCTATAAACTGGGGGTAGGTAGGTATGAGGGACTTGTAAAGCCATCAACCCAACAGGACACTGAGCACTAAGACAGCCATCAACTCACCAGGAGAGTGAGCACTAAGAACTTCAGAGCAAGCTTCTAAGCCTCTGGGAAGCAGCTCCCTCATGCTGATTTCCCCACCTGAAGTAAAGGCCATGCCAACCTGTCTGCCTTCCTTACCATTAGTCTCCACACTTCCAGGACTGTGTGTGCACCACTCCAGTAAGGGGGAGTTAGATAAGGCAAACTCTGGGTAAGATGGAAGGTACTGATCTAATTAAAAATTTTGAAGAACTAGTATTCCTTTTTGTTATGGCATGTAATAAGCATCTGTGCTGACTTACTGTTTTTGTGTTTTTTTTGAGACAGAGTTTCGTTATGTCGCCCAAGCTAGAGTGCAGTGATGCGATCTTGTCTCACCACAACCTCGGGTTCAAGCGATTCTCCTGCCTCAGCCTCCCAAGTAGCTGGGATTACAGGCACGCGCCACCATGCCTGGCTACTTTTTGTATTTTTAGTAGAGAGAGGATTTCACCATGTTGGCCAGGCTGGTCTCGAATTCCCGACTTCAGGTGATCCACCTGCCTCAGACTCCCAGAATGCTGGGATTACAGGCATGAGCCACCATGCCTGATGGACTTACTGTTTGTGAATAAATGATTTTCATCTGGCTTTCTGAAATGTTGACAAGAATCACAACTAGTTCATGCTGCTTTCTCCATATTTCCTAGGCTTCTAGGGATCCCAGTAAGTAACATTTTTCCTTCTTGGAATAGTTAAAAAATGTTGTGCTTAATAAAACCAAAGAGACACACACACACATATACTCCCTTCCCACAAAAACCCAAACAAGGCTGGGCACGGTAGCTCATGCCTGTAATCCTAGCACTTTGGGAAGCCAAGGTGGGTGGATCACAAGGTCAGGAATTTGAGACCAGCCTGGCTAACATGGTGAAACCCCGTTTCTATTTAAAAATACAAAAATTAGGCCAGGCTCGGTGTAATCGCAGCACTTTGAGAGGCTGTGGTGGGCGGATCATGAGGTCAAGAGATCGAGACCATCCTAGTCAACACGGTGAAACCCCATCTCTACTAAAAATACAAAAATCAGCTGGGTGCGGTGGCTCACACCTGTAATCCCAGCACTTTGGGAGGCCAAGGTGGGTGGATCATGAGGTCAGGAGATTGAGACCATCCTGGCTAACATGGTGAAACCCCGTCTCTACTAAAGAATACAAAAAATTAGCCGGGCATGGTGGCGGGCGCCTGTAGTCCAAGCTACTCAGGAGGCTGAGGCAGGAGAATGGCGTGAACCTGGGAGGTGGAGCTTGCAGTGAGCGGAGATCGTGCCACTGCACTCCAGCCTGGGCGACAGAGCAAGACTCCATCTCAAAAAAACAAAACAAAGAAATACAAAAATCAGCTGGGCGTGGTGGCGGGCTCCTGTAATCCCAGCTACTCGGGAGGCTGAGGCAGGAGAATCCCTTGAACCCAAGAGGCGGAGGTTGCAGTGAGCCTTGATCAGGCCTCTGCACTCCAGCCTGGCAACAGAGCGAGACTCCATCTCAAAAAATCCCCCCAAAACCCCCCAAAATGAGCCTGTAATCCCAGCTACTCAGGAGGCTGAGGCAGGAGAATCGCTTGAACCCAGGAGGCAGAGGTTGCAGTGAGCCGAGATCACACCACTATACTGCAGACTGCGTGACAGAGCAAGACTCCATCTCAAAAAAAAAATAAATAAATAAATAAATAAAAATAAAAAAACCCCAAACAAAACCCGAATAATAGCAATTGTTCCCCAACACACTGACAAAGGATCTGAAACAATCATTGTATCATGACTAAAGGGAAATAATAATTTGGTGACTATTTCTTTTGAGAAGACTTTTGTGTGACACCTTTAGAGAAAGGTAGTATGTGTAAACATATTACACATATGTACATGGACACAGAGAGGTGTCCATTTTAACTTCTGTTTTCTTTCACCTCCCAATATACATTGTATCTATTTTCATTTCATTGTGTTTGCAGAAGAATTTTTATACATTTGCATTTTGAATTAAATCAAAATCCTCTTTAACATAGGATGGGGAGGAAAAAAAGACTGACTAGTGCCAATTTAGTTTCAGCCATTTTATGCAGGAATCCAAAAGCATCAAATTTCCGTGTTTTCTGGGAACAATATATAGCATGAACAAAAGGTTACAGAGGGAAGAAAATGTAATTGATTCTGAAGAGCGTGAACATCTGCAAAGAATGTATTGTAAGAGAAAATGATCTCTGAGGGTCCTACTTACGATGAAACGGTTTCTAGCTACCCATGTCAGACAAACAGCTGCCTTACACACCTCTCTCAAAGTCCAATCCCTAAACAGAGCAGGACTACTGATGCTTGAAGTTACTTTCTGAAACATGGAAGCAAATAGAAACGTGGTAAAAGACTTCACAAAACTAAACTCCTCTAGTGGTAATGAGCTAATGTAATGTACTTAGAGAAAAAGTCAGAAAAAACTATAGTCTGGTCAAAATTCTGTCATTAAATTGTGGCCAACTCAATTGATCTCTTTGAGCCTCAAGGTCCTCAACTTTGACATGGGAGGGTTGGACCGACAAGGATCTTTTAAGATGTTGTCTAGGATTATAAAATTAACAGAGTACCTTTTCTTCTAGAGGTCTCTTGAGTCTTAAGACTTTCAATTTTGGATGGAAAGAACAAAAATTCTAACACTGATTTAAGAACATCAACATTTATTTAACATGATAAAAAAAGAAATGAGATATGAACATTTGCATTTAAACAATAGTAAGTAGCCTTTAATACATTACATGTGCTCATTGTATAATATATACACAATGAACATAATTACATTTGTACACAAACTAAGTACCGGATTTGGAAACCTGCTTATTGCTGTACACATGTATTCCAATGAAATATAAGCCCAGTACTTCAAAATACCTACACTTTGTTTTTTTTTTTTTTAAGAAAAGATAAGCAGTAACATTTGTGTTTAAGCTGACAGGAGTGTGGCAGTAACTGCTGACATTGCAATCTGACCGAGAAAGAATTATAGCAGAAAACAGGACATACTTCACTTAGCAATAAAATGGCACATTTTAAATACATATATATAAAATTTTTACAAATCAAGTGTGAAACAAAAGCACTGCAGTAGCTAAAATGGGAAGAAAAAAAAGAAAACAAGCTTCAATGGAAATAATAACTAACTTTAGAAAATGAAAAGCAAAAAAATATATATATAAATTCACCTAGACTTAAGAAACATCGAAATCTGGAAATCAGCAACTAAGTAAGCTCTGGAAATAGACTGCACATTAAAAAGCACCTTTACTTATGTGCTCTGAAATCATAGCAGCAAGCTGGTGTCAGAATAATAACCTTGAGATTACGAAGTGTACATATGGGCCATTAAAGCTGTTTTGGAATAAACATTTTCCAGAAGTGATAAAATGATGCTCTGTGACCAAAAGCATCAGAACTATGAATTTCATAGATTTAAAATATACTGTACAATATCTTCTTACACTGCTGAAGGTCCATGTCTTTAGCTTTGAATGGTTTCAACAGAAGTCAGTATAGCTGAAAAATAAGAGAGAGGAAATTACTTTGACACCTGCAACGTTAATTAATTACCATTTCCCAAAGTAACTAAGGGTGACATTCTGTAACAACAGAACTGACAAGCATGGCCATGAAAATCCTAAAATACAATACATCAAAGGATATTTTTCTTCATTTCCATAGCTTAATTCACAAAGCAAAGAAACATAATGCAATTTTTTTTTTTTGAGACAGGGTATCACTATCGCCTAGGCTGGGGTGCAGTGGTATGATCCCGGCTCTCTGCAACCTCTGCGTCCTGGGTTCAAGCGATTCTCCTGCCTCAGTCTCCCAACTAGCTGGGATTACAGGCACATATCACCATGCCTGGCTAATTTTTGTATTTTTAGTAGAGACGGGGTTTCACCATGTTGGCCAGGCTGGTCTCGAACCCCTGGCCTCAACTGATCTGACTGCCTTGGCCTCCCAAAGTGCTAGGATTACAGGCATGAGCCACTATACCCGGCCCCACAAGGAAACATAATGTAATGCAATTCTTCTTCCTTCCTCCTCCTCCTCCTTCTCTTCATTATTATTATTATTATCATCATTTTGGAGACGGAGTCTTGCTCTGTTGCCCAGGGTGGAGTGCAGTGGCACGATCTCAGTTCACTGCAACCTCTGCCTCCTGGGTTCCAACAATTCTCCTGCCTCAGCCTCCTGAGTAGCTGGGACTACAGGTGCACATCACCACATCCAGCTAATTTTTTGTATTTTAGTAGAGACGGGGTTTCACCGTGTTGCCCAGGCTGGTCTCAAACTCCTGAACTCAGGCAATCCGCCCGCCTCGGCCTCCCAAAGTGCTAGGATTCCAGGTGTGAGCCACTGCACCTGGCCTTCTTATTATTTTTGAGACTGAGTCTCGCTCTGTCGCCCAGGCTGGAGTGCAGTGGCGCAATCTTGGCTCACTGCAACCTCCACCTCCCGGGTTCAAGTGATTTTCCTGCCTCAGCCTCTAGAGTAGCTGAGACTACAGGTGCATGCCACCACGCCCAGCTAATTTTTGTATTTTCAGTAGAGACGGAGTTTCAACCATGTTGGCCACAATGGTCTCGATCTCCTGACCTTGTGTTCCGCCCGCCTCGGCCTCACAAAGTGTTGGGATTACAGCCGTGAGCCACTGTGCCCGGCCAACATAATGTGATTATAAATAGCAATACAGAATAAAAAATGTACCGCTGGCAACGGCAACCCCCTTTGGGTCCCCTCCCATTTTAGGGGAGCTCTGTTTTCACTCTATTAAATCTTGCAACTGCAAAAAAAAAAAAAAAGTACCAAACGTAGCTGAATCCAAAAGATCAACAAAATGAGCAAACATTTGCATAACTCCACTAAAATACGTAATAATTATTGAGCTGCCTACATCGTAGTGTCATTTGTAAAGGTTTCCTAAATCCTGCCAAAACCACTAGTTCAGAAAGATGGCATATGCATAATAGGAAGATATGAAATAATACAAGTTTTCATGCCTTTAGTTATTTGTGGTAGTTGCATACCATGAGACTAGAAAATATCCGACAATAATCATACCTCATTACAGTATGCCACTGCTCTTGGAATAAGAAGAAAACAAAATAAAATCCTATAACAATTTAAGGAACCTGGAAATATACTTGAGTTTTAACTCTGAATATCCTTTATTATTGGAAGGATATGTGTACAGTCATAATCTGTTTATTGAATCAAAATATTATGTGAATGGCTCTTAATGTATACATTTTTCTACTAAGAGGTCATCAAGTCTTTACATAGATGAAATCAAATGAGTCCAATGTTTATTTTTCCTATGTTTTGTGTTATTACGTCACCAGTAGCAACAGTCACCATTTTTTTTTTTTTTTGAGACAGAGTTTCGTTCTTGTTGCCCAGGCTGGAGTGCAATGGCACGACCTCGGCTCACTGCAACCACTGCCTCTGGGTTCAAGCGATTCTCCTGCCTCAGCCTCCCAAGTAGCTGGGATTACAGGCATGTGCCACCACGCCCAGCTAATTTTGTAATTTTAGTAGAGACTGGGTTTCTCCATGTTGGTCACGCTGGTCAGGAGCCAGGTGATCTGCCTGCCTCGGCCTCCCAAAGTGCTGGGATTACAGGTGTGGGCCACCACACCCAGATTTTTTTTTTTTTTTTTGAGACAAAGTCTTGTTCTGTCACCCAGGCCGGAGTGCGATGGTGTGATCTCGGCTCACTGCAACCTCTGCCTCCCAGGTTCAAGCGATTCTCCTGTCTCAGCCTCCCAGGTAGCTGGGATTACAGGCGCCTGACACCATGCCCAGCTAATTTTTGTATTTTTAAGTAGAGATGGGGTTTTACCATGTTGGCCAGGCTGGTCCTGAACTCCCGACCTCAAGTGATCCACCAGCCCTGGCCTCCCAAAGTGCTGGCATTACCGCACCTGGCCTCAACAGTCATTTCTAAACATATTAAATTAAAAGTTTAAACATAGCCAGGCGTGATGGCTCAATCTTGTAATCTCAGCACTTTGGGAGATTGAGGCGGGCAGAGCGCTTGAGCTCAGGAGTTTGAGACCAGCCTGGGCAACACGGTGAAACCCCTACTCTACAAAAAATACAAAAAAATCAGCCAGGCTTGGTGGCACAGGCGTGTGGTCCCAGCTACTTGGGAGGCTGTCGTGGGAGGATCACTTAAGCCCAGGAGGGCAAGGCTCCAAGATCTCACCATTGCACTCCAGTGTGGGTGACAGGGTGAGACCTGGTCTCAACAAAAAAAAAAAAAAGAAAAAAGAAAAAAGAAAAAAGGCTTAAACACAAGTGACAAAGGCAGAACACAGGTAAGACTATCACAGTTAGGTTATTTGTAACTCTCCAGCAAGCACTTCAGTCCTGCACAGATACCAACTGACAAAAACAGAAGCCTCTTTGAGGTTCCAGGTAGACATAATCTCAAATAAAAGTTACAAATATGAAAAGACAACAAAATACTTTGGGCTGAAAAAAAGGGCACAGATTATAGTTCCTACAATAAGGTGTGAAAGGAAGTAGATTCCAGAAAACAGGATGGGAGGAAATATTTGCAAACTATGCATCCAACAAAGGACTAATATCCAGAATCTGGAAGGAACTCAAAACAAATCAGCAAGAAAAAAAAAACAAAAACAAATAATCCCATCAAAAAGTGGGCAAATGACGCGAATAGGCATTTCTCAAAAGAAGGTACACAACAATGAGATGCCTCCTTATTCCTGCAAGAATGGCCATAATTGGCCGGGTGCAGTGGGTCACGCCAGCACTTTGGGAGGCCGAGGTGGGCGGATCATGAGGTCAAGAGATCGAGACCATACTGGCCAACATGGTGAAACCCCATCTCTACTAAAAATTCAAAAATTAGCTGGGTGTGGTGGCACACGCCTGTAGTCCCAGCTACGGGGGAGGCTGAGGCAGGAGAATCACTTGAACCCTGGAGGAGGAGGTTGCAGTGAGCCAAGATCACGCCACTGCACTCCAGCCTGCTGACAGAGCGAGACTCCATCTCAAAAACAAAAAAAAAGAATGGCCATAATTTAAAAGTCAAAAAACAACAGATGTTGGTATGGATGTGGTGAGAAGAAAACACTTTTACACTGCTGGTGGGAATGTAAACTAGTACAACCACTACGGAAAACAGTGTGGAGATTCCTTAAAGAACTAAAAGTAGATCCAGCATTTGATCCAGCAATCCCACTACTGAGTATCGACCCAAAAGAAAACAAGTCATTACATAAAAAAGATACATGCACATGCATGTTTATAGCAGCACAATTTGCAACTCCAAGGGTATGGAACCAACCTAAGAGTCCACCAACCAAGGAGTGGATAAAGAAAATGTGGTTTATATACACCATGGAATACTACTCAGCAATAAAAAGGAACAAAATAATGTATTTTGCAGCAACTTGGATGGAGCTGGAGGCCATTATTCTAAGTAAAGTAACTCAGGAAAGGAAAACCAAATATCATATGTTCTCACTTATAAGTTGGAGCTACACTATGGGTATGCAAAGGCATACAGTGTGGTATAATGGACTTTGGAGACTCAGAAGGGAGAGGGTGGAAGGTCGGTGAAGGATTGGGTACAACATACACTACTCGGGTAATGGGTGCACTAAAATCTCAGACTTCACCACTATACAATTCTTCCATGTAACCCAAAACCACTTGTACCCAAAGCTAGTGAAATTTAAAAAATGCTTGAAAAGGAAGAAAAAAGGCTGGGTGTGGTGGCTCACACCTGTAATCTCAGCACTTTGGGAGGCTGAGGCGGACAGATCACTTGAGCTCAGGAGCTTGAGATCAGCCTGGGCAACATGGTGAAAACTCCATCTCTGCAAAACAATTAGCCTGGCATGGTGGCATACACCTGTAGTCCCAGCTACTCAGGGGGCTGAGGTGGGAGGATTGCTTGAGCCTGGGAGGTCAGCCTTCAGTGAGCCATTGAGCCATGATCTTGCACCACTGCACTCCAGCCTGGGTGACAGAGTAAGACCTTGCCTCGAAAAAAAAAAAAAAAGGAGAGAAAATAAAAGAAATATTTTGAGAATGTGAAAATCAAAGAGGCTAGGCACAGTGGCTCATGCAGTGGGAGGGTAGCTTGAATTCAGGAGTTTGAGACCAGCGTGGACAACTTAGTAAGACTGTCTCTATAAGAAAATCGAAATATCAGCCGAGTGTGGTGGCGTGCACTTGTGATCCCAGCTACTTGTGAGGCTGAGGCAGGACGACTGCTTGAGCCCAGGAGGTCAAGGCTGCAGTGAGCTGTGATTATGCCACTACACTCCAGCATGGGGGACATCTCTGAAAAAAGAAATAACATAAAAAAAACAAGAAAATAAAAAAACAAAAAGATGTTAGTACTAATGCTTATAATGTCTCTATATGTTTCTGCTGCTGTTCAGCAGAAAATGGTGGTAATCCTAAAGCACCAAACTTACTAGATATGGTAGATGCTGTGAGAAAGAAAATGCAGAAAAAGGCATAACATTCTTACTCTACACCAGAGCTTTTATAAAAAGTTAAAAAACTTTTAGAGTACGCTATAAGTACTAAATTCTAGGTTAAAATTAGCAATTGTCTAGAAAGTTTAAAAGTAAGAATTCAGGAAACTATTCTCAATTATAAATCTGTGCTCTAAGGAACATTGTTCAAGAAAGGATTCCTTCTTCTCCCTGATACCATCCATGGTTTTAGTAATTACCTCCCTGACTTAATAGAATTCAATTACTTAGAAATAATATCAGATAGACATTAAAGATTTTAATATTCCATCAAGTTGGCTGTACCATAAACATTTCATTGTCATTTACAATAATTAGCAAACTCCCAGTGGGCAGACATGTCACCCTAACTGTAAAAAGCATTACATAGTCAACGTGTAATGACTTAAACAAAATTCTCAGGTCGCTATGGAAAGGAACATTAAGTAGAAGCACAGCTGCACAACACTGCAAGTCTTGGCACAGGCCATACCCTCCAAATTTTGTTGTTTTTCTGGATGATGAAATAAGAGACAAAGAAAATGCTGTCACACAGCAAATCATCAGAGGAGCCAATGTTAGCAATCTGTTACCAACCCTGGTTCCAAGATATGCCTACTTGTTCTGCCAACTATCCCTATGTACAGTCCAGAACTAATCCCAGTTTTGATTCACTAAACCAACAGATAAGTCATAAAATTCAAGTAAAAAACTAAAGCACAAATGCAAAGGGAAATGACGTACTTCTTCTAAGACTACACACACATGAAATGTGATCCTTCTGTGAGCTGCGGCTGAGTGGATGGAACTGGCGATGCCGAGGACTCAGGAGATGGGGACAGACTTTTCACTAAAACACACAAAGAAAATGGGAGAAGATAAAAATCTTTAAGACACATTTGGAGAAGTAAATCCTGATGCTGTAATCCCACAAAAATTAGAACATGTTTTGAGAAGGAAGTAATAGATACATTTGGTTCTATTGTGATTTTTTCTTTTTAAATAATTAAAAACAAATTTTTATTAATTGAGATGGGGTCTCACCATGTTGACCAGGCTGGTCTTGAACTCCTGGCATCATGCAATCCTCCCATCTTGGTCTCCCGAAGTGTTGGGATTATGTGCCCAGCCTGTTATTTTCTAATTTGCAATCTAATTATTCAGTATAAAATATTTCCTGACAACTACTTAAAAATTTTTTTTTTTTTGGCTGGGCGTGGTGGCTCATGTCTGTAATCCCACCACTTTGGGAGGCCGAGGCAGGCGGATCATTTGAGGTCAGGAGTTCGAGACCAGCCAGGCCAACATGGTGAAACCCCGACTCTACTAAAAATACAAAAATTAGTCAGACATGGTAGCTCGTGCCTGTAGTCCTAGCTACTTAGGAGGCCGGGGTAGGAGAAATGCTTGAACCCAAGAGCCAGAGGCTGCAATGAGCTGAGATTGTACCACTGTACTCTAGCCTGGGCAAGAGAGCAAGACTTTGTCTCAAACAACAACAACAACAACAAAAAACAAACAAACAAAAAAAATACTTTACATTTTTTTTTTCTGCTTTGAGGTTAATTTTCTGTTGGAACTTTTTTTAGTTCTATGCAGCTAAATACTATGGATGATTTAAATGTTGTGGTTTTAATACTATCATAACACTTTGATCCAGACCTGCTGCATAATAACCAAAACTGGCCAGTGACAATTTTTTTTTTAACAAGTGAGACCTCCTGTGCACACTACCTTATTCATTTATTTAGAGACAGAATTTCGCTCTTTGTTGCCCAGGCTGGAGTGCAGTGGCGTGATCTCGGCTCATCACAACCTCTGCCTCCCAAGTTCAAGCGATTCTCCTGCCTCAGCCTCCTGAGTAGCTGGGATTACAGGCATGGCCACCATGCCTGGCTAATTTTGTATTTTTAGTAGAGACGGGGTTTCTCCATGTTGGTCAGGCTGGTCTCGAACTCCAAACCTCAGGTGATCCACCTGCCTCAGTCTCCCAAAGTGCTGGGATTATAGGCGTGAGCCACTGTGCCTGGCTATTTATTTATTTTTTGAGACAGGGTCTTGCTCTGTTGCTCAGGCTGGAAAGCAGTAATGCAGTCACACAGCTCATTGTAGCCTCAACCTCCTGGGCTCAGGTGATCCTCCTACCTCAGCCTCCTGAGAAGCTGGGTCTATAGTGCCATCCCATCCGGCTAATTTTTTAAAAGCATTATTTTTAGTAGAAACGTTGTCTTGTTACATTGCCTAGGCTGGTCTTGAACTCCTGAGCTCAAGCAATACTCCTGCCTTGGCTTCCGAAAGTGCTGAGATTATAGGCGTGAGCCACTGCACCCAGCTCATACTGCCTTGTAAGTGACAGAGGCAAAGGAAAAGGCAGTGCTTAGTATTTGTTACAAGGGAACATGACTGGTAATATAAATTTATAATTTATTTTAAATAAGTAAATTAAATAAAGTTTATTTTATTTAAATTTATAACATACACGTTATATTTATATAAGATACGGAAGATGTTCTGCCCAGAACCCCATGCTTTTCCTAAGAAGAATGGTCCTGAATACTTGAATTTCATTGTTTCTTACTCTTCTGCAAAAGGGCAGGAGTGGTGGCGGGGTTTTGTAGGAATGGTTTTTTACTTATGGACTACAAGAAGCAAAGCTGGGCCGGGCGCAGTGGCTCATGCCTATAATCCCAGCACTTTGGGAGGCCGAGGCGGGCGGATCACGAGGCCAGGAGATTGAGACCAACCTGGCTAACAGTGAAACCCTATCTCTACTAAAAAAAAAAAAAATACAAAAAATTAGCCAGGCGTGGTGACGGACACCTACAGTCCCAGCTACTCAGGAGGCTGAGGCAGAAGAATGGCATGAACCCAGGAGGCGGAGCTTGCAGTGAGTGGAGATCGCGCCACTGCACTCCAGCCTGGGCAACAGAGCAAGACTCCATCTCAAAAATAAAATAAAATAAAATAAAATAAAAAAGAAGCAAAGCTGGCTGGGCATGGTGGCTCACGCCTGTAATCCTAGCACTTTGGGAAGCTGAGGTGGGTGGATCACCTGAGGTCAGGAGTTCAAGACCAGCCTGGCCAACATGGCGAGACCCTGCCTCTACAAAAATACAAAAATTAGCTGGGCGTGGTGGTGGGCACCTATAATCCCAGCTACTTGGGAGGCTGAGGCAGGAGAATCGCTTGAACCTGGGAGGTGGAGATTGCAGTGAGCTGAGATCACGCCACATCACTCCAGCCTGGGTGAAAGAGCTTCAAAAAAAAAAAAAAAAAAAAAAAAAGAAGAAGCAAAGCGATAATATGCACTAATTCCCATCCCTGTTCCCAAAAAATCATAAAGAAAAAGAGTAAAAGGGCCGGGCATGGTGGCTTATGCCTGTAATCCCAGCACTTTGGGAGGTTGAGGCGCGCTGATCACTGGAGGTCAGGAGTTCCAGACCAGCCTGGCCAACATAGTAACCCCCATCTGTACTACAAATACAAAAAATTAGCCGGGTGTGGTGGCACACACCTGTAGTCCCAGCTACTAGGGAGGCAGAGGTTGCAGTGAGCCAAGATAGCGCCACTGCACTCCAGCGCTGGCAACAGAGGGAGTACTCTGCCTCCAGGAAAAAAAAAGAAAAGATTTGTGAAGAGTCCAAAAAATATGAGAGAATAGAGCACAGAACAACTTGTTTTTTTTAAAATGCCATGGATAATAATTTTCTACAATTGAAGGAACAGCCAGGTATGGATTATAGCAATGCTGGAGTAAACAAACCCATTCTATTAGTTTAGATATTAAATCCTCCACAGTTCCCAATGTGGCAGGCTTGTGAATACTCTGAGAATCTAGCCCTGAGAACAGATAGATTTTCCAAGTACTGAAAGATTTTCTTTTCTTTTCTGAGAAGGAGTCTCGCTCTGTCACCCAGGCTGGAGTGCAGTGGCACGATCTCGGCTCACTGCAACCTCCGCCTCTGGGGTTCAAGCAATTCTCTGCCTCAGCCTCCTGAGTAGCTGGGATTGGAGGTGGCTGCCACCATGCCCGGCTAATTTTTTGTATTTTTAGTAGAGACGGGGTTTCACTATCTTGGCCAGGCTGGTCTTGAACCCCTGACCTCGTGGTCCACCTGCCTCGGCCTCCCAAAATGCTGGATTACAGGTGTGAGCCACCGCACCCGGCCAAAAGATTTTATTAGAAAAAGTTTACTCTATGTGTTAAAATTGAAAGGAAAAAGCAAAACCAAAGCCAATGTGTTGATCCCTCTGCCAGGGTAGACTCTGGCAGGGGCTGCATCCTCCTGAAGGTACACTTGGGGAGGCAAACGTTGACTCATCTGTAGTCAAGGTACTTAAGCGATTCCCTTCTTAGAATCTCCCCATGGAAAATAAATTTAGAAGTTCAGAGGAAGCACCAGGTAGAAAATTATGAAGTGTATACTACCTACCTGCCATTGTTTGATTTCCTCTAGAAACCTCAGGAGTTGATTCGTAAGAAATAACAGTTTCTTCCTGTTCGTCAACACTGTTCTTTGTATTTTCTTCAGGATGCTCTTCTGGTTTATGATTTGCGGTCTGTGTTTCATCTTGAGGGCTGATGAAAATAGATTGGTATTTAAAAATTTGTCACTATAGAATACAATTAATTTTTCTTTTTTTTGTTATAAAAGATGCCACCACCTATGTTTAACAACGAACATTTTCTTACAATTAATCTTTTCTTTCTTTTGAAAGTTTCAAACAAAAGAATTAGAGCAAATAATAAACCTGTATATTCATTTCAATAATTACTTGGTTTGCCAATCTTGCTTCATCTAAGCCCTAAAATCCTTGCTCCCTAAACCATTTAAAGCAGATTCTACATATGATATTTAATTTGTAAGTACTTCAGAACATATTTTTAATATGTTAATGCCATCAAATATCCAGTCAGTGCTTAAATTTTCCTGGTGCCTCATAATGTCATTTTAGAATTAGAATCAGGATCCAAACAAGGTCCATATATTGCCTGACAAATTCCTTAAAGTCTACTTTAATCCAAAACAAACTGCCCCAGATCCCTTTTATTCTTTGCCATTTATATGTAAAAGAACTTGGTCTATCTGTCCTATATAGTTTATCACATTCTGGATTCTGATGATTGTATCCCTCAGGATTTTCTATAAAGTTATAAGATTTTTTTTTTTTTTTTTGAGACGGAGTCTCACTCTGTCGCCCAGGCTGGAGTGCAGTGGCGCGATCTAGGCTCACTGCAAGCTCACCTCCCAGGTTCTCACCATTCTCCTGCCTCAGCCTCCCGAGTAGCAGGGACTACGGGCGCCTGCCACCACGTCCGGCTTTTTGTATTTTTAGTAGAGACGGGGTTTCACCGTGTTAGCCAGGATGGTCTCGATCTCCTGACCTCTTGATCTGCCCACCTCAGCCTCCCAAAGTGGTGGGATTACAGGCGTGACCTACTGCGCCTGGCCAAAGTTATATGATTTTAAGGCTTATTCAAATTTAGGTTTTGGAGGGGCAAGTAGCACTTCATTAGGTGGGTGTCATGAACTATTGCATTAACAGATTGTTTCTTTTTGTGATGTTAAAAATGATCAGTGTGGCTGAGCGCGGTGGCTCACGCCTGTAATCACAGCACTTTGAGAGGCCAAGGCAGGATCATGAGGTCAGGAGTTCAAGACCAGCCTAGCCAAGATGGTGAAACTCTGTTTCTACTAAAATACAAAAATTAGCCGGGCACAGTGGCAGGCGCCTATAAACCCAGCTACTTGGGAGGCTGAGGCAGGAGAACTGCTTGAATCGGGCGGCGGGGCAGAGGTTGCAGTGAGCCAAGATTGCGCCACTGCACGCCAGCCTGGGCGACAGAGTGAGATCCCGTCTCAAAAAAAAAACAAACATTAGTGAGTTCAGGGGTTATTGGGTTGACCCATTCATATAAAGATCCTTGTCAGATTTTCAGCTGATAGCTTTGGCAGCCACTGAGGAATATTGTTCAAATCCATTATGGCATTAGGGCTAGCAAAGCAATGACACATATATATTTTTTTTTTGAGGCAGATTCTCACTCTGTCGCCCAGGCTGGAGTACAGTGGCGGGATCTCGGCTCACTGAGACCTCCGCCTCCCTGGCTCAAGCAATTCTTGTGCCTCAGTCTCACAAGCAGGTGGGATTACAGGAATGTACCACTATGCCCGGATAATTTTTGTATTTTTAGTAGAGACAGTGTTTCACCATATTATTGGCCAGGCTAGTTTCAAACTCCTGACCTCAATTGATCTGCCCACCTCAGCCTCCCAAACTGCTGGGATTTCAGGCACGAGCCACTGCACCCTGCCACAAAACAATGATACTCTGACTCCCACTTGAAATTCTTCTAAAAATAAGTTTCCTCAAACTATTTGGTTACAATTTGGGAAAAAAACATGATAAATACTTGATCCTTTCCCTTAATGTACCAAGTTTTGGAATTAAAAGTTGATTCTCTAGCATCCTCCAAAATGGCCAACAAGTAATTTTTTTGTTGTTGTATCATTATGAACTCATCAATTTTTAATATACTGTGTTTTAATCTATGCTTCTTAATACAAAAATTCAGCAGAGATATTTTTCTTAGCAGACATTGCCAAATACTTTTCAAATTCAATCTTGCTATTCATTTAAGAAATCAAGGCATTCCTAATAACAGTAAACCACAGCATTTCTGTTTTCTAGTGCCGGTAATATGTTTAATGGAGGGAAAGATTGAAGATATACTCTTAAGGCCAGTTAAGGCTGGGTATGGTGGCTTATGTCTGTAATCCCAGCACTTTGGGAGGCTGAGGCGGGTGGATCACCTGAGGTCAGGAATTTGAGGCCAGCCTGGCCAACATGGCGAAACCCCGTCTCTACTAAAAATACAAAAATTAGCTGGGCATGGTGGCACACGCTTGTAATCCCAGCTACTTGGGAGGCTGAGGCAGGAGAATCGCTTGAACCCAGGAGGTGGAGGTTGCAGTGTGCCTAGATTGCACTACTGCACTCCAGCCTGGGTGACAGAGTGAGACTCTGTCTCAAAAAAAAAAAAAGAAGGCTAGTTAAGAAATATAGCTAAAAATGGCCAGGCACGATGGCTCACGCCTGTAATACCAGCACTTTGGGAGGCCAAGGCGGGCTGATCATGAGTCAGGAGATCGAGACCATCCTGGCTAACACGGTGAAACCCCGTCTCTACTAAAAATAAAAAAAAAAATAAAAAAATAAAAATTAGCCATGCGTGGTGACACGCGCCTGTAGTCTGAGCTACTCAGGAGGCTGAGGCAGGAGAATTGCTTGAACCCAGGAGGCAGAGGTTCCCTCCGGGAACCGAGTGCAGTGGACCAAGATTGCGCCATTGCACTCCAGCCAGGGCAACAGAGCGAGACTCTGTCTCAAAAACAAAAAAACAACAACAAAAAAAAAACAAAAAAAGAAATATAGCTAAAAGAAAAAAGAAAATCACCATAATTTCTGGAACTCTTATGAGACAGCTTAGAATTTTGACCAATGTCAATCATTACCTGGGAAGACTGATTTCAGGGCCCCCCCACAGATAGCAAAATCTGCAGATGCTCCAGTCCCTTATATCAAATGGCATAGTACAGTTGGCCCTCCAGATCCATGGGTTCGGAATCCATGGATATGGAGGGCCGACTGTAAAGGCATAAATCCATGAATATGGAGGGCCGACTGCATAGGCAGTGATGAATTGCTTACTCTGCTACAGCTTATATGCCTTTTGACTTTTTTTTTTTAAGGTATTTATCTCTCTTTTTAAAATTTTTTTGAGACAGGGTCTTGCTCTGTTGCCGAGGCTGGAGTGTAGTAACGTGATCATGGCTCACTGCAGCCTTGACCTCCCATGTTCAAGCAATCCTCCCACCTCAGTTTCCTGAGTAGCTGGAACTACAGGCATGCACCTGGGGTAAGGTATCATTTATTGAATACTTCCTAGGTGCTAAGCACAGTGTAAAGTGCTGTACATGTATTTTCTTTTTTTTTCCTTTTCTTTTGAGATGGAGTCTCACTCTGACGCCCAGGCTGGAGTGTAGTGGTGTGATCTTGGCTCACTGCAACCTCTGCCTCCTGGGTTCAAGCATTTCTCCTGCCTCAGCCTCCCAAGTAGCTGGGACCACAGACATGCACCACCATGTCTGGCTAATTTTTGTACTTTTAGTAGAGACAGGGTTTTACCATGTTGGCCAGGCTGGTCTCAAACTCCTGACTTCTAGTGATCTGCCCCCGTTGGCCTCCCAAAGTGCTGGGATTACAGGCATAAGCCACTGCTCCTGGCCACATGTGTTTTCGTATTAATCTTTACAACACACCTGTCAGATAGATACTGTTATTATGCCTTTTTTTTTTTTTTTTTTTTTTTTGAGACAGAGTCTCACTCTGTTGCCCAGGCTGGAGTATACTGGCACAATCATGGGTCACTGCAGCCTCGAGCTCTTGGGCTCAAGTGATCTTCTCACCTCAGCCTCCGAGTACAGACTAGGACTACAGGCACATGCCACCATGCCTGGCTAATTTTTTTTTTCAGAGATGAGGTCTCATTATGTTGCCCAGGCTGGTCTTGAATTCCTGGGCTCAGGTGATCCTCCTGCCTTGGCCTTTCAAAGTGCTGGAATTATAGATGTGCACCAGTGCGTCCAGCCCTATTGCCATTTTTACAAGTGAGGAATGTGTAGTTTAAGAGGTTATATAACTTGCTCAAGATTCTATAGCTCCTAGGTAGCTAAGCTGGGGCTGAAATCCAGTACTTTTGACTCTGAAGTTCACCATTTTTAAGCAGTTACACAGTTTTGTGAATGATTCCTTTGCTTTTCTTAAATATTACCTGAATGTAACATCCTCAGGCATTTTGTCTTTGTTTCTTTCTTTATCCATCATTTCCACAGAATTTACTCCATTTGGCTCAGGTTCAAAAAGCATTTCATATGAAATGTTTTCAGTTTTTTTTAACTGTAGAATAAAAAGAAAAATTTTCTTTTCAAAGAATTCTTATCACATTAGATTAGCATATCTAAAATAATTCCAAAATAAAGTTTATTGAACAATCACGGTCGGGCGTGATGGCTCACGCCTGTAATCCCAGCACTTTGGGAGGCCGAGAAGGGCGGATCACGAGGTCAGGAGATTGAGACCATCCTGGCTAACACGGTGAAACACTGTCTCTACTGAAAATACAAAAAAATTAGTGGGGTGTGGTGGCGGGCGCCTGTAGTCCCAGCTACTCGGGAGGCTGAGGCAGGAGAATGGCGTGAACCTGGCAGGTGGAGCATGCAGTGAGCGGAGATCGCGGACTGCACTCCAGCCTGGGTGACAGAGCGAGACTCCGTCTCAAAACAAACAAACAAACAAAAAAATAAATAAACAATCACACTCTATCAAATATTTACTGATAATAAATTTAGGTTCAAGTATATTAATAATATTAACATTCTTTACTACTAGGATGCAAAAAGTTATTTGTCTAAAGAGATGATGCAGGCCGGGCACAGTGGCTCACACCTGTAATCCCAGCACTTTGGGAGGCTGAGGCGGGCAGATCACGAGGTCAGGAGTTCGAGACCAGCCTGGTCAACATGGTGAAACTCCGTCTCTACTAATAACACAAAAAATTAGCTGGGCGTGGTGGCACATGCCTGTAATCCTAGCTACTTGGGAGGCTAAGGCAGGAGAATCACTTGAACCTGGGAGGCAGAGGTTGCAGTGAGCCAAGATCACGCCACTGTACTCCAGCCTGGGCGACAGGGTCAGATTCTGTCTCAAAAAAAAGAGATGGTGCATATTGCTAAGACCTAGCTGTTGGGATATAAGATTCCTTAACCGGGATTAATGATAATTTAATCTAGCTGTGACTGATTATGTTTTAAATTTTCAGTTAATGCATTTTTTTTTAATTTTTCTTTTTTTCTTTTTCTTTTTTCTTTTTTTTGAGACGGAATCTCACTCTGTCCTCCAGGCTGCAGGGTAGTGTGGCGCGATCTCAGCTCATTGCAACCTCTGACTCCCGGGTTCAAGCGATTCTCCTGCTTCAGCCTCCCAAGTAGTGATTACAGGCATGTGTCACTGTGCCTGGCTAACTCTTGTATTTTTTAGTAGATATGGGGTTTCACTATGTTTGCGAGGCTGATCTCGAACTCCGGGCCTCAAGTGATCCACTCGCCTTGGCCTCCAAAGTGCTGGGATTACAGGCATGAGCCACTGTGCCCGCCACGTTTTTTTTGTTTTTTTTTTTGAAACAGGATCTCACTCTGTGGCCCATCTCTACTCACTGCGACTTGGGCTCAGGTGATCCTCCCACCTCAGCTTCCCCAGTAGCAGTTGGGACTACAGGTGCATGCCACCACACCTGGCTAATTTTTGTATTCAGTATTGGCAGGGTTTCACCATGTTGCCCAGGCTGGTCTCAAACTTCTGGGCTCAAGTGATCCGCCTGCCTCAGCTTCTCAAAGTGCTGGGATTACACACACCAGCCACCGTGCCCAGTCAATTAATGCATATCTTGATGTGGCTGAATACATCAATCAAACTAAAGAAAGCTTAATTTTTCCTTTTTCTTTTTTTTTTTGAGATGGAGTCTCCCTCCCTCTGTCGCCCAGGCTGGAGTGTAGTGGCGCGATCTCGGCTCACTGCAAGCTCCGCCTCCCAGATTCACGCCATTCTCCTGCCTCAGCCTCCCCAGTAGCTGGGACTACAGGAGCCTGCCACCAAGCCCGGCTAATTTTTTTTTGCATTTTTAGTAGAGACGGGGTTTTACCGTGTTAGCCAGGATGGTCTCGATCTCCTGACCTCGTGATTCGCCTGCCTCAGCCTCCCAAAGTGCTGGGATTACAGACGTGAGCCACCGCGCCCGGCCAGAAAGCTTATTTTTTCATTTAGCTCTATGGACTCTGTGACTGAAAGAAACACACTTTATTTTCAACCTTACCACTTGATTTAATCTTCACAAATCTATTCCTTTGGAATACCTTTCATAAAATAATCTCGCTACCTCTTTGCTGAAGTCCACATTTTGGGGTTCGGTTTCTTTTAGTTGAACAATTTCTGTTGCAGGAGTTTCATGGTCTGGCTTTACATCATTTTCTCTAATGGCAGTGTCCAGTTCCTTATCATCCCTCCTTCGAGTCTGCTCAAAAGACATATAGCATTTTTATACTCATACTGTGCATGCATGTATATTTTATAAATAGTGCCTGTTAATTCTCAAAATAGAACAAAGCTGGATCTCCACTCATGAAGAAGTTTTCCTATGAAAACTAACAAAGAAAATTTATATATATAGCACTATTCCACACATTTTTCTCAACTCTTTTAAAAAAAACCATTCATTTTGTAATTTGCAGAATGTGCCACAATTCAAACTGTTGCTTTGTTTAGTCTCCATTAGCAATGCCTGCACTTGATTCGGTGGAAAGAGGGGATATTCATTAGGACAGGAAAGCATGTTCAGCTGATGCATTCAGTTTATGCCATTATAGACAAACTTTTAAGATACTATTGCTAGGTGACAAGTGTCTACAAACAGGGAAAGACCAGACAGAAGCTACTGAACAGGTTGGCTAGGCTGCTGTCTCTGAATTTATAAAGAGGGGCAAAAAACAAAAAGAAACAAAATGGCATCACTTTATAAGCCTGAAGTTGAGAGGTGATGGACAGCACACTTGGAACTTTATTTAGAAGCTCTCTCCTGCTACAATTTAGGTCATGTTAAATCAGGACACAGAGCAATACATATTTTATTGAGAGGGGAATTGGGGACTATCTTGGTAACCTGCATAGCATTTTACATTTGTTGAAAACCCTTTTATTTTCTTAGTGTCTCTAAGGAGTCTGGGCAGCTGTATCATCACTGTAAAGTTGAAGACATTAAGTCCACAACTAGTCCACGGGCATCCAACATGTAGTTTAGCTCTGGTCTCTTGAACTCAGGGTTATTTACATTTTACTTAGCTGTCTTAGCTTATTATTAGGAGAATTAAATAATATAAAATAAGTATCCATACTGCAGACCTTTTAAGACCTATCAATCATGTAACTCTGATTCCAAAATTCAGTGATACTAGATTTACACAAAATAATAATCAAATGCAATTCATATACCTGAGTAGTCCTAAATGGATTATCCCTTAAATTTGAAGGGCTTTGTAAGGGTGACTGGTCTGAAGCACCGATAACATTTAACCCTTTTTTCTTCTCCCTCAGGCACGCTTGTTGATGTCTTCTTATTCTTTCCATTTGCTCTTCCACAGTCATCCTTGGTCGAGTACTTTCAGCCAAACAGAGCTGTTCCACTGCACTTCTTGGTCTTTCCTTCAATGTAAAAATGAACATATCAATACATAAATGAAAACTTCTGAAAAGTATGATGGAATAAAAAATGTTGTAAAGTGCATTTATTTATTTTGTTTTCAAAATCACAAGAAGAGGTTTTGAATGTCATTTAGATATCACCAGAAAGGCACATGAAATTGCTATTTGATCCTTAACTAGTAATTGGTGATGTATGCTCAATAACAGAAAGAAAAAGAGACGATATTATAAGGGAGGAGAGAGAAAAGAGGAATAGAAAATATTTTTTTGGCTTAAAAAAAAAATATGGACCAGGAGTGGTGGCTCACACCTATAATCCCAGCACTTTGGGACCCTGAGGTGGGTGGATTACTTGAGCCCAGGAGTTTGAGACCAGCCTGGGCAACATGGTAAAAACCCGTCTCTACCAAAAATACAAAAATTAGCCAGGCAGGTGTGGTGGTATATGCCTATAGTCCCAGCTACTTGGGAGGCTGAGGTAGGAGGATGGTTTGAGCCCAGGAGGTGGAGGTTGCAGCGAGCTGAGATCGTGCTACTGCACTCCAGCATGCAGATGACATGACAGAGCCAGATGCCATCTCAAACAAACAAACAAACAAACAAACAAACCCCCATAACTCAGTTCCAGTAAATCTGGGTAAAACAAAAAACACCATCACCACCACCATAAAAGGGCAGGGCAGGCTGGGTGCAGTGGCTCACGCCTATAATCCCAGTACTTTGGGAGGCTGAGGCAGGTGGATCACTTGAGATCAGGAGTTCAAGACCAGCCTGGCCAACATGGCGAAACCCTGTCTCTATAAAAGTACAAAAAATTTAGCCAGGCATGGTGGCTCATGCCAGTAGTCCCAGCTACTCGGGAGGCTGAGGTGGGAGAATTGCTTGAACCCAGGAGGCAGAGGTTGTAGTGAACTGAGATTGTGCCAACCTGGGCAATGAGTGAGAGTCTGTCTCAAAAAAAAAAAAAAAAAAAGAATATAAAGAATATGGCAGCTCTGGAGCAAGCCAGTCCCATGACCCTGAAATAGAAAATTGCATAAAACTTGACCCTGAAAGAGAAAACTGAATAAAACTCAAATGAGGAGAAAAGCAGGGGCACAGTGTCTAAATATTAGAGATTTCTTTTATTTTGATGAAAACGTAATGTTTTAAGTTATACATTTACCGTGAAAAGACTAATAAAACAAACACCTCTATTTTCTTTCTCATCAGTAATAAAACTACGAAAACACTTATTTTCTATAAATCAGTCATATTTGAAAATGCTTAGGCCGGGCGCGGTGGCTCACACCTGTAATCCCAACACTTTGGAAGGCCGAGGCAGGCAGATCACGAGGTCAGGAGTTAGAGACCAGCCTGGCCAACATGGTGAAACCCTGTGTCTACTAAAAATACAGAAATTAGCTGGGCATGATGGCGGGCGCCTGTAGGCCCAGCTACTCGGGAGGCCGAGGCAGGAGAATCATTTGAACCCGGGAGGCAGAGGTTGCAATGAGCTGAGATCACGCCATTGCACCTGGGCGACAGGGAGAGACTCTGTCTCAAAAAAAAAAAAAAAAAAAAAAGAAAAACAACTTCCTCTTCTTCCACCCAGTCAATGTGAAGATGATGAGGATGAAGATCTTTATGATGAACTATTTCCACTTAATAAGTGGTAAAATATATTTTCCCTTATAATTTTAATTAATTTTATTTATTTATGTATTTATTTTTTGAGACAGGCTGTCACTCTGCTGCCTAGGCTGGGGTGCAGTGGAGCAATCATGGCTCACCTCGACCTCCTGGGCTCAAGTGATCCACCCTATCTCAGCTTCTTGAGTAGGTGAGACCATAGGCACAGGCCACCATGCCTGGCTAATTTTTTTTGGTAATTTTTGTAGAGATGGGGTCTCCTTATGTTGCTCAGGCTAGTCTTGAATTCCTGAGCTCAAGCAATCCTCCAGACCTGGCCTCCCAAAGTGCTGGAATTATAGGTATGAGCTACTATGCCTGGCCTAAACCTGCTAGTATCTTTCTGCTTGATTTTATATTTGTGTGTGTGTTGTTTTTTTTTGTTTTTTTTTGAGACAGAGTCTCACTCTGTTGCCCAGGCTGGAGTGCAGTGGTACAATCTCGACTCACTGCGACCTCCGCCTCCTGGGTTCAAGTAATTCTTATGCCTCAGCCTCCCGAGTAGCTGAGACTACAGGTGCCTGCCACCATTCCCGGCTAATTTTTGGATTTTTAGTTGAGACAGCGTTTCACCATGTTGGCCAGGCTGGTCTCGAACTCCTGACTTCAAATGATCTGCCTGCCAGCCTTGGCCTCTCAAAGTGCTGGGATGACAGGTGTAAGCTACAGCACCTGGCCTCTGCTTGATTTTAACATGCACTTTTTGTAGTCCTTTTTCTGTAGACTTGTTATTTTAGCTTTACCATTTCCAATGAAATCTTCCAATCTGTAAAAAATGCCTAACTCTGAACAAACAATAGTATTACAGAATCATGACCATTAATGTTAATGCTGATATATTATCTTTATTCCATGATAATTATTTCTATAGATCTTTATACTTTTGTACTAATTGAAAACATTACATTTCCTATGTATAAATGCAGCTGAGTTTTTTTTGGCATGTACTTTGTAGTTGTACTTTAATATCTTTGAAGAACAGCTAGCCTGGGCAACAGAGAGAGACCCCGTCACTACTAATAAAAAAGAAAAAAAAATTTAGCCGAGTATGGTGGTACGTGCTTATTGTCCCAGCTAGCCAGGAGGCTGGGGTGAGAGGATCCCTTGAGTCCACGAGTTGGAGGCTGCAGTGAGCTATGATCATGCCACTGCACTTCAGCCCAGGCAATAGAGTGAAACCCTATCCATTGAAAAAAAAAAAAAAAAAAAAAAGACTAGCCATATATCTTATATGTAGTACCTTTCTTGTCTTATAGCCTAAAATTATCTCATACCAAATAGGTAGAGTATTGATAAAGATAAGAAGTAGAAGCATTTTTGCAGCCCAAATTTCTAGAGAATACTTGAAGAAAGGGAGTTAAGTGTTCTCAGCATTTTCCAAAGAACAAAACTCGACTGGTTTGGAGTTTGAATTAAATGAATCTCAGATGAAAATGTAAAATATAGGATTTATTTTCTAGTTCCAACTCACATTTCTCAGAGTAACCAGAGGACTGGCAAACTCTAAAGCTATTAATACCATAGCTAAAAGGCCCTGCAACCTCATGATAGCTAGAAAATCCACTAACTTTTGGGAGGCCACAGGACACATCTATACCTCTCATCGAGAAAATTCTTAAGAGGCATCAAGGAGTGTAGTACAGTGATTAGAGAATAGATTCTACAAATTGTGGACTACGACTATGACCCCATGTCTAGGCTGATCAAAAGAAACTTAAATTAGGTGTTGACTAGGTCTGTCCTCTGACGTGCTAATTCTTTAAACAAAATTTTAAGGCCGGGCGCGGTGGCTCACGCCTGTAATCCCAGCAGTTTGGGAGGCCGAGGCGGGCGGATCACAAGGTCAGGAGATTGAGACCATCCTGGCTAACATGGTGAAACCCTGTCTCTAATAAAAATACAAAAAAATTTAGCCAGGCGTGGTGGTGGGCGCCTGTAGTCCCAGCTACTTGGGAGGCTGAGGCAGGAGGATGGTGTGAACCCGGGAGGCAGAGTTTGCAGTGAGCTGAAATCACGCCACTGCACTCCAGCCCAGGCGAGAGAGCGAGACTCCATCTCAAAAAAAAAAAAACAATTTTTTTTTTTTAAGAATAACTAAGATCGGGCTGGGGGGCGGTGGCTCACACCTGTAATCCCAGCACTTTGGGAGGCCGAGGTGGGCAGATCACGAGGTCAGGAGATCGAGACCATCCTGGCTAACACGGTGAAACCCCGTCTCTACTAAAAATACAAAAAAAATTAGCCGGGCGTGGTGGCGGGCGCCTGTAGTCCCAGCTACTCCGGAGGCTAAGGCAGGAGAATGGCGTGAACCCGGGAGGCGGAGCTTGCAGTGAGCCGAGATCGCGCCACAGCACTCCAGCCTGGGCGACAGAGCGAGACTCCGTCTCAAAAAAAAAAAAAAAAAAAAAAAAAAGAATAAAGAATAACTAAGATTACTAAGTTTTTCTTTGAGTATGCAAAAATAATTTTGATAAGACACTGAAAATGAAAACATGTAAGAAAGCAATAAATAGATGTGAGAATCTTCCTAGAAGATTAATTTCCAGTTAAATACCGTTCTTAGATCCATCATCTTCTTAGTTTTCCTCAAGGTTACATAGGAAGCTATTGTCGAAGATTCGGGTGTTGGTGATTTTGCTCTTGGAGGGACTACTCCAACAGGAAAGTGGGAACCTAAAAATTAAAACAGCAGTAAGTTTTACAAAACATCTTTTATACAGCATTGCTTTCTTTTAGCTTACTTAATTTCTGACACTTTTTAAAATCAGAAAGCAAATTTATTTAAAAAGAGTCAGGCTGGCCTGGCGCGGTGGCTCACGCCTGTAATCCCAGCACTTTGGGAGGCCAAGGCAGGCGGATGACCTGAGGTCAGGAGTTTGAGACCAGCCTGACCAACATGGAGAAACCCCGTCTCCACTAAAAATACAAAATTAGATGGGCGTGGTGGCGCATGCCTGTAATCCCAACTACTCGGGAGGCTGAGGCAGGAGAATCACTTGAACCCAGCAGTCAGAGGTTGCAGTAAACCGAGATCGCACCATTGCACCAGCGTGGGCAACAAAGAACGAAACTCTGTCTAAAAATAAAAAAAAAAGAGTCAGGCTGGGCGTGGTGACTCACGCCTGTAATCCCAGCACTTTGGGAGGCTGAGGCGGGTGAATCACCTGAACTCAGGAGTTCAAGACCAGCTTAGCCAACATGGTGAAACCCTATCTCTACTATAAAAAATACAAAAATTAGCCAGGCATGGTGTCAGGTGTCTATAATTCCAGCAACTCAGGAAGCTGAGGCAGGAGAATCGCTTGAACTCAGGAGGTGCAGGTTGCAGTGAGCTGAGATAGCGCCACGGCACTCCAGCCTGGGTGACAGAGAAGACTCTGTCTCAAAAATAAATAAAAAAATAAATAAATAAAAATAAAAGAGTCAAAGTCAGTCAATGATACCACCAGATAAATTTAGGGTTATATTTAAAAACAAAATTCTGTTCATGCCTGTAATCCTAGCACTTTGGGAGGCTGAGGCGGGATGATCACTTGAGCTCAGGATTTTCAGACCAGCCTGGGTAATATAGTGAGACCCTGTCTCCAAAAAAATTGAAAAAAAAAAAAAAGCTGGGTGTGGTGGTGTACACCTATAGTCCCAGCTACTCAGGAGGCTGAGGTGAGAGGATCACTGCAGAGGTTACAGTGAGTTGAGATCGCACCACTGCACTCCAGCCTGGGCAACAGAGCAAGTAAGAACTTGTCTCCTTAAAACAAAAAAAAAGAAAAAAGAGAAGAAAAAATTGTACAGATTAACTGATGACATTTTTAAGAACATTAATTATAAAATGCCCTCTTTTGGCCAGGTGCTGTGGCTCATTGCCTATAATCCTAGCACTTTGGGAGGCTGAGATGGGAGGATCACTTGAGGCCAGGAGTTTGAGACCAGCCTGCTCAACACAGACCCATCTCTATTTAAAAAAAAAAAAAAAAAAAAAGCCTTCTTTGTCATACTGATACATCTCTATCATCATCGTTAACAAGTTAGTTCAACCTAAATGTTCTTAATTTCTGCTTGGCTTTAAAAAAATCATACAATATTGCCTCAAAGTGTCCACTAACAATGTTAACAATAGCTAACTATAGGTACTCATTTTCACTTTATCTTCTGTATTTTTCTTTTTTTTTTTTGAGATGGAGTCTTGCTGTGTCACCCAGGCTGAAGTACAATGGCACGATCTCGGCTCACTGCAACCTCTGCCTCCTGGGCTCAAGCGATCCTCCCACCTCAGCCTCCTGAGTAGGTGGGACTACAGGCATGTGCTACCACGCCTGGCTAATTTATTTTTTTGTAGAGACAGACAGGATCTTGCCACGTTGTCCAGGCTGGTCTTGAACTCTTGGGCTCAAACCATCCTCCTGCCTCAGCTTCCCAAAGTGCTGGGATTACAAGCGCGTGCCACTAGGCCCAGCCAGTCTTTTTTTTTTTTTTTTTTTTTGAGATGGAGTTTCGCTCTTGTTGCCCAGGCTGGAGTACAATGGCGTGATCTCGGCTCACTGTAATCTCTGCTTCCTGCATTCAAGCGATTCTCCTGCCTCAGCCTCCTGAGTAACTGGGATTACAGGCAAACTATGCCACCATGCCTAGCTAATTTTGTATTTTTAGTAGAGACAGGGTTTCGCCATGTTGGTCAGGCTGGTCTGGAACTCCTGACCTCAGGTGATCTGCCTGTCTCGGCCTCCCAAAATGCTGAGATTACAGGTGTGAGCCACTGCGCCCTGCCTTGGCCAGTCTTTTTAAGTGAAGCATTCAGTCCAATTATATTTGTTGTAATTGCCAATGTATTTAGATTTATTTCTAACAATGTATTTTTTTGCTTTGCATTTTCTCCAGCTTCTTTTCTTTTTTGGATTATCTTTCTCTCCTTCCAGAGTCCTGCTGTGTTGTTCAGGCTGAAGTGTAAGTGGCACGATCACAGCTCTCTGCAGTCTCAACAATTTCTTTTATCTTAAACCCTAGCATGCATACTTAAACTTATGAAAGTCTGAAGTTAGTCAAAATCATTACCATGATTCAGAACAAAACAAAGATGTTAAAGCGTATTAATATCAATAAACTTCCTCCTCATTTATATGCTATTTTTGTCAAATAGTTGTTGTATATGCTTAAAAAAAAGCTAAATACATTTTTTACTTTATAAAATAGAGATGAGGTCTGGTTATGTTGCCCAGGCTGGTCTTGAACTCCTGGACTCAAGCAATCCATCTGCTTCGGCCTCCCAAAGTGCTGAGATTACAGGAATGAGCCATCATTCCCAGCCCATTTAAAGTCTTTGTTGTGGCCAGGTGTGGTGGCTCACGCCTGTAATCCCAACACTCTGGGAGGCTGAGGCAGGCAGATTGCTTGAGCCTAGAAGTTTGAGACAAGCCTGGGCAACATGGTGAAACCCTGTCTCTACAATAAATACAAAAATTAGCCAGGTGTGGTGGCACACGTGTGTAGTCTCAGCTACTTGGCAGGCAGAGGAGGAAGGAGGCTACAGTGAGCCATGATCTCACCACTGTACTCCAGCCTGGGCCGATGGTGAGATCCTGTCTCAAAAAAAAAAAAAAAAAAAAAGACTTTGAATAAGGAGACAGGATTAGGATGAGAAAGAAAAGGTGTATAAATATTAAATTTTCAAGATGCCAGTATTTTTAAATTTAAAAAACGACATTAGATAACCTAGAAAAATATTCCAACAATGAAAAAAGCTATGTGAACATTACTACCACTTAGGTGTTTTCTTGTTTGTTTGCTTTTGTGTTTTTTTTTGAGATGGAGTCACTGTCTAGGCTGGAGTGCAGTGGCACGATCTTGGCTCACTGTAACCTCTGCCTCCCAGTTCAAGTGATTCTCCTGCCTCTGCCTCCCGAGTAGCTGGAATTACAGGTGCCCGCCACCACACCTGGCTAATTTTTGTATTTTTAGTAGAGATGGGGCTTCGCCATGTTGGCCAGGCTGGTCTTGAACTCCTGACCTTGTGATCCGCCCGCCTCTGCCTTCCAAAATGCTGGGATTATAGATAGGCGTGAGCCACCAAGCCTGGCCTCACTTTGATGTTTTTCAAACTTTACTTAGTGATCCTTTAGCAGATTACAAAAATCAGTCCAGTGGGTTATGATAAGCACTTATTTTTCTAAAAAGTTTTACATTTTGTCACACTTACATTATCTCTGCATAAATACATACACATTCTTTCTGGCGAATCCTTTAAAAGTGGCAGATGCTTTTGTCCTAAGTGTTTCAGAATTCACATACTACATTCTACTACACAACCACAATATCACAATCACACTGTTAGCTAATATCTAGAACATGTTTAAATTTCCATTAATTGTGCTACTTTAGAGATTCTTCTTTTAAACCATGGTCCAATCAAGTTTCAAACAGTGCGATATATCTATCTGTTATTTTTTTGTGTGTGACGGAGTCTCACTCTGTCACCCAGACTGGAGTGCAGTGGCACGATCTTGGCTCACTGCAACCTCTGACTCCTGGGTTCAAGTGATTCTCCTGTCTCAGTCTCCTGAGTAGCTGGGACTACAGGTGTGTGCTACCATGCATGGCTAATTTTTTGTATTTTTAGTAGAGACAGGGTTTCACCATGTTAGCCAGGATGGTCTCCACCTCCTGACCTTGCGATCTGCCCGCCTCCACCTCCCAAAGTGCTGGGATTACAGGAGTGAGCCACCGTGCCCAGCCAAACTTTTGTATTTTTAGTAGAGATGGGGTTTCACCATATTGGCCAGGCTGGTAGAGTTTCCATTTCTTGGGAGAGTTTTTTTTTTTTTTCTGTTTCTGGTTGTTGTTGTTGTTGCTGTTGTTGTTGATCTCCTGACCTCAGGTGATCCGCCCACCTCGGCCTCCTGAAGTGCTGGGATTACAGGCGTTAGCCACCACCCCTGGCCTATCTATCTTTTTAATCTAGGATAGTTCTCTCTCTACTCTTTTCTTTACGCAATTGCCTTCTAGAAAAATGACCAGCATTAAGAAAAAAATCAGAGTATACATTACAGAAATATTATTTTAGAATTTACTTTGTTGATATTGTGTGAAAATTTGTTTCAGCCATTAATACCTTATGCATAATTTTAAACACACACACAGAAAAGACCCTGTCCAGGTGTGGTGGCACATGCTTGTAATCCCAACACCTTGGGAGGCTGAGGTGGAAGGAATGCTTGATCCCCAGAGTTCAAGACCAGCTTAGGCAACACGGCAAGACCTTGTCTCTACAAATACTTAAAAAATTAGTTGGGTATGGTGGTGTGTGCCTGTAGTCCCAGCTACTTGGAAGGCTGAAGTGAGAGGATCACCGAGTCTGGGAGGTCGAGGCTACAGTGAGCCATGTTTGCTCCAGTACAGCAGCTCAGGTGACAGAGTGAGACCTCACACACAACAACACATCACAAACAACAACAACAACAACAACAACAACAACAAAAACAACCACCAGAAACAGAAAAAAAAAAAAAGAAAACTCTCCCAGGAAATGGGAAACTTTAAAGTTTGACATAAACTTATTTCTTAGTAAAACCTAATCTGATGTGATGTCTTTTATTTTTATTTATGAGACGAAGTCTTGCTCTGTTGCCCAGGCTGGAGTGCAGTGGTGCGATCTCGGCTCACTGCAGCCTGCACCTCCTGGGTTCCAGTGATTCTCCTGCCTCAGCCTCCCGGGTAACTGGGATTCAGGCACGTGCCACCATGCCCAGCTAATGTCTTTTATTTTTAGCATTTATTTATGCCACTTGGAATGAATATTGTAGAAATAGTGTTAAAAAAAGGGTGCTGCCTCATACCTAGCTGAGATGACATATATCATTTATGGGCCATTTTATCTTTTAATATCTGAAAATTTCTTAATTTAGAAACTCATCAGAGTCCAAAGGTTTCAGATAAAGGGTTGGACTCATATATGAGTCAACATGTAAATGGAATTTACTACTATTTTGGCAGTAAATTGTCTTCAAAAACAAAAACCAAGAGGTAAAACATATTACAAATGCTGACCTTTAACAACTGAAGTTTCTATCTCTGAAACAGGTTCTGATTTTTCTTCTCCATTAGATTCATCAACTTCTGCCACTGTTGTTAACTCTGGTTCACTCTTGTAGAGTCTATAATCTGGACCCTTGAAAGGAAGACATGTAATTACCCTAAAAAACTGCTAAAAGTTTCTTTTAAAATGTTTACTGCTAAAGACACAAATCAAACTCTAAACATTAGTAGCCCTAGTGAGCCATCTGGGATATAACACAAATAATACCTATGTCACAATTACGTGGAAAGAAGAAATTTGAGAAATTTTTAAGTGGCAAAACTTCGTTTTAATATTAAGAATATTTCTGGCCGGGTGCAGTGGCTCACACCTGTAATCTCAGCACTTTGGGAGGCCAAGGTGGGTGTATCACCTGAGGCCAGGAGTTTGAGACCAGCCCAGCCAACATGGTGAAACCCTGTCTCTACTAAAAATACAAAAATTAGCTGGGCATGGTGGTGTGCGCCTATAATCCCAGCCATTCAGAAGGCTGAGGCAGGAGAATCACTTGAACCTGGGAGGCGGAGCTTGCAGTGAGCTGAGATTGCTCTACTGCACTCCAGCCTGGGAAAGAGTGAGACCCTGTCTCAAAAAAAAAAAAAAAAAAAAGAATATTTCTGTTCCTCTTAGGAACAAAGTCACATTTTTATGATGGAATAATTGAGGGCTAAAAATAACTATATTAATTCAATAAATTTTCATTCACAAGGTAGTCTAAGTGAGGCCCATCCCAGCACTAAAATTCCTGTCACAGACATTTTGTTGTTCTCAAATTAGCTCAATTCTAATTTCCTTTTTCTCTTTGCTTATTATATCCTACATTATTTGCTTAACCCTAAACGTATTTCCCATTTTCAGGGGTGACATCTCTCCTTAGCAACATCCACATCTTTGAGTAGTTTTCCTAGACCAAAATGTCCACATCCCAGCCCCTTTACCATCCCTAGTAACGGTCTTTTTCTTTCTCCCTTCTTTCTGATCTGAAGGTATAATCTTGCCTCCAATACCCTAAAATGGTATATCTAAAATACGGCTGCTTCATCATGGGAAAAGTTACCACTTTATGAAAATATGAAAAATGCTATGAAATTATAAAATATTAAAATTATAAAAATATTAAAAATGAGAATAGCAAAACCAAAACAGGAAAGACACAAATGATAAAGTCATATATAAACTAAAAACTGCTGGCCAAAAATGAGGTTATAAAGGTTATAATAAAAAAAAAGTTTGAGTGTAAAATAAATTAATTTTCAAAAATGAGAGGACATGTAGGATTGATTATTCTGTGGCTATTCCAGCCACTTACACAGTGAGATCCATTTCTTGGATATCCTTGAACTTGATACATCTTCTTTTCTTCAGGCAGATGAACTGGGCCCCTGCTATAACAGAGCAAGGAGCTGCTATCACTGGGCAGAGGGGGGATTATGGGAGGCTGCTCTGTAAAGTCATAGGACCGAGGAAGTGGAGGACGAGGTGGGACTACTTCCTCTTCCTAAAGATTGTAGAACAGTCACCTTATTTAGATAAGCAGATTGAATTAAGCATATCTAAATTCTTTGCAATGGTATATTAACTTAAATTTACTTTAAGATACTAAAAGGGACACTGCCAAGCCAAAAGTCTAATAATGAAAAGTAAAATCAAAAATTTTTTATCATAGCCAATAATTGGAATTTAACATATAATTACATCTGATTCTTTCCTGTAACATATAGGTTAGCTTCACACTGAAACTCAACATTGAAAGAGATTACTATTTAAAACTAATTACTGGGTTTCATTTTAAAACTAGAAGGAAAGAACTGATTTTAAAATCCTATTCTTATATTTTCACAATTTATCTTATTTATTTATTTGGTAGAGATGGGGTCTCGCTATAGTGCAGTGATTTGATCATACATAGCTCACTGCACCTTTGAACTCCTGGGCTCAAGGGATCCTCCTGGCTCAGCCTCCCGAGTAGCTGGGACCACAGGCACACCATGCCCGTCTAATTTTTCAATGTTTTCTAGAGATGGGGGTCTTGCTATGTTTACCAGGCTGGTCTCAAACTCCTGGGCTCAAGACATCCTCCTGCCTTGGCCTCCTAAAGTGCTGGGATTACAGGCATGAGCCACTGCACCTGGCCCCCCAATTTTTAAGAGAGGAAAAAAAAAAGTTACCTCTTTGGTTTTTATACGAAATTCAAAATAATAGATTCTTTTGGTTAGGTTGACAGTATCTCTTTGTAGTTGTAATTTCTTTATGCTACGCATGACATACAACCAACTTATCTATCGATCATCCTATAAATTTTACATAGTATAAGAAACAATGATAAGTATTCAAACATTACTTAGATTAGAAAAAGTATGACAACGTTAAAATTCTAACAGATAAAAAGCAGAGATTCCATTTTTTTGCATTAAAAAAGGGAAGAAAAATCACATATTAGAAGCACCAAATTACTGATCCAATAAAATTTCAAGACTAAAACAATATCTGTTCAATATATTTAAAAAATATTTTTGTTATTAAGATTAGAGAAGACAATTACTTCTAATTCATCTCTTAAGCATTAAAAGTAATTTATAATTAGAAAAACAATCCAAACTTACCTCATTTTTGTACTTAACTGTTGAGAAAGGCTTTGATCCTATCATACCTGGGAATATTAGAAAACGTAACTATATTAAACATATCTTTCTAATACTATAAAAAAAGAACAATTTCTTTTGTTTTTTTGAAATGAAGTCTTGCTGTTTGCCCAAGCTGGAGTGTAGTGGCGTGATCTCAGCTCACTGCAACCTCCGCCTCCTGGGTTCAAGCAATTCTTGTGCCTCAGCCTCTCGTAGCTGGGACTACAGGCGTGCGCCACCACGCCCAACTGATTTTTTTTATTTTTAGTAGAGATGGGGTTTCACCGTGTTGGTCAGGCTGGTCTTGAACTCCTAACCTCAAGTGATCCACCTGCCTCGGCCTCCCAAAGTGCTGGGATTACAGGCGTGAGCCATGGCGTCCAGCCAAAAAAAGAACAATTTCATGTATTTTTTTTTAAATTTATTTTTATTTTTATTTATTTTTATTTTTTATTTTTATTTTTTTTTGAGACAGAGTTTCGCTCTGTCGCCCAGGCTGGAGTGCAGTGGCAAGATCTCGGCTCACTGCAACCTCTGCGTCCCAGGTTCAAGCAATTCTTCTGCCTCAGCCTCCCGAGCAGCTGGGACTATAGGTGCACGCCACCATGCATGGCTAATTTTTGTATTTTTAGTAGAGATGGGGTCTCAACAAGTTGGCCAGCCTGGTCTCGAACTCCTGACCTCAGGTGATCTGCCCGCCTTGGCCTCCCAAAGTGCTCGGATTACAGGCATGAGCCACTGCGCCCGGCTTATTTTTATTTCTTTATTGTTTTTCACTCTGTTGCCCAGGTTGGAGTGCAGTGGCGTGATCTCTGCCTCCCGGGTTCAAGAGATTCTCTTGCCTCAGACTTCCAAGTAGCTGGGACCACAGGTGCGTACCACCACACCTGGCCAATTTTTGTACTTTTTTTTTTTTTTTTCAGTAGAGCCGGGGTTTTGTCATGTTGGCCAGGTTGGTCTTGAACTCCTGACCTCAAGTGATCCGCCTGCCTCGGCCTCCCAAAGTGCTGGGATTACAGGCGTGAGCAACCACGCCTGGCCGATTTCACATATTTTAAATGAAGTCTTCAGTTTCTAATCATTCACTTATTGTTTTCAGAATTGGAAAGCAATTACATTAAAAAGGCAACAAATATTTAAACAAGAGTATGGGGAAATGGGTTTTCTCAAACATTACTGGTATTAACATAATGTGAAATAATCCTTCAGGAGGGCATTTTGGCCGCAGTTATCCAAATGGAAAACATGTGCTTATTTCTCACCTTTTAAAATCCATTAAGTACTAACATATGTGTTTAGTTGTATGTATTAATAATGTTCACTATGGCATGGCTTATGACAGCATTCATAAAAAACTCTGGAAACAACATACATTATCCATCAATATGGAAATGGATAAATATATTACAGTTCCCTTATACAATGGATTCTTACACTGCATTGTTATGGAGAAAAAAGCAAATTATTGAAAAATAGATATAGGATGATCCCAGTTCTTGTTGTGGGGATAAAACTTCTAAAGTGTAAACATTGTGGATATTTATAATTATACACACAAGACAATAATTATTTTTGTTTAGGTATGGTTGACAGAGCTTTCACTTTTTACTTTATAAACCTGTGCTCTGATTCAATGTTAAGAGTGCCTGTTCAGAAAAATGCATTAAAATAACAAAAGAAACTCAATTATATATGTCATTCCATTTAGACATTCAGTCATGTGCCACATACCAATGTTTTGGTCAGCAACAGACTACATATACGACAGTGGTCCCATAAGATTATAATGCAGCTGAGAAAATTTTTTTTTTTTTTTTTGGGACAGTTTCCCTCTGCTGCCCATGCTGGAGCACACTGGCATGATCTTGGCTCACTGCAACCTCCACCTCCCGGGTTCAAGCGATTCTCCTGTCTAAGCTTCCTGAGTATTTGGGACTACAGGCATGCGCCACCATGCCTGGCTTTTTTTGTATTTTTAGTAGAGACAGGGTTTCACCACGTTGGCCAAGCTGGTCTTGAACTCCTGACCTCAGGTGATCTGCCCACCTCAGCCTCCCAAAATGCTGGGATTACAGGTGTGAGCCACTGTGCCCAGCCAGAGCTGAGAAATATCTATTGCCTAGTTGTTGCCCTCATGTCAGAGTGTAACACATTACCTTTTCTATGTTTAGATATACAAATAACATTGTGTTACAACTGTCTACAGTATTCAGTACAGTCACATGCTGTGCAGGTTTGCAACCTGGGAGCAATAAGCTATATACCACATAGCCTAGGTGTGTAGTAGGCCATACAACTAGATTTGTTTAAGTACACTCTGATTGTACAACACAATCACCTAACAATGCATTTCTCAGAATGTAATCTGTCACCAAGCGACACATGACTGTAATACTGTGGTCAGTCACAAAATAAAATGCAAAGCTAATTTACCTATTTCTGTAGTACCTCTTTGCTGCTTATGTTTACTCAGCCCTTCCATGACATCCTGAATTCGCCAAAGTTCTTTCTGAATCTGTGCACGCTGAATTCCTGCTGATTCCGTCTATCAGTAAAAATGGATAGACCATATATAAGAAAAAAAATCATTCACTGAAGTTAAATGATTATATATTAATTATATAAATTACATCTAAAAATGCAAATTGCAGTGAATTAAGTGTTACGAATATTTAATATGATTGATGTGACTCTCCCAATTTTGCAAGTCCAGTGGCAAATATAAAAGACTGAGCAGAGCAAGAAAAATATTTAATTTTCATACTTAAATATACTATTTTAAATCTTTCCAATAAGCTTTGTCTTACATTATTTATGATACCAGGAAGGCATATTGATTAAAAGGGACCCAAAATGGAAAATACAAACAGAGAGAATGAAAACAGAGCAGAAACAAACCCCAAAAGAAAAAATAATTTCTGGGAGGGGGAGATGTGGCAGGGCATTGGGGAATGGGTGAGAAATGGAAGGTGTACTAACTTCCTAGGTTCTAGAACATAAAAACAACAACAAAGGTACAACTAACAAAATATATCAAGATGAATTTTGACTGACAGAGTTTAAATGTATTTTTTTATTTTTATTTTTTTTTGAGACAGAGTCTTGCTCTGTCGCCCAGGCTGGAGTGCAGTGGCAAGCTCTCAGTTCACTGCAGCCTCTGCCTCCTGGGCGCAAGTGATTCTGCTGCCTCAGCTTCCTCAGTAGTGGGGATTACGGCACGTGCTATGCCATAATTTTTGTATTTTGTGCAACGACATAATCTCAGCTCACTGCAAACTCTACCTCCCAGGTTCAAGCAATTGCCCTGCCTCAGCCTCCCGAGTAGCTAGGATTACAGGCATGTGCCACCACACCCGGCTAATTTTGTATTTTTAGTAGAGATGGGGTTTCACCATGTTGGCCAGGCTGGTCTTGAACTCCTGACCTCAGGTGATCCGCTCTCCTCAGCCTCCCAAAGTGCTGGGATTACAGGTGTGAGCCACCGCGCCCGGCCAATTTTCTTACTTCTAAAATTCCACATCATGCCCTCAGGTTAAATACACTAACTGAAACCAAAATAAGATTACATTGGTTTTCTCTGAGATTCTATTAGAAATCTATGACTCTTATTCATAAATAGGGTAATAATAACACCATTCTGGATAATACTAAACACTATTCTAGGAATGTAACTTTATTTTTAAAAATAGGCAATGACATACAAAAACTGTCACATTGCCTAGAACAATACTTTCTTTGGCTGAGTATCAGTTATTAATGACTATAGATATTAGAATATAATCAGTATTGCATCAATATGCTAAAAAAGTCCTCTAATGGGTAGAAATATGTTTTCAGCCAGGCACAGTGGCTCACACCTATAATCCCAGCACTTTGGGAGGCTGAAGTGGGTGGATTGCTTAAGCTCAGGAGTTCAAGACCTGCCTGGGCAACACAGAAAAACCCCATCTCTACCAAAAATACAAAAACTTAGCTGGGCGGGGTGGTGTATGTCTGTGGTCCCAGCTACTTGGGAGGCTGAGGTGAGAGGATCACTTGAGCCTGGGGGAAGAGGTTGCAGTGAGCCAAGATCGTGCCACTGTCCTCCAGCCTAGGTGACAGAGTGAGACTCTGTCACAGGGGGAAAAAAAAAGCAATATGTTTTCAAAGTCTTCCAAGCACTTGGGAGTTGATCAAAAGATTAAAAAAAGAAAAAGAAAAAACTCAAGAAAAGTCTATAAGCCTAAAGACTATGAATTAATGCTGCTCCAAAAAGGCACTACATAACCTAAGTTATCTAGTTTTCCAAGCTACAGCCTGGAAGCATCAAAAAGTAAAAAAAAAGAAAGTACCCATGCAAGAGCCAAACACAACGACAGCCCAGAGATGTAAATACTGACACAGAGGATGGGAAGGTCACTATAAATAACAGATCCTTGCACATCTATATACAACATGTATTACTTTCATAAAATTTAAAAGATATATATATGTATAGACACATTTTTGCCAATCTGAAACGGTATACAATGCAAATCTAATTTTTATTTTATTTGCATTTCTCTGGTTACTACTAACTTTGAACTATTTTTCTTTTCCTTTCATTTTTTTTGAGGCTGAGTCTCACTCGGCCACCCAGGCTGGAGTGCAGCGATGTGATCTTGGCTCACTGTGACCTCTGCCTCTTGGGTTCAAGCAATCCTCCTGCCTCAGCCTCCCAAATAGCTGGAATTACAGGTGTGTGACACCATGCCCAGCTCTCTCTTTTTTTGTATTTTAGTAGAGATGAGGTTTCGCCATGTTGGCCAGGCTGGTCTTGAACTCCTGACCCTCAAGTGATCTGTCTGACTTGGCCTCCCAAAGTGCTGGGATTACAGGCATACGCCACTGTGCCCAGCCAACTTTGAACTATTTTTCTTTTCTTTCTTTTTTTTTTTTTTTTTATTGATCATTCTTGGGTGTTTCTCGCAGAGGGGGATTTGGCAGGGTCACAGGACAATAGTGGAGGGAAGGTCAGCAGATAAGTGAACAAAGGTCTCTGGTTTTCCTAGGCAGAGGACCCTGCGGCCTTCCGCAGTGTTTGAGTCCCTGGGTACTTGAGATTAGGGAGTGGTGATGACTCTTAACGAGCATGCTGCCTTCAAGCATCTGTTTAACAAAGCACATCTTGCACCACCCTTAATCCATTCAACCCTGAGTGGACACAGCACATGTTTCAGAGAGCACAGGGTTGGGGGTAAGGTCACAGATCAACAGGATCCCAAGGCAGAAGAATTTTTCTTAGTACAGAACAAAATGAAAAGTCTCCCATGTCTACCTCTTTCTACACAGACACGGCAACCATCCGATTTCTCAATCTTTTCCCCACCTTTCCCCCCTTTCTATTCCACAAAACCGCCATTGTCATCATGGCCCGTTCTCAATGAGCTGTTGAGTACACCTCCCAGACGGGGTGGTGGCCGGGCAGAGGCGCCCCTCACCTCCCGGACGGGGCGGCTGGCCGGGCGGGGGGCTGACCTCCCCGCCTCCCTCCTGGACGGGGCGGCTGGCCGGGCAGAGGGGCTCCTCTCTTCCCAGTAACTTTGAACTATTTTTCAAACACGTGTTAGTAATTTGAGTTTTCCTATGATTAGTTACTCATGTTTTTTGTATGTTTTTCTAAAGGATTATTTCTCCAAATCAAAAAGAAAAACTTCCTTGCAAATCTAAATAGTTATCCCTTGTTGAATTTTTGAGGTAAAACATACATCCTCCCAGTAGGTCATCTTTTTACTCTGTCTATGTTGCCTTCATTGAGGGTAAATCTTTAACTTTGATAAAGCCAAATGCTGTTCAACAATTCTCTCTCTTTCTTTCTCTCTCTGCTTTGTGGATATTCATGGCCTGCTGCTAAACTCTCTATTCTGTTCCATTGGTCTATTTTTTCCTGTACCATGTTTAACACTATAGTTTTACATTATGTTTCCTTGTTTATTTATTTAACAAACACTTATATAGCGTGTTTTATATGCCTGGTTTTATTCTACATGCTGCAAAATATAAACATATTTATCCTCATAATAACCTAGCAGGAGTAGGTATTATTTTATTTTATAGTTGTGGAAACTGAGACCCAGAGTTGTTATGTAACTGGTCTAAGGCTGTATATGCAATGTTACCATTCATAGAGTATGACTTCTCATTCTTTTATTTTTTTTTGAAATGTCTTAACTACTTGTGGTTTTTATTATACCTTAAAAATATTAGAGCCATTTCAGAAATTTCTTTAGAAAATTCTACTGGAAATTTGGTTGGAATAAAATTGCATTTACAGGAAGAATTTTCATTGTGATAATGTTAAATCAGACCATCCATGAATATGGTATACCAATTACACCTCTCCATTAATTCAGGTCTTCTCTTATATCCTGTAATAAGGTTACTAAATTTTCATAATAAATATATTTTTTGGCAGGTTAAATCTGGGATTGGCAAATTTCTGTGGCCTGCAGCCTCTTTTGGTATGGCCTGTGAGTTAAGAACAAATTTTACTATTTTTAAGAAGTTATAGCCGGGCACGGTGGCTCATGCCTGTAATCCTAGCACTCTGGGAGGCCAAGGCGGGCAGATCACCTGAGGTCAGGTGTTCAAGACCAGCCTGGCTAACATGGTGAAACCTTGTCTCTACTAAAAATACAAAAATTAGCCAGGTATGGTGGCACATGCCTGTAATCCCAGCTACTAGGAAGGCTGAGGCAGGAGAATCACTTCAACATGAGAGGCGGAGGTTGCAGTGAGCAGAGATCACACCACTGCACACCAGCCTGGGCAACAAGAGTGAAACTCTGTCTCAAAAAAAAAAAAGAGAAGTTATAAAATAACAAAAAACATTAAATAATATGTGACAGATCTGGCCTTTTACAGAAAGTTTGCTGACCTCTAGTAATATCTTAGGTATTTATAGCTATTTTTCTAGTGTATTTAGCATCTCATTTTTGTAGCTGATTTCTTATTTTTTTTTTTTTTTGAGATGGACTTTTGCCCATCACTCAGGCTGGAGTGCAATGGTGTGATCTCCGATCACTGCAACCTCCGCCTCCCAGGTTGAAGTGATTCTCCTGCCACAGCCTCCCGAGTAGCTGGGATTACAGGTGCCTGTAGCTGATTATTGTAGCTGATTACTGACAGTGTAACTTCAGTGTCCAATACAGAAGTCCCAGCCACATGTGGCCATTTAAATTTAGACAAACTGGGCTTGGTGACTCATGCCTGTAATCTCAGCACTTTGTGTTTTTTTTTTTTGAGACAGAGTCTCCCTTTGTCGCCCAGGCTGGCATACAGTTGCGTGATCTCCACTCCACTGCAACCTCTGCCTCCCAGGCTCATGCGATTCTCCTGCCTCAGCCTTCCAAGTAGCTGGGACCACAAGTGCCCAGCTAATTTTTGTATTTTTGTAGAGGTGGGGTTTCACTGCGTTGGCCAGGCTGGTCTCAAACTTCTGGCCTCAAGTGATCCTCCCACCACGGCCTCCCAAAGTGCTGGGATTACAGGCATGAGCCAATGTGTCCAGCCGATCCCAGAACTTTGGAAGGCTGAGGTGGGAGGATCACTTGGGCCCAGGAGTTCAAGGTTTCATCTAGGATCATGCTACTGCACTCCAGCCTGGGTGACAGAACAAAACCCTGATTCAATAAACAAGTAAATACATTTAGATAGTTAACATGAATACAACTAAAAGTTCAGTTTTAATTGTGTAGTCACAATAGTCACATTTCATATGCCCAACAACTACATGTGGCCAGTACTATGCTGGACAGCACAGATAGAGGGCAGCTGAATTTCTGATTCAACCTTACTAATCTTTTTTTTTTTTTTTTTGAGATGGAGCTTCGCCCTTGTTGCCCAGGGTGGAGTACAATGGAGTGGTCTTGGCTCCCTGCAACCTCCACCTCCCGGGTTCAAGCGATTCTCCTGCCTCAGCCTCTGGAGTAGCTGGGATTACAGGTGCCTGCCACCAAGCTCGGCTAATTTTGTATTTTTAGTAGAGATGGGCTTTCACAATCTTGGCCAGGCTGGTCTTGAGCTCCTGACCTCGTGATCCTGGCTAATTTTGTATTTTTTAGTACAGATGGGGTTTCCCCATGTTGGTCAGGCTGGTTGGTCTTGAACTTAACTAATTTTTCATTCATTGTATTGATCTGTCTGTTAAGTCCATGCATTTCCAACTAAAATGTTCAAATTTACATTGGGTCATAAGCGTGACGTAACTTTTATTATTTTCTTAAACATGTATTATCTGCGTTCCTCAGAGCAACATTTTAAGACAAGTATTATTATTTCTTTTTTTTTTTTTTTTTTTTTGAGATAGAGTCTCGCTCTGTCGCTCAGGCTGGAGTACAGTGGTGCGATCTCAGCTCACTGCAACCTCCACCTCGTGGGTTCAAGTGATTCTCCTGCCTCAGCCTCCCAAGTAGCTGGGATTACAGATGCCTGCCACTACACCTAATTTTTGTATTTATAGTAGAGACAGGGTTTCGCCATGTTGGCCAGGCTGGTCTCAAACTCCTGACCTCAGGTGATCTACCCACTTCAGCCTCCGAAAGTGCTGGGACTATAGGCGTGAGCCACTATGCCCGGCCAAGTATTATTATTTCTATTTTATAGATAAGAAAACTAACCCTTGGAACTAGGTCTCAGATCTGTTTGCTTATTAACTGGATTCTTTATAGCAAATGGTGCTGTATCTTCCCCTATTCTAATAAGGCTTGGTGGTGCATGCCTGTGATCCCAGCTACTCGGGAGGCTGAGGCAGGAGAATCGCTTGAACCCGGGAGGCAGAGGTTGCGGTGAGCCAAGATCGCGCCATTGCACTCCAGCCTGGGCAACAAGAGCAAAACTCTGTCTCAAAAAAAAAAAAAAAAAAAAAGATAAAAGATAAAATATTCATTATTTGATAAATCCATATAATTCAACATCTCAATACCAAGTGACACAGATGGACCTGTGAAAGGATATGAAACCATGTTTTTAGGAAACTGTAGAGCTGAGACTGATAGGAGCACAGAACACTCCAGGGCTCACCATGTGCCCAACAGAACAAAGAACTCTTAAACAAGAGGGGATGGTCTCCTTTGTGAGATAGTAAGATTCCTGTCATTAAAAGTATTCAAATCCAGGTCTCAGGTAGCCAATAATGTAAAAACTGTTATGGGTATGCGTAAATCTAACAAGGTGGATTGTACAGTACCAGTAAAAACAGTTAAAACAATATAAAGAATATTATACTTTTGTACCTGAACTTCACCAAGGTGATCCAGCTGCTCTTGCATCTGGTTCCTGGTAACAGTTACATCGTATTCTAACTTATCATATTCTCTCCATGCTCGTTCCAATTCCTAAAACCAAAAAGTGTTAATTACTTTAATGGGGAAAATGTGCTTTTATGGTGTTATCACTCCAATTGTAACTTTCTAGATTTTAGAAAGTCATATAGTTTATACTTAGCAAAACAGGAATTTTTATAACCATTTTTGTCCCTTTTTAAAACTCAATTCAACAAAAATTTACTAAGCAACCTAAGTATTATTGTGCTGCTGTTTATTTCCTAAAATGTAGAAGAGGCATAAATAAAGCATTTTCTTATCTGTCTTCATTAAAAGTTCTCCATGAATGGAAATAGTTTGTATTTTAGCATATTGGAATTTCAATAACATCAGAGGCTTGACATGACTTTACTTACAATAAGCTTATAGTAATACAATAAAACAAATGAATTTAGCTAGCTATTTAAACAATTCAGTGAATCCTGTTTGTGAGGACTCAATATAGACACTATTATCCATCTGTACTTTTCTCCTTTGGAAAAAAAATCACCCCCAAACCAATAATATCACAGAGAAGATTTTGATGTTTGGTCTTTAACAGCTTGTCATTTGTTGAATATAGAATAATTCTAGAGGTGCTTAAAAATACATCATCTGCCAGACGCAGTGGCTCACATCTGTAATCTCAGCACTTTGGGAGGCTGACGGGGGCAGATCACTTGAGCTCAGCAGTTTGAGACCACCCTGGCCAACATGGTGAAACCCTGTCTCTACTGAAAACACAAAAATTAGCTGGGCCCGATGACTTGTGCCTGTGGTCCTAGCTACTTGGAAGCCTGTGGAGGGAGAATCGCTTGAACCTAGGAAGCAGAGGTTGCAGTGAGCCGAGATTGCGCCTCAGGAGGCTGAGGCAGGCAGATCACGAGGTCAGGAGTTTGAAACTACCTGACCAACGTAACCAAACCCTGTCTCTACTAAAAATACAAAAAAAAAAAAAAAAAAAATTAGCCAGGCGCAGTGGCAGGCGCCTGTAATCCCAGCTGCTTAGGAGGCTGAGGCAGGAGAATCGCTTGAACCTGGGAGGCGGAGGTTGCAGTGAGCCGAGATTGCACCATTGCACTCCACCCTGGGTGACAGTGCGAGACTCCGACTCAAAAAAAAAAATAAATAAAGTAAAAGAAAAAAAATAAAGAGCTATCTTATTTTGTATATTCTGTAACTAACTTAAAATAACTTTAGAAAATTTAGGTGATTGGCTGGGTGTGGTGGTTCTCGCCTATAATCCCAGCACTTTAGGAGGCTGAGGCAGGTGGATCACTTGAGCCCAGGAGCTCGAGACCAGCCTGGGCAACATAGAGAGACCCCATCTCTACGAAAAAATACAAAAATTCTCTGGGTGCGGTGGCGCTTGCCTGTGGTCCCAGCTACTCGGGGCAGGGCTGAGGTGGGAGGATTGCTTGAGCCCAGAGGCGGAGGTTGCAGTGAGCCAAAATTGTGCTACTGCACTCCAGCCTGGGTGACAGATGACCATGTCTCCAAAAAGAAAAAAAAAAAAACAAAAAACTGAAGCTATCTTGCCAGTCTTTTTTTTTTTTTTTTTTTTCATAAAAAAAAAATCTTAGGTGAAGAAAAATTATTCAAAATGTACTGGGAAAACAGATGTGTGCCATCACCCCTATGCCCGGCTAATATTTTGTGTGTGTGTGCGTATACAGAGATATATATATATATATATATATATATATATATATATATATTTTTTTTTTTTGTGAAGACAGGATTTTGCCATGTTGCCCAGGTTGCTCTCTAACTGCTGGTCTCAAGTGATTCCACCAGCCTTGGCCTCTCATAGTGCTGAGATTACAGGTGTGAGCCACCACATCTAGTCAGCAAATTCTTTTTACATGAATAAATATGAAAATTAATTTCCTTTAACAAAAATTAATTCTAGCCATGGTTTAATTTGTGTGCACCACAAAAACTGCAAATAGTGGGTCTTTGATGGCTTTAGGGAGAGTAAATTAAGACAACAGATCCAATGACAGCCCAGTGGCTAAGAGGGTATTACAGGCTAACACCTAAGCTCCCTTGTGGAAATGCAGAGTTCAGGGTAGGCTTAACTGCACTGCAGAGGCATTTAAGTATAAGAACATTTCAGGATGGTAGGAATCCTTCTCTTTCTTAAAGAAACATTAAAAATACAGATTGAGAGCTAGACATTCCTTTATCAGTATTTTAGAAGTGAAGAGGCACAGTATACTTTCAATTTTCCTAACCTGGAGAGTCCTGCCACTGAACTGGCCCAAGTCCTGTAATCCTGCTAGGCCTACCTGTTTCTGTCTTTACTTCAGCTCCTCAAACATGATTACCAGGTGGGTAGGAACACAAGACAACAGAGGACAGCGAGGAAAGGACAGCAATGGCACAACACATTTCCTCCCAACATCTGGCTGGGTATTTCATTAAAGAATTTACTAGATTATATGAGTACCATGCTAATAATCTTTAAATATGACCTTACGTATTTGTGGTCAAGAAGCTAATATAGCAAGATAATTTACAAGGGCTAATACTTTTCAAATATACAATTACCTTAAAATCTCAAGTACTTGCCACAAAATAGTGCTTTCAATAAAAAGTAGAGAATGCCAGGCTATACAGTTAAAAGAATAAATGAAGGCCAGGTGCGGTGGCTCACGCCTGTAATCTCAGCACTCTGGGAGGCTGAGGCAGGGGGATCACGAGGTCAGGAGTTTAAGACCAGCCTGGTCAACATAGTGAAACCCTGTCTCTACTAAAAATACAAAAAAATTATCTGGGCTTGGTGGTGGGTGCCTGTAGTCCCAGCTACTTGGGAGGCCGAGACAGGAGAATTGCTTGAACCTGGGGGGTGGAGGTTGCAGTGAGCCGAGATGGTGTCACTGCACTCCAGCTCGGGCGACAGTGCGAGACTCCATCTCAAAAAAAAAAAAAAAAGAGAATGAATGAACTCTTTTTTGAGATGGAGCCTTATGCTGTTGCCTAGGCTGGAGTGCAGTGGCATGACCTTGGCTCACTGCAACCTCTGCCTCCCGGGTTCAAGTGATTCTTCTGCATCGACCTCCCGAGTAGCTGGGATACTTGGGACTACAGGTGCGCACCACCACGCTTGGATAATTTTTTTTTATTTTTAGTAGAGACGTGGTTTCATCGTGTTAGCCAGGATGGTCTTAATCTCCTGACCTCATGATCCGCCTGCCTCAGCCTCCCAAAGTGCTGGGATTACACCCATGAGCCACCCGCGGCTGGCCTTCTTTTTTTTGAGATGGAGTTTCACTCTTGTTGCCCAGGCTGGAGTGTAACGGTGCGATCTCAGCTCATCGCAACCTCTGCCTCCTGGGTTCAAGCGATTCGCCTGCCTCAGGCTCCCGAGTAGTTGGGATTACAGGCATGCGCCACCATGTCCGGCTAATTTTTGTATTTTTAGTAGAGACGGGGTTTCTCCATGTTGGTCAGGCTGGTCTTGAACTCCTGACCTCAGGTGATCTGCCCGCCTGAATGGATTCTTTCAATCTGGAACTATATGGATGAACCTCGTAAGTTAAAGGAAGCCAGGCAAAGAGTATATGGTTACACTTCACATAAAGTTCAAGACTGAGTGCAGTGGCTCATGCCTGTAATCCCAGCAGTTTAGGAGGCCGAGATGGACGGATCGCTTGAGCCCAGGAATCTGAGACCAGCCTGGGCAACATGGTGAAATCCCATCTCTGCAAAGTATACAGAAATTAGGTATGGTGGCGCATGTCTGTAGTCCCAGCTACTTGGGAGGCTGAGGTGAGAGGATCGCTTGAGCGAGGTGCAGGTTGCAGTGAGCTGAGATTGTGCCATTGTACTCCAGCCTGTGTAAGAGACTTTGTCTCCAAAAAACAAGTTCAAAAATAGGCAAAACTCACCTATAGTTTAAATGTCAGGTGCTAGGCTATAGCTACTCAGGAGACTGGGCAGGGGGAGGATCACTTGAGGCTAAGAGTTGGAGGCTGTGGTGTGCTATGACTGCACCTGTGAATAGCCACTGCACTCCCATCTGGGCAATGTAGCAATACCCTGTCTCTAAAACAATTTTAAAAAGTTAAAGGAAAAGAAAGAAGAAAAAAGTCTGGCAGTGTTCCTTTTGGGAGAGGAGCTTCTGGTATGCTAGTAAAATTCAATGTCTTGATATAGATATTGGCTAAACTCCTAAACTGTGTGCTTTTCTGAGAACATGTTATATTCCAAGAAAAGAAAAAAATAGTGTGCATGTTGGGCAGGAGGAGGGATTGCTGCAGAGTTTTCTAGAGACAGGGTTTTGCTCTGCTGCCCAGGCTAGAAGGCAGTGGCATGATCATAATTCACTGCAGCCTTGAACTCCTGGGCTCAAGCGATCCTCCTGCCTCAGTCTCCCAAGTAGCTAGGACTACAGGTTTGCACCACCATGTCCAGATAATTTTTTAATTTGGGGTTTCACCATGTTGCTCAGGCTGGTCTTGAACTCCTGGGCTCAAGCAATCTTTCCAAAGAACTGGGATTACAGGTGTGAGCCTCTGTGCCAGGCCAGACTTTTCTTACTCTGTCACCTGGGCTGGAGTGCAGTGGTGTGATCTCAGCTCACTGCAGCCTCAACTCCCCAGGCTCAAGCAATCCTCCCACCTTGGCCTCCTGAGTAGTACAGGTGCACACCACCATGCTGGGGCATTGTTTTTTAATCTTCTGTAAACTTGAGGTCTCACTATGTTGTCCAGGCTGGTCCTGAACTCCTAGGCTAAAGCAATTCTCCTGCCTCAGCCTCCCAAAGTGCTGGGATTACACATAGGAGCCAGCAGGCCCGGCCAAGATTTTTTTTAAAAAAATTGTCTAAGTTTAGGGTATGGAACAAGTAAATTTTAATAGTGCTTACTTCTATGTAGTCTGTACTGAGACAAGACTTGGCCACTGTGCGGGGGAGAAAGTGAAGCAGGAATGTAATGAAATTCCAGATTTCCAAAAAAATCAGTTAAGGATTTTAATATTTAGCTAGACGGCTATATAGCAGATATATACTATGTCCTTTATTAAGAAAGGATTAATGGCCGGGCATGGTGGCTTACGCCTGTAATCCCAGCAGTTTGGGAGGCTGAGGTGGGAGAAATCTCCTGAGCTCAGGAACTCAAGACCAGCCTGGGCAACATAGGGAGATCTCATCTCTACAAAAAAATTCTATTTAAAAAAAAATCAAAACCAATGATGCATTTCCAAGTTTTTAATATGAGGAAAACTTTCCTTTTCTTATCTAAAATCAATGGCAATTTACAACAAAATCTACTCAAGGGAATGGTTACACAATACACTAGACACAAATCTCAAATTGTTTTCTCTGTATTTTGCTGTCACATTGCCTCTTTTTAAAATAATCAAGTAAATATTGTAAGACTACAGGTGGCTATAGTTTAAAAAAAAGCAAATAATTACTATTATTCTTAGAGCTAATAAACTGTTTTACTTCTGGTTTGCTTCTCAATTAGGGTTTCTAAGTTTTAATTTAAGAAATGTCAATTCATTTTTCTGCTTTTCATTAAAAAATAAAACCTACAACTTTGGAAAAGTATTGACATAGGTTTTTAATATCAAAATGAGGGAGAGGCAATAGATGTAGTGTAATTATTCATTAACTTCCTAATTTAAACTCAAACATCTCTTTCCAAATTTAAGTAATATTACAAATTAATGCCCACCACTATATCTTGGAAAATCAAAGCCTTATGATATTTAAATTAATTTTACTGGTATATTTCGAGGATCAGGCAAAAAAATTAAAATGTTAATTTTTGGTCACTAATACTCCACCATAACAGTCCTGCCAACTGGTATTAGAAGCAGTTGATTTTTCAGGTCAATCAAAAGAAACTTATGTCTGATTTATTCATTTTTTCATTTTACCTTCAGGATGTAGAGATTTCCTGGCTCACATTTGAAGAATGTGCTTAATTATTTAAGGAGTTTTTTAAAAAATAATTTTTTTTTACGAATTTATACTTGTCATGTAACTGCTTCTCAAATAAAATCACTACTTATTAAGCACATGGCATGCCTCATTACACTATCTAATGACTACACTGGCTTTTTTTAACCTAAAAAGATGTTTACGTTTTATTATTATTTTTTCACTTAGCCTCGACTTGAAACACACTAAAAAAGATGTTTAAAAGGGCACCAACTCAAACTGTATAAAGTGAGGCTCAACTATCAGCCACAATTATAAAGCTATCCATATTTTAAATTTCTAGTTTATGACCACAATTGTAGTCATTCTATGTTTTAGCTATTTGTAATTGTTAACTCCCATGTTTAGTTTCTTCTCTAATGTTTTCAATGAAACAAAACTAACTTCTCATCTCAAAGAAAGTGCTTGCTTTTTATTGTTAAAAATTCTAGATATAATAAAAATAGAAAGGCTAGCACACAGGGGAAGATTTAAATAAATAACTATTACTGCGCCACACTTCTGTTGGCTTTTTTGTGGATTTTCTTTTGTTTTGTTTTTTGAAACAGGGTCTCACTTTGTTGTCCGGGACCTCTCTGGGCTCAGGTCATCCTGCTGCCTCAGCCTCCTGAGTAGTTGGCACTCCAGGCACACGCCACTGCGCTCGGCTAGTTTTTTTTGTTTTTTGCTTTTTTTTTTGTAGAGATGGAGTTTCACCATATTGCTTAGGTTGGTCCCAAACTCCTGGGCTCAAGTAATCTGCCTACCTCAGCCTCCCAAAGTGCTAGGATTACAAGTATGAGCCACCACACCAGCCTGGGGAAATCAAAAGTTGGTTCTTTGAAAACAAAAACAAGATTGACAGACTGTTAGCTAGAATAATAAAGAAAAAAAGAAGATCCAAATAAGCACAATGAGAAGCAACAAAGATGACATTACAATGGATCCCACAGACATACAAAGGATTCTTAGAGACAATTACGAACACCACTATGCACACAAACTAGAAAATCTAGATGAAATAGATAAATTCCTGGAAATATACAATCTCCCAAGATTGAATCAGGAAGAAACTGAAACACTTAACAGACCAATATTGAGTTCTGAAATTGAATCTGTAATAAAAAACCTGCCAAACAAAAAAAGGCACGGATCAGATGGATTCACAGCCGATTTCTACCAGACATACAAAGAGCTGGTATTAATTCTACTGAAACTATTCCAAAAAAATAAGGAGGAGGGTCTCCTCTTTAACTCATTCTATGAAGCCAACATCACCCTCATACCAAAACTTGGTAAAGACACAAAGAAGAAAGAAAACAAAGGCCAATATCCCTGATGAACATAGATGCAAAAATCCTCAACAAGATACAAGCAAGCCAAATTCAGTGGCATATCAAAAAGTTAATTCACCATGATAAAATAGGCTTCATTTCTAAGATGCAAGATTGGTTCAACATATACAAATCACAAATGTGAGTCACCACATAAACAGAATAAAAAACAAAAAACATATGATCATCTCAGTAGACATGGAAAAGGCTTTTGATAAAATCTAGCATCTCTTCATGATAAAAACCCTTACGAAATAAATCCATATTGAAGGAATATGCCCTAAAATAGTAAAGGCCATCTATGACAAATATACAGCCAACATCATACTGAGATGGGCAAAAACTGGCAGCATTTCCCTTGAGAACTGGAAAAAGACAAGGATGCCCACTCTCACCACTCCTATTCAACATAGTACTGGAAGTCCTAGTCAGAGCAATCAGGCAAGAGGAAGAAATAAAATGCATCCAAATAGGAAAAGAAGTCAAATTACCTCTCTTCACGGACAATGTGACCTATACCTAGAAAACCCTAAAGACCCTATCAAAAGGCTCCTACAACTGATAAATGACTTCAGGAAAGTTTCAGGACACAAAATCAATGTACAAAAATCACTGGCATTTCTATACACCAATAATGTTCAAGCTGAGAGCCAAATCAAGAATGCAATTCCATTTACAATACACACACACACACACACACACACACACACACACACACACTCCTAGGAAAGCATCTAACCAAGGAGGTGAAAGATGTCTATAGGAAGAACTACAAAACACTGTTGAAAGAAATCATAGATGACACAAACCAATGGAAAAACATTCCATGTTCATGGATTAGAAGAATCAATATTGTTAAAATGGTCATACTGCCCAAAGCAATCTACAGATTCAATGTCATTTCTATCAAACTACCATCATTTTTCACAGAACTAGAAAACAAATTCTTAAATTCATATTGAACCAAGAGTCCAAACAGATAAAGCAATCCTAAACAAAAACAAAGCCAGAGGCATTACACTACCTGACTTCAAACTATACTATAAGGCTACAGACTAAAACTTCATGGTACTAGTACAAAAACAGACGCAGACCAAGGGAACAGAATATAAAACCCAGCAGTTAAGCCATACACCTATGGCCATCTGATATTTGATCAAATTGACAAAAATAAGCAATGTGGAAAGGGCTTCTTATTCAATAAATGGTGCTGGAATAGCTGGCTAGCCATATGCAGAAGAATGAAACTGACCCGTTACTTTCACCATATACAAAAATTAACTCAAGGTGGATTAAAGATTTAAGTGTCAGGCCTCAAACTATAAGAATCCTTTAGCCAGGCATGGTGGCTCACGCCTGTAATCCCAGTATTATGGGAGACCAAAGTGGGCAGATCACATGAGGCTTGGAGTTCAAGACCAGCCTGGCCAACATGGTGAAACCCTGTCTCTACTAAAAATACAAAAAGTAGCCAGGCTTGGTAGCGGGCATTTACAATCCCAGCTACTTGGGAGGCTGAGGCACAAGAACTGCTTGAACTTGGAAGGTGGAGGTTGCAGTGAGCAAAGATCGCGCCACTGCACTCTAGCCTGGGCAACAGAGTGAGTCTCTGTCTCAGAAAAAAAAAAAAAAAAGAAAAAAGAAAAAAGTAATAGCAACAAAAACAAAAACTGACAAGTGGGAGCTAATTAAAGAGCTTCTGTAAAGCAAAAGAAACTATCAATGGAGTAAACAGCCTACAGAATGAGAGAAAATACTCGCAAACTACCCATCCGACAAAGGTTGAATATCCAGAATCTATAAGGAGCTTAAGCAATTGAACGAGGAAAAAACAAAACAAATAACCCTTTTAAAAAATGGGCAAAAGACATGAACAGACACTTAAAGGAAGACATACAAGTGGCCAATAAGCATATAAAAAAATGCTCCATATCACTAATCATCAGAGAAATACAAATTAAAATCACAATGAGATACCATCTCACATTCATCAGAATGGCTACTATTAAAAAGTAAAAAAAAAAAAAAAAACAAAAACAGATGCTGGCAAGACTGCAGAGAAAAGGAAATGCTTATACACAGTGAGTGGAGATATAAATTAGTTCAGCCACTATGGACAGCAGTTTGGAGATTTCTCAAAGAACTTAAATCAGAACTACCATTTGACCAAGCAATTGCATTGACTGGGTATATATCCAAAAGTATATCCAAAAGAAAGCAAATCTTTCTACCAAACATACACATGCACTTGCATGTTCACCACAGAACTATTTACAATAGCAAAGACATGGAACCAACCTAGATGCCCATCAATGGTGGACTGGATAAAGAAAATGTGGTACATATATACCACGGTACTACACAACCATAACAAAGAATGAAATCATGTCCTTTGCAGCATCATGGATGCAGCCATAGGCCATTATCCTAAGTAAATTAATGCAGGAAAAGAAAACCAAATACCGTATGTTCTCACTTACAGGTGGAAGCTAAACACTGGTACTCGTGGACATAAAGATGGTAACAGTGAAACTGGGGACTACTGTGGGTGGGGAAAGAATGGAAGATAAAGGTTGAAATCGAGTACTATGCTAGGTACCTGGGTGATGGGCTCATTCATACTCCAAACCTCAGCATCACACAATAGACCCAGTTAACAAACCTACACATGTACCCCCAAACCTAAAATAAAATAAAAATAAATAAAAAGTATAGGGAACACTGCTTTACATGCTTCCCTTGTGCTAATCCTAGTTTTGTGTACTTTTGTGGCCTACCAGGTGAGGAGAAGATGTTTTCAGAATCACAGCTTTGATCTACAGAGGTGCTAATGTTATACCCCTTATGCTTGGGGCTTAGATTTGAACTAGTGCTATGAACTGACTGTGAAAGATTCAGTGAAATCCTTTGAGATTCTGCCAGCAAAAATGTAATTCAAATTTAAATCTAATCAACATTCACTGAGTGCCAACCATATGCCCAGTATGATGTTATGCACATGCTAACATTTGCAGCCTTAAGCTACAAATATAAATAAGTTTACATAAAGGCACAAATAACATAGTTTGTATTCTATGCAATAAGACTTGTCTTAGAAGAATATATTCTGAGGGTTTGTCATAACCACTGATTATTGTTGAAGGCAAGGAAAAAGAAACCAGGAAAGTGATTACATAAGACAAAAACCAGAAAAAGGGATACTCAAACAAGATCAAATTTTATTTTATTCTATTTTATTTATTTTATTTTATTTTATTTATTTTATTTTTTTGAGACAGAGTTTCACTCTTGTTGCCCAGGCCGGAGTGCAATGGCGTGATCTCGGCTTACCGCAACCTCAGCCTCCCGGGTTCAAGCGATTCTCCTGTCTCAGCCTCCTGAGTAGCTGGGATTACAGGCATGCGCCACCATGCCTGGCTAATTTTGTATTTTTAGTAGAGGTGGGGTTTCTCCATGTTGGTCAGGCTGGTTTGAACTCCTGGCCGCAGGTGATCTGCCTGCCTTGGCCTCCCAAAGTGCTAAGATTACAGGCTTGAGCCACCGCACCTGCCTGGCCTATTTTCTATTTATTATTACTATTTTTTTTTTTTTGAGACAGAGTCTCGCTCTGTCGCCCAGGCTGGAGTGCAATGGCACGATCTCGGCTCACTGCAACCACCGCCTCCCGGGTTCAAGCAATTCTCCTGCCTCAGCCTCCTGAGTAGCTGGGATTACAGGCATCTGCCCCCACACCTGGCTAATTTTTGTATTTTTATTAGAGGCGGGGTTTCACCGTGTCAGCCAGTCTGGTCTCGAACTCCTGACCTTGTGATCCGCCCGTCTCGGCCTCCCAAAGTGCTGGGATTACAGGCGTGAGCCACCATGCCTGGCCTTCTATTATTAACGATTTTGTTTTAGAGACAGTGTATCACTCTATCACCCAGGCTGGAGTGCAGTGGCACAATCACACAACCTTGACCTCCTGGGCTCAAGAGATCCTCCCACCTCAGTCTCCTAAGTAGCTAGGATCACAGGTGTACACCACCATGCCCAGCTACTTTTTTGTTTCTTGTAGAGATAGGGTCTCCCTAAATTGCCCAGTTTGGTCTCAAACTCCTGGGCCCAAGCAATCCTCCTGCCTCAGCCTTCCAAAGTACTGAGATTACAGGCGTGAGCCAGCACTCCTGGCAAAATTCATTTCTATTAAGATATTTTTAACAAATTTCCCATCTGGGCTAAAGTTAACCTTGAGATGCAGCAAATTCTAAACCTACTGATGAGATTTAATTTATTAATCCCAGTTGATAAGGAAAGGGATTCCCTAAAATCGGAATTTCAAGAGCAGATACCAAATCATTAAATAGTTTCCAACTAAATGTCTGTAGAGCCTACCATTTTGATTTGACTCAAGTTGTCACAGAGACCCTGAGCTTCTCATTAGCTTGGCATTGACAGTTTAACCCCATTTTCCCTTTCTAATCTCACATTTTCTATCCTCTCACAGGAATCCTCTATCCCAGTCAGGCTGTTAGTTCTATTTCCTCCTTTTCCAAACATGTCTCCTATGTTCTCATCTTTGCTGTGGCTTAGGGTGTTTTGTATTATTTGAATAAACCACTCTTCACTTCTCTTCTCATTGTATCCAAATCCTACCTATCCTTGATTAGCTCAGTACTACTTCCTTGTAGACAGTATTTCAGGTGCTTATATTTTCTTTATGACTATATTACAGAAATCCATGTAGATCTAAATCTTCAGAAATGTGGTAAGAAGATCTGGATTTGAGTTTTAGGTATATTATTTATTAGCTTTGTAACCTTGGGTAAGTCATTCAGCTCAATCATTCATCCAATGTGAATGAGACATAGTTTCTTATTTCAAGATACTCACAATGGAAAGGATATTAAATTTCAAAAAAGTCTACAAACATGACAATATAATTAAGACTCAAATGAGACAACAGAAATAACAGTATTTTAAAAATGGAAATAGAAATGTAAGGTATTTAAGAATTCCTCAAACTAAGTTTTCAGTGATTTTAAAATCATGGTATATTCCTTTAAAAATGGCTCACGTTTGGAATTCAGGGTTCAGAATAGAAGCCAAGTTGAGATTCTGGGATCTTGCCAGCCTGGAAAGACTCCTCTAAATTAAGCTATACTGTCTGTGGCCCTTCTTAAAAGATAGCTGCTCCCTAGCCCATTGAAGGTACAGACAAGGGTTTGGGAGCAGTTTTATATAACATGGCAGTTTTTCCTAAGATTTCTCTTTCAAAGAGCTGCTTAGACTGGTGCTCTTACTATGTTTATAGAGATGACCACATCATAGGACCTAAAGCCAGCTGTTTAAACTCATAAAACAGTTTATAAGCTGCAAGTTAAGACTTTTAGATTTGGTAATTCCAAGAGACTCACAGTCATAGTTATATGACTATGAGTTACACGGTTCTGTTACGTACATTTCTTTCTTTTTTTTTTTTTTTTTGAAACAGAGTCTCACTCTGTTGCCCAGGCTGGAGTGCAATGGCATGATCTTGGCTCACTGCAACCTCTGCCTCCTAGGTTCAAGCAATTCTCGTGCCTCAGCCTCCCAAGTAGCTAGGATTACAGGCACCTGCCACCACACCCAGCTAATTTTTGTATTTTGGTAGAGACGAGGTTTCACCATGTTGGCCAGGCTAGTCTCAAACTCCTGACCTCAAGTGATCCACCTGCCTCGGCCTCCCAAAGTCCTGGGATTACGGTGTCAGCCACCGCACCCAGCCTTGCTATTTATATTTCTATTGATTGATTGATTGAGACAGAGTTTCAGTCTTGTTGCCCAGGCTGGAACGTAATGGCGCGATCTCAGCTCACTGCAACCTCTGCCTCCCGGGCTCAGATGATTCTCCTGCCTCATTACAGGTGCATGCCACCACACCTGGCTAATTTTGTATTTTTAGTAGAGATGGGTTTTCACCATGCTGGTCAGGCTGGTCTTGAACTCCTGACTTCAGGTGATCCACCCACCTTGGCCTCCCAAAGTGCTAGTATTACAGGAGTGAGCCACCACATCCAGACTACTTATTTTCTTAATGCAATAAACAGGAGTACTCATCTCCCCTGTAAAACACTCATTTCACAAAGGACAAAATGTTTGGCTGGGTGTGGTGGCTTACACCTGTAATCGCAGCACTTTGGCAGGCCAAGCCAGGAGAATCACTTGAGACCAGGAGTTTGAGACCAGTCTGGGCAACATAGTGAGGCCCCATTTCTATGAAAAAAAAAAAAAAAAAAAAAAAAAATCTAGCCAGGTGTAGTAGTGCCAGCCTGTAGTCCCAGCTACTTGGGAGGCTGAAGCACTCACTTGAGTCCAAGAGATTCAGGCTACAAGTGAGTTATAGTCAAAATACTGTACTCCAGCCTGGGTGACAGAGTGAGACCTTGTCTCATAAGTAAATAACAGAATGCCCACTAATTAAATAATCTTTTAATTTTATGTTCCTAAACAGAAGCACACTAATAACAAATTAATATTTTCTGCTATAATAATATAGAAGAATCCTAAAGAGAGCCCAGTATTAAAAAAAAGAGAAGAAAATAGAACTACATATTTAAGCTACTTTTATTAGGGGAAAAAAAAAATCTACTTACGGCAGTGGCTCGAGAAAGTTCTCGACACGTACTAAGCAGTCCATTTTGTAAATCATCCCTTTGTAACACCACTGTCTGAATGGCTGCTGGGTTATCTGCATGCATTTCTATCTCTTGGCTGGCTGATAGCAAAGCTTGCTCAAGCGTGTACTATTATGATAAAAAGAATTACACTTAATGTTCTGCATCATTGTATTAATTCTTTTTACTTATCAGTGTCCTGATAATAATCATATTAAGTAACATCAATTGTAGACAATAAACATAATTGTCCTACTTTCTCCTTGTGGAGTTGCTGAAGTTTCTCTTCCAGAGCATGCACCACTTTATCTTGTTCACATAATCGGCTTAACTTGGCCTAGGTTATAAGAGAAGATGTCTTGTTAGCAATTTTTTATTTTTTCTGTAATTGGAGGTAGGCAGTCATTATATGACCAAAAATCTATATTTCAATCAATAAAAGTTAAAATATAGCTTACAAAGATAGAATCCTTAAAAAATAGGCATGCAAGCATTTTGCCTCTACAATCTGCTAAATAGGTTAAGTGATAATATGCAGTCCTTAATTAAAATGCTTACTGGATTCTATTGTTATATGTTTAAAAAACACACTCTTAGATTCTTAGAAAATAATATAAACAATAGATCACTTCTAATTGAAATACAAATAAAAATATTATTAATGGAGAAAAATAACTTTCATCAGGGTTTTAGTGTTTAAATTCTTAATATTACCCTAATTTCTTAATTATGAAAGTACAAGAAAGTATTCTAATAAAATTTCAATAGTACAATAAACCAGTTTTAATGTTTCAAAATGAAAACACTGGACAAATTGGAAATATGTCCCCAACTTTATGGCATAATGACACATAAGCAAGAAATTTGAGACTTTACTTTCTTTGCCATTTATCTATTAAAATAACTACCTTATCTTTGTCAGACAACAAGACTCAGCCTACACAAAATGAAAGGTGTTAAAAAGAAAAAGTAGGGGGCTGGGCTCGGTGGCTCACCCCCGTATCTCTGCACTTTGGGAGGCCAAGGTGGGTGGATGACCTGAGGTCAGGAGGTCGAGACCAGCCTGGCTAACATGGCAAAACCCTGTCTACTAAAAAAAAAAAAAAATACAAAAAGTTAGCTGGGCATGGTGGCATGCTCCCGTGATCCCAGCTATTTGGGTGTCTGAGGCATAAGAATCACTTGAACCCGGGAGGTGGAGGTTGCAGTGAGTTGAGATCATGACACTGCACTCCAACCCGGGTGACAGAGAGAGACCCTGACTCAAAAAAAAAAAAAAAAAAAAAGAAAAGAAAAGAAAAGAAAAGAAAAGGGGGTATAATGAGTGAAGAATGTATGGCAAATCAGCAATCTAAAATATGATTTAAAAGAAACTAAATTTAAAAAGGAGTAGTGATAAAATTTCTAAAGGCCGAACTTTATCTGAAAAACACAGCAATTCGTCTCCAGTCTCTAGTCTTCCATAACTTTTTTTTTTTTTTGAGGCAGGGTCTCACGCCATAACCCAGGCTAGAGTGCAGTGGAATGATCTTGGCTCACTGCACCTGTCCCTCCTGGGTTCAAGAGATTCTCAGGCCTCAGACTCCCGAGTAGCTGGGATTACAAGCGTGTACCACCATGCCCAGCTAATTTTTGTATTTTTAGTAGAGACAGGGTCTTGCTATGTTGCCCAGGCTGGTCTCAAACTCCTGGCCTCAACTGATCCGCCCGCCTCGGCTTCCCAAAGTGCTGGGATTAAAGGTGTGGGCCACCGTGTCCAGCCAATCTGTAACTTCTAAAAATCAGAAACAGTTTTTACTTTCATTTAAGTGATGCTTAATAACGTTGGACTGCTAACAATAGGGAGCAGTGGGACGTAGAGGGCAGGGAATAATAATTTAGAGCACACACATAAAATATGAATTTACCTGATGTCACTTTGGAGGACTTGGGAGAAAGAAGTTTTTTGGTCATGCTTATTTCCAGTGTTTTTGGCGGAGAATACGACAGAGTACTGACCACATATATCATACTAATACTTACATCAATATCTACTTCTTCAGGTCTGTATTTGTATAATGTGCCTCTACCTTCATCTTGTGACAGCTATAAGAAAAAAATCATATAGCAACTTAAAAAATCTTATTTAAAAATATATTTACCCTATTAATTAATACTTTGGATTTATATTAAATATATATAACATAACAAAAATAGATTTTAATGATTCTTACACTTTTAGAAGTTTAATTCAAACACTGATCAACAAAGTAGAAAATACTTAACAGTGATATAATATGCAAGATACATACGAACGATGTATGTAACAAGCTTGTTAAACATAATAATATGCTGGTCAAACAAAACTAATACAGTATCTTACATCATTTCTTTTAAAGACACACATTATTTTAATAAAAAAACTGACAAATACAATCGTAGCAACTGTGTCAAATCAAATACTTAAATTAAGCATAGTTCAACAGCCAAAACCATCCTTCACGGTATATACATAAACACACACTGTGTATGTGTACACTCAAATGTCAACACATCTTAACAAAACCTATAACATATTGTATACATATATATAATATATAAACACACATACACAATATAGACTTATCTTGCTCTTCTGTCTTAAGAACTAAAAGATAATGAAGGAAAAGGATGGGTTTAATTGAAAAGAGGAAAATCATTCGAAATCTTATAAAACTGAAAGCCTATGTTATAAACTATGGATAGTCAAATTTCATAAAAAGTTTATGTGTGTTAGTTGACTCCATTTATGTTACTATATTGTAAGGAATTATTCAGTGTACTTAAATATCCTTTCTTCAGCTTCTGCCCAGTACATTTTGGTTAAAAGATATTTTGGTTACTTCTGATTGTGCTTAGCAAGATTTCAATAGCCATCCCAGTCAGTTATACCACAGATAACATCACAGCCTCTGCAGGCAATACTTCACTATTTTTCTTGTCTTTTGATTTTTATATTGACTGTGAGAAAATAACAAAAACACAGTAGAAAAAATTTAAATGGGGCTCATTGCATGTTTACTAAATGGCACAATGTTTTCAAGGTGGGGTTAGAAGTAATGTGTCCCAATTACATTCCAGTTTAAAAAATTAAATTTCATATACGCATAATACATAAGAATGTATAAATGACAATTCTATATGTTTTCTCTATGAAAGAAACTGCTTGACAGTTACAGCTTTAAAAGGAAGCATCATTTAAACAGGAGATAACTTTGAATTGATCTAGAAATGTGGGAATCAGGAGAAGGTTAAAAATATAAGCATTCCAAACATACAATAAATCCTGGATTTATATTTCATTTCAAGACATTACTTTCACATACCTCATGCAAATGAATCTGTGACTATTTAAGGGTATGCAGTGATTGTTAAACCACAAAACTTTCATAGGAATGAATATTACATGAAAAATGAATTTAATGACAAAAGTTAGAATACTCTTATACTATTCAAAATAAGTATCCTCAGGTGTGTCCTGAGAAGTGTCAACTGTCATTGTAAATTAAAGCACCTAGATCCAAGAAAATAATTTATATTCCTATCTGGAAAAAAAGTAATATGAAGTAAGTTTTAAATAGGTAGATCTATGATAAAAAAAGTAAGACAATGCCAAAATTCCATTTTCATATTTATAACAAATTAAAGATGAAAAGTCATAAGCTACTAAGATGTTCAAATATAGTTTGCTTAATATTTATTTATTTTTTGAGATGGAGTCTCGTTATTGCCCAGCCTGGAGTGCAGTGGTGCGATCTCGGCTCATTGCAACCTCTGCCTCCAGGGTTCAAGTGATTCTTTTGCCTCAGCCTCCAGAGTAGCTGGGATTATACGTGCACCATCATGCCTGGCTGATTTTTGTATTTTTAATAGAGACGGGGTTTCACCATGTTGGCCAGGCTGGTCTGGAACTCCTGACCTCAAGTGATCCTCCCATCTTGGCCTCCCAAAGTGCTGGGATTATAGGCGTGAGCCACCACGCCCAGCCGTAGTTTGCTTAATATTTAAAGTTAAATGCAAAACAGCTTTACTAGATTACAGAATCTGAATATAACTAGCAGACAGTGTTTCATCTAGATTAAAATATCAAATGTACCCTATATCTCAGAGTCAACAGAAAAAAACATTAGTATATTAAAGTGAAAACTTACTAATTTATAGTAAATCTTTAGGATATTGATATACTATTTTTATTTGGGGAATCTTATTGCAGATTTATTTTTACATCAGTTAGCATATCATAATAGAGAAAAATGTCTACTGTAGTTACAACTTTAGAGCGATATATCCTTTATAGCCATATAAATATATTATACATATCAATCAGATTTTTGTGGTATTTCTACTTTTAGTACCACCGAAATTTTTCTTGAAATCTTTTATCAAGTTATTCAATAAAGATATTCATTAGACATCAACTAACCAAATCCTTAAACCTCTCCCCACACATTGCTTTTATGACAGAATAAAAGCATAAGAAAACAAAATTTTTCCTTAAACAAACAAAAAACGCCTTCATAGAATTGAAAAGGTTGCTATTTTGTCCTCAACATGAAAATCCTGACTCCTCATCCCAACCCCTGGCCCTACCGAAAAAAAAGAAAAGTAAATTTCATGAGCATTCTGGTTAATTTAAGTTCATGGTAACACTGTTTATCATTTTTTTCAAATACACCTTTAGCCAAAAAAAAAAAAAAAAAAAAAAAAGGTTTGGTTTGAATACTTCATTCGAAGTACCTTAGCAACACTAGAAAAGCAAATGAAAAAATGGGCTATGTAGTAATTACATAAACTTGTGCAGTGCTCCAACTTCAGGTTGAGGAGTGTGTTATATGGATTTTATTAACTACATAAGGACATGTGTTATATTTTATTTAGGATGTCGGAACCATTTAAAGTATCTGATACTTTTTTTTTTTATAAACTGTCTTGGCATTAAAACAAAGTTACATATGTTAATTAAAATTCAACTTCAATATCCCTTAGGTATGTGGACTATATATATTTTAGAGTATATGAACATGATACATAAACTCCAAAAAGGAGTTTTGGGGAAATATTTTAAAATTTGATAAAATTAGACATTATATCCACAGATGGCAAAAAAAATGCTCATAGGACTATAGGCATTTGTTGATATTGCATCTTTTAGGACAAATTACTTATCAGGTGATTAATTTCACTGGTATTAATCATGTTATAAAAACTATGGTCCTAAAATGTAACTGTGAAAGGTGGTGTAGAATACAGAATGCTTAAAAAAAAAAAAAAAGAGATAGTATCTCATTCTGTCACCCACCAGGCTAGAGCACAGTGGTGTAATCGTAATCACAGTTCATTGCAGCTTCGGACTCCTGTCTCAGCCTCCTGAGTAGCTAGGACTATAGGTGTGTGCCACCATGCCTGGCTAATTTTTTTATATTTTGCAGAGACAGGGTCTTGCTTTGTTGCCCAGGCTAGTCTCAAACTCCTGGCCTCAAGCGATCCTTCAGCTTTGGCCTCATAAATTGTTGGGATTACAGGCATAAGCCACCTCGACAAGCCTGGATTCAGTTTTAAGTCTTTTTTAATTGACCAATTTTAAGAAAATTACTGCCTAGGTAATTTCTTGAGTGTTCTCCAAGGAAGAAAAATGCAAACATTTCCAAAAACTGAGTGGCTATGATTCAGAATAAAATAGGTTATAAAACATTTTGCCATTGTATTTCTAGCTAAATATCAATAACTTATTAATAAAACACTGTCATTCAACTTCAGAAAAGCAAACTGTAGCAGTACATTTTCCCTGGATAATAACATGATGAGGGAAACCTGGAGAAAAATAAAATATAATTTCAGTTTGTGCAAATTTATAAACACAGTTTAAAAAATGTGTCGGGCTGTCACTTTAATCTATTAAGGATGCCCTGCTTAATAATTAAGTCCTTTACTAGTGGCTGAATAAAAATAAGACAGTCTGAAGACTCCCTAGCCTTAACAGCACTGAGAGTTAACACTGATTTCCTGGTAACTGGTGACTCAGCCATGCCCAGGCAAGGCTGCTGACATTAGACATTCAGATCTTTCTGTTCTATACAATTTTAGTTTTCTTTCACATATTAATATAAAGAAATATTTATACAAATCTATTGCTCTTTCGGTATTCAAGGTCAGTGATGCTATAATGTGCCAGTCTCAGACATCTTCACTTTCCCCCCCCTCAGCCCTTCCCATTTCAGATCTCCACACTTTGGGAAAACCCCAATTAGAACTTTTAATGCAACCAAATAATTTAAACTATCAGACTTCCGCATCCTGAACCATGAATGTTGAGCATTATAAAAAAAAACCCAACCAAACCAAACAGATTTGAAATCCAGGCTACCATTCTCATCTAAAATATGCAAAATGTGATAAAAACATAACCTATTACAACAAAATCCCTTTGATCTCATGTCAATTTAGCATCTTATAGATGATATATTTTACTGACAGCTTCAGACACTGCAGAAGGTATCAGTTTTGGAATAATACTTATTCGGAATAATACTTATTCCAAATACTCTCGGTGTGGTACTTTGGAATAGAGTACCAAGGTCTATAATCTGGTGACTTTAAGAATTGAAAGATTCCATTTTCTTTTGATAAGTAAAGCTGTTTAACTTTAAATATTTAATAGTTTGTTAATCTCTTTATTGCAAATTTGAGACTATTTTCAGTCATCTAATAATATACTTTAAATATTTTGAAAACTGTGCTGAAATATAAGTCACCCTCTGATCAATTGTATCCATTCCTCAGTTACATGGCCCTGTGATGCAGATCCCATGGCAACTGAACCAAATAGAGGCCTTAAAAGCCAGCATGAGCTCAAAGTCGTTCTTTTTACTAGGTGCCTTATATATTTAAATCAAAATATATATTCATTTTTCATGTTAGTTAATTTTCTTCTTCTGCATGATTTTTAAAGATTGTAAAGGTCATACGCCAGAGTAATTTGAGGGTGTTGAAGTGAAAGAAGCTGATGTTGAGAAACACATAGCTAGAAACATTTAGACCATGAGATACACAAAAATTTGATAGAAACATATGACTTCTTTTGCAGATCTGCAGATTACTAAGGTTCCTAAGTTAAAGCCAGCCAACTCCATGACACACATTTTGAATAAGGAAAAACAATAGGGTAACTTATGATAGTCTTGACGACTGCTTGAGAATGGTAAGAATACAGCGACAAAATACCCCCAGTATGTTAAAAAGTGGCTATCTTTAAGTTTTACCATACCATAGTACAGAAACTAGATTTAAATAACGCCCATACAAATATAATGTATTCTTAAAACACTAGGTTGGGGGAAGTTGTGGAGGGCAACCCCTGAAAGTAAATATTTTTACAAAGCCTTTTCCCTAAAAAATAGGTATAATGCTTTTAAAGTTAATAAAACCATATGAAAATCTAGTAATTTTGCAAATGTACTGCAGACCTCCAAGTACATATCAATCAAATACTCTGCACAAAAACTTTAGGAAAATGGCACATTTAATATTCAACAGCAAAATGTTCAGCGAAGCCATGCTAAGAATACTGCAGCATCTTGAAAAGCATGGATGAATTGTGGTTTTCCAAATAAACATAAACAAAAAATAAAATAAGAAAAACACTGATGTCATGAGTAAATCTGAGAATAAATCAAAACTGTCACTGAGGGATTTTGCAGATGATAAAGCAGTATCATTCACTGTCCAAGACCTTACTTGCTGGTACAGTTGGGGTCTTAGCGCCGAGTTCTCAATCATTGTGTGAACCATGGTGATAATAGGTTCATTTTCTTTCATCTATTTCAAATCAGGAGGAGCATACAGCAAACATCAGTTTACAGCATAGCTAGATTTGAAAGACGACACTGTAAATATAGCCTCTACTTTAATATCTTCCTAATAGTGCAGTTGTTTACATTTTACCCCATGGTTGTACAGATTTAATTCATATAAACCATTTCAAACAAGTATTAAACGCTGTGAAATACTTCCAAGAAAAAACTACTAATTGCAACACTGTCACAACTAGTTTTACTTCATACATATAATCATGATATAGTCAATTAATGAATATTTCTACATATAATAAAATAGATGATAAATCATAATTCAAAGGGTAAACTAAAGGGTGAGAACCTACACAATCAGGAGAAAAATGGTACAATTTGATTATGAATTCAGTAATAAAGCTGAAAATGATATTCAGTTCTGTGTAAGGTTATAAAAAATTAGTTCTCTACAAGTATTAAAATATAATATACTGAATGTGTCACTTAATCACATATTTTATTAAAGGTAATCTTGACATTTATAGAGACTCTATTTTGGATTTTCTCACAGTATAATACCACATGTAGAATTACTCAAGGATATGCAAACTAAGACTTATTCAGCAAAGACTTGGTATGTCTCCTTAGCTTCTAAAAAGGTAGTCTGAAACCAAGCTTAACATTTCCAGCTATGTTGTACTTAATTACTGCCTCTAGAAAAATATTTGTTTTAGCAGGCTCTGTACTTGAGTTAAAGCACTCAAAAGACCATCATGATGTATATAGTAAAAGGCCAAGAAAGCTTTACCATTTGTAAGTCGACAGGTCTGTTTATAATGGTAATTTGTAACGCTTAATTTTCATCTTTCATATACAGAAAATAAGCATTTCTATCGTGGTTGACAAATGCTACTTTACTGGTTCAGCTAAGTCTACAACAAAAGTTCATTAATCTCAAAATTAATAAATTTATTAATATAATGTAAGAAAAAACTAAATCTTAAAACTCTTTTTCTAGACAATTATATTTTCAGTCTAATTGCCAATAAAATTTGTTTAGTTATCAAATTAGAAACCTCCTGTGACTGGTTTAATCTACTTTTTAGTCAGTTAAGTGATAATGAAACACATGTTTGTCTTTTAACAATATCCCAATTAAAAATTTCATTCAGACTAGACCATTTATTTTTAAATCTCTGTGCCTACAACTGCTTTTTGGAAGTGAGGATATTAAAAAAAAAACTTCACTGAAGAATAAATTGACAAATTTTAGTTATACATCAACGACTTTTGACAAAAGTATTCACATATGTAACAATCAAAACATACAGAATGTTTCCATCTACCCAGGTAGTTCCCTCATGTTACTTTACCACCAACCTGATTAATTAATAAATTAATTTTGTCAAACTTAATAATTACATGTAAAGGTATTTGGAACAACACATCAGTTAAACAAAAAATTCTTAAGTGTTACGGTGATCTGTTGCCCAGATTGGAATGCAGTGGCCCTATCATGGCTCACTGCAGCCTCAAACTCCTAGGCTTAGGCGATCCTCCCACATCAGCCTCTCGCATAGCTAGGACTACAGGCACATGCCACCATGCCCAGCTAATTTTTTATTTTTTGTAGAGACAGGGGCCTCATTATGTTGCCCAGGCTGGTCTTGAACTCCTGGGCTCAAGCAATCCTCCTGGCTCATCCTTTATAATTGTTTTGGGGGAGCCAGGAACCTCGCTCATAAGAGATGATGAAATCGATAAAGGTTGTGTGTTCTGTTTCACTGACCAGCCGTTATCCCATCTCTCTTCCTTTCCTTGGGCCTGCCTATTCCTCGAGACACAACAATATTGAAATCAGGCCAATTAATAACCCTACAATGGCTTCTAACAGTGCAAGTGAAAGGAAGACTTGCATGCTTATCACTTTAAATCAAAAGCTAGAAATGATTAAGGTTAGTGAGGAAGGCATGTGGAAAAGCTGAGACAGGCCGAAAACTAGACCTCTTGTGGTAAACATTTACCCAAGTTGAGAAGGCAAAGAAACAAGTTGTTGAAAGAAATTATAAGTGCTACTCCAGTCAACATACAAATGATAAGAAAGCAAAACAGCCTTGCTGCTAATAGGGAGAAAGTTTTAGTGGTCTGAAGAGAAGATCAAACAGTCACAACATTCCCTTAAGCCAAAGCCTATTCCAGAGCAAGGCCCTAACTCTCTTCAATCCTATGAAGGTTGAGAGAGATGAGGAAGCTGCAGAAGGAAACTTGGAAGCTGGCAGTTTGGTTCATGAGGTTTATGGAAAGAAGCCATCTCCATAACATGTAAGTGCAAGGTGAAGCAGCAGGTGCTGATGGAGAAGCTGCAGCAAGTTATTCAGAAGATCTAGCTAAGATAACTGAAGAAGGTGGCTGAATTCAATGATAGATTTTCAATGTAGACGAAATAGCCTTGTATGGGAATCAGATGCCACCTAGGACTTTCATAGCTAGAGAGGGAAAGTCAATGCCTGGCTCCAAAGCTTCAAATAGGATGACACTCTTGTTTGGGGATAATGCAGCTGGTAATTCAAGCTGAAGCTGATGCTCATTTACTATTGTGAAAATCCTGATGTTAAATCTACTTTGCTTATGCTCCAAAAAAGGAACAAAGCCTGGATGATAGCACATCTGTTTACAGCATGGTTTACTGAATATCTTAAATCCACTGTTGAGAACTAATGCTCAGAAAGAAAGATTCCTTTCAAAATATGAGTGCCCACTGACAATGAACCTAGTTACCCAAGAGCTCTGATGGAAACATGTAAGTGGATGAATGTGGTTTTCACGACTGTTAACATAACATCCATTCTGCAGCCCATGGATCAAGGAGTCATTTCAACTTTCAATTACTATTATTTAGGAAATGCATTTCATAAGGCTCTAGCTGCTACAGATAGTGATTCTTCTGATGGATATGGGTGAATTAAAGAAGAAACTTCTGGAAAGAATTCACCATTCTGGATACTAGATATTTGTGATTTAAGAGAGGAGGTCAAAATAGCAACATTAACAGAAGTTTGAAAACACTGGTTCCAACTCTCATGAATGAGGTTGAGGGGTTTAGAACTTCAGTGGAGGAAGGAACTGCAGATGTGGTGGAAATAAAAAGAATCAGAAGTGAAGCCTGAAGATGTGAGCGAATTGCTTCAATCTCATACTAAAACTTGAGTGGATGAGGAACTGCATCTTATGGATGAGCAAAGAAAGTAGTTTCTTGAGATAAAATCTACTCCTGGTGAAGGTACTGTGAACATTGTTGACAACAAAGCATTTAGAATATATAAACTTGGTTGATAAAGCAGCAGCAGAGTTTGAGAGGATTCAGTTCAATTTTACTTTTTTTTTTTTTTTTAATTTTTCGAGACAGAGTTTTGCTCTGTTGCCCAGACTGGAGTGCAGTGGAGTAATCACAGCTCACTGCAGCCTTGACCTCCTCTCCTGGGCTCAAGCGATCCTGCCGCTTCAGCCTCCCAAGTAGCTGGGACTATAGGCAAGTACATTTTTAATCCTGGCTGATTAAAAATTTTTTTTTTTTTTTTTGCAGAGACAGGGTCTTGGTATGTTGCCAAGGCTGGTCTCAAACTCCTGGCCTCATGCAAGCCTCCCACCTTATCCTTCCAAAGTGACAGGCATGAGACACCATGCCCGACCCCACTCCAATTCTGAAAGAGGTTCTACGACGGGCAATATGTTCTCAAACACCACTGCATGCTACAGAGAAATGTTTTCGTGAAAAGAAGAGTCAATTGATGTAACAAACTTCACTGTTGTCTTATTTTAAGGAACTGCCACAGCTATCCCAACCTTCAGCAACCACCACCCTGATCAGTTAGCAAGCATCAACATCAAGGCAAGACCTTCCACTAGCAAAAAGATTAGGACTTGCTGAAGGCTCAGATGATCATTAGTGTTTTTTAGCAATACAGGATTTTTTTTCTTAGACATAATGCTATTGCACATTTAACAGAATACAGTATAATCATTACTTTTACAGGCACTGGGAAACCAAAAAAACAAAAAAACAAAAAACCACGCCCAGCTAATTTTTGTGGAGATGGGGTTTTGCCATGTTTCCCAGGCTGGTCTTGAAGTTCTGAGCTCAAAGCAATCCGCCCGCCTTGGCTTCCCAAAGTGCTGGGATTATAGGCGAGAGCTACTGTGCCTAGCCTGCATTCTTTTTTTTTTTTTTTTTTGAGAGGGAGTCTCGCTCTGTCACACAGGCTGGAGTGCAATGGCACCATTTTGGCTCACTTCAACCTCTGCCTCCCGAGTTCAAGCAATTTTCCTGCCTCAGCCTTCTGAGTAGCTGGGATTACAGGTGCCCACCACCACACTCAGCTAATTTTTGTATTTTTAATAGAGACGGGGTTTCACCATGTTGGTCAGGCTGGTCTCTAACTCCTGACCTAAGATGATTCACCTGCCTCGGCCTCCCAAAGTGCTGGGATTACAGGCATGAGCCTGGCCTTCAAGTTCTTAAAATAAATACATAAATAAATAAAGAATACATATAATTCACTTCTGGTTTGAATATAAGAATCCAAGAAACCATTTTAAGAGTGGTGTTAACAGTCTACATATTGTGTAAGGAATCAGAGGAAAGACTAAATAGTACACGTAGGATGTTTAAGGATTCACTTGAAATGAGTTAAATGCTTTGCTTCTTACTTTAATTCCTTCTTTGAAGTAACAGGTAATACAGATTTACATTTAATTGCTAAATTATAAAGCTATTATAAAAGGCAGATTATTTCATAATAATAGGAATGAAAATGTATGATTCAGGCATTACACAATTTTCTTTTCTTTTTAAGTTAAAGGGTTTTATTATCAAAGTCTTGTAAAATAATTTCGAAATTGTACATCAACATGGCACAGACTGTAGCCTACTTTTGTTTTTACTGCACATAGTGGAGCTTGAAATGTCTGTAACAAAGAAAGCAGTTGCCTAACTACTTTGCATATATAACATGAAATCACTGTGTGCCTAAGAATACTACTGCAGTAACACAAATGTATCGGTTTTATACAACTTGAGATTTTATTATTTTTTTTTTTGAGACAGAGTCTCACTCTGTCGCCCAGGCTGGAGTGCAGTGGCACGATCTAGGCTCACTGCAACCTCCACCTCCCGGGTTCAAGTGTTCTCCTGCCTCAGACTCCCGAGTAGCTGGGATTACAGGCGCCTACCAGTAATTTTTCTATTTTTAGTAAAGACGGGGTTTCACCATGTTGGCCAGGCTGATCTCGATCACCTGACCTCAGGGGATCCGCCCGCCTCGGCCTCCCAAAGTGTTGGGATTACAGGTGTGAGCCACTACACCCAGATTTGTCTTATTTTAAAAGCATATGAAGGTCAATTTCCAACAGAGTTTAAAACAAATAAATTAATGAAAGAGTGGAAAATTCAAAATAAGGGCAAGAGATGAGTTTTTTTTTTCTTTAAGATGGACTCAGGATAGGTAGACAGCTTTCACTGATGTAGATGTGGAATAAATTATTTCAGGAAAAAAAATTCCCAAACATCTTATGAAAAACTATACAACTCTACTTCAAAATATACTATTTGTTCACTGCCAAAGACAGTTTTACTTGAAACCTTGTTTCTGTAATTAAACCCTAATTAGCCATCAAAAAAGGTTAGTGCATAATAACCGTCCAAAGTTAAACCAAAATCACAAAAATTTTGCTACAAGGCTTAAAAAATTATCTATTTCTTTTCTCTTTTTTTCTTTTTTTTTGAGATGGAGTCTTGCTCTGTCGCCTAGGCTAGAGTGCAGTAGCGCAATCTCGGCTCACTGCAAACTCTGCCTCCTGGGTTCAAGTGATTCTCCTGCCTCAGAATCTGGAGTAGCTGGGATTACAGGCATGCACCACCATGCCTGGCTAATTTTGTGTGTGTGTGCGTTTGTGTTTTAGTAGAGACAAGGTTTCGCCATGTTAGCCAGGCTGGTCTGGAACTCCTTACCTCAGGTGATCTGCCCCCCTTCGGCCTCCCAAAGTGCTAAAATTACAGGGGTGAGCCACTGTGCCCAGCCGGATTATCATTTCAAATGCTCATTTCCAGATGGAACTATGTTAATTTGGCATGTCAACAAACAAGACCATAAGGAGATCCATCATGTTGGAGGATTTTAATGACATTTAGGATATTCTTGCCACAATAACATGCAGTCAGTGCATTTCCTACATGGCTCTATTATGGCAATGAATAAAACTCTGTAAGTAATGTAAGTGAACTTAGTAAAGGAAATTATATGACATAAACAATCCATTCTGGCTGTAGATGTATATAGCTTTTCATTTTTGTTATGAAGCAGCGCCAATAGTAAAACGGGTTACACCATCAGATTTCACCATGACAAGAATTGCTTACATCATACCATTTTCTAAAAGCTTTTTGATGTAAATAGGTAATATCAATAACAAGAGCTTTATAACCATTAATAACTCAGAGCTATATACATCTAGGGTTGAGATGAACAAATACAACATTCAGAAATCACACAAAGCAATGACACTGATGCATGTATACAGCTGGATTCCCATAGAGGCAATATTCAGTCACTCATATCCATGTCTTCTTCATGATGATCATTCCCATTCACTATGGGTTCTCCTAGTGAATCACCAGTTCCCTTTTCCACAGAACGTTTCTTTGTTTTAGGGGAATCTGCTTCTATTGCTTTCTTCTCTTTTTTTCCTCTCTCTCACTGTCATACCCTTGTTCCTCTTCATCATAAACCCGTGTAACTTTTACATCTGTATCACTCTCTGATTTTCTTTCCTGGTCCTTTTCCCTATCTTTACTCTTCTTCTTGCTTGTTGATCGTTCTCTTTCATACCTATTTCTCTCTTTATCTTTCTTCTTCTTTTTATGTTTCCCAGGGGATGGTGAGAGAGACAATTTTCTTTTAGGACACCGAGACTTTTTAGGAGATCTTGTTCCACTCCTGCTTCTTCGTTGTTGTCTCTCTGTTTGTACTTCTATAATGTCTAGCCGTGCTGTAACTTTCTGGGGGTGTTTTTGAATGTTTCTTTTGTCTTCTTTCTTTCTGTCTCTCGTTTTTGATGTGCTCCTTGACCTTCTGCCTCTCTCTCTGGAATGAGATCTTCTCTGTCTTGGGCTTTTGAATCATCAACGACTCCTAGACTGACAATGTAATCACTCTCTTGATCTGCTCCTTGACTGTGTCTAGAAGATGAGAGTCCTCCTCCTCCTAGAATGTGATCTTGAATGCCTTCTTTTTTCTTTCTCTGGTTCTATAGCAGCCGAAATTAGGCAGTGTGCTTCTTGTACTCTTTTCATAGCTTCCTCTATTTTTTTTTGAGCCAAGAGTTTTGTGCTCGTTGCCCAGGCTGGAGTGCAATGGCACAATCTCGGCTCACTGCAACCTCCGCCTCCAGGATTCAGGCGATTCTCCTGCCTCAGCCTCCTAAGTATTTGGGATTACAGGCATGCGCCACCATGCCCGGCTAATTTTGAATTTTTAGTAGAGACAAGGTTTCACCATGTTGGTCAGGTTGGTCTCGAACTCCTGACCTCAAGTGATCCACCCTCCTCAGCCTCCCAAAGCTCTGGGATTACTGGCCTGAGCCACCATGTGGGGCCCCTTTCTCTATTTCTTTACTAGAGGTATCCGATTTCAGACTTGGTGAAACAAGACCAGCAGCTACATGCTTCAACTTGGGACCAACAGTGCTCATAAGCTTCAGCAACTATCTGTGGCAACAGATTGAGTTCAAGTTTGCTCCAGGAAGCCCAAGCGCAGCAAGGGCAGGAACAAGAGTAGGAGCCCCCAAAGCAGCCGGTGGAACAGCGCCAGTCTGAGTAAGTGGGTTAGGAGTAGGCAGGAGCCCAACACCAAGCAGAAGACCTGCCATTGCATTAGCTGGTGCCAACAGAGACAAGCCTTAGCCTTATCAGGAATAACTCCTTCTGCATATGGTACGTTATCAAAGCTCTGTCAAGGAATACAGTGTTTGTCAGACATGGTGCGACAACTGCTGAGTCTGGATCATGGAATTTAACGAGATTGCGATTGGCAAAGGTGAATTATCCGGCGGGAAGAGGTGTGGTTCGTCGATCTTGCCTAGGAAACCGAAGAGAGTCCGCATCTGCTCAGAGCTAGCGCCCGGGGAGATCAGTCACCTATTACCTCGATGCCGCCGCCTCCACCGCCGCCACCACCTCCGCTACTGGGCCCGCCGCTAGGGCCCGGATCCGCAGTGCTGGGGACGATGGTAGTGTTGCTCACGGCGCTGCTCGCGGCGTTCTCCCTCCTGCTTCAACACATCAAACACACAGCAAGGAGGGGGAAGAGGAACCGGTTCGTGGGAGGTGGGTATCCGATGCTACAGCCTCTGCTGCTCCAGTCGCCGTCGCCACCTTTTCTCTACCCCACTGCACGCCGCGGGGGAGGGGAAGAGAGCACGCTAGTTGGAGAGCACGAGAAAACAAACGGCCACCCCCACCTCGCCTCCAACCCCACAATTTTCATAATTAACTCTAGCTGTAAATAAGAAAACATACGTGGCAACATCTCGGAAATACACTTAGGTAATAATGCCGGTGAATTTCTGTTCACAACAAAACACATTTTTACTTGAAATTTCTAAGTCCAAATGTTTAGAAAAACTATCTAGAAAATCTGATACTTAATCCTGGCCTCTTCAGCAGTTTTGAGGTCTGTTTGGCAAATACGAATAACTTGTTTTTTTTTTAGACGGAGTATCGGATTGTCGCCTGGGCTGGAGTACAATGGGGCGATCTCAGCTCACTGCAACCTCTGCCTCCTGGGTTCAAGCGATTCTCCTGCTTCAGCCTCCCGAGTAGCTGGGATTACAGGCGTGCGCCACCAAGTCCAGCCAATTTTTTGTATTTTTAGTAGAGCCACCGCGCCCAGTCTTCATAGTTGTTTTTTTTTTTTTTTTTTTTTTTGAGATGGAGTTTTGCTGTTGTTGCCCCAGGCTGGAGGGCAATGGCGCAATCTTGGCTCACTGCAACCTCCGACTCCCAGGTTGAAGCGATTCTCCTGTCTCAGACTCCCGAGCAGCTGGGATTACAGGCATGTGCCACAATGCCCAGTTAATTTTTTGTATTTTTAGTAGAGACGGGGTTTCTCCACGGTAGTCAGGCTGGTCTCAAACTCCTGATCTCAGGTGATTCGTCCGCCTTGGCCTCCCAAAGTGCTGGAATTACAGGCCTCAAGCCATCCGTGCTGGGTCTTTTTTTTTTTTTTTTGAGACACAGTCTCGCTGTCACCCAGGCTGGAGTGCAGCAGTGCCATCTTGGCTCACTGCAACCTCTGCCTCCCAGGTTCAAGTGATTCTCCTGCCTCAGCCTCCTGAGTAGCTGGGATTACAGGCGCTCATCACCCTGTCAGGCTAATTTTTGTATTTTTAGTAGAGACGGAGTTTTACCATGTTGGTCAGGCTGGTCTTGAACTCCCGACCTTGTGATCTGCCCTCCTCGGCCTCCCAAAGTGCTGGAATTACAGGCGTGAGCCACTGCACCCCACCTATTGAATAACTTGATTTTAAAACCCCATCATCAAAAACCACTGAATTATATGTAATTACATCTACTAGGATCTTGTGTAGAATTTCCCAACTGACACCCATGGGCTGGAAATGGGTTACAAGGTGTGGGGACAAGGACCACCTCAGCTTCAGAAGGCCTAGTCTGGTCCCTGCAGGGCTAAGGCTCATGACATCACCTCCTGCTTATTTGTTTCAAGGTGCTGTACAAATATCCTCGCTTTCTATGTGTCCACACATGAAAAAAGGTAGCACCAAGACAGTGCTTGTTTCAGAAAACCTAGACTTCTTTCTTTTTTTCATTTCTAACTAAAAAATTTTAAAAAAAGAAAGAGAGAAGGGGTTTCGCCATGTTGGCCAGGCTAGTCTCGAACTCCTGGGCTCAAGAGATCCACCCGTGTTGGCCTCCCAAAGTGGTAGGATTACAGGCATGAGGCATCACATCCAGCTGACTTTTCTTCTTTCTTTGGTGTAGTTCTCATATCTGGCAAAAGAAAAAAAAAAAAGCCCCCCGGCCCCCATAAAACTACCTGTGGAGATTTAAAACCTTTACAGGTCTGGGCCCTGGCAATTCTTATTGGGGACTGGGGGAAAGACAGCCTTGAGTATTGTACTTTGTTTTTGTCTTTCTGAAGATTTACTGTCAGTTCTGAGAAGTCAGGCTTGTGAACCATGGTCCTATCCTGGCATCAATTCAAGTAAACATGACTGCCAAAGAATTTTTCAAGGTCCAGATGAGTTGATATCAGATACTGATCAAGGTAATTGCACAACTATCAAAGATAAAAAACTTCAAACTAAGTAAACACAAATATTGGATCTAGATTAAAATATTTTCTTGTTGTCTAAGATATAGCATTAAGAGATTTTAACTGCCTTTTAAAAGCTGATGTGCAATGGCGCAATCTCAGCTCACTGCAACCTCCACCTCCCTGGTTCAATCGATTCTCTTGCCTCAGCCTCGTGAGTAGCTGGGATTACAGGTGCCCACTACTACGCCCGGCTAATTTTTGAGTTTTTAGTAGAGACCGGGTTTCACCATGTTGGCCAGGCTGGTCTTGAACGCCTGACCTCAGGATTCCCAAAGTGTTGGGATTACAGGCGTGAGCCACCGTGCCTGGCCAGTTACTCTTTTTCTTAAGAGATGGGGTCTCGGCCATGCGCGGTGGCTCACGCCTATAGTACCAGCACTTTGGGAGGCCAAGGCAGGTGGATCACTTGAGGCCAGGAGTTCAAGACCAGCATGGGCAACATGGTGAAACCCCCCCCTCTACAAAAAATTAGCTGGGCATGGTGGTGCAGGCCTGTGGTCCCAGTTACTTGAGAGGCTGAGGCAGAAGGATCACTTCAGCCTAGGGGGTTGAGGCTGCAGTGAGCCATGATTGCCACTGCACTCCTGGGTGACAAAGCCAGATCATGTCTCAAGAAAAAAAAAAAAAAAAAAAAAGCTCAAAGAAAGGATATCTTAAAAAAACAAAAACAAAAACAACGGGGTCTCACTATGTTGCCCAGGCTTGAGTGCAGTGCTTATTCACAGATGTGATCCCACTACTGATCAGCACAGAAGTCTTGACCTGCTGCATTTCCTACTGGGCTGGCTCACCCCTCCTTAGGCAGCCCAGTGGTCCTCCGTTCCCAGGAGGTTGCCATATTGATGCTGAACTTAGTGTGGACACCTGATCGGCATAGTGCACAAAAGCCCACAACTCCTGGACTCAAGTGATCTTTCTGCCTCAGTCTACCTGGTAGCTGGGACTATATAGCCTTGCGCCACTGTGCCAGCTACTTTAGTAGCTTTTAAATGTCTGTTTCAAATCTATCTCTGGAGAAATTGGACCAGCTCTGAACTCAGAAAAAATAGGATATTCTAACTCATGAGGTAAAATGCTCCTGAATCATTTGGGGAGGGGGAAAAGAGATGAGTAGTGAGCAGAGCCAAGATGGTCATTCATATAATTCATCCTTAGAAAAAATTAATTCTCCATACTCCCTTTAAAAATAACAAGTGATTAAGCAGTGGCTTAATTGCTCTCTTAAAAGTTTATATAATAATCTAGAGGCTGGATGCGGTGACTCACTCTGGGAGGCTGAGGTGGGTGGATCACCTGAGTTCAGGAGTTCGAGACCAGCCTGGCCAACATGGTGAAACCCCGTCTCTACTAAAAATGCAAAAATTAGCTGGGTGCGGTGGTGTGCGCCTGTAGTCTCACTCACTCAGGAGGCTGAGACAGGAGAATCAGTTGAACCCGGGAAATGGAGGTTGCAGTGAGCCGAGATGGCGCTGCTGCACTCCAGTCCGGGCAACAGAGCAGGACTCCATCTCAAAAAAAAAAAAAAAAAAAAAAAAAAAAAAAAATTTCATACAGAACAGTGCTGTCCAACAGAACTTTCTGTGATGATGGAAATGTTCCACATCTGTGTAGTTCAATATTGACTACTTGAAATGGGGCTAGCATGACTGAGGACATGTTTTTACTTATATATATATGTAACTACAAATTTAAATAGCCACATGTTGCTAGTGGCTATCATATTAGATACCAGGTCTAAAAATTCTACACCAGTAGGCTGGGGGTGGTGGCTCACATCTGTAACGGCAGCACTTTGGGAGGCCAAGGTGGGAGGACCACTTGAGGTCAGGAGTTCAAGACCAGCCTGGCTAACATGGTGAAACCCCATCTCTAATAAAAAATACCAAAATTAGCTGGGTGTGGTGGTGGGCGCCTGTAATCCTAGCTACTCAGGTGGCTGAGTCAGGAGAATCACTTGAACCTGGGAGGTAGAGGTTGCAGTGAGCCAAAATCATGCCACTGCACTCCAGCCTCGGCGACAGAGGACCAGTAAAGCAAGTATGATTTTCCCCATGATCTGCAAGTCATTTGCAGGAGGGGAAACCTTTGCTCAAGCTGTCTTGTAACTTAGTTTACTTGAGTCTGAATTCTGTGCCAATAGTTCCTTTTTCTTGAACAGTGTGGGTGGATACAGAGCAGAGCTTCTGTCCTTCACTGTTAACTAAGAAGAAGACCCATCTCTTGCTGTCATTTTCCATTTAAGAGAAAAAGGGACTTTTTCCTGAGTTCTTAATGACTTCTTCGGAAAAGATTTTTTCAGTTGGGAATCTGTCTTAACAAAAGCAAAAAACTCCATAGCGTAATCACAGAATACTCCATTTTCTCAAGAATGTCCTTCTGTGTCTACATCAATAAGCTCTTAAGATGTGCAGCAAAACTAAAAAGCTAAAGAATTTGATGTGCCCAGGGTGAGGCTTTAGGGAATGCAGGGGTCTTTATAAATAGGTCATTTAGATAATAACAATGTAAATTTGCCTTCCACTCTCTCTAGGCACACCTGAAAGTCCAAGAACCTGAGATTGAAGGGTATGCTACCTATTGAAACCACTCTTCAACAGGAAGCAGGGAAATGTGAAGTGACTTCAGTAACAGAAGAATGTAAATAAGTCTCTTTATAACTGAAGGGGTTATTGAGATTACTTCAGAAGTTTTAAAGTAATTTGAATAAATTATCATACGTTTTTTCCTGTAAGTAAAACCTGCAAACATTACTATTGTTATATAGTCATAAGAATCAACAATATTTTTAAAGATATAGCTAGACTTTATAATATTTCCCCTTTTCTTCAAGGAAGATAGATTATGTCCTTGTGGTATATTTGAAAGCAAACTTTGAAGGCCTGGGCTAGTGCCATTCCAAATAATTTACTTACATTTGGCTAGGGATAAGTTTTACAGATCTGATTTTTTTTTTACTTCAGTAGCTTAATGTATTTTCCTTGTTTAATGGCCTTTTCCTAATCCCTGTTCCTTTAATTTCAAGCAAGGCTACTACTATGTTTATCCCTGGCATCCACAGGAAACAGGAAATATTAAAAGAACTCAAGATGAATTAAAAAAAATCTTTTACTGTGAACATAAGGTTTGAAATTGTCACATTTTCTTCTTTGCAAATATTTTAAGGATACACTAAAATCTACCATTTTTAAGTGAAAAAACATTCCTGAAGTGAAAATCTTACATCTCTGTTAGTCAAAAAGGTACTTGTTCTTGCCATGGATAAATCTATTCTAAAATATACTTGAATTTTATTTTATTTTTGAGACGGAGTTTCGCTCTTGTTGCCCAGGCTGGAATGCAATGGCGCGATCTCGGCTCACCATGACCTCCGCCTCCTGGGTAAAAGAGATTCTCCTGCCTCAGGATCCTGAGTAGCTGGGATTACAGGTATGTGCCACCACACCAGGCTAATTTTGTATTTTTTTTTTTTTTTTTTTTTAGTAGAGATGGGGTTTCTCCATGTTGGTCAGGCTGGTCTTGAACTCCCAACCTCAGGTGATCCGCCCACCTCGGCCTCCCAAAGTGCTAGGATTACAGGTGTGAGCCACCGCACCCGTCCAAATTTTAAATCAAAATTAAAATAACTTCTAGATAGAAGGATCTGGATTTTATCAATGGTTAACTGTGTTCTTACAAAGTTACAAATGGCACTGAGTAGCTGAATTCCTACCATTAATTCAAAGATTTATCAGCTTATGTTTCAACAACATAATGACACCTTTAGGTCAATTTTAGAAATGTTTTTGGCATTTATACTCAACCTCATTTCCTTCCAAGTTTTGAACAAGAATTCTACATTGTGGGCATTAGCATCATGGCTTATCTTTGCATCCTGAGTTCCATAAATCTTTGCAGAATGAATAAACTTGCTGAAAAATGTACATAAAATTAAGACAGAGGCAAAACCTACTGTAAAATTAAGACAGAAGCAAAGCCTGGTATAATGAGCTACTTTTATAATTTTGTAACTGTAAAATAGTATTTATAATATTTTGTAAATAAAAATAGAATTGTATAACTATTATGCATTTTAGAATAGGTAGGGACATTTTGTTTTCACTTTGCTGTCTTGTTAGAGCCATAGCTAGAAGCTGATATTCCTCAGGTAACAAAGACTGCAGCCAAACTCTAAGAACAGAATGATCCATTAACTTTGAAAGAAGTTAAAATAGAATTTTTAAAAGATGAAAGAAAATCCATTAATACAAGGTTTTCACTCTAGCTTATGATTTTGGGCAAGTCATGGAATCTGATTTAATGGGGATAAAGGTTAATTGGTCCATATGCTGCAGAGCCTGTGTATGTGAAACAAGTGGGATGTTGTATAGGATGGTGCTTTGTGAACTGTAAAGTGATACTTACACAGTAAGGTTGAACAGGCACTACACAGGTACACCATGCAGAGAACGGAGTGCTTTGGAAGTATCTGAGAAATGGTGAGTCACTGGCTGGAGAAACGGGTTTATGGGGGAGGAATTATTTCACAAGTTGTGGCGTGGTGGTGGAAGACTGAAGGCTTAAATGACAAAAAGAGACTTTTTTTTGTAAGGCAAAAGGAGTCTGTGACATTTCCTGAGTTGGCTAAAAGACATAATGTGGCAGGAGCTTTAGGAAGATCAAATGAGCAACTGGACCTAATTTCAATTTCAGCAGTCACAGACTTCCCATTTACCGAGGGCTTACAAGCTCCTCTTACTGTGTTCAGAAGTTTATAGATATTACCTCAATTAATCCCTAACAACCCTTAAAGGTTCACATTACTACTCTGTTACAAATGTGAGAGTGGAGGCTTACAGTTAACAAACTTATTATCCAAAGCCAGGGAAATTAAGATGAGGAATATCCAAGACTATTATACAATAAAACGGGATACGTGACGAAATCTAGATGTGAGACCAGGAATATTGCTATGTGCGTGCAAAGATTCAGGAGAAGCATTACAGAGATTTGCTGACTAAATGATTTGCTGACTAAAGATTCAGGAGAAGCATTGCCAAGATTTGCTGACTAAATGGTAATGAGGGATCTCATATACATAAGGTGTTATGGTAGCCTTTGTTCTCCTGAGCAAACACCATGCCAACATGTAATCAGCTAAAAAAAATCTGTTCAGACAGTTCTACAGAATCTCATGATTTTTCCATTTTCAGTGAAACTGTTTTTAAAGTACATTTAATTCCAGTTTAAAGTCATCAGTTTAACTTTAATACATGCTGATGTTGGGCAGACAAGATTTTAGGAGAACATAATAGAACTCCAGGCACTTGTCTGACTTAATTCTGCCATTTTCACAAATTTGGAAAATCTCCATCCTTACAGTGATGGAGAGGCAGGCAGGATGCCAAGGAGGCTTGTCATACCTTAGGTCCTTCCAGTTATTCTGCCACTTGTTTTTCTTCTTCTTCATCAGTCAGCCAGACTGTGAGAGACTGGTGTCAGGCTGTCCCAGCCATAGCCTGTAGAGGAGACTCGGCCTCACTTTCTCTATGTGTTATCCTCTTTTCCGCTGGGGGTTTTAAGGTGCCAGCCTTAAGTTCCTAGTCTAAGCAAATAGTAAAGCAAGAGTGCTGACGGCTCTCAAAGCCCAGTGAGTTCCTTCTGAAGGAAGATGTATTCAATAAATGCTTGTGACATGACCAACGTTAATAGCAACTGATATTCTGAACCATTTTTTTTAAATTATTTTATTTTTTTGCTTTAGCTTTTTGGTGAGGGACTTGAGGGATAAAGATGACAAGCTTTGGGCCAGGCGCGGTGGCTTACACCTGTAATCCCAGCACTTTGGGAGGCTGAGGCGGGTGGATCACCTGAGGGCAGGAGTTCGAGACCAGCCTGGCCAACATGGTGAAACCCTATCTCTACTAAAAATACAAAAATTCACCAGGCGTGGTGGTGGGTGCCTGTAATCACAGCTACTCGGGAGGCTGAGGCAGGGACACCAAGAGACGGAGATCTTCCCCAGTTAGCACTGAGATAGGTTACAAAAAAAAAAAAAAAAAAAAAGCTAAAAAAATAGGACAGATTACTGCTAAGAACAGACCCATGATAATAATGTAAGAGCACTAAATAGGCCAATTTAAGAGACACATATTAAATTCTAATTTACTCCATTATCCATTTAGTCTTACAGTTCTGCCATTATTATTATTTCATATCCTGCTCAAGGATTTTCTCAGTTTTATCTCTGTCCCTCCTACTCCTCTTCTTTTTTTGGAGATGGTGTCTCCCTCTGTTGCCTAGGCTGGAGTGCAGTGGTGCGATCTCGGTTCACTGCAACCTCTGCCTCCCAGGTTCAAGCAATTCTCCTGCCTCAGCCTGCCAAGTAGCGGGTGGTACGCACTACTATGCCCGGCTAATTTTTTGTATTTTTAGTAGAGATGGGGTTCACCATGTTGGCCAGGCTGTCTCAAACTCCTGACCTCAGGTGATCCACCCACCTTGGCCTCCCAAAGTGCTGGGATTACAGGCGTGAGCCACTGTGCCCAGCCCAAAAAAGATTTTCTTACCCTCCTCCTCAGAATTTGATAATTGTTTTTTAAAAAATGTACTGATAAAAAGACACATATATAGGTGCTGACTCTGTTGACAATCTATCCCCAGTCTACTGGATCTCCAAATAAACATGAAATGTTTTTCATTCTCAAAAAAAAAAAAAAAATAATAATTTACTGGTAAATTATAAAGAAGGATTTAGCTATTGACTCTGGCAAACCTTAAACATTTTCATGCAAAAAAGAATACATAGGTATGCTTGCACTGTATTTTTTTTTTTTTTTTTTTTTTGAGACGGAGCCTCGCTCTGTCGCCCAGGCCGGACTGCGGACTGCAGTGGCGCAATCTCGGCTCACTGCAAGCTCCGCTTCCCGGGTTCACGCCATTCTCCTGCCTCAGCCTCCCCAGTAGCTGGGACTACAGGCGCCCGCCACCGCGCCCGGCTAATTTTTTGTATTTTTAGTAGAGACGGGGTTTCACCTTGTTAGCCAGGATGGTCTCGATCTCCTGACCTCATGATCCACCTGCCTCGGCCTCCCAAAGTGCTGGGATTACAGGCGTGAGCCACCGCGCCCGGCCTGTATTTTTTTTTTTTTAACTGTACTATGGCAAACTGATTTGTCATGAAAAACTTCCTGCTTTTCCATGACTTTGAGGATAACGTCCTTTAGCTATCTGATGTTAAAAGAAGAGGCTGGTTACTGCAGTAGAATATCATAATTCTGGGGGGGTTGGTACATGTTTGGTTTACCCACAGTAGGGAGCATGCTTACCAAAAGCATGTGAAGCATTGCTCTAAGTCTCTGGATCCTTCTGCACATCTCCATCTACATACTTCGTAGTCACAGTTCCTAATATCTCACCTGCTGTTATCATTGCCTACTTGAAAATCTGGCAGGAAGGTTATTAGGGAAAAGGAAAAGGGGAATATCATTTAAGTTCCCTCACAACTGCTCTTCAAACACTAGCAGAGAATGTTAGAAAGAAAAAGAGTAAGAAACAAATGGAAGGAAAAGCTAAAATAGACGTGAGGAATATGGAGGGAAACACGTTCCAACTTCCCCATTCCTATTAATACTCCTTTCATGCCTGGATCAAAAAAGTGCTACCTCTTCACTCATGGAGAGTTTTTGACTGCTTCCTGTCTTCAGCTCCTGGTCTAGTTTCTAAACGCCTAATTTCATTCTTTTGCTCAACCCAACCAGACCTGGTCCAGGCTACAGGAGCCAAGAACTAGAAACTAGCGTAGATCTAGTAAGTGACAAGACTGAGAAACTTCAAGTCCCTACTCCCAATGTTAGATCTGCTGAAGAAGGCATACGTGTTCCTAAGATCTGAGGTTTGCACACTGAATACATTTTTTTTTTTTTTTTGAGATAGAGTCTTGCTCTGTTACCCAGGCTGGAGTGCAGGGCATGATCTTGGCTCACTGCAACCTCTGCTTCCTAGCTTCAAGTGATTCTCATTCCTCAGCCTACCAAGTAGCTGGCATTACAGGCACACACCACCAGGCCCGGCTAATTTTTGTGTTTTTAGTAGAGATGGGCTTTCACCATGTTGTCCCAGGCTGGTCTCGGAATCCTGACCTCAGGTGATCCACCCACCTTGGCCTCCCAAAGTCTTGGGATTACAGGCGTGAGCCACAGTGCCTGGCCACACTGAGTAATTTTTTTTTTTTTTCAGACGGAGTCTCACTCTGTCGCCCGGGCTGTAGTGCAGTGGCGTGATCTTGGCTCACCACAACCTCTGCCTCCACCTCCCGGATTCAAGTGATTCTCCTGTCTCAGCCTCCCAAGTAGCTGAGATTACAGGTGCCCACCACCATGCCTGGCTAATTTTTGTGTTTTTAGTAGAGACGAGGTTTCACTATACGTTGGCCAGGCTGGTCTCGAACTCCTGCCCTCAGGTGATGCACCTGCCTTGGCCTCCCAAAGTTTTGGGATTACAGGCATGAGCCACTGTGCCCAGCCACTGAATACATTTTTAAAAGAGATATTTTCTTCAGTGTGGTTAGGGTGTGTGATACTGTTAGTCTGGTCTTCAGATATAGCACAGGGTAAAATACTATCTTTCATGGCCTGGCTTGGGAATCTAACCACCAGGGATACTATGAAAAATCCTTAATAACCAGTAGGGTACAGGAGCCAAAACAACCAGTGTGCTCCTTCTTCTCTATCTTACAACCAAATATCATCAAATGGTTTGGCTACAATCAGCTCCTATGGAAACCTGTTACTCCAGTTTCAAACAAATGACTTATAGTTGGCTCTATGGAACCTTTTAGGGACTCCTAATCATAAAATGATTGCTCAGCAGGGCAGCTTATGCTTGATCTGCCCTGTTAAGAAAAAAAATTTTTTTCAAAATTTTCTTTTTCCCTCATAAAATAAACACCAGCTACTATGGCACTTTCAAAGAACTACAACAGGATATTTCATTCTTCAGGGGAGGAGACCCCACTTTAACTGCTGATAATCTGAAATTTACTTCCAACCTCCTGGCAAGTACACAGCAAGGGCAACACTTTACTTATGGCTTCCCTCCATCCCTATTATATTCTGTTAGGCAGAAAAATAAACATGGAAAAAGCTAATAAATGTTAAATCCATTCAGTACATGCATTTTAGGATGAAGCTGGCAAGTTTCACTTAAACTGTAACCAAAAGTGTCTCCAATATTCAGCAACAACTAAGCTGGATGAGAAGAAAATGAGTTACTGATATATTATGCATTTATTCATTCTCTACATAGAGCATGGATGAGGTACATAAAATATATAGTTGGGATTACTGTATGTATACAGGTTCTACTTTGGGCCTATGCTATCTTAAAATTCACAAAAATGACAAATAAACCAGGGCTAGTCTTATATAAATGTGGACTTTGAATAATACACTAACTGGGCTATGGAAGCATAAACAAACTGTAATAGTGTACTTAATGATGAAACAAAAAACTGAAGAAAATTCTACCATGTAATTAGTATATCTATTGTTATTTTTAAACCACTTTAATACATGATTCATCCTCATAAACGGTGACAGTGAGAATCAAATTATATTGCTGAAGTTACAGGCACCAGAAGTCAAGATTTTTGGATTGCCTGCTTAATATGTAAATCTGCAGACTTTCAGATAAGGCTATTTTATTTTTTATTTGTTATTAAACATTCCAGTAGCATCAGAAATGAGTTGACCTCTGAAGTAACTATGAGAATACTCTTTGGGTCTATGTGTTTTGTGAATACTGACAGTGATTAACAGAATTTAAAGAAATTACAGTTTTGCTTTTGATTATTGTAATACCTCACAAGGGGCAGGAGGAAAACTACATTTTGTTGCTGGTCTTGGGTTATTCTGATGATTTATTAGGGGAGGCAGAGTAAGTGTTAGAGTGAGAATAGATTAGTACATGTTCATTTGTTATGATATATAGTATAAAATGTGACCAGAGCCTTTTCCTCTTTCAGATTTTATAATTTACTCTCAAATTTGTGGTTACATAAAACTGATGAATCAATTCATAAATCCAGGGAACCAATAATCCCTACAAAAGCAACGGACCTGGTACTCTAAAATGTTACGCTACTGGCAGTAACAAGATTAAAAGCTGGAAATGTTTGAGCTGAATGAAAAATTTTATTAAAATTCAAAGTTATCTAAATCATAAATTTTTAATAAAATTATCTAAGGAGAGATTTTCTTTAGGAAACCTTAAGGATACATACATTTAAGTATATCTGAGTTTTTGGGCAGTCTCCACCATGTTTTCATATGCTGTCTAATTATTACCTAAAAATGGCCCAATTTTTGCTATCAAAATATTCTTACTTCAAACACAAGTACCATTCAAACAATTCTGTAATTCTTCTCATTATCACAAACTTTAAAAATTGAATAGCTTTACTTCAGATAAATTACTGGAAAAGCTTTGGTGAGATGTTGAGAGAATAGAGAAGATCAATAACACATTAGGATGTTTAGAAGTCACCAGTAGGACCACAAGCATGGAGCAGTAGAAAAGGTTCAACAAAGCTTTCTTTGAGAGGAGAGATGGGAATGTGAACCTCAACGAGGTCTAGGTCATTTAGGTAAAGGGATAAAACACAATCTCGATGTGGGAAAGTGATTGAGGAAGGGCATCTTAGCATATGGTGGTGTTTTTGATATATTTACCTGTCCTTTTCTAAAATTTTCTGAAGTTCTATGTCTCTGCAAGTTTTGATTCAATGAGGTCAGTAATAAATTACAGTAAACCACAAGGTTTATTTTCAGAGATGTGGGGTAACTTCAGATTCATGTTTATATCATTGTTTTTTAAACCTATTTTTTAGGACTATTTGCAGCTCTAAATACAAAGGAGTTTTTTATTTCCCATGTATCTTAGCAGCTTTCTGGCAGTGTAGAATTTTGAAGGAAGATGCATTTTTCTAGTGCATAATATACAAAGTGCATAATATACACTGTGGTTAAATTTCAATAGCCTCAATCTCTGGATTGAAGATCTGGAATTCGGATACATGAAATGCTGATTTTTAAAGTATTCCAATGGCCAAAATGCTGATGAAAATGTTTTGTGGAAAATATATAAATTTTATATTAACAAAAGTGTGTTACTTTTAAAAATTAAAATAAGGAAAATGATTTAACACCTTTCAAAGGGTTATCCTAATGCAAAATCCCTCTTTAAATACAACTAATTTAAAGTAGCACATTACTGTTTTGTTTCAAACAGGCAAATATAAATATGAAAGCATTTGTCTTATTTTCTACAGTAACCTCTTTATTTGATAAAATAGTCAAGTTTGGACATTTTGAAACAAGCTAGAATAAGTTTTAGCTTGATTTATATAAAAAAATGTATTCAATGAAAGAAATTATGTCTAATAACAAAAAATTCCCAACAAATTAAAATTAAATATTAATAGAACATTTTATAAAAACTGAGTCACTCCTTGTTAAATGCCACTTTCTTTTTTTTTGAGATAGAGTCTCGCTCTGTTACCCAAGCTGGAGTGCAGTGGTGTGATCTTGGTTCACTGCAACCTCTGCCTCCAGGGCTCAAGTGATTCTCCTGCCTCAGCCTCCCAAGTAGCAGGGATTACAGGTGCACACCACCATGCTCGGCTAGTTTTTGTATTTTTAGTAGAGACGGTGTTTCGCCACGTTGGCTGGGCTGGTCTCAAATTCCTGACCTTAGGTGATCCACCTGCCTCAGCCTCCCAAAGTGCTGGGATTACAGGCGGGAGCCACCACACCCGGCCCATTGCCATTTTCACTTTTGAACATTCACCTCAACCAGGCACACCTGGTGCCACCACTGAGGTAATGCTAGGAATGTGAGCCTCCTATAAAACTGGCTCTACACACGTTGGCAAAGACCAAACATTGGAAGTACACAGCAAACAGGGAATAAGGACAGGCAACTGCAAATCACCTCCACTACACACTTCACCCATCTTCCTTCCTCCCTTACTCCCTCCCTCTCTCTCTTTCTCTGTTTCTTTATTTTTAAGACAGAGTCTTGCGCTGTAGCCCAGGCTGGAGTGCAGTGGTGCATGATCTCGGCTCACTGCAACCTCCACCTCCCGGGTTCAAGCAATTCTCATGCCTCAGCCTCCCAAGCTGCTGGGATTACAGACGTTCACTGTGACGCCCGGCTCATTTTTGTATTTTTAGTAGAGGCAGGGTTTCTCCATGTTGGCCAGCCTCGTCTCGAACTCCTGGCCTCCAGTGAGCCGCCTGCCTCAGCCTCCCAAAGTGCTGGGATTACAGGCATGAGCCATTGCATCCAGCCAACTTCACCCACCTTTAAACTCCCCTTTAGGAATACAGAGCACACTACATTCACCCTCCTTCTTGCCTTCCAACAAGACAATTCACAGCTTGGTGTCTGTTCCTTTAATTAGGTCAGCTCCAAGCTGAGATAAGCCTCAAGGAGTAGGTGTTTTAATGGGATAAGAAGAACGAAGTCTAGAGAATTTAGGCCCTCAATTTCAGGTGACCCAGCATTTGTATCCCTCTTTACCTCCACACCTGTCCTTTCTCCCTGTTTATTATGGAATTCCTGAATCCACCTGGTCAGAGATTTCATATTCTATCACTTGTAAAAGTCATGTTATTAATTCAACGTGACTGAAATAGCTGAGAAGCCTGAAAAACTGTATTATATTTAAGAAGTTCTATTAAGTATTAAAAGTAAGAAAATCTCTATGAATCCCACCTGATGATCCAAATATATGGTGTTCCTTTGGAGATGATGTGAAAGAATTTCATTCTAGTAGGCACCAATTAAGAAAAAAGGGACAGAGAAAGAGGATGTGGAATTCAAGAAAAGGTCAATTTTGGAATAAGAAAAACAGGTAATTTACTACAACCTATTATATCACAGTACACGACAACTTTCACGCACATGCTCCCCTGTAAATGGTACCGCTGACATATTAAATTACAAAATTATATTTTGTTTTGTAAGAAATTACGTAGACATGCATATGAACAATGAACTATTAAGCAGAAAAATTCCTTAAAATAGCTTTAGCAAACTGACTGTTAGAACTTTTACATGTCAATTATTTCCTCTAATATAGTACTACTTCTTTAAATAAGATCTTTCTTATATAACCAGAGCTATAAACCCTTTGAGAAACGGTTATGTGTTCGTTCTTTTCATTAAAAATAAGACATTTTAAAATTAATTTTTAACATTTAAAAGGCAGTATTATTAAAGCTATAATGAATTTTTAATTTATTGTTTTATTGGAAATTATAGGACTTCTCAATATTTGTTTTACCAGATATGGAAGTCACAGTATTCAGTGAGTAACAACATGAAGTTAATGCGTACATGAAGTATTGTACGCATTGCCTTCCTCAAAACCAAAAGCCAGTGGGTGAGCGGGTGGGGTAGAAGGCTAAGAAGAAATGCACCCTACCTGTATTTTCTTTCAGTAATGTATAAATAAGTTGAATTCTCAAAGGGTTAATAGGAGATTCTAATGTTGTCACTATAATGATGGTATGGGCTCATGCTCAACACTAATGATGCTGATCATATTGACTGATGAGTGTTTCAAAATAAGAGATGATGGCAGACGACACAGACAAATCTCTCCATAGCTGACCTTTGGGCTGTGGGCCTCAAGCTTTAGCTGCATGAGCTGTGCTAACGTATGCTCCCGGATACTACTCAGTTCGGCTTGCTGCCGTCTCAGCTTTATTAGCAGCAGCGTAAGCTCCTCTGGCTGAAGGAGTACAATTTAAGAATCCAAACAGTGGAAAACAGATTAATTGTTGTCTTAAGTGACAGATATTAAACCAAGATTTCTTGGCAAGTTTCCTCTTATGGTTGACATCAAACATAGTGCCTAGGCACTATGATGATAGGTCCTACATAAATGCATAGATATCTAGAGAAATAGAAGGAACAGTGTTACTTTAAAAGATACAGCAAAACAACAGTAAATTAAGGCATTTTCTCAGAACTCATGAGAACATTTAAATGTTAAGTACAAAAAAGCACAATGCCAAAAAAACATTATAAAGGTTTGTACATAAGTGCTACTAAAAAATTATTAAAAGATATTTTACTAAGATATCTAAAAAAATTACACCTTTTCCCAGCAATAGTACAAATACCTGCATGTCCAACTTTCTAACAGAACTACATAAAATAATTAAAATAAATGTAGTCCGGGCACAGTGGCTCACGCCTGTAATCCCAGCACTTTGGGAGGCTGAGGGAGGCGGATCACAAGGTCAGAAGTTCGAGACCAGCCTGAGCCCTGCCTCTACTAAAGATTAAAGAAAAATTAGCCAGGCATGGTGGCACGCAACTGTAATCCCAGCTACTCGGGAGGCTGAGGCAGGAGAATCGCTTGAATCCAGGAGGTGGAGTTTGCAGTGAGCCGAGATCACGCCATTGCATTCCAACCTGGGCGACACGGCGAGACTCCATCTCAAAATAAATAAATAAAAAAATAAATAAAAATAAAATAAAATAAAATAAAACTTGGATATCTTCACATTATTAAATTTGGGATCTGGGTTCTATTAATTGCTTCCCAGTTATACTCTGAAATGTCACTGTTAGTGCTTTCATATAGCATTTTTTATGACCAAAAGATCAGTTTTATTTTTTAAGAAAAAGAGAGTTTCCATGGGCACATAAACCCTCCTTCTTCACTCTGGGAAAAGAAGAGAACCTTTTTTTGGTTCCTGATTGGTGACTGTGATCCAAAGGAAAATAAATTTTCAACAGTGGATGAAATTCCTTAATGGGCCAATTTAATATACTTTTCTTAGAAATACAGTAAAGTATGATCATTGGCATTCTTATAGCCCATAAAATATTACTTGGTATTTCTCTGAGCTTTGTTATGATTAACAACTGAAAGCAGGCTACAGGCTTTCCTCACTGGAGTGCTGCAATGTACTCTTAAAAATTCCAGGCTAAAAAGTATTCCCAAGATTGGTTTGTTTTGCCTACACGACAGCATTGCATTAACTCTCTTCCGTTCTGTTTATTTGCTATTGCTCTTTATTTTCTGACAATTCTTTTCAAAAACAGAAATCATTTTTAACCATTATCCAAAATCATATTAAAAATTATTGCCTTCAGAAGAAAAAGTGTTAGCAGAAGTTACTATTGGATTCCTTAGATAAAACTGGGTATCCACAGGTGAGACAACAGTTTTTTACTGTATATTAAATGGTCAAAGAATATTTGGTGTATGAGATTTAAATAAACCATGTAAGAGAAAAAGAACAGTTGCTTTTGCTCTGATGCCAATCCTATCTCGTGACCTCATGATGCTAGGATAGTCCTTGTTTTATGATCATCATCTCCAACACTTGAGGTCTTGCCAGGGAGAAGGTAAGATGGGCAAAGGGATTTAGATATTCTAAGAACCCAGAGTGATACCGCAAGGAATACTGAAACTCTGGTTTATTATTTATGGAGCTAAACAGACTAAGAGATTTTCAAAAGGATGAAAGATACCAATAACTTTATTTAGATTTTGAGGCCAAATAAAGAGGCACATTTGACCAAAGAAAGTAGGTGGTGGTAAATAAATTTTGGCTAAATATCCACTAGAGGGAGCAAGGCAGAAGAGAAACATTTGTGGTATGCTATTTAGCATTTACTCTATGATTAATGACTATTTGTCAGGCCAACAATCTAATGTTTTAAGATTCCCACATTTAAAAGTCCTTAGTCTTAATCAAATAATCTTTGGCAAATAAACTGCAGGAAGCTTAAAGCAAGGAAATATTTCATTTTATCTAAATGTGTAAAAGATAAAATAAAACAATGTTTTTACAAAACACATAAGATGAATTTGATTACTGCAGGAAGAGAATTTTAAATAATGAACAACTATACACACAGGTGCTAAAATCACATCTTTACAGAAACTGAGGTTATCTACTGACAATAAAGCCAGTGCCCCTGATAAAAGAATACCATTAAAATAAACTGAAGTGAGGAAAAGTCATCTTTTCTCTTTAACTAGAAGAAGTGTCCTGCTAATGTAACTCCTTTCCAATTAACATAACACTGACAATGAAATGGTAATGGTAAATACTTGCTTTGATCGAACGCTTGTTACAGTCTTTTTCTGCTGATATGTAAATCAGTTTATTTTACAAACAGCTCTAAAGAAGTTAATCTAAAAATTCACACGAAAAACTTAATACGCTGGTAGTTTGACTACAAATAACTGCTTGCTGGATTTGTTCACTAATGAATTACTGCAACTTCTGTTTTAAGGATAAGGGAATGAAAGTAAAGAAACCCACCTAGTTCATACAATAAAGTTTCTTTTTTTTTTTTTTTTTTTTGAGACAGAGTCTTGCTCTGTTGCCCAGGCTGGAGTGCAATGGCAGGATCTCGGCTCACTGCAAACTCCACCTCCTGGGTTCAAGTGATTCTCCTGCCTCAGCCTCCCAAGTAGCTGGGATTACAGGCACGCACCACCATGCCCGGCTAATTTTGTATTTTTAGTAGAGATGGGGTTTCAACATGTTGGCCAGGCTGGTCTTGAACTCCTGACCTCAAGCGATCCGCCTGCCTTGGCCTCCCAAAGTGCTGGGATTACAGGCATGAGCCACCGTGCCCGGCCATAAAGTTTCAAAATATAATCTTTTATTTGGCCAGTCAGACACTTAGGAAAAGGTATCCACTAAAACACTGAAATGGCTACATGATTTCAAATTCTGATGAGCATCTCTTGCACAAAAGCAGTAATGTTTTTTCTTTGGGAGAACCTCTGAAAATTCAAACTTAAAAATTATGTTAGATATGTACCTTCCTGTGCAGCACATAAATAAAACATGGTATGGTAAATAAAGATATTACTCACCGTTTTCCCTTGGAGGCTCTGGGGACTAACAGACTGTAAAGTCAGGCCAGCTGGCACTGACCTTCTGTCAGGCACATAGACATGCTAGGAAAGTAAAGGCACAATGTAATTCTGTGGTAAAGTTTTTTTTTTCTTATCAATGTCAGCAAGGAGAAATCTTAAATTCCTATTATGAAATACCATTTAAAATTGCTATTAGTGCTTATGAAAGATGATAGAGACTAACATTTCTTGACATAAAATACTGATGTGGGGCTGGGTGCGGTGGCTCACGCCTGTAATCCCAACACTTTGAAAGGCCAGGGTGGACAGATCACTTGAGGTCAGGAGTTCGAGACCAGCCTAGCCAACATGGTGAAACCCTGTCCTTTCTCTACTAAAAGTATAAAAAATTAGCCAGGTGTGGTGGCGTGGGCCTGTAATCCTAGCTACTCGGAAGGCTGACGTGGGACAAGTGCTTGACCCCGGGAGGCAGAGGTTGCAGTGAGCCGAGATAGCACCACTGCACTCCAGCCTGGGCAACAGAGCGAGGCTCCATCTAAAAAAATAATGATGTGGATGAGCAGAGTAATTCTTTTTTTTTTTGTTTTTTGAAGCAGAGTCTCACTCTGTTGCCCAGCCTGGAGTGTATGGCAAGATCTCAGCTCACTGCAACCTCCACCTCCTGGGTTCAAGAGATCCTCCTACCGCAGCCTCTCAAGTAGCTGGGATTACAGGCGCATGCCACCACGTCTGACTAATTTTTGTATTTTTAGTAGAGACGGGGTTTCACCATGTTGGCCAGGCTGGTCTCGAACTCCTGGCCTCAAGCAATCCACCTACCTCGGCCTCCCAAAGTGCTAGGATTACAGGCTTGAGCCACTTGCCCGGCCTGAACAGAGTAATTCTAAAATCTGGTTTAGAGGTTCTCAAAAACTCTTTGACCTCAGGATCCCTTTATATTCTTAAAAAGAAAATTTAGTGGCAAGAGTGGCATTGTTTTACAGTTTTGCAAATCTTTAATGTCTGGCTGGATTCTTGTATCTGTTTCTGTATTTAATCTGTTGTGATAATCTCTTTTAGTGGAAGTATGTGAAGAAAATCTACCCTCAATATATATAGTTGGAAAAAAGGAGAGAATTTTAATAGTTTTTCTTGATAATTATAGATGTTCATCTTTGACACTGCGCTATAGCTCAAAAAACTGATATTTTTTAAAGGTTAGTTACAAAGTGATATCTGAAACCTTATCAATGAACTTTTGATACTCTGTTACATTAATATCCACTTGGTCTATTTGTACTTTAAATGAATCTTGTGACATCAAACACTGGTCATCTGGAAAATATTGGTTCAGTGAGTTATGCAATGTTCTAAATATTGACATATGTCAGTATACAATATAAAAACATCACAACTGTTAATATCACCGCCAATCTTTAAGCACCGGAAAGCTGTCAAGTTCAGGGTGGCAGATACATGATTTTCAAAATTCTATTTTTTGCTTGAAAACTCAAACGTTGTTATCAGTAACAAATACTGTCAGTTGTTTTCCTTGAAGTGACAGGATAGCATTCACTTTGAGAAAGTGTGTCTATCAAATACCACGTCTGAATATTGACAGTTGTCTTTTGTTCAAGTAAAAATATGTTTCACAATAAAAGGAACTAATTCAGCTTGCAACTCCATCATGTGTTTTACTGTGAGACAACGGTTAGCACTTTGGTATGCCATAGAAATGCTTTATGCATTTACCATTTCATCACAAGTAATAGTAAAAGAATATGTAACAAAATGTTAAGGTTCAATAAAATTATTTTCTACTGTTTCATGAATGAGATTTATAAGTGAACCTGATACTTTATTTTTTACTTCAAGTGTGTGGCAGGGAGGGCTACAATGACCACTAGCATAGTCTGGATCCACTGCCTTGATTTATGCTAAGGTGCCAGAAATTTTACTCACCATCGCTTCTGCACTACTAGAGCAAATAGGAACACAATGAATAATGCCTTATTATGATCATAAAAATAGTTTTGACTCCCTGAAACGGTCATGGGAGGGAACCCCCACAGGGGTCCATGAACTACACTTTAAGAACCACTGATCTAGATCAAGGAAGAGGATAGGATAGTTTGAAAGAAAAATTTGGCAATTTTGGAGAAGTCTTTTGGGAGTAGCAGTAGCAGACAGTTGAGAATTGGATAGAGAATATAGATTCATCTCATATTTGCTGTCGAAACAGATGATATATTCTGGCCAAGAACATGAAAAATACTATTAACCATGAGAGCATGTAATTTAGAGCCAATTGTTAGACCATACACATTAAGTTGTATTAGATCAGATTTTTCTTATATATTGTTACTATTTTTATCAATCATGATTTAGTCTTTGGAAAAAGTGAGGAAACACTGAACTTTGTTACGATGGAGTTCAAAGTGAGCCTTTTGTTGTGAGGCAAATTAAAACTTTCTTCAAAGGAAAATTCCTGATTAATCTATTAATCTTAACAAATGCTTATTTATGGAAATATCAAGCAAATGCTTAGGTAATAACGCAGCTGAAGAAATCAGCTTGTCACAAGGATAAGAAAAGAGCATTTTAAAACAGTATAAAGCAATAACTTATTATTACTATTTTTTGAGTCAGAGTCCTGCTCTGTCTCCCAGGCTTGGGTGCAGTGGTGCAATCACAGCTTACTACAGCCTCAACCTTCCATGTTCAAGTGATCCTATGGCCTTGGCTCCCCAAAGTGTTGGGAATACAGGTGTGAGCCACTATGTCCGGTCAAAGAACTCTTCAGTATGAAAAAAAAAGCACTTTAGGATAGACATTAGGGAACTGGTTGTGTACTAGCTGACTAATCAAAGCCACTGCTTTAGCATTATGAAAAGCTGATTGATACAAAGCACTTTGAATTCACTTCAAATAATCTATACTAAGCAATGCTTAAACCAACTTAATATACAAAGTAAAACATGATCTCCATTTTTAAAATGTATACATACCATTAAGCTACAATATTAAATCGAGTGTTTAAGGAGTTATCTCAATATGCCATATATTCATTGGTTAGAAGATAAAGTTAACACTTTTATCCTCATGAACAACAGGATGAGCTTGATACAAAATTTCAGGTATGCCAGAAGACAGTAGGTGTAGAATTTCCAAGTGTGTAAAAAGCCAATAAAAATGAATGTGGTCTAGGCCAGGCACAGTGGCTCACACCTGCAATCTCAGCACTTTGGGAGGCTGAGGCCAGTGGGTCACTTGAGATCAGGAGTTCAAGACCAGCCTGGGCATCACGGTGAAACCACATCTCTACTAAAAATACAAAAATTAGCCAGGTGTGGTGGCGCATGTCTGTAATCCCAGCTACTCGGGAGGCTGAGGAAGGAGAATCGCTTGAGCCCGGGAGGCAGAGGTTGCAGTGAGCTGAGATTATGCCTCTGCATTCCAGCCTGGGCAACAGAGAGAGACTCCATCTCAAAACAAAACAACAACAACAACAAAAACAACAGAAAAATGCATGTGGTGTTAAGCTACACGGAGAACTGATGAGATATGGTATCAAGCAGAGAAAACAGAATGCATCTGCTCAAAAGAACTGCTCCTGTGTTCCTGAGAGATGAAGTGTTGCAATTAGGTATTTTTTATACATGAGATCTTAATGTTGTAAAATATTTTTATTTATTTTTTAAAACAAAAAAGAGCTGCCTTGCTTACTTTATCCCCATTCTTTTGTCTCTCACATTTAAAATAGTATACTAGAAAGAAAACACAGCATTTATAAGGTAGTGAGTTAACACAAAATCAGCAGCTATTTTACCTTAGGGTGATGGGCCCTGTGTCTGCGGTCTATTGTCACATCTCCTCTCTGAATTGGTGAAGACACTTCCGATCTGTAAGTTCGTTGAGGGGAGTATCCCTGATAAGCAGCTATTGACCCGTGGGAAGGTGATGTGGGAATAGAGTGCATTGTCTGGTCAGAAATATTTACCATGGTTTTGGGACTACTCAAAGTACTGTGTCGAGGGAGGGTGCTCTGTTTGTTATAAAACTGACGCTGCTGCCATTCGTAGAGCTGCCACATTGTGTCATCTCTCATGGACCTCCGTTTCTCCTCCGCTCCGGGTCCTAATGTCTTGTCATGAGTGGAAGGGGTTACACTGCAGATACTTTCAGGCCTTGTCTTGCTGTTTCTTGGGAGTGTTCTATAACCTTCAGGGTAGCGGGCCATAATCTGGGCTCTGTGACTTGGCATATTTCTTGGTAATGTTTGGTAAGAAATTACTCTAAAATAAAAAAATAATTAAAATGTAAACATGAAGGAGGGTTATTTTCCAAATTCTAAATTAGAGTACATTTCTTTTGTTCCAGTAAGTAAAATATACATTAGAATTTTTTTTTTTTTTTTTTTTTTTTGGGAGACAAGAGTCTCGCTCTGTTGCCCAAGCTGGAGTGCAATGGCGTGATCTCGGCTCACTGCAACCTCCGCCTCCTGGGCTCAAGCGATTCTCCTGCCTCAGCCTCCTGGGTAGCTGGGATTACAGGCATCCACCACCATGCCCGGCTGATCTTGAATTCCTGACCTCAGGTAATCCACCCACTTCGGCCTCCCAAAGTGCTGGGATTACAAGCATGAGCCACCGTGCCCAGCTTAGAATGTATTTTTTTAAAGATCAAAATATTATCCAAGGTATAAACTATTAACAGATTTTAATCTTTTTAATGAAATTCGATTTAACACACTTAATACAAGATAAACAGCATCTATATCAATTACACAAAAGACTATTAGTTCCACACAATGTAGAGTTTGATTTAAAGATGAAAGAGTATTATACTTCATTTGAGAAATAAGAATGTTTAAAATCTAATCTCAATTCTGTCACTATATTTTATTTGTTTTTATATAAATAAACTCTCATTTTTATACATCTCATCAGAGGACTAGGATTTCTATGTATGGATGAAATATGAAGTGAGTTATACCCATAGAGCATAAAGACAGGAAATAAATTACTACAAGTATATGTTGACTATTCTGTTGTATGTTTTCTTTCAGGAAGTATGGTTATTTATGGGAGTAAATACATCAGTACATTTGGTTTGAAGGAATAACTTCCTTTCATAGCTTTTCCTAACTTGAGATATAAAAGTGACTTGGAGCTGATGCTCAGAATTCTATTAAAGATAAAATACTTAAATATCACAATATTTCAGATATAAAAGTGCAATCTCAGCAATTTTGCAAAGTTTCCAGCACAGTAATTAATATTCCACTTCATAGATGGTAGAATATTTTTCAGGAGGCTTCTTAAAGCAATCTAAAAATGCTTCATGTACATTATGCATGCAAAGTATAATTCTTTTAAAATGTTAATTTTGGGAATTGGATATGTAATTGCATATTACTAAGCACAGAATACTACCATTTCCAAAAATGAAAGAATACAATTTCAGTTTACTATTTTTAAAAAAACCACTTTGGGCCGGGCGCAGTGGCTCACGCCTGTAATCCCAGCACTTTGGGAGGCGGAGGCAGGCGGATCAAGAGGTCAGGAGATCGAGACCATCCTGGCTAACACAGTGAAACCCCGTCTCTTCGAAAAATACAAAAAAATTAGCCGGGCGTGGTGGCAGGTGCCTGTAGTCCCAGCTACTTGGGAGGCTGAGGCAGGAGAATGGCGTGACCCCAGGAAGCCGAGCTTGCAGCGAGACAAGATCGCGCCAGTGCACTCCAGCCTGGGCGACAGAGTGAGACTCCATCTCAAAACAACAACAACAACAACAACAACAACAAAAACCACTTTGATAAACATACTCTTTTGAGTTTATAAAACTATCACAGTGCCAACTTCATACTAGGTGAAATTCATGATATAAAAAAGATTTTTAAAAGTTAGGGGAGAAGTGAGCCAGAAAAAAAAGAATCAATTAAAAACTCTACGTAAAGTTAGCATTTGTGTTTCCCTATTATCTTTTTTTTTTTTTGGAGATAGTGTTTTGCTCTGTTGCCCAGGCTGAAGTGCATTGGCACAATCTCAGCTCACTGCAACCTCCGCCTCTCAGGTTCGAGTGATTCTCCTGCCTCAGGCCCCTGAGTAGCTGGGACTACAGGCACCAGCCACCATGCCCAGCTAATTTTTTGTACTTTTGTAGAGATGGGGTTTTGCCATGTTGCCCAGGGCGATCTCAAACTCCTGAGCTCAGGCAATCTGCCTGCCTCAGCCTCCTAAAGTGCCAGGATTACAGGAGTGAGCGCCTGGCCTCCATTTCCTTTAGATACAGAGGTGTAGGTATAATTCAAATTCTAAATACAAACATACTTTTTTTTTTTTTTTTGAGATGGATTCTCACTCTGTCACCCAGGCTGGAGTGCAGTGGAGTACACTGCAGCCCGGTCCTCCTGAGCTCAAGTGATCTTCCTGCCTCAGCCTCCTAAGTAGCTAGGACTACAGATATATGCCACCATGTGTGGCTAATTTTTTATTTTTCCCAAACGTAACTTTTTAACCACCACCAGAACAAGAAACATCTAGATTAGAAAAAGTAAGATTAGGCTGGGCGTGGTGGCTTGCGCCTGTAATCCCAGTACTTTGGGAGGCTGAGGCAGGCAGATCGCTTGAGGCCAGGAGTTCAAGACCAGCTTGGCCAACATGGTGAAACCCTGTCTCTACTAAAAATACAAAAATCAGCCAGGTGTGGTGACGCACGCCTGTAGTTCCAGCTACTCGGGAGGCTGAGGCAGGAGAATCACTTAAACCTGGGAGGTGGAGGTTGCAGTGAGCTGAAATCGTGCTGGTGACAGACACTCTGTCTCAAAAAAAAAAAAAGAAAAAGAAAAATTAAATTACAAGTATTCATCTTATACAATCATCTCCATAGGCATAAATTTATATCCTAATATCAAAATCAACAGAATTCAATGAACCAAGTATGTGGAAGGGTTGGGACTCCACAAACTCAGGTTTTCTGATCTCTTCTTTCAATGTTTAGTTAACAACTTTTTCCTAATATTACATGGGCTCCTACTGGTTGTGAAAATGTCAGAGATATTGGTAATTACATGGACCCGAAGGGATTAAATATTTGATGGGAAAATCATTTGACCATACTCTTAATAATCTGGGAATCCTTCGCTGATAATCTGGATATAAGAGCTCTCTTTTGACCCAAAGACCTGTCAGTAACAATGCACAAATACTGATATATTATAGTTACAAAAAGATTTCAGGCTGGGTGCAGCGGCTCACCCCTGTAATCCCAGCACTTTGGGAGGCCAAGGCGGGTGGATCACTTGAGGTCAGGAGTTCAACATAGCAAAATCCCGTCTCTACAAAAACTAGAAAATATTAGTCAGGTGTGGTAGCATGCTCCTGCACTCCCAGCTACTCGGGAGGTTGAGGCAGGAGAACTGCTTGAACCCAGGAGGCAGAGGTTGCAGTGAGCTGAGATTGTGCCACTGTACTCCAGCCTGGCCAACAGAGGGATGGCCCTGTCTCCAAAAAAAAAAAAAAAAAAAAAAAAAAAAACAGGTTTCATTGTGATGAATTAAGTGCATTCTGGACTATGAGGCACCTAATTAATAAACTGCCGGCATAATTTGTGTCTATTGGGGCAGTAAAATTATGTTACCTTTACACTAAGAGAAAAATCTCATGTTAAATATACCTTCTCTTTGTGGGTTAAAGCATCCAGAGGGGATATAGTGGGAAAACAGTAAAACAGGAAAAGTGGTTGATCAAAAATCAAGACAGCCAAGTTTTGATTCTTGCTTTCCTATTAAGTACTTAGACCTTGGATGAGTTACATATTCTGGGGCTTTCAGAATATTGGGGGCAGGGTAGGGGAGTAGGGGAGAAAAGACCAAGAGATTTTATATATATATGTATGTATTTTTTTTTTTTTTGAGATGGAGTCTCACTCTGTCGTCCAGGCTGGAGTGCAATGGCATGATCTCCGCTCACTGGACCTGTCTCCCAGGTTCAAACGATTCTCCTGCCTCAGCCTCCCGAGTAGCTGTGATTACAGGTGCCTGCTGCTACACCCAGCTAATTTTTGTATTTTTAGTAGGGACAGGGTTTCACCATGTTGGCCAGGCTGGTCTTGAACTCCGGACCTCAGGTGATCCAACCACCTTGGCCTCCCAAAGTGCCAGGATTACAGGTGTGAGCCACACCTGGTCCAAGAGATCATACTTGGGGTTACAGAAAGAGCTTGCGGGCTAAATAGAACTAAAATGCAGGTCTCCTACTTTCTAAAGCAGCACTCTTTTAACTATGCCAGTGATCCCTAAACTTTTTGATTTTTTAAAAAAATCCCTCTATTTTTAAATTTTGCCACGATATGAATATTATTTTTAAAAAACCATACTCATCTATCACAATGACTTAGTTAAAAATAAAAAGGTATTAAAAATTAGGAAGGATATAATCTTATCGCACCAGAGAGCTCTTTAATATGCTATTAAAATCTAGCCAATGGCCAACTGAAACTGGGATCCTCTTTTCTCATCTAGAAGATGATTTCATCATAAACTTATTCTAGAGCTCTAAAATTCTATGCCTTATTTTGTATTTTAAATATTTCTAATTCTTTCAACCGTTTCTCCTAAACTAAATTTCCTTCATCATGGTGGTTGTTCTTCAGGATTTCAATGTCTCTACTCAAAAAGAGGTTGTTCAAAATTGAACGAAATGTCTCCAGACAAGAACCGCTGCATTCAGGCCAACCATCCGATTCGATGCCTTCGGGGTGGAGAGAGGGAGAAAGGTACCCAATTGCTCTTATATAACCAGTATAAAGAGTTCAATTCCTTGAGGCTTTCCCTCCATGGGTATTTCCTATTTTGTTTCTGCTTGGTCTTCCTCCCCATCTTCACCGTCTCCTATCACACGAAAGCCAGAAACTGGAAAACATCCAGAGCTGGCAATCCCATGACTATGTGCAAATATGTCAGCTAGGGAAAGCTGACTCCATCAAAGAGACTGCCCTAGTACTAAAGCAATTTACTCTGACACACCTTGGTTTGTTTGGTCATTCATAAATTGAAGAAATACTACAGGAGGCTTAATATGCAAAAAGCTAGAGATTAAGCACTGAGCTATATCATAGAAACATGTAAGGAAGGGGACATACATTATCAATCTAAAACACACCCAAAGTTGCTTATAAACTAATATCTAAATTATAGTTCAAAAATATAATTACACTAAAACACTTTTGTCAAGTGCTCTGAAGTATTCATAATGTTTGGGTTGGACCCTGTTGTAGAGACGTATATTGAACCTGAACTGTCAACTATCATATGATCATTAACAGCAGGATATATATATTTTTAGTAAGCTTGCCTAATTAATGACATTAAAAGGCTCTTCTGTCATCTTTGGAACCACATTTGGGGAATTTTAATTAAAAATTAAATTATTATCAAGCAAATTTATTTTTATCCCATATATTTCTAGCACTTTGAGACCTGTTTTTCAAAACTACAATTCCCTTTAGTGACTTTTTTCCCCAAAGAAATTCAAATTAAGCAAAGTGTGATTTACTTTTAACTGAAAGCTTAAGAAATGAACACTCTAAGCTCCTACATCAGATTTAGTGCCCCATTGGCCAGCAGCTGCCTGTCAAGCACCATAAAAGCCCTTTCCCTGTGATTCTGCCATGCAGAACAATGGCTTAAGGACCATGCATCTTAACAGTGCCTGCCACTCAGAATGAAACTTTAAAGCTTTGTTCACAGATGCAGGGATCTACTATTTTGACTAAATATTAAACCTTTTTCTTTCTATCAGAACTTTAATAATAGAAGACTTTCATAAAGCTTTTTAAAAAATGATTTATATATTGAATTACAATTGTTTCATTCCACCAATAAAAAATCATTTCATTATAAAACACTACAACTATTTTTATGATGAAGTTTATATCATAATGTAGATGATATTTTCTTATGATCCAAAGTGGACTCAAGCCATTTCAAAAGAACATCTAAATAACAGTATTTATAAAAACTGGCATAACAGTTAACCCAAAAATGTAGGAGGAACCCAGAGAAAATCTTAGCTCAAAATAACCTAAAACCAGCCTTCAGAAGCTGTTGGTGTATGTCCAAAAGGAAGAAGTCACTGAAAGACTTTACTGATATTAATTACACTCATAAAGGAACCTAAAACTAGTATTTATACTTCACAATTTTTAAAAATCCTCTAATTTCCAGATATCTGTTGACTCTCTCTATACACTTTTAAACTTAAGAAAGTATGATTTTCGGGGAAAAGTGATTCTTCTTTGAAGTAAGATTTAACTTGGTGAGCAGAGACGCACCAATCTTCTGATTTGGATTTTTATAATTTTTCTGAAAGTGATTACTTTCCCAAGTACTTCCAAACATCCTTTCATTTTTTTCCCCCCAGACCTGCTTCCTGCTTCTTTTCTGTCTAATCACATTGTATTAATTTATTTTCCTGCTAGTAATATATAAGCTTATTCATGTCTGTCATTCCATCCAACATTAAGTAATCTAATTTTTATTCATCTATGCCTTAATTCTTTTATTTATGATTTTGGTCAATCTGGTAAGTGAAAAATAATGCCTAATTGTTTCTTTAATGTGCAATTCCCTGATTACTGGTAAATTTGAGCATCTGCCAGTTTCCTTTTTAAAGAAAATTGACAAATAAGATTATATATATTTATGGTGAACAACATGTTTTGAAATATGTATATTGTGGAATGGCTAAACCAAGCTAATTAACATATGTATTACCTCACATAACCCATCCAACCACTATCTTCTCTTTTCCCAAATCTTTTCTTTGCAGTAAAAGGCACCAAATCACCCTAGTTGCCCAGGCCTAAAAGGCAGGGTGTCATTTTTGATTTCCTTCAAGAAACTTCCAGATTGGAGTGCAGTGGCACGATCCTGGCTCACTGCAACCTCTGCCTCCCGGGTTCAAGAGATTCTCCTGCCTCAGCCTCCCCAGTAGCTGAGATTACAGGTGAGCACTAAAATGTCTGGCTAATCTTTGTATTTTTAGTAGACATGGGGTTTCACCATCTTGGCCAGGCTGGTCTCGAACTCCTGGCCTCAACTGAACTGCCCGCCTTGGCCTCCCGAAGTGCTGGGATTACAGACTCAAGCCACCTTGCCCGGCACCAAACTTAATCTTGAGCAAGACGAGTTTGCAATCAAGCACATCAAAGCAATCAACTAGACTTGTCAATTATATCCCGAATACATCCTCATCCTCTTCTCACTTCAATCACTTAAGTAACTTTTGAACTTTCTCCAATTTATTATCCAGATTTCTGAGACACCAATCTGAATCTCTCTCTCCTAGCTTATGTCTCTAGCCTGTTCTTCACTCATTGATTCCCCAGTTACAATCAAGTCATACTGGATTTCTTTTGATTCTTCTGTTCTCTACCAAGCCTGGCGCTTTGCATATCTAAGCCATAATATGCATGTTATTCTTCGTATCACTGCTTGTGTTTTGCTTCCTCTACAAAGGTTTTCCTAGACTCTGAATCCTTAAGATTGTGCTGTTGTCCCGAAATGTGTTCCTACAGCACCCTGGTCTGCCTTCATTGTATTTGTCACACTAAATTGCATCTACTTATTCAATTGTCTCCTCTACTAGAGAATTATCTCTGTGAGTATCTGGACTGTATCTTTTCATTATTTTACTTTGCGGTCCCACAATTAGCATATAGTAGTTGCAAAATAAATATATTAAGAAAAGGTGCATGCAAAAATGAATAAATGCTCATATAAATATATTTACATTTTTTTTTTTAGAGTTGGGTTCTCACTGTGCTGCCACGCTGGAGTGCACTGGCACAGTCATAGCTCACTGCAGCTCCCAACTCCTGGGCTCAAGCAATCCTCCCACTTCAACTTCCCCCAAGTAGTAGGTACTACAGGTATGCACCACTATGCTTGGCTAATTTTTAAGAATTTTTTACAGAGATAGGGTCTTGCTAGGTTGCCCAGGCTGGTCTCAAACTCCTGGCATCAAACGATTCTCCTGCTTTGGCCTCCCAAAGTGCTGGGATTACAAGCCGAAAAACTGCGCCTGGCCTTGAATTTAATAGTTATGTGCATTCTGATTTAAAGAAAGCCCAAGAATAAGACTGGGAATTAGAGAGCAGTAGGCCTTTGCTGCCTCCATATTACTTGTCTCAGGAGATCCTTGCATTGTACCAACCTGCAGAAACTGGTAATGGAGGACAGTCAGAGAAGAGGTGATAATGGCAGGGGACAAGACAGGGGTGGGTTGGGAGGACAGGGCTTGCTCCCTCCCTCTCCCAAATAAACTCGATCTCTGCCTGTAACCCAAGCCTTTCCTTGTGCTTGGCCAGGAAGGATGACTCCTTGCCATTAGCAAAGTTGGGTGACAGAACATAAGAGACAGAGAATAAATACTTATATCTGATCATTATAAACAAAAGACGTAGTAATGAAGCTATAACAGCTAAAACACAATTTAAACCAATATTTTAATCAGTAGCTCAGAAACCAATCTCCACCAACACAGCATCAAAGAAACCTGGGTTCATAATGACAAGACAGACACTTACCCCCTGGTTTCTTCTTCATGACCCCTCCCCTTCTGGATTTTAATCCACTGTTCCAACTGCTGCATTGAATTTGTTCTCTGTATGACTCGATCGGCCTCTGTGTATAAGGGCCCTGTATTGGGGCGATTTCCACCTCTAAGATCTGCCAGGCTAACATTGACTATTTTGTTCTCTGAACTGCTCAAGTTGATTGGTCTGTAGTGCACAGTCTGAGCAGGGCATGCTGACCCACTCTCATATTCAGATGGCAGAGAATTCAGCTTTACACTATTAATTTTTGTTAAGGGTCTATCTTGACCATCCTTCTGAAATCCATATTTTTCAGCTTCTAATGCCTTTTTTTCTTCAATTTTGCTCATTTCCTTGTTTTTTTGATTGTTTTGGATCTCTGGTTTAATTAGCACTCTATGGTTGGGAATGTTATTGGTTTCTTTAGTTGGTGCATTTTCAGATGTAATCTTGTCCACTCTGAAATCAGAGAAGAAAATCATAGTAAATCAGATGAAATAATGTACATATTACTTCTGGGATTCAATCTAGGAAAAATTATACTTTACGGGGGTGGGGGCCAGGGGACTGGAAAGGGTCACAGTGGACAAGTCTACACAAATACCCAATGCTGTGATATTAACATTCAAGCACAACACCAGAATGTATAAACAGAAAGGGGGAAAAAGAAAACATAAAGAACTAGAGCGTAAAAAGTGATGTGTGCTCCCACCATTAGGAATCTGAAAATAAAGCAAATTAAGATTGCCTTATGACAGTTAAACCACAAAGTCTACACTTAAAGGACCACAGTAGATAGTCCCTTGAAAGGAGCCACATGGCTCCCAGCCAAGGTTAGCTGCTTGTTGACTCATGAGACAAACATGAGTCTGGTTGTGGAAATGGCTGCAACAGGAAATCATAGTCTGATGCTATCAAAGATCTGAACCATATAATTAACTCCTTTTGTTTGTATTCAAGAGGAACTCAGTATGATTTTAGAGCTCTTGGAGTCTGACTGCACATGTCCAGCTTGCAACTCTGTTCTTACTAGCTGAGTCTTCAGGCAAAGTACAGAACACTTAAAGTGCCTATGCTTCCTCTTTGGTAAATGGGTATGATTGTGCCACCAAGATCAGAGGGTTCTTGTGAGAATCAGATGAGTTAATGAGTGGCTGGCACAGACCTTATTTTACCATTATAATTCCAACACATCAAGCAATCTTGGGTTAGAATCTGGCATCCCATGTCCACCTGGCCACTGAAAGAATGAGCTCGTTAACAGCATGTGTCTAGGTCACTCGACAGTTGTACTTGCTCACTATTCTAGTTGCCATATCTAGGTCTTTCCCTGAGCCTAATCACTTCCAGACTCTGAAAAGATCAAGCTGAGTGTGTGAACCTGCACGAAACTGCCAAGATCATGCCACTCTAGGAGGCCTCTCAGGAGCCAGCCAACCCTCCATATTCCAATAAATAAAAATGCTTCTATCAGAAACTAGGTGTGGTAATGCTGCCAATGTTTATGACGTGTGGAAAGGATGTAGATCTATATACATATATCTGTAATCAACTATAGATGAAGATATCTAGAAGCTTTGGAATATGGTCACCAAGGAAAAAAAATTAAAAAAAAAAGGTGACTATTTTTCTTGGAGTAAAGTTATGAACCATCCATATATTTAGGTTAAATATAAACCATGGCTTCTAGATTGGAGGCAACATTAGACATTGGGAAAATTTACTAAGATAGACTATGTGCTTCTTTCTCTTGAAAAATAAAAGTTGGCCAGGTGTGGCCACTGATGCCTGTAATCCCAGCACTTTGGGAGGCCAGGGTGGGTGGATCACCTAAGATCAGGTGTTTGAGACCAGCCGGGCCAAAATGGTGAGACCCCGTCTCTACGAAAAATAAAAAAAAAATTAGCTGGCTTGGTGGAGGACATCTGTAATCCCACCTACTCGGGAGGCTGAGGCAGGAGAATTGCTTGAACCTGAGAGGCAGAGTTTGGAGTGAGCTGAGATCGTGCCACTGCACTCCAGCCTGGGCGACAGAGCGAGACTCCATCTCAAAACAAGAACAACAAAGAAGGCATAGAACATTTACACTAAAAGCATATGTATCCCTTGCTATTTGGGAGGGTAGGAATTTTAACATTAAACATAAAATAACTGAAAAGATTTTTAAAACATATTTACTGTAGTCTATCTAAAGCTATTATTATTACTGTCATCATGATTATTATCATTATTATTTGAGATAAGGTCTCTTGCCGTATAACCCAGGGGGGAGTGCAGTGACGTGATCTTGGCTCTCTGCAACCTCAACTTTCTGGGCTCAAGTGATCCTTCCCTCTCAGCCTCCCGAGCAGCCGGGACTATAGGTACACGCCACCACACCTAGCTAATTTTTAAATTTTTTTAGAGACGGGGTCTCACTGGTCACCTAGGTTGGTCTTGAACTCCTGGGCTCAAGCAATCCTCCCACCTTGGCCTCCTACATTATTGGGGTTACAAGCGTGAGCCACCGTGCTCAGCCTAAAGCTATTATTTTAAATTAAAACTGTGGTGGGTTTTTTTTCTTTTTCCCCAAGATTTATCATTGAAAAAGTAGTCAAAAAGACACATATGATGACTTTTCTCTAAATGGAACAAAGCTGACTCAGAAAAGTATGCTAAGGTACCATAAATAATATAAAACTTGTGATCTAATTTTAAAAAGTGACATTTAAGTTATTGCAGAAAATACACTGAGATATATAAAATGAAAATAATGGGCTTAGAGATGAAAATTATTCAGAGAATCCATATTATACTTAGATTTTTTTTTCTTTGGGCCATCAATGATCTGCACACTAGGAGACTATGACATTATCGTGAACAGGTGAAATACTTTATAAAGTTAGGGAGAATGAACTCTCAAGTTAAAAACTGGATGTTGTATTACAGTGATAAGCTCTGATAAATATTTTAAGTATTTGAGCCATACAGCAAAATGAGTGCATTAGCTTAAAACCAAGCAAACAAAATCTCTCTATACTTACTTTCACTTTGAATGACTAAATCTAATAGAGTGGGATAAAAATGCCAACAACTAGGAGTAGAAGAAAACACATAATTTCTACAGGATAACGGACTCTAAGCTGGGCACGCAGGTGGTATTAATAAATCTTGTCTGAGTAGATTACACTAACAAAGACGGCTGAAAACTGTATAAGCACCTAACTAGTGAACTATCAGGTTGCCAAAAGCCAAGCCAAATAATTGCCATCTTTATCATCCCAAATTACGAGTAATTATCAGTTTTTAGAGTGGTAAATTTAATAAAATAAAGTAGAAACATGCTGAAATTCTGAGAAAAGTATAATATACAATATTGAAATTATTTGGACATAAATATTTTAATTATTATACAGATTTCTGTATTCTAAACAATTTCCTAAAAATTTTGCTTTGAAGTTAAAAGTATTGAAGTTTTATTTTTATTTTTTTTTGACAGGGTCTCACTCCGTTGTCTAGGCTGGAGTGCAGTGGCACAGTCACAGCTCACAGCAGCCTCAACCTCCTGATTCAAGTGATCCTCATGCTTCAGCCTCCTGAGTAGCAGGGACTACAAGAGTGTGGTACTACGCCCAGCTAATTTTTGTATTTTTGGTACAGATGGTGTTTCATCATGTTGCCCAGGCTGATCTCAAAATCCTGGGCTCAAGTGATCCCTCAACCTCCCAAAGTGCTAGAATTACAGGTGTGAGCCACCATGCTCAGCCTGAAGATTTTAAATGAATTCTCTTCACCTACACATTTTCTCTCGTTATCAGTGCTAACCACCTCATCTTTATGCTACTCAGGTAATTTTTACACATGCAATTCCAAAAACAGATTTTCCTTCTATCTGCTCTCATCCTGCAATATGCATGTGGCAAAAGTGGTTTTTCTTAAAAATAGATGTCCTAGAGCTATATCCTAGACCCTCTTTTCTTTTCAGTTTTTCCCCAGCTCTAATTACTAGTGATTGGGTAACTTGATTTAGACTTGATATTTACAAAAATAGCACAAATACACAGCATCAACCTAAGTCTTTTAGCCAAAAAGCCAAGACTTTATTAAAATGCACACTAGAATAAGAAAAACAAAGGACTAGATGTATACTGTAACAATCCCTAATTTCCTGAGAAGAGGGAAAAAAAAGAAGAGGGAAAAAAGATGCACATTAGCATCTTTCTTACATAAGATATGTGCTCAGCTGTCACTGACTGGAAGAAAAATTAACTTGCATCATAATTTTTTCTTCGAATTACAGGAATATATATTTTTTAAAAAGCACATTATACTACTTGTATTTATGTAGTCTGAGAATCAGATTTCCTCTAACTAGCTATACTGAAGAATATTAAAATGATTCGTATCTTCAAGCAGGGAAAAATACATGGGTCAATTTTAACAGCACTTATCTATATTATCAAGGAATCTGAGTAGTGGAGTTTCAATATAAAAAAGGTACAATTCACCAAGAAGTGGATTTGGAAACAATCTAAATGCTTGACGAACTATTTTCTGGAGACATTCATTACAAAAACAATAAAAATTAATCAGAAATGTTGAAAAAATGAAACTATCAAAGTTTCTTACTGTAATTCATCACACTTTAGAAACATCAACACACTATTACAGAAAAACACAAATTAACTTCATAAAAATAAACTCTCTTCTAAGATTTAGAATCTTAAAAACACTATCTCAAAGGATAAAAATCTGTGTAGCTTTAAGGTAACAATTAAAAACGTACTCACCGGAAATTAAAGGTAATTCTGTAAGAAGAAAGAACATTCAGTTTGAATGTTAGGATTCTGGATTCACCCCAGTACACCGATAGGTGAAAATGAATAAAGAAGAAAAAGAAGAAAAGTGGAATAAAAATGTAGGTGGTATCGCAAACTAACAAAATGTGTATTAATTTAATTCAGAACAGGAATTGATCCTTGCTTTCTGAGGAAAAAATGATTTCATACCATGACTATTAAAATGATATGTACTATGACAGTGAAATACTTGCAAGGCATGGAATAAAATGGAAGTGGAAATCACCATCATTTTTTCTACAAGCCTTTACCTTTTCACAGGTTCTGTCTGTACTAGGGCAGCATCTAACATGGCTTTCATCCACAACTCCATTTCCTTTCCTGTATCAGTGCAGAAATAATAGGTCCGCATGTTTGGATGGGCTGCCTGATTGAAAATGACACGATCATTTTAAATAAAAATATAGGATTCTGTAAAAGAAAAAGAAAAAAAGGTAAGTGATTCCTGACATAGAACGTTGCTATCAAATTTCAGAGAAAGTAGACTTATCTTTTACCTGAGATATGGAAATGAATCAAGAAAAAATATAACTATTAACTTGAAAAATATATATTAATTTCCCCCTTAATTTTACCCTCTTTCTTTTAGTTGTGTGCACACTCTAAAATTAAAAATAAAAAAAAAAAAGAGTGCATGGAAAGGAAAGGAGGTGAGAAATGAAGTACTTAGTGGTGCCTCTTCCATCTCCACATTTCTAGCAATTTCCATTTACTGCAATTCACACCTTTTTTTTTTTTTTTCTTTTTTTTGAGACAGAGTCTCACTCTGTTGCCCAGGTTGGAGTGCAGTGGAGCAATCTTGGTTCACTGCAACATCTGCCTCCCTGGTTCAAGCGATTCTCCTGCCTCAGCATCCCGATTAGCTGGGATTACAGGCATGTGCCACCATGCCCAACTAATTTTTGTATTTTAGTAGAGACGGGGTTTTGCCATGTTGGCCAGGCTGGTCTCGAACTTCTGACCTCAAGTGATCTGCCTGCCTCAGCCTCCCAAAGTGCTGGGATTACAGGTGTGAGCCACCACACCCAGAATAAGAATATTTATTCTTGAATAAATATTCTTTATTTAAGAATATTCCCAGCAACCAGCAACAAAATTAATAGAAATGTACATGTTATGGCATTTCCCTCCTGCGTTAGCAATTTCTTTAGGCCTCAAAAGGCACTGCTGTATTTTATAGAATCCTTTATAGGTATCTACACCCAAACACAAAAGATTTATAAATGATCCGAAATGGTGTTTTCTTTTTGAGCTGTTCCTTAATAAACTACTCAAATGTTCTATGTTAAGATAATTAAAACCACCTACAAAATGTTACTGGACTCCCTGAGTGGGGTTTTGGAAAAATAAAGACCACTGCCCATATTTGTGATCAATGTAAGGAACACTGGGTTGGTATCAAGACGATCCAGTTCTAGCCATGACTCAAGACACTAAGAATCCCCACCATGCTCGCCATCAGTCAAATGGAAATATTTACTAGATGATGTCAAAGTACCCAGTCTAGCTTTAAGTTTCATGCTTGTGTTCAATAATTGTCTATAAAGTTTCTACTTACCATTCTGATAAGCATTTGCAACAATGTCAGCAAACTTAGGAGTAAAGCAGCTCATACATTCAGAGGAAACAACATCACAGAAGAGAGAAAGTGAAACAGCAATTACTATCATTGTTACAGATAAAATTAAAACTGAACCAAATAATTGCAGAGAAAATATACTTAACATGTATGGTCACTTTTATTGCTATTTTAACATTGTAGTATTTTTTAAGAGTCTAAAAACGCAGAAAAAAGTCCTACAAATAGCATAAATTGATAAACATTTGCTAAATTGATAAGCAACAAAAAAATTTAAATTCATGGCCTAATAATAGTGCTAATATCACGCACCTCTACATGTGTACTTCATAAAGTTATAATTTTAAATTTTCAAAGTGTTAACTTTTGTTTTAACATCATAAAATACTTAATTATGTTTCTCTGGTTTATACTGTTGATACAGTTTATTTTGATAAAGTTAATTTAACTATGAAGATACTCCCCTCTTATCCTTAGGTCTTTGCTCCAGTTACATTACCTTCTCATTGAGGCCGTCCATCACCCAACCCCTTAACCTCACCACTATACCTTTCCTGTTCTTTTTCTCCATAGCTCATGTAACAATTTTTTTTTTTTGAGCCAGAGTTTCGCTCTTGTTGCCCAGGCTGGAGTGCAATGGCGCGATCTCGGCTCACTGCAACCTCCGCCTCCCAGGTTCAAGTGATTTTCCTGCCTCAGCCCAAGTAGCTGGGATTACAGGCATGTGCCACCATACCTGGCTAATTTTGTATTTTTAGTAGAGACAGGGTTTTTCCATGTTGGTCAAGCTGGTCTTGAACTCCTGACCTCAGGTGATCTGCCAGCCTCAGCCTCCCAAAGTGCTGGGATTACAGGCATGAGCCACCGTGCCTGGCTATTTTTTTGGGGGGTTGGGGGAGGGAGGGAGTCTTACTCTGTCGCCCAGGCTGGAGTGCAGTGGCACGATCTCGGCTTACTGCAACCTCCGCCTCCCAGGTTCGAGTGATTCTCCCACCTCAGCCTCCCCAGTAGCAAGGACTATAGGCAAGCACCACAATGTCTGGTTAATTTTTGTATTTTTAGTACAGACGAGGTTTCACCATGTTGGCCAGGCTGGTCTCAAACTCCTGACCTCAGTTGATCCTGACCTGCCTCAGCCTCCCAAAGTGCTGGGATTACAGGCATGAGCCCCTGTGCCCGGCCTGCTCATGTAACATATTAATTAGCAAAAGTTATAAATCAGCTGCAGTCCTCAGTATTCTCTACAAGTGGTGGGAATTTAAAATTGAATCAATTTTATAATGGTACAAACATGTTCATTGTTAACCAGCAGCACTTCCCCCCTCTTTTCTCTTAAAATGAAATTTCTGCAAGAACCTTATAGTTCCTTACTCTAAAACAGACTGAAAAACTAGGTGACCTCTGAAATTTATTTTAGCCATAATCATAAAGCAAAGAATGCAGAATGATTTTTGAAAACAAAAATCTCCAAAAATAGCATTGAAGACCTCTTACTTGAGAGTGATCCACAAACCAGTAATACCACAAAGATTGGTGGGTACTATTAATCAGGGAAGGGGATCTCAGGTCTGCTTGGATTTAATAACAGCAGATTTCACATCCTGACTTCAGTGTTCTCTGTAAAGTACCCGATGATCATGATGTACTTAGACCCAAGAACATCTTTGCAATTATTCTCTAAGTTTTTCAATAAAGGTACATATATATATCTTTATTAAAAAATATTGTTGTCTCTTATAGTACTCTTCCTCCAAATTTATTATTAATAATTATTAATACAGAGTCTCACTCTGTCACCTAGGCTGGAGTACAGTGGTGCAATCTTGGCTCACTGCAACCTCTGCCTCCAGGGCTCAAGCGATCCTCCCACCTGAGCCTTTTCTGTAGCTGGGACTACAGGCACACACCACCACACCTGGCTAATTTTTGTAATTTTAGTAGAGTCGGGGTTTTACCATGTTGGCCAGGCTGGTCTTGAACTCCTGGGTTCAAGCTTTCTGTCCAACTCGGCCTCCTGAAGTGCTAGGATAACAGGCATGAGCCACTGTGCCCATCTTATTAATAATTTTTTTTTGAGACAGGGTCTTACTGTGTTGCCCAGGCCGGACTGCAGTGGCGTGATCCTGTCTCACTACAGCCTTGACCTCCCAGGCCCAAGTGATCCTTTCACCTCGGCCTCCCAAGTAGCTGGGACTAGCCACCATGCCCGGCTAGTATGTTTTTTTTTTTGGTTTTGTTTTGTTTTGTTTTGTTTTAGAGACAGGGTCTCACTATATTCCCCAGGCTCAACTCCTGGACTCAAGTGATCCTCCCACCTTGGTCTCCGGAAGTGCTGGAATTACCGCCACTGTGCCCAGACCCCAAATTTATTATTAAAAAATTCAAACATACAGTAACGTTGAAAAAACGTATAATAATCACCAGGACATCCATAATTATATTCATCAATTATTAGCATTCTGACATGTTCATTTTATCTAGAACCATTTGAAAGCACAGACATGAAGACACTTGACCCCTAAATATTTTAGCACGTGCTTCCTAATTAGAGGGACATTCTTCTATACAACCATAAGACCATTAATTAATATATTTTAAATATAAAAATCACTATAAGGTAGCTTTTTTGTAATAATCTATGGCTCAATATCCATTTTAACCAACGCAAGTTTTGAACACAGAATTAAAAACTGCATTATTTCCTTACCTTAAAAGCATATTTGCGATTAATGTGATCTTCAGAGGTAAGCAAAGCTATCTGAAAACTAGGTAACAGTATGCTTCCCAGGATACCCTCTTCTTTCTCATCTAAGAGATAATTTAACATCTGATTAGAATTTTAAATGTTCTTATGAAGCAAAGTTTTTCAAGATCTATTTTTGCCAAATCAAAAGGTTCTTGTACATAAATGAACTATATTCATGTTCAGGCAGGCCTTTATAAGGTTTTAAATGAAAATATCAAATAGCACAAGAATTTATACTTTGGTATATATACTGCATTCTACAAAGCCCCTTTACATGTCATTCACTGAAAAACATACTGGCATATAAGTAATGGCATTAACCCACCCACATCTCTGATAGGATTTAAATGCCCAACCATTCTATCCCCAGACAAATACATGGCTTTCTTGGTTACATCCTTCAGGCTTTGCTCAAAGGTCTCATCAATGAGGCCTTCCTTGACTACTGTATTTTAAAATGTTATTTATTTAACGTTTTCTCTGTTCTCCTTCGAGAATGTTACCATTGCCTACTCTCAATACCTCCGGCAAACTATATGTTTTAGCTATTTATTTGCTTATTATCTTTTTCTCCATGCTAGAATGTAAGTTCTACAAAGACACTTAGAATGACAGTGGTAGATGCTCAAAAGAATTTGTTGAATAAATGAAGACGACATGTGAATACATATTTGAACTATGCTATATAAATTATACGCTTTTTAAAACATTTAACTTTGAAGGTCTGCTTTTTACTAATCATTCTGATATACAATAGTGTGACTAAATTACAGGCCTACAAGGCAAGCACATAAAATATACCTAGGAAAATGATAAACATTAATCTTGACACAGTATAGATTCACATTATTAACTTGCTGCTTGGGGGCAGAGATGTTTATGAAACTTGAAATATGTACTTCATTGTTATAGACCTATAAGACAAGTTAATAAAGCGGTGTCATCAGGCTAATAAACTCACCAATGAGAAATCATAAAAGTGAAATAATTCTTTTTATTATGTTTGCTGTGTGTGACTTTTTTGTTTTTCCTAATTATCAAAAACTTAACATGGGATTTTATTTATTTCGCCCTCATTTCCAGAGTATCTGGTGAAACATCCAGAAGGGAAAAAGTTACATTAAATGGAGGCTTTTTTCAATAGCTTTTCTCATAGCAATGGAACAAAATTTTGTTTTTACTATTCTGTGCTCATTCAGGTACGATTCGTTAATGCGTAAAAGGATGAACGGAAGTACAGATTTAGTCCAAAAGGTTAAAAAGAGTTGGAAAGCAGTCATGAATTACAGAGAATGTGACAATTTAAAAGAATAAGTCAAACCCTAATTTTGAATCCAATTTTATGTTTTATGTTCATGTAAAGGGTATAGTCACAAACAGCACATGAAGTCATCTTTATTAAAAAATCATTTTAATCAAATAATACATCCTTCTATGTCCCATAATAAAATAATCTTTTCTAAAGTTGCTTCAGAATAGACAGAGGCACTAAAGCACAGGGTGATTTCCCTAGATTACGTGAGGCCGTTTTCCTGCCTAACACTAACTAGCTGTGAAATCCTTGCCAAGTTATTGATGCTTAGTATCTGTTTTATCATCTATAAAATTGAGGATAATAGGACTTACCTCAAAAGATTGTTATGAGGGTTAAATGAGTTAATACACATCAAAAACAGCACTGAGAGTGAAGCATTAAATAAATATTGCCATTATTATATAAAATCAAAGACAGTGCGTGTAAAAAATCTTCACCTTCTATCAAATGACTATCCTGAGTTCTTCAGCTTCTTAAACTGCTTCTAATCATGACATTCTTCTGTTTAGTTCTATATCAAGCCTGATGGAAGCACTGTCCTAGTTTCTATTACCTAGAGAGACTCATAGACTGACAAAGAGTAAGTACTCAGTAATGTTTGTAGAATGAAAGAACTCTCTATGGGGTCAGCCGAGGCCTTTCTGAGACTGCATGGCATCCCATTTTCTTTTGTCTCTGCCATTTCCTTCCTTCACTTTGCCACAGCTGATGGTTCCAAGAACAACACTCTCCAAAAAGCTTTCTACATATTAATCTCCATCACAAAATTTGCTTCGTAGGGAAGATGAGCTGGGACAAGAGCCGTAAGAATCTCAACATTTTACTGGATTCAAGTGACATTTTAGATTCCCCATTTCTACTTAGTTTTAAAGATATTTGGGAATATCTTTAGCAAATCAGTTATTTTCTCTGTCTTAATTTCCATTATCTGTAAAACATGGACTGATCTCCAAAAAATTCTGACAACACACTTTTTATGTCAGTAGACTAGATGCTTTGAGAAATGGAGAAGAAATGAATGGGGCCACTGCCCTCAGCATTTAAGTGAAGAGGATATCTGAGTGGGGGCAAAAACTCGTGATTAAGAGAATAGAAACTAACAGTGTCAGCTCTGGAGTCAGAGTGCCTGAGTTCAAATCCTGACTGTGCCACTTGCGAATTGTGAGACCTGAGGTAAGCACTTTGTATATGAGTTTCCCCTCGCGTGCAATGAACATAAGATTCCCCACGTTATCAGGTAGCTGTGAGGGTTAGATAAAATAGAGCATCTATATAACTTGCTCAGCACAGTACTCAACAAATACTAAATATGCAAAAAAAAATATATAGGCTATTATGATCTCACTGAAATCTAATTATTTTAATTTAAAATCTAATATTTCTTATTGATAAAATAGTAAAAATGTATAATATCATATACTTCTTTCCAACAGCCTGCAGAGCAGTCATCTGAAATGAGTTAAATGATATTTCTCTTGTTTCTACAGTTTCTTCTTTTTTATATTCCCCATCTGGGAAACTACTAAAATTAATAAATACATTGCATATAAAATGCAGGTGGTTAATAATAAGGAATCTCAGACTCAGCATGGCTTGTTTTTTGTTTGTTTGTTTTTCCAACTTCTATTATAGGTTCAGGGGTACACATGTGGATTTGTTACAAAGGTAAATTGCGTGATGCTGAGGTCTGGAGTACAAATGAATCAGTCTCCCAGATAGCACAGTACCCAGTTGGTACTATGTTCAGCCCTCCCCTCTCTTGTGCTCCCCAGTGTCTACTGTTCTCATCTTTATATCCATCAGCATGGCTTCTGATTCACTTTTACATTTTTGAAATATGATCAAAAGCTTTCCTATTATAGTAAAAGTGATGAGTCCCACCTTTCCCTGAGCAACAACAATAGCAAATTACAAGGAATTCAGTGGTTTTTGTTGCAAATTAACATCAATAAATTCTTGGCTGGGCATGGTGGCTCACACCTGTAATCCCAGCACTTTGGGAGGCTGAGGCAGGTGGATCATTTAAGGTCAGGAGTTTGAGACCAGCCTGGACAACATGGTGAAACCCCGTCTCTACTAAAAATACACACAAAAAATTAGCCAAGTGTGGTGGCGCGTGCCTGTAATCCCAGCTACTTGGGAGGCTGAGGCACAAGAATCACTTGAACCCGGGAGGTGGAGGTTGCAGTGAGCCAAGATTGCACCACTGCACTCCAGCCTGGGCAACAGAGCAAGACTCTGTCTCAAAAACAAAACAAAACAAAACCCAACAAATTCTTGTATTAGAAATTTAAAATATTAGAAATAATAAACATTTCTTGTTATAAGTAGTCCATAAATATACTGAAAAAGAGACGAGAAGAGAAATTATAAGCTTAAGGATAATGCCTGAAATACAACTCCTAACTTTCTGAAAGAGTGAGAAAACCCCTAAGAAAAATTGTAGAGTAAGCTTAGCATTTAACTAAAGACAACACCGCAATTGCAGCCTAAGGAACATCTCTATGACAAAATGCAATTTTATACGGTTGGTTAATTCTGACTCAGCAGTAATTCTCAACTACAATTTGCAGATGGAAACAATTCTAGTAATTCCAAATTTTGAAGGTTAATATGTATTACAATGCTTCAATACACAACTATAAATTTTGCTACCGGTCTTTTGTGCAGTCAAAAAATGTAGAAACTGCTAATCAGTTCTAAAACTCTGTTATATCTTATAAGCTATACTTCTAGAGAAAAGTCATAAATTATTAATTATGGCTTGACAATCTAATTCTTTCATTATCCAAAGTTTAAAGTAGAGAAGAAGGAGAGATTATCCAGATTCATCATTTTATACTATAGCTGAGACAGACTTTTCCGGAGAGTGCCACCCAGGTATGCCTTTCATTGGCAGGTAACAACTTTGTAGTATCTTGTAGTATCTAAGAGATCCATGTGGTGTATGAAACATCTCTGGATTTTTATTTAAAACTGAATTAATAATTTACTAACCAGAGAAAAGCTATCAGTGTTTGGTCAAAAAAAAAGTTCAAAATGAAATTTGTATTTCACTTTTTTCATTTGCCATTACATAATAGTAGTCCTTAATATTCTAATATCATTTGCTGGGGAGCAGAATTGGGTGCTTGAAGGACCCATAAGCTAGATCTGACAAAACTGACATGTGAAAAGAACCTCCTCAAACTAAGGATTGTATCTATTAAGCACCGAATTCAAGAGTAGCATTATAGAGCAAAGATTAGGGAAGCTGAACCAAAACTCAGACCAAACACGGTCTGAAGCACCATATTTATTCTATCATAACCCCAAAACTCAGAATGATATGTCAAAGGAGAAAAAATCTGTTTGATACTATTTGTTGATAATAAAATAGCACACAGAGTTACAATACTTTTTAAAGTATCTGATACTTAACTTATATTACATATCAATTACAAAATAATACACTAAGACAGTAGGGTAAACTTACCTCTATAATAAAAGAGGCAAAGGTCAGAAAGCACAAACCAGCGTTTCTTCCACAATTTCATGCCAGTACTGTCCTGGATTAAATCAGCATATTTAAGGATTATTTCTCAAACAACAAAAACTCACATGTGCATTTATTTATTTATTTATTTTTATTTTTTTGAGATGGAGTTTCGCTCTTGTTGCCCAGGCTGGAGTGCAATGGTGCAACCTCTGCTCACTGCAACCTCTGCCTCCTGGGTTCAAGCGATTCTCCTGTCTCAGCCTCCAGAGTAGCTGGGGTTACATGCGCCTGCCACCATGCCAGGTTAATTTTTTTTTGTATTTTTAGTAGAGACAGGGTTTTAGCATGTTGGTCAGGCTGGTCTCTAACTCCTGACTCAGGTGATCCACCCGCCTTGGCCTTCCGAAGTGCTGGGATTACAGGCTTGAGCCACTGTTCCTGGCCTTGTGCATTTATTTAAACTTTTAAAACAAGGTATGTTTGATACATGTGTAATATAACCTATCTAAAAGGCCAATTAAAAATTTGGAGGTAGTTTTCTAGGGCCTTAGATATTCCCAACTAGACTGGTCTCCGAAAATACCATCATGCAAAAGGAATATATTAAGGCAATTTGATTTGGCTTCGTATTTGTAAGCAATTTGGAATTCACTCTTCTCAACACAAACATCTGCTAGGATGAGAATAATGTAACCATGCAGCAGTGCATGTGTTCTGGTAAACCAGATTTAATAAATATGTTAATCTTCAACAAGAAGAGAAATATGTGAATTGAAATTATTCCAAAGGTAATGTGATTTAAAATGACTATGAATAAAGAAACCTTAATATACAAATGCAATTCATAAACATTTTTTTCTTACACCTATAGTTTGGGATTTGCTCATCATGCAAAAAAGAGAGACTTTTTGGCAGCTATTTCTAAGTAATTTAGTTCATTAAAATATCAGGCTCAAACAAAATTAGAATTTTAATAAAAATTACTTTCCCATATGCAATGTAGCAAAATTGGAAGTGAGAATTAAACAGATACCAAAAAAAAAGAAAAAAGAAAAAAGAAAAAACGAGAGGCCAGTTTGGATGTGCATTGATTATTTCTAAATTTATTTCTAGCTGTGAGTAATGACTTCAGAATTATAGAAATTAACATGGGTAAAATCTTTCAAAATAAAAGATTTGGCCTTAAAATTGACAGCTATACCAAAAAAGAAACCAAAAAAAAAAAAAAAAATTAAATGGCAAATGATATCTTCAATTTTTTTTTTTTTCCGAGACAGTCTCACACTGTCACCCAGGATGGTGTGTAGTGCTACAATCTCAGCTCACTGCAACCTCTGCTTCCTGGTTTCAAGTGATTCTCGTGTCTCAGCCTCCCGAGTAGCTAGGATTACAGTCGTGCACCACTACAGCTGGCTAATTTTTGTATTTTTGGTAGAGACAGGGTTTCTCCATGTTGGCCAGGCTGGTCTTGAACTCCTGTCCTAAGGTGATCCACCCACCTTGGCCTCCCAAAGTGTTGGAATAACAGGTGTGAGCCATCACACCCAGCCATCTTCAATTACTTCATTATATTCTTTCTTTAGTACAGATAAGGGACACTGTAAACAAATATGTGTCACACACATATTACAAAATAAACACTTTTTTTTTTGGAGACAGGGTCTTGCTCTGTCACCCAGGCTGGAGTGCAGTGGCATGATCATACCTCACTGCAAGCTCAAATCCTGGGCTCAAGTGATCCTCCCACTTCAGCCTCCGGAGTAGCTGGGACTACAGATGCACACCACCACACCAGGTTAATCTTTGTTTTTTGTTTTTTTTTAAAGTAGAGATGAGGTCTCACTATGTTGCCCAAGCTGGTCTCGAACTCCTGGGCTCAAGTGATTCTCCTGCCTCGGCCTCCCAAAGTGCTGGGATTACAGGCGTGAACCACTGTACTAGGCCCAAAATAAACACTTGTTAGAGAAGCTACTTGGTAATACTTTTGCAATGCTAAATTAACCAAGGGATCAAGAAATAAGAACAAGAGCTATTTTAAATAAGGAATGCCATTAGGGTATGAGGCTCAGTTTTGCACTGAAATAGTGGATCATAATTTGGACTTATTAGAAAGACTAGCTGGAAAATATGGAGAAAATTTTCTATTAGAAACTGGGCTGGGTGTGGTGGCTCACGCCTGTAATCCCAGCACTTTGAGAGGCCAAGGTGGGTGGTCATTTGAGGAAAGGAATTCAAGGCCAGCCTGGCCAAGGTGGTGAAAACCCGTCTCTACTAAAAATACAAAAATTAGCTTGGCGGTAGTGGCACATGCCAGTAATCCCAGCTACTCGTGAAGCTGAGGCAGGAGAATTGCTTGAGCCCGGGAGGCAGAGGTTGCGGTGAGCTGAGATCACACCGCTGCCCTCCAGTCTGGGCAGGTGACAGAGTGAGACCCTGTCTCACAAAAAAAAAAAAAAAGAAAAAGAAAAAAAAAAGAAACTAAATGTGCAAAAACCTTTTAGCCTGGAAAGCTTAAATATCAGATGGTTAAAATATAGTCAATGATCTTTCAATAAAAATTATGACTCAATAAATAAAAATCATTAGGTCACCTGAAAGCAATCAGCAATATTTAACAGAATAAACTGACACCAATGAACTAATATTTAACTTGCTTTGTATCATCTGTACGTATATAGAATCAGAAAGAAAAAAGCCTTGAAGATTGAGGATGTCACCTCAGTTATCTACCAGTCACTTATCTGAAACCTAGCTGCAAACTGGGAAGTAAATAGCCTCTATGTAATCGAAATGATGTCAAAATCCAAGGAAGTAATGTACATATATATTTACTAATTGCAAAACTAATAAGGTTCCAAAAGAGCTTAGATAGCAAGTTCCCCAGTCAGTGCAGCAATATCAACCAATCAGGACGCCTGAGAGTAAACCCTGTATGAGCAAATTAAAAAGAAAAGAAAAAATAAATAACCAAAAAAAATAAGAGGAAGAAAGAATAATCTCATATTATAGAATCAAAAATCTGAAAAAACTCAGAAAAATCTGAAATTATTGTAAAATTTCTGTATAAAGGGGGGAAATATACAACTGTATATTTCTCTAACAATTTTTATATCAATAGAAAAATGAGTACCCTTGTATTAATATTTAGTTGTTTATTTCAATTTTGACATTTTAAAAATATTTCTGTCTGGATACTTTTACCATGCTATTTCTAACATTTTCATACAGCATATATTTAATTTTAAGTCTAGAAATACCCATAACAAACACACAATCTCAGTTGTAAGTAATGTCCACTCCTTTTTCTGTCTTCACTGTTCCCTTGATATTCTTCAGGGGTAACAAGCAGTCAAATAACCTGGGTGGCTTCTCCATAGTTCCTTCTTAATTTTATGATTTTATAGAATTGTCTTAGGTACATTCAGTTTAAAAGGTTCCTTCTAATTCTGTCTTTTGTTTCATATCAAAAAAAAAAAAATACCTGTTTATAAAGCCAACCTCGTCTGACAACCGGTGCATTAGGATTCCTTTTAATTGAATTTGACCTCTTTCCAAAATTATGAACTTTTTTTGAAGCTCGTGAAGTCTAAATAGAAAAAGAGCATGACAGAAAATGTGGTATTAATGCCTAGAGATTTGAGCTTATCTTCCTCTTAAAATTTAATCTCTTTTCAGATTTTCCCAAGACTTGCAGGACTTAAATCTTTTCAGAAAAATTATTAAAATTCTACTTTTGCTGGGTTAGTTTTTTGAAGTGTAAGAATTCCGCACCAAAAATTTTTCCCCCAGGGTATCACAAGTTTTACAATCTTTCCTTTAAAATCTGGATAGGATATACAATTTTTAGAAACACAGAGTATGTGGCAGTATTTTGTCCTACCTGCTATATAAAATGAATAGATCTTGAGTAAAAACTGTTAACAGATCTTTAAGAATAAACCAAATGACAGAACTTTTCCCTTTATATCTGCATTTAATAGTGCAGGTTCAATTAAAGAAAGTTAATGGCACTCAGTCTGAGGAGAAATATACAGATATTAAATATAAACAAATATATCACATCAAGTCAAAACAGGACAGGAAGGATCTGCTTAATGTGATGTAGTGTTTTCTTTTTTATGGACAACTCTGAACTTAAACTAGACAGATGGGGTTTACTGGATTCTTCAAAATACACATAAGGATATACAGTCTTTAAAAATACTGCTATGGTTACCATGAAGATTTATTTTGGCAGGAATCATAATGGTGACCAACAAAGATGAAAACAATGAAGCTATAAAGTAACATAAAATTATCTCTTACTTTTCTACTTGTTCAGAATCTTTGGAAATCCAGCATACTTCTTTAGAATTTTGTTTTGGGAAGCTTTTATTAGTATATAAGAAAATTTTAAGGCCCAATATCAACAAAATTTTTCCTAAAGCATGTTTTCTTGATAGATTTTAATTTACTTTCAAACAGGTAATGCTTAAAAACAGTATAAAACTCAAACGACACAAAAAGATACACAAAGATCAATCTACTCACTCTTGGGCTCCAGCACCCAGCTAGCCCCACTCACAACTGTGTGGCAACCAATATCACTGTATGTGTGTGCCTATCTATCTAAAATAATTGTTCTCATGATTAATGAGTATTTTTCTGAAATGACTGCATATTTTAATATCCACTCTTCTGTTCCATTATTTCTTGGAGCTCACTATATAAACCGAATGCCTATTTACCCATACTGTTGTTAGTGTGCTGTGTTATGAAACTTTCTGATCTTTGGAAATCTGCAGGTGGAAATGGTGTCTTTTTCTGGTTTTAATTAGTATTTTTCATATTATGGATGAGGCTGAGAATCTTTTTTCATATATTTAAGAGTAAATTCCATTTTCTTTCCCGAAAACTGATTTCATATAATTTTTCCATTTCCAAACTGGCTCATAAGCCCTTTTCTTATTGATTCACAGCACTTCTTTAATTATAAGGAAATTATTCTTTAATTGTTATATGAATTACAGATACTCTGCATGGATAATAATTACGTGTGGTTGAATTTCTCATTATTTTATATTGTTACTTCTGAGTTTTATGTCATATTTAGAAAGCCCATCTGCATTCTGAGCTTTTCTTTTTTTTTTTTTTTCAAATCTTCCATTGTTTTTTTCTTAGTTTTGTTTTTAACATTTCAACAACTGATCCATCTAGAAAATTTCTGGTGTAAAGTATGAGGAACAGATTCAACTTTCTTTCAAGACAATGACCTAGTGGCTCTCAATCCATTCATCAATTTCTCCAGATTTTAATTAAAATATACTCATAAAGCATTATGCTCAGTTAGCCTGTTGGATTTATTTTACTTAATAATCAGAAATTATTTATATTACTTGAAAATTTACATTCATTTATAATCTCCTAACAAAATTTTATTTCAAAAACCTTAACTGGCATTTAAAATACTATTATTATAATTATCTTATAATTATCTATTTCCTTACAATAAACATAATATACTATTACAATGGTTTTGCTGAAAAATGTTTTCTCCATCTAAGCATTCTTATAGTCAGATAATTTGATTTCTAGGCTATTACATGAATAATCACCTTTAAAACTTAAGTGTACCCATTCTCTCTCACAAATATCAATGTATTTCTAAAATTATTCCAAATTTAAAAATTTAAGTCACTGAATTACAATCTTATTACTTTGTATTTCGGGCTGTTGCTTCTTATATCAATTACCTTCAAATTCATGTAATAATAAAAATGTAATTATTATTCTATACTTTTAAGTCCATTATGAGTAACGGTATAGATACTGTTTACTCCTTATCAATAATTAATATAAAGCAAAATAACTTACTCTGCCTACAGGGCTCATTGGATGCACTGCATAATCTGAAGTCACGTTATAGTTAGAAGCTTCATTTATCATACTTATTGGCCGTTCCTTCTTTTCTTCAGATGTCATGGTTGCAACAGTCCTGAAAATATATGTCAAAATGCTAGAACTTGCTGTGTATGTAACCCGCTTTATAATTACACTTCTCTACAGTTAACAATGCGAGTGTCCTACTTTTTCACAGTACTTGGATCCTAGTTACTCTAGAGTCAGGCCTTAATACTTACAACAACTTTAAATACAGCTAACGCTTTTCCTAAGCCAAAAATACATTATTATCATGTTTATTTATTATTAGTTTTTAAGACAAGAGTCTCACTCTGTTGCTCAGGCTACAGTGCAGTGGCGTAATCTTGGTTCACTGTAGAATCTGCCTCCCAGGTTCAAGTGATTTTCCTGCCTCAGACTCCTCAGTAGCTGGGACTACCAGCACGTTCCACCATGCCCGGCTAATTTTTCTATTTTTTTAGTACAGTCAGGGTTTCACCATGTTGGCCAGGCTGGTCTTGAATGCCTGACCTCAAGTGATTCGCCCACCTTGGCCTCCCAAAGTGCTAGGATTACAGGCGTGAGCCACTGTGCCCGGCCTATCATGTTTATTTATAATAGGCATTATTGCAGATATTCTACTTGGTCACCCAACTGAAAAATTAAAAATGAATTATGAGATTATTCTAATTTTAAAAACAATAACAATTTCAGTAACTAACTCTGTGAATAGCTTTATAGTATAATACATTCTTTGATGCTTATAAAACTCTTGTGAAATAGTAATTACCACTATCTGATTTAAGGATGAGAAAAGTGAGCTCAAATTAGTTTAATAATCTAACCATTTACACAGTTTCTCTAAGCTTGCATCCCGGGTTCTTGAGCTTACTGCGTTTGAAGTACTATAAAAACAGCTTCTGAAATTACATTCTTCATGAAAAAAATGTTTAACTCAGGTTTCTATATGACACATTGTGAACAGCTGGCATTCTGTTATTATACTTGACTACAAATGTCCAGATAAGAAAACTGCTAAATTGAAATATAAATAACAGCAATTTCAATGCTAACCCAATTTTGAATACAGGCATTCCATGAAACTCTTTACTTACTGTTCATTCACTACAAAAATACAATTGTCCTGTGATGGTTGTCCTGTGACTGGATGTTTGCAGGTCACTTTCCTTTCATTATGGCTGAAAAAAGGAAAAAAGAAAAACAGAACATGCAGGTATTTAAAATTCCCATTTATTTATTGTAACATTAGTCTACAAAGGAAATGAAATTCAAACTTCCAGCCTTTTTTTTTGTTTTTGAGACGGAGTTTTATTCTTGTCGCCCAGGTTGGAGTGCAATGGCGCATTCTCGGCTTACTACAACCTCTGCCTTCTGGGTTCAAGCAATTCTTCTGCCTCAGCCTCCCAAGTAGCTTGGATTATAGGCGCCCACCATCACGCGCCCAGTTAATTTTTTGTATTTTTAGTAGAGACAGGATTTCACCATGTTGGTCAGGTTGGTCTTGAACTCCTGACCTCAGGTGATCCACCCGCCTCGGCCTCACAAAGTGCTGGGATTACAGGCATGAGACACGGCACCTGGCCGCCAGCCTTTTGAGATTCCTAAATATATCTTTCCTACTATCTATTGAGAGTGTATATGTGTGTAAATGTTACTTATATTTTTACAAAAAAGTTAAATGCATCCCTTCTCAGTCTGGCCTCAATCCTTTTTCATTATTTTATAAACAAAGGTTAAGTTGTAGGCCAGGTGCCATGGCTCACGCCTGTAATCCCAGCATTTTGGAGCGCCAAGGAAGGTGGATCACTTGAGGTCAGGCGTTCAAGACCAGCCTGACCAACATGGTGAAACACCATCTCTACTAAAAATACAAAAATTAGCCAGGTGTGGTGGCGTGTGCCTGTAATCCCAGCTACTCGGGAGGCTGAGGCAGGAGAATCGCTTGAACCTGGGTGATGGAGGTTGCAGTGAGCTGAGATTGTGCCACTGCACTCCACTCTGGGCAACAGAGCAAGCCTCTGTCTCCCAAAAAAAAAAAAAAAAAAAAAAAAAAGGTAAGTTGATTTGGCTGTTTAGCTCTTTACACTGCATTGTAAAATACAATGATTACTGTATTTTACACTTCATAGGTGGGTCATGAAAAGTAAGTATGAGTGTCTACTTACCTCCACTGTTTTATGGTCCAACATGGGTGCATTACAGAGTACTAATGCCAAATTCATAAATGGAAAGAAAACCTAACAGTACTACTATATGGGCACCAGTACCTTAAAAAAATAGAAGGTTCTGAAACAGGAATAATTTACAGTGTTTCTGTTTTAAAAATAACCTTTATATAGATAATGTAATGAGATTAATTTTTTGACACTTGAGGAAGGTATGTTGTAGAAAAAAATGAAATCTGAAGGAGAAGCAAAAATCTTAAATGAAATGTGGAAACAACAACAAAAACAAAGAAAAATCTGTTATATTTACTGAAAAAAATTGCTTTGAATTAAGTTATGACTATTTTTGGAGAAAAAGATGTTTGCCTAAGAAATAGTATTCTTTCTAGGTTGAATGATAAGATTAGGTCTTCAACTGTCTTCTTGAATGAAAGAAGGAAAAAAACCCTATTTATTTAAGCCAAAAATATTAGATGCTCAAAATAATATGCAATATACATTGATATATTAAATAGTCTATAATAATTTTCATTAAGTCATATACCATAAAGTAATCTGTAACAGAGACCTATCATTGACATGCCTGACATTAGAAAATTTACCTTGTAAGGTCTGTATTGAATATTAGTTTTCTTTTGTTAATCTTAAAATATTAGTACATGTGCTGTGTATGGTGAGAAGTCTATAACCACAACCTGCAAACTTCCAGGTAAATTTCATATGCTTAAGTTCTTTTTCCAAATCCTAATTTTCATATTTTTTTGGGTAACTCAATACTCTGAAGCTTTATCCATTAAATAAAATTGAAACAGTATTAATATAAAGATATAGATAGTTTTAAAAAAATTCCATATTGACTATTGTAAGAGTAGAATCATTAATGAAACATAGTGTTTCTATTATTCCTTAAATCAAGTAGTCTAAGAAGCACATAGAGCCATCTGTTAATATTTAGAAAAAATTTAATAGATACAGCACTTGACACCCTGGGAGGTAGCTGGCTCACTGTTAGGTCCTGACCATTGTCTTGGCACAACGGAGGAGTGGACTGCTCAGGACCACAGGAAGGGCAGGGAAGGGAAGACAATGATTCTAGCCTTTTCTCAATTCTACCAAAGTTTGTCCCCTGTATTATTACAAATTGTATGTTTTTATCTTAGAGCTGCCATTCTTTTCTGCATTTCACAAGTTTTTTTTTTTTTTTTTTTTTTTTGGATGGGCCTCAAAATTCAGATCAAGAGAATCATCAGTTCTGCTATAACGCTTGCTGGAACTGTTTCAACATGATTTGTACGTTAAAGGAACAATTTGAGCACAACACAACTTGGCATTTGCTTATGCATGATTTTATCTGTGAGAGACTCTAGATGGATGCAAAAAACTGCACCCAACAAAACCCAGCCATGTAGGAATACACAAAATGTATATCTGCACACACCTCAAACATGTACCAGCTACTTCAGTTCACTGCCTGTTTTATGAAACACACCTATCCTCATCTGGTGATACAACTTTTTTTTCTTTTCTTTTCTTTTTTTTTTTTTTTGAGACAGAGTTTTGCTCTGTTGCCCAGGCTGCAGTGAAGTGGCGCAATCTCAGATCACTGCAACCTCTGCCTCCTGGGTTCAAAGGATCCTCCTGCCTCAGCCTCCCAAGTTAGCTGGGATTACGAGCGTGTGTCACCATGCCTGGCTAATTTTTTCCATTTTTAGTAGAGATGGGGTTTTGCCATGTTGGCCAGGCTGGTCTTGAACTCCTGGCCTCAAGTGATCCATCAGCCTTGGCTTCCCAAAGTGCTGGGATTACACTGTGAGCCACCGCACCAGGCCTACAGCTTTCAACTCAATTTCAGATAACCTTCCTCCCAGCACCTCCCAATAATTCACATGCTGAAACCCTTTCAACACTCAGTTACTTTCACAAGCAAAATGCGGGTCTTTTTCAAGGCCAAATGTCATATTTATTATGCTACCATTTTTATTCGGTTCCTATCTTTATTCCCATGTGTCACTAATGAAGTTTTTGTGTAGTGTGCTCCTAGATCCATTTTCCCCCCAAGCCCTGCGTTTTTTGTTTCCAGATTTTGCATGAAGAGGTGATTTTTAGGGACACACATGCTATATTTTTGCAATACGTATTGCACTACTAAATTACAAACTAACATATCACTATCCTATTAAAAATGCATTAGAATTTTAACAGACACTGAAACAAGGTGTCACTTAAAAAATTCTTGCCAGATATTTTATGCTTAATAAAAACCGAGAATAAAAAAAAGTATTTAAAAAATTTGTATTTCTAGAAGAATCCTTATAAAAAGGATAAAATTCAAGTCTTTATTTTTTTTTATTTTATTATCTTTATTTTTGGAGACGGAGTTTCACTCTTGTTGCCCAGGCTGGAGTGCAATGGCACAATCTCAGCTCACTGCAAGTTCCGCCTCCCAGGTTCAAGCGATTCTCCTGCCTCAGCCTCCCAAGTATTTGAGACTACAGGTATGCACCACGACGCCTGGCTAATTTTGTAGTTTTAGTAGAGAGGGGTTTCACCATGTTGGTCAGGCTGGTCTCAAACTCCTGTCCTCACGCGATCCACCCGCCTTGGCCTCCCAAAGTGCCGGGATTACAGGTATGAGCCTCTGCGCCCGGCCAAATTCAGGTCTTGATATAATACATACCTATGGTCACAGAACAAACTAATTCCCACCTTGTCTCTGTAGTCACTGTGGCCTAGTAGGAAGTCCAAACTTTTCTAAATACAATGCCAGTGTTTACCTACTCTTACTTCCAGACTTTTAATATATAGGTCTAGACAAGTGGTTCTCAATTGGGTGATTTCGCCTCCAGGGGAGCATTTGGCAATCCCTGGTAACATTTTGAATGTCATAACTGGGGAAATGTTACTGGTGTCTAGTGGGTAGAGGCCAGGGTGCTGCTAAACAGTTTATAATGCAGAGCAGAGCCCTCCATGTCCAAATAAACCTCCAGAAAGGTCAGCAGTGCTGAGGGTGGGAAGCCCTGCACTAGGCTATCATAACCCTTAAAATAACTGACTCGACTGAATAAGAAAAGCAATATTTACTATTCGTGTTCCTGTATTTCTGTAAACACAACAGAGGTAGCAGAAAACAATGGCAGTTGAGAGCACAGTTTCTGAAATCAGACTACATAGGTTTGAATCCCAGCTCCTCCACTTAATAGCTAGGTGATCTTTGGCAACTTACTTTACCTCTCTGTGTCTCAACTGAATAAAGGCAGCTATGTCACAGGTTATTCCTTCATTTAGTCAGCATATACATGTATATACACACAAATATTTTCAAAAATATAACATCTATATAGACATATATTTATATACAGTAGTCCTCCCTTATCTGTGGTTTTGCTTTCTATGGTTTCAGTTACCCTCAGTCAATTGCCGCCCAAAAATATTAAATAGAAAATCCCAGAAATAAACAATTCTTAAGTTTTAAATTGTGAGCTGTTCTGAGTAGTGTGATGAAATCTCTCTCCATCCTGCTCCATCCCATCTATGATGTGAATCATCCCTTTGTCCAGTGTCTCTAAACTGTCGATGCAACCTGCCCCGTTAGTTACTTAGTAGTTGGCTTGGTTCTCAGATTAACTGTTGAGGTATTGCAGTTTTTGTGTTCAAACAACCTTTACTTTACTTAATAATGACCCCACCCCACCCCCTAAAGTACAAGACTAGTGATGCTGGCATGCTGTTACACTTTTATTAGTTATTGTAGTTAATCTTTTACTGTGCCTAATTTTTTAAAAAACAGAGATGGGGTCTTGCTGGGTTGCCCAGTCTGGCCTCAAACTCCTGGGCTCAAGTGATCTTCCTACTTTGGTTTCCCAAACTGCTGGGATTACAGGCATGAATCAGCATGCCTGTCCCACTGTGCCTAATTTATAAATTAAAATGTATCATAAAGCAGTGAGAAAAACATAAAAAATCCTTGCCCTCATGGAACTTACTTTATAATAGAAGCTGTAGAAAATAATAAGCACTTGATAAATGTTATTTACAATTATTATGAACTGCAGGACATTCAGTATATGTCATCATTATATTAGTATTTGGTCAATTATTTAAATTAAAAGTTTAACTTCGTGCCTACCCATACAGTCATGTGTCACTTAACTATGGTAATACATTTTGTTTGTTTGTTTCATCATACTCAACCCCAACTATGGTGATACATTCTAAAATATATTAGGTGATTTTAGTTGTGTGAACATCATAAAGTGTATATACACAAACCTAGTTGGTACTGCCTACTATAAAAATAGAAAATATATTTATATATAAACCTAGGCTATATAGTATAGCTTATTGCTTCTAGGATAAAAACAGGTAACGCATGTTACTGTATTGAATACTATAGGCCATTGCAGTATAATGTTAATTATTTGTGTATCTAAATATATCTAAACACAGAAAAGGTACATTAAAAAATATGGTATTAAGCCTGTAATCCCAGCACTTTGGGAGGCCAAGGAGGGTGGATCACTTGAGGCCGGGAGTTTGAGACCAGCCTGGACAACATGGCGAAACCCTGTCTCTACTAAAAATACAGAAATTAGCCAGGCATAGTGACACACGCCTGTAATCCCAGCTACTCTGGTGGCTGCGGCATGAGAATCGCTTGACCCCAAGAGGCAGAGGCTGCAGTGAGTTGAGATAGTGCCAATGCACTAAAGTCTGGGCAAAAAACTATGGCATTAAAGATTAAACACTCTATCCCTCAGGCCATAATGCAGTGATGTGAACACAACTCTCTGCAGCCTCAACCTCCCAAGTTCATGCAGTCCTCTTACCTCAGCCTCTCAAGTAGCTGGGACTAAAGGTGCACGCCATCACACCCACCTAATTTTTAAAATAGCTACTTAGGAGGCTGAAGCAGGAGAAATGTTTGAGCCCAGGAGTTTGAGGCTGCAGTGAGCTATGATTACCACTGCACTCCAGCCTGGGCAGCAGAGCAAGACCTTGTCTCTCTCTCTCTCTCTCTTTTTTTTTTAATTAAATTTAAATTAAAAGTTAATTTTTTTTTTAAAAGCACTCTGTTATTCTAGAGCTTCCAGGGCTAAAGAAAACAGGTCATATTTACAAGCTCAACTTGATGATTATGCTCTACTAAAGGTCAGCATAAAATGAACGAATGCCCTCACCCCCTACCTTTTTTTTTTTTAAAAAAAGAAAAGATACCAAGGAATTGATAAATAGCAACACAGATTGCTTGGGCTTGGCATTGTTTTTTTCCTATTTATTACCAGAGTTTTAATCATTTACTACAATCAGAAGAGTAAATGAAAGGCCTGATACTTTAAAGCTTCTATGAAACTATTATTTCATTTAATAATAATTTGGTTGTGAAGGATTTTAAGATGACTAAATCAGTGTGTATATAAAATGGTATATATATTTCCATCAAACTGTATAACACTAAAATGACATGTCTACTGGAGATAAAATAGAAATTCATTAGTCTACCTAATTCCTTTTCCAATCTTATGTATTTTATAAACCAAATAATGAATTACGTAGGTAACTACTGGAACACCTGGGCTATGCTGAACTTTTAAGCAGACATCTTAGTTCTGAGCTTTCTGGAAGCTTAGATAAAAAGAGAAAGCTAAAGCACACAGCTCCTATAAACTACTGATGGAAGGAAGAGCAATTTACCAGGTTTAAATCAACTTTAAGTGACAGGTTTCTTTTATATAAATAACTAAAACTGTATGACAGCACTCTGAAAACGGGGGAAGCTGTTGTTTGCCTCCCTTTCCAGGGTAATTAAAGGAAGATACTTTTCGTAGAGTCGACATTGCTATGGTTTTCCCTCCTCAGGAGACATACAAAGGAGGATGCCAATGGCATTCCTTAAAAAACATCATAACCATGCACACATTCTCTCATGAAAATAAACGCATAAAGTGCACATTTCAATATAAACCCCAATAAAAATAGGCAATTAGAAAAAAAACTTGTTTGTTAATATGGTGTTTCAAATTTCCAGTTAAAATAATAAAAGCCCATAAAAGTGAGGGGCCTATTTCATTCTTAATGGAGAGTTACTTCAAATTATACAAGGAAAGAAACTAAAGTATTCAATGGAATTAAGTACTAACTGACAAAAGAAATTTGGTATTAAGATTCCTGTTATCCAATAAGACCAAAACCATGCGAAACTTCATTGAATGCAAAAATCTTTTTTTATCTGATATCTATAGGTAAAATACCCTTATTAGAAGTTATTTAAAAATCAGAATTTGATTTTTATAGAAATGAATCCAGTACTAAATGTACTAGATTGTTTTTTTTTTTTTTTTGGTCTTGCTCTGTTGCCCAGGCTGGAGTGCAGTGGCGCAATCTCGGCTAAATGCAACATCCGCCTCCTGGGTTCAAGCAGTTCCCTGCCTCAGCCTCCCAAGTAGCTGGGATTACAGGCGCCTGCCACCATGCCTGGCTAATTTTTGTATTTTTAGTAGAGATGCGGTTTCACCATCATAGCCAGGCTGGTCTCAAACTCCTGACCTCATGATCCACCCACCTCAGCATCCCAAAGTGCTGGGATTACAGGCGTGAGCCACCGCACCCAGCCTTAAATGTACTAGATTTAAACATTTAAAAATTCAAGTAATGTTACATATATATAACAAAGCAGCAAGCCAGGCGCAGTGGCTCATGCCTGTAATCCCAGCACTTTGGGAGGCCAAGGCGGGTGGATCACGAGGTCAAGAGTTCGAGACCATCATGGCTAACACGGTGAAACCCCGTCTCTACTAAAAATACAAAAAGTTAACCGGGTGTGGTGGCGGGCGCCTGTAGTCCCAGCTACTCGGGAAGCTGAGGCAGGAGAATGGCATGAACCTGGGAGATGGAGCGTGCAGTGAGCCAAGATCATGCCACTACACTACAGCCTGGGCGACAGAGTGAGACTCTGTCAAAAAAAGGAAAAAAAAAAAAAAGGCAGTAAATGAGATATATTCTTTAAACCACATACGGAAAGAACTATTTTAAAATAATACTTATGATTTCAAAGAGATGATGACTCAGGATTGCTTAATACTGCAGCACTGCCATCTTTATTGGGTTGCCCTGTGCCTTTTAGTTAGGCATCCTCTCAAGCCCAAGGTGGCTGCTGTATCACAAAGCAATACTCTGAACCACGAAGTCTAGAGTTAAAAGGAAGGTTTTTTTTTTTTTTTTTTTTTTTTTTTGACAGTCTCACTCTCGTTCCCCAGGCAGTAGTGCAATGGCGTGATCTCGGCTCACTGCAAGCTCTGTCTCCGGGTTCAAGCTATTCTCCTGCCTCAGCCTCCCGAGTAGCTGGGATTACAGGCGCCTGCCACCACGCCCGGCTAATTTTTGTATTTTTAGTAGAGACGGGGTTTCACCATATTGGCCAGGCTGGTCTCGAACTCCTGACCTCAGGTGATCTGCCCTCTAAGTTTCCCAAAATCTCCCTGGCCATCTTTCTCAAGAATCTCACTAGTCAGAGATATGAGATTCTATGTCCAATTCAACCAACGGCAAAATAAGTGGGACTACTATGGTGAGCGAGCTAACTCCAGTCAAAATTCACAACTTTGTCTGTGGCCGACCTAGAGGAAACTGAATAAAATGCAGTTATATTATAATAGCAAGGAAAAAGGGGAAGGAAGAGGCTATTAGCTAAGAAATATTCTGTTTTCTTAGACAAAGCAACTTACACATGGTCCAAAGAAAATATCTGCGCTAGCATATTCAAAAGTAGATTTCTCTTGTTTTATATGGTAAAAGAGGAAAATGGTTTTACTAGTTTCTTGCTTTGGGAAGGTAAAAGGGTAATTTAACCTGAACTTCAGACCTTTAGAGATTTTGTTTCTACCTTCAGAAAAATGTTTTAATGTTTTGGCTACACACTACCTTTCATAATGCAATTCTTCCTTGTGGGAGCATGTGTTTTTGGTGGGGTTTTTTTTTAAATCTCTATTTCATGGGCAACTTCAGTGACAAAGCAGTTAAAATCCACTCTGCTTTTTAATCCAAAATCCACTCTGCTTTTTTAAAAGAATATTGAAATTGCTATTAACATATTGCCAATAACAGCCAATACTATTCTTCTGAGTGATCCATTACAGTCAGGCAAAGCAACCTTTATTATGCAGTGTTTCATATATGTAACCATGGTAATATCGTTGAAAATGTATCTACTGCGCAAAACGAGTAATATATATTTTAGAATCCCACAGAAGAGATTTCAGTTGTTTCTTACTAAACTCACATGTGTACCCATTTATATGATTTGCTCTGAATCATGTATTTCCCTTAAGGGAAAAAGAAAAAGATTTAATTTAGTTTAAGAAAAATAGAATAGCATAGTGGTTTGGCAGCTGCCATTTGGCAATTCTTCTGCCACTCCTGGCAACAAAGGCCAGTATCATGACTTGGACTTTTGCAAAGGCCCAACCCACAAAAGCTGCCACACATCCACAATAATGTTAGACTGGAGTGGGGCAGAAGAGGTGTGGAAACTATGGAAGCTACTGTATTTCTCTATGAAGAAAACTATGCAGCAAAAAGCTCAGATGTGTGCTTTTAACTTGTGTTTTCAGTATCCTTCTAGTGAAACCAAAAAGAGTACCATAATTTTTAACTATAATTTACTAGCTTCTTAAGTTGGCCTTAGTTTCATTACTCTATTAAAAACAATTATACTCTCTAGCTTGCCTTAAAATTGAAGAGATTTCATCAATAGAAATCACACAGTGTCTTGTAATTTTGCAACTCAAACAATCAAATCTTAATTAGGTTTAAAAAACATGTTTGTAGCAGCCATTTAGTTATTAAATCAACTCAGCCTATGCTAGTCAAGTAATTTAAAAATTATTATTAAATATAAAATTTCTTAATGTTTCACATAGATAACTTTTCATTTACTTTCATTGTAATAAAAAGGAGAAAAATGTCCTGTTGAAATCTGGCTGCCACAAAGACAGTTTCTGCAATTTATTTTTAAACTGAAAATACGCTGGCATAGAAAATTGTGCCTACAATTAAAGGCAATGTTTTAAGAACAAAAGAAAAACATTAAAAGTGCTTTGCCTTTCTTGAAACTGAATTCTTGAGGCTTTTTTATGTGAAGAAATAACCACTGAGTTAGCAATCTCAAAGACTGTAATTTTTTTTGAGGGGTAAAACATGAAAAGTATATATTTCCTTTCCCCACATTTAGTTCTAAATGTCATTTGCCTTTAACTTAGAACTAACTGCTTCCAGACATCCTGCTCAAACCTCAATGTTTCATTTACCCACCATCTACAAATTCTCCTTAAGGTCTTAACCCTTTAATTTCTATTCTTTCTCCTCTCATCATTTAGAAAACGGATAATTTCCAATTTCTTGGGAGAAAGGAAGGGATTAATCAGGTGTGAAAACCTCACTCAACCTCACCTCCAGCAATAAATATTATGATCACCACCATAACAGCTACCCTTAAGCATTTCAGTGCTACTCACATATTCAGCTGTCACGTAATGGCCTTGACAATCCTCACAGAGCCCATTTGAGGTAGGTGTTATTATTTGCAGTTTATGAATACATAAACCGAGGCTCATAGCATTTAGAAAGTTGCCAGAAGTCATACTCCAAGTAGGAGTGCCTCCAAGGCTTGAGCTGCTTTCCTTTTCAGATCCCAACCTTTCAACAGCTGCCCCTTTCTCCAACTCTTCCACAGCCAATGAGACTTCTCAGTTCTGCCTTTCATCTTCTGTTCAATGACACTAGAACAGAATAAAGCCATACTTTCCTTAGAGGCCCTTTCCTTCTTCCACTGACAGCAGATGTGCCATGCACATGCTGCCTCTCTCACTGCTCCTCTTCCCTCCTCCTCTCATCTCACTGCCTACCATCACCCCAGGATCATTTCTATCTGAAGCACAGTAATGAAAGCTTTCCCAATTCCAGTTTAATTTTAAACCCAATGCCTCTCATCCTTGGAAGCTTCATAATCATTTCCTACTCTTAGCTGTTCAGACAAAATTACCTCCAAAACAGATTTAGAAATGTTACCTCACATTTCTACCATTACAGGTATCAAAGAATTTAAATACAAATAATAACAATTATAAAGCATGTGTTGCACCCAACAGGAACTGAAAATCTTGCTTGACTCAGAAGAGATGACTTAAACCCCAGTGAGAAAATATGAGTATGATGTAACACTGTAAGTACAAAGCTAAAACCATTATTATAGACATTAAGAACATTAAGGGGAAAAAAATTAAATGTTCAAAACATAAAAAGCTCACATGCCAACTCACCTGTTTTAGGATTTGGTTTTTCACTGATAATTTCTAAGTTATCTTTCTTAAAAGCTCTCTTAAATAAAACCAGCATACACACTGAGAATCTACAAAATGGGCTGGGTGTGGTGGCTCACGCCTGTAATTCTAGCACTTTGGGAGGCAGAGGCAGGTGGATCACCTGAGGTCAGGAGTTTGAGACCACTCTGGCCAAAATGGTGAAACCGTGTCTCTACTAAAAATACAAAAATTAGCCAGGTGTGCAGTGGCGCCCATCTGTAGTCCCAGCTACTAGGGAGGATGAGGCATGAGTATTGCTTGAACCCAGGACGCGGAGGCTGCAGTGAGCCAAGATCGTGCCACTGCACTCCAGCCTGGATGACAGAGTGAGACTCTGTCTCAAAACAAAAAAAACAAAAAAAAACAAAAAAAGGAATTTACAAAATGAACACCTTTTAATGAATTTAAAGCAATTTTGAAAGTAATGTAAGAATGATTCAATTAACACCATGCTAGTTAAAATGTACCTATCACATCCATCCCGAGTATTACAGCAGAGTTACATTTTAGATCACTTGATAAATTAAAAGCAAAAGTGCTTAACATAATTTAGATAATTCTTTCACCTGTAAGTAATTTGAGTGAATCTGAACTTAACCATTTAAGAGAATGGGAAGGTTAACTGGTACTATATGGTTAAAACAGAAATATGATTCTTAAAATGTACACACTAATTTGCCAAAGTAATTTTCTGCCAAGTATTCAAGAATTAAGTGATATTGACTGCTAATAACATCTCAGCCACTGTGCAGGCGCATATGGTTCTAAGACTCTTTTTAAAAAAAAAATTGTATGTATTTATCTTTACAATTTATTTTTCTTTTCTTTTTTTTTTTTTAGATGGAATCTCACTCTATTACCCAGGCAGGCTGGAGTACAGTGGTGTGATTTTGGGCTCACTGCAACCTCTAACTCCTGGGTTCAAGTGATTCTCCTGCCTCAACCTCCCAAGTAGATGGGATTACAGGCACCACAACCATGCCCAGCTAATCTGTGTATTTTTAGTAGAGACGGGGTTTTACCATGTTGGCCAGGCTGGTCTTGAACTCCTAGCCTCAAGTGATCCGCCCGCCTCGGCTTCCCATAGTGCTGGGATTACAGGCATGAGCCTATCACACCCAGCTATTTTTACAATTTATTTTTCAACTGAAAAATTAAGACAGTATGTATTTATCGTGTACAACATAAGACTCTCTTAACAGCATCTGAATCCACCTCATTGTAACAAGACTCTTCACTATTGAGTCTATCCTCCAAGCTGAGCTTCAGCTTCTTTCTGTAGAATAGGAATTAAAACCAAAAAACCAAACCAGCAGCACAACAAAACCCCTACCCCTTTAAAAGGATAAATTATCTGGTTACACATCAAGGCATATTAGCTGGATCTAATAGAGTCCTCACCATATAACAGCTGAACTTGAATGTGTTAGTAGAATCAGATTTCTTAAAAACAAGTAAATTATGTCACTTCCTTGCTTTAAATAATTGTTGGTTCTCTGCATCATCTTTAATGTGAAGTATAATGGCTTGCATACAACTGTAATTTAATGAATAAGGAACACTGATAATGTGATCCAAGGTTAAAGTTTACTGTTGAATGATATATGGAAAAAGCACTTATAAAGCCACATAACAGAATAAAAATGCTCACAGGGTATATTTTAGCGGGTTAAAAAGAATACTTACTCGAAAAGTTGCAGAGTCACTTGTATAAAAATATTGTGTCACAAGAGTCTTACTGACTTTCAAAATAAAACTGGGCAGAACCCTAACTCAGAAACATTTCAATAATCAGAAATATTCTCGTCATTTAAAAGCAATAACATGGCATTCAAAAATATACACAGCCTGTAATCCCAGCACTTTGGGAAGCTGAAGTGAGAGGACTGCTTTAGGCCAGGAGTTTGAGGCTAGCCTGGGCAATAAAGAAAGGCCCTGTCTCTTAAAAAAAAATAATAATAATAATAATTAATAATAATAATATTAAAACTTAGCCAGGTGAGGTGGTGCATCCCTGTAGTCCCAGTTACTCAGGAAGCTGAGGTGGGAGGATCCCTTAAGCTTAGGCGTTCAAGGCTGCAGTGAGCTATGATGGTGCCATTATGCTCCAGCCTGGGCAACAGCAAGACCCTGTCTTTAAAAAAAAAAAAAAAAAAACTCCCTAATGAATGCTAATTTGTAATATTTTATTGTAACATGCATTATATAGAAGTTTATTATACCTTTGGGAAGGAAGCAAAAGGCAAATTAGAAAAAGTTTAAGTATCCACTCTTTTGCGTGTGGTCACACTCCACTTTAGAAAGTTAACCAAATTATAACCTATACATAAATTGCCACACAATTTAAAGAGATCCAATTATTTTATTGTAGATAAAACACATTCTTTCCAGTAGAGTCAAACTGACAGAGTAACAGTTCAATTCAAAAGGGGAAAAACTGCTAATCACTTATTCCGTATCGTGCAGTATTCATTTTCATATACTGCATGAGCTTTAAACAATTTCTTCAAGAATAAAAAAGGAGCTGACTCATAAGTCAAATGATATTCCTATGATACAAAAAGATTTTGTAAAAAACGTTTGGCTTTCTTTCAAAATAGCTATCTTGTAGCATAACAAACACTTTTATTCATTCTATATGTGCTAGGCACTGGTGACACAGCCTTAATAATATCACAAATACAAATAAATAAACATGAAGAGTCTCATAACCATAAACAAAATACAAAGGGGAAACCGATTAGGGATTGATCTTGCTTAGAAAGGAAAAGAGCAGAGAAGGCATCACGGAAGTGGCTACCATTTGAATTGAGCCTGGTGGAATCAGCGGGATTAGTCAGATGTGGCTGGAGTTCAGCACAGATTGAAGCTGGCTAGGGCACAAAGAAATGTGGTTGAAAATCTAGGCTTTGACTAACAATATGTTTATGTATATAAAATGTGTTATATAAGTTTTGAAACAATGTATTTGCTCCCCTCCTAGGTTTTCTTTTACTTCAATTCCAAAATAATATATTTGTTAAAACTCTGAAAAGGCCCAGATAGTAATGCACTTTATGTGATGCACATAACACCTAATTTAGGTTCAGTTTAGTCAACAAATCATTATCCTCAAGCACTGAGAAATTTCTCACTTGCAGATGAGGCACGAGGGGGACAGAAATTCAATCCAGAATAGCAGGGTAAGTAACCCAGTTTCCAATAGCAGTGACATTGTGAGCAGAGTGGGCAATAACTGGAGACATGGGGGGAAATCCAATGGCCACTACAGGACACTGTGATGGCAATATTTCACTCTGGAGACACATTTCCTTCCAGCAGAGTACAACGCAGGGCATGCTATCAACAGGCTAGTTAACTAGCAGGTTTTGATCATCAGAGTGAAGATGGAATCTCTACAATGCAAAGATCAAGATATCCTCCTCGTATTTAACTTGCTTTGCCAATTCATTTCTTCGTGTTGAAATTATTTATTAAGCATCCTATATATACAACGTTTTGTACTGTCTACCACAAGGGAACAAAAATATAGTTTAAGACTATAAGGGCCTTAAGAAATACTATTCCATCTGAGTTTACTAGGCTAAACTTCAAACAAAGAAGAGTAGCACAATTACACTTTTTCAAGCAGTCTATAGTATTGGTGGAAAGCGTTCCTCAAAGCATACCTTATTCACTGGAAAACAGACAAGTGCTCTGTTTTACTGCTTTATTCTTGAGTAAAACTTTTATGTTAATTTCAAGTTATCCCCACAGCTCTGCTCATTGCCCTCTTCCTTTTTTTTTTTTTTTTTTTTTGGCCAGATTTAATTTCCTGTTCATACAAAAAAAAGTTGAAATAGTTTCTCTTCACTTGAACTTTAGTAGCAACCCATGACCTATGATGTCATAATGTCTCAAAAACATCTTTGTTTAAAATGTATACTGAATATTCCAATTCATCATCACCACAGTAACTTACCGATTAAGTTTAAAATACAGACTTAAAGCCACGTTAAAACATTTTCAGCGGATTCAAGATAAATTTTAAAAGGGAATAGAAATATTCCTCTGTATAGTTAAATTGGGTAGAATCTTAGTTGGAATCTGAAAATTCTGCAACTTAAGGAAAAAATTGTGGCTCTTAAATTAGGACTGTCAAGTCAAATAGAGCAAACTTGAAACCCTACTTCTATATTTCAATGCTTCTAAGTATAGATGTATAATATACTGGGAGTCATAATATGAAGCAGTTAGTGTTAATTCCTAAAACTTGTTATTCTTTTTACATTCACATATAAAAAGCTGATTTAGATCACTTCAATACCTAACTATATTATTCACAAAAAATATGTACAGCAAGTCATTCTTCAACTGCTTCAGAAAACTGAAGTGAAAATATTTAACATATTTAGTAAGAATTTCCATATCATGTTTTCCTCATCTAGACTTGAAAACTAGAGTAGCAAACAAACAAAAAACTAGAGTAGCACAATTATAAGAAAAAAACTAATCTTTTTTTATTCTTTAAGAAAAAACTTTGGAAATTCTTCTAAAAGACCTTGAAATCACAATGCTGCTGCTGAAAATGCAAGAAAACAATTATGCGAGAAATAGCAAAATGTAAGACTTTGTAGGCTTTTGTTTGTACAATATAAATAGAATGAAATTACAATAATATCATTCATCCCTATGAAATAGGGAAAAAGAATTTATAAGCAAAATAGCTATGTCTAAAAACAAAAGAAAAAGCTTACCCAACATAACCTACTTTTTAAACTAATGCTTTTAAAACAACAAAATCAATTTACATAGTACAATTCAAAGAAACATGAATTGATATTATTAATAATAAATCTTGCCTGGCCTCTACAATTAATAGCAGAACTCTTAATTTCTTTAAAAAATTAAGAAACTTCTTAATTTCTTTAAATGCTAAATAAAATACGATCTGTAATATATAATCTCCTGCCATTATATTGCTCTTAAATTTTAAGTCAATAAACATTCCTACTTTGAATCATATCACTGATATGGCCCAAATAATTGAAGAATTAAAGACATAGCAGCTTCTATTAATAAGTTTAGACTAGTATCGATATACCTTAAAAAAAATTACATAATGCATACTGTTAGTACCTCCACAGGAACATCTGAGGAATTATTCATCTAATTATCTTTGGAGGTCTAGGGGCAAATCAAGCATCTTCTGTGAGTAAGTTAAAAATAAGGAACAATAAGATTTTAAATAAAAATCTTTAGGTTTTAAAGCAATTTGTGACTACTATGTATTCATGTAGCCTAAAGTTAAGGAGAGACTAAGAGGAAGACATTCCCAATGCTCAAATCTTAAAATGTTCAAGCATTTGCAAACCTAATGAATATACTTATATTTCTACAACAAAACAATACTTTGTTTATAAAAATATTTATAGTATGTAAATCCTTTGCACTAGATATTATGCCTGGCACCAGAGCTACCAAGATTATTTGCCATAGGATCATTAACTGAGGAAAAGGACTACTGTTCACTTAGCTATTAGCTATTTATTATTAATACATTAAAGTAACAAGAATTACTCACCAGCCTTCATCAAAATCAATTCTTAAAAGGATATTCAATTACAGGCAAAAAGAACACTGGAGTAAAAATAAGACTCAACTGCTTTGTCTTTGAGCTGTTCTCAGTGAGCACTGTGGGGATGAAGCACTGAGGAAATACACTGTGGTTGTGAGGCTGGCCTGCCACTCTGGAAGTCTGACACCAGACTGACGTCACATCAGAACATGTCATTGCAGCCGCAAATTAAGGCAGCTCCTCCAGGAAGAATCTGTTGTGATTATGCATGCCTTCCAGCCATAAGAGTAAAATATGATTTCAATTCCCTTAAAATTGGCATATAGCATAGGATAAAACACTAAGATATATGGATGCAAATAGTTACTGAAGAAAACGTTTACTGAGTATTAAAATAAACTTAGCTCTAAATAAATGCATATTTCTTGTTTAAACTGTAAGCACCCCAACTAAAATGACTCTAAAAACAGTTTTTCCTGTTTTTTCCAAGATGATATATATTTGTTTCAAAAATTCAAGCAATAAAAGGTATACAAAAGGCTAAAATTGCCTGGAATTCCACCACCCAGAAACGATGATGATGGTTGCTCAGTTTTATTGATCACTTACTATGTTAAGCACTTTACAAATTCATGTGAGCCTCATAACCCAACAAGATAGATTCTATAGTAGTGATCTCCATTTTACTGAAGTAACTAAGGCACAAAGTAGTTAAGTAATTTGCCCACAGTCACAATGCTAATAAGTGATTAAATAGGATTCAAACCCAGGTAGAGTGCCTGCGCTGCCCAGACATTTGATTACCAACGTATACTAACTAGCAGAAAAGGTAAGAGTTGTTAACATCGTGGTGAACATCATTTCAAACCAGAGTTTGTTGGTATTTATTCAACAGAAGGAAATAAAACTATATATGTTTTGCAACATGCTTTCTTTTGCTCAATAATATGCTGTGGACAGGTTTCCATGTCAGCAATTACATTCCTAACTTTCCTTTTGTGATGACTGCTCAGATATCTTTGTGCTTTTCTGTGTTTAGCTATGTAGGATAATTCTCAGAAGTGGAATGGATAGGTCAAAACACGTGCATGTTTTCAACATTTACACACACTATCCTCCAAAAAGAGGTAACAATGTATATTTGTACCTCAGTGCATTAAATTTCTCCTTTCCCCACATTTCAGCTCATATTGAATACTGACAATTATTTTTCTTCTTTGCAAGAAAGCCATTGCACTGTTTTAATTGTGTGTGTGTATGTTTTAATTTAAAGTGAGGTTAAACCTTTCTTCATATGCCTATTCACACAGAAAGCAGTACAGCTTAAAGGTCAAAAGCACATCAGCTATGAAGTCAGATGACCCCAGTTCAAGCCCAGCTCCTTTTCTCAACAGTTTTCTGACCACAGGCAGGTTACTTAGCCTCCCCGTGACTCCATTTCCTTACTCAGAAAATAAACATAATAATGTAATACTCATGAGATTTTTCTGATTATTGTATGAGAAAAACCATGTCAAGCAATTAGAACAGTGCTTACCACATTGTAAGTGTTTAATTAAATGCTGACTGACATTTAGTGGCTGACTGTATTTCTTCTACAGTTCATGCCCTTTACCCAAAATGGGGATTTTTAACAGTGTATGGGCAAACCATTTTACAAAACATATTGTACATACCTTGTTAGAATGCTACTGATATAAAAATTTTTAGATACCTCAATCTGAGTTGTCTTACAACTAAATCTAGCACGCAACATAACTGGTGCTAAAACAAATTCCTTTCATATGAAACTGCTGTAACAAAAATTAAAAATAGCATCTCAAGTTGAGAAAACAAAATTATTTCATCATGTAATTTGAAATATAGATAAGCAAGCCAACACAGTTTGCTATAACCAGAAGGGTTTGCATATGTTTTAGAGAAGTAGTGATTCATGATCCTTCTCATTTTTTTCAGTGAAGGCTTTGTTAGTTTCAAATATGTTCAAGTTTAAACTCCTCATACAATAAAAGAAAACAAATCCATTCTCAGAAACATGAAAAAGAAGTCAATGAAACAACTTTTCCACAGTTCTAAAAGCCAACGACAGCCCCCTTTAAAAAACATAAATCAGAGAAACTAAAAGATAATAAAAAACATAAACCATAACCTATAAATACTGTATGAAGATTAAAATATAGTAAGCTTACTATCCTTACCCCCAAATCAATTTGATCTTCTATTATATAATAAAGCCTTCACTGTTCTCATCAGACAGCTGTAACAAAACACCTCTAAAACTTACTGAGAAGGAATTTTGTATTATCCTGGCAGAGTTGGTTTAGGTGTATTCACTGTTGCATATGCTATAAGATCACCCCATTTGAAGGCAGACATTTTTGTAATAAAATTGCAGCACAATGTTTGCATAATCACACAGTGGTATGGTGGTTCTGCATATGGCTGCCAGGAGAAAAACAATACATCGAATCAGCAGGGATGTGTCAAGAGACTCTGGAAGCTTATGAGGGATACTAAGAGGCATCAAGTCAACCAAGTGTTTGGCTTATGAAGTTACCAGCACCCTGCACAGCTTCTGTAGAACCTGTGAAGGTCAGGCCCTTTAATACAGCCACCGTTTACAGAAGGACTGCCACAGGGAAAACACAGTTGTGAAGGGGGCCATAAGATAAGGTCCCTGCTCTCAAGGCCCTAACAGCCTGAAGTGACAGTTTAATAAGAAGGAGAAAGAGCTGTAAACAGATCATTATAACACAACCTCATTTGTAGAGCACAGAAGAGGAAATGGCTAAATGCCTGGGGGAATCTGGAAAAGGCTTAACAAACTGACAGCTGACCTGACTGTTTCAAGAGGCGATTTCAGTTAGAGGTAGCAGTAGTTATAAAAGCGCAAATCTAAGATGTAATCTAAATTTTACATTTAAAAAGGATGCCCTGTTAAAGAGAAACTATTCATTTAAGGAAAAGAATAGGTTACAAATAGGGCAATTCTCACAAGTTCCTTGTAAAATTCTGCCCAGTTTTCCCCAAATGTCACTGATGACAAGTTTAACTTTCTCAATTCTGCCCAAACCACGTTTTAGGAAAAGAAGCTGAGGTAGACTGCGGATCAATGCTCCACTACTTCGTGAGAGCTAATAAACGTCTTTAAATCAAGGGGAATCCTAAATCTCAATTAATCCTGATTCTCTTTTCACGTTATCTCTATACTATAGGTGAAGAACAATGCTTCATTAAAAAGCCACAGAAAAAATCCAGTGAGGGCCTCCAAAGTACTCTCCACCAAATAACGTTTCAGCACATTCCTCAGCAATATTTGTGATAATGACTAAAGATCTAATTGTGATATTTGTAATTTTTCAGCCCTTATGTTACTTTACTTCTCAGTGCCATTTAAAACTTTGACCACTCTCTTCTTCAAAGTGCCAGCCTTGACCTTGACTTAACCTAGTTTCCCAGCATTCACTCTAGTAAACAGGCTTATGTTCAAACAACTAAATCCAGCATTGAGGTGTTCTGAATACCGTAAATTGGTACCAATTTACTCATCACACATATTTAAAGTAGTTCTTTTAACGGTTAAGAAACAGATCTCCTACCAATCTCTTTTCCATACAGTACCTAACAGTGCTGTACGACATGATGCATGCAAATGTTTCATCAGTTGACTACTGATTTTTATTGCCTAGGTCATTTAATACAAATTGTTCAGATCAGAAAAATACTAGTACGAGAAAAGCACAACTGCACATTAAATCCCAAGTTTAAACAGAGGCAAAAATTAAGGATAATGAAAACCTCCTTTCTCACTTTTTCCCAAATTTCCAAATTCATTTATTTTGGTATAGCACATACCATTTGTTCATGACTTAAAAAAAGAAAAACCAAAGTAACACTAATTACAAAAGTAAATTTTAAAATAATTTGAAAATATAGTGTCTTTCTCTCTCTCATATCCTCATTATCTTCTGCTAAAAGTTGGTAATCAGGTAAGGGGTAAATCAGCTTACAGAAATTAAACTCTCACACCTAATGATTACCTGAGGTAGGTTTCAAATATCCCATGAACTTATGGCACAGGTAACAACTATATAAACTGAAGTAGAGTATAAGAATAAACTCTATGCCACCAAGGAAGACAATCGACATGGGTATGGGGCCAACAACTTCTAAACACAATGTCAGTCTAGTCATCCTCATTTGATACTGACATAATAGTTCAGATATTTTTCATCCACTACCCAAGAAATGTTCAAGGGTTGCTCCATGCTATCATCTTGGTTTTCTTTTAGAGGTGAAATTTCACTACACAGCAACTCTTAGAAACAGTAACTGGAAGAGTTGAATGATTTAAGAATCAAATGAATCCATAAACACCTGCTTAGGAAGAGACCATTTATAATGAGAAAGCCCTTCATACACTAGAATCTTCCTCCTCAGAGAGTGACAACTTCTAAAATACATTTGCTTACTAATGGGATTCAGAACTGTTTAATTTGAAAATATCAAGTTTTCAAGTTATCAATGACGAGTTACCCCTCTAAGGCCAGTTTAATAAGAGACTTAGACATTTTTTATTCTCCTTATTTCTTCCAAATCCTTTCTAAATTCTTTCCACTTCTTGTACGAGATTAGTAGCCACAAGTTCCTCCTTCTGAACTCTGTCATAACTTGCATATCTCACTAATTTACATTATTCAGGTCCAGCTCAAATGTTACCTTCTCAGAGAGATCTACCCCAATCTCCCTCACTCAGGTAGTTCCAGTACTACATATTAGGAACAATCAGCATAACCAACAAAATTTAGAGACATGGGTACTTCCATCTCAAATAATCTGTTAATATAAACTATCTTGCACAACAGATGGAAAGTATGTACTCATGGAGACTGGACTAACATCTAATAAGTTCATTCATACAGCCAAATACAAACCAAAATGAGAAATACAATCTAAAAAGCAGCAATTATTTGAGCAATAAAACTAATCCTATTTCTTCCCCGTGTCCTTGTTTTCATAGGGCATCTCAGCTTCTGAGCTATAGGAGAAATGTGTGGTTATATTTATATCCCCTTTGGCATATTTAAACTCTATCTTTGGGTGCTTGAAGACAATTTTTCTCGATGGAAAAAAACAGATTGAGTGGTGATTCTTTTAATGGAATCTTTACATTTTCATCTTAATCACTACAGTTCTAGAAAAATTTCCAGTCAGAGTATATATGCAACAAATGTAGTATAAAAACTTAAATTTACTGATTTTATAATTAAATATATAGTAGTAATAAAAAATTAGGTTTGTAAAAATTTGTGCCTTATGAAAGATAATCTTCAAATTCTAGCATGATAAATTCTGATTCAAGAACACGTTGATGAATATGAAATCATAAATATGATGAATATAAAATAACTCAAGCTTTATGAGTATTTATATATATATATGTGTACATATATAAATATATATACATATATATGTGTACATATATAAATATATATACATATATATGTGTACATATATACAAATTTAGTTGTAGTTTCCTTACCTAGGTCCTAAGTATAACCTTTTGGATGAATATACATTTCTTAAAATGGACAAAAATTGCACATATTTATGTGAATGTACACTTGTGAATGGTAGTTTGTGACTTACACTCTAACTGTATATAAAATGATTTTCATTCTAAAGGAAATAAAATCTAACTCGTTTTCTACAGAGTCTGATTTACTAACAATATCTATTATTCAAGTACTAACAGTCAATTCTACACTTGTACCATCTGCTTGGAAGATACATGGTATGTTTTTGATGTAGGAATAGAATTAAACATATGATAGTGTTACCAGTTTCATTATCATCAAAAAAACAGGCCTCAAAGAAACTCTTACAATGGTTGCTTTGTGTGTTAGCTTGATTTACTTATTAAGAAACTCCTGTTTACCCTTTTGTAGGGAAGGAAGAAAATACCCATGTTTTAAAAAAAACCACAGTACAGGACAGACTGTGTTATGGAGACTCATGATTAAGACACAGCCTTAGGACCTAAAAGACAATTCTATCTCTGCAACAAACTCAATGAAAGGTCCTGAAAAAGTAACTGACTTCATAAGTTGTCCTTTACTCACCATGATATTGAGAGGTGACAGTGTGGTGGCAGCCCTCGCGTGCTCTCAGCGCCTCCTTGGCCTCGGCGCCCACTCTGGCCGTGCCTGAGGAGCCCATCAGCTTGCCACTGCACTGTGGGAGCCCCTCTCTGGGCTGGCCAAGGCTGGAGCCGGCTCCCTCTGCTTGCAGGGAGGGGTGGAGGGAGAGGTGCCGGTGGGAACCGGGGTGCACGTAGCGCTTGTGGGCCAGCGCAAGTTTCAGGTGGGCACAGGCTCCGCGGGCCGCACTCAGAGTGGCCGGCCGGCATTGCTGGCCCCAGGCAGTGAGGGGCTTAGCACCCAGGCCAGCAGCTGTGGAGGGGGCGCCGGGTGCCCCAGCACTGCCAGCCTACCCGCACCGTGCTCAAATTCTCGCCGGGCCTCAGCTGCTTCCCCACAGGGCAGGGCTCTGGACCTGCAGCCCGCCATGCCCGAGCCTCCCCTCCGCCATGGGTTCCTGCACGGCCCAAGCCTCCCCGACGAGCACCGCCCCCGCTCTGCGACGCCCGGTCCCATCAACCACCCAAGGGCTGAGGAGTGCGGGCGCACGGCATGGGACTGGTGGGCAGGTCCGCCTGCGGCCCAGTGCGGGATCCACTAGGTGAAGCCAGCTGGGCTCCTGAGTCTAGTGGGGACTTGGAGAACCTCTATGTCTACCTAAGGGATTGTAAATACACCAATCAGCACTGTGTCTAGCTTAAGGTTTGTAAATGTACCAATCAGCACTCTGTATCTTAGCTAATCTGGTGGGGACCTGGAGAACCCTTATGTCTACCTAAAGGATTATAAATACACCAATCAGCACTCTGTGTCTAGCTAAGGGATTGTAAATACACCAACCAGCACTCTGTATCTAGCTAATCTGGTGCGGACTTGGAGAACCTTTATGTCTACCTAAGGGATTGTAAATACACCAATCAGCACTCTGTATCTAGCTCAAGGTTTGTAAACACACCAATCAGCACCCTGTATCTAGCTCAAGGTTTGTAAATGCACCAATCAGTGCCCTGTGGGGACTTAGAGAACTTTTGTGTCTAGCTCAGGGATTGTAAATGCACCAATCAGCACCCTGTCAAAACGGACCAATCAGCTCTCTGTAAAACAGATCAATCAGCTCTCTGTAAAATGGATCAATCAGCAGGATGTGGGTGGGGCCAGATAAGGGAATAAAAGCTGGCTGCCCAAGCCAGCAGTGGCAACCTGCTTGGGTCTTCTTCCACACTGTGGAAGCTTTGTTCTTTCGCTCTTTGCGATATATCTTGCTGCTGCTTACTCTTTGGGTCCGCACTGCCTCTATGAGCTGTAACACTCACTGCGAAGGTCTGTAGCTTCACTCCTGAGGCCAGCGAGACCACAAACCCACCGGGAGGAATGAACAACTCTAGACAGGAGGAACAAACAACTCCAGACATGCCACCTTAAGAGCTGTAACACTCACCGCGAAGGTCTGCAGCTTCACTCCTGAAGCCAGTGAGACCAGGAGCCCACCAGAAGGAAGAAACTCCGAACACATCTGAACATCAGAAGGAACAAACTCTGGACACGCCACCTTTAAGAACTGTAACACTCACCGCAAGGGTCCGCGGCTTCATTCTTGAAGTCAGTGACACCAAGAACCCACCAATTCCGGACACAATATTGCATAACAGACACAGTCATGTGGTCTCATGTCAACAACTCTAACCAAGACCATCTGCCTGCCAACATCAAGTTTTACTGGGGTATGGCTATTTTCCCTTAAAACCAAACAAAAAACAAACTAAACATTTCTCTGCTATGAGTGACTTAAAAAACAAAAACAAGTTTTAACTTGCCACACTTCTACATTCATATTTCTGATACTGGAGGGCAGATTTCTTTGTCTGTTTTTACACTTCATTTGTATAAATTCCTTTGTCAACAAGTTTTTTCTTCCCTTTTAAATGAAACCACTTATCCTTATTTTGGAAATCTATTGAAAATGTTACACATACTGCTGTCTAGTGTTAAAAAAATCACATAAATGGTTTGAGATTTGATTACTTGGCTAATAGATTTTTCATTTGTTTAGCAAATATTTAGAGTGTAATGCTTTTTCCATAAAATAAGCATTTTTTCTAGATCCTGTAGGAGAATTAAAAAATTAAAAAGAAAAAAAGAGAATGTCTAGGTGTGGGTGGGTAAGTGGAATAGATAAGTACAGAAGTAAAATACAAGTGAGAATATTAGATATGCTACTGCACAAATGGACTTTGGCTGCCTAGATCAGAATTCTGGATCAGGTCTGAGGAAAACTATTGTACGTCTCTGTGCCTCAGTTCTTCCTTCATCTCTAGAATGGGTCTAATAACATCTTCCTCATATAATTGTTACGATGAAACAAATGAAAACATTACAAGACTTACAACAATAGTGTCTGACATATAATTAGAGCTCATTTTGCAATAGCTATTGTTCTAAAAGACATGTAGATCAGAAAAAAACAGAGAAAAATATAAATAGGCTTTGAGTTTGAATCCTATAAAGGATAGGTAGGATCTGGAGAGTAGAAAACAGGAAGTCATGATGCAAATATATTGGGGTAAAAATGAAATGGTTAGTTTGGCTTAGTTGTATAATGCAATGGCTTAGTAAGGTATATGAAGAGCAGGACTGAAAGGTTGTGAGTATTAGACAAAGGGACCTGGTGTAACATAGTAGGCCACAAACAGCTACTAAAGAGACAAGGGTTATAATCAAAGGAGATTTATCAGCAGAGGACCATAAGTCACATGGAGGATTGGCAAGGATTTGGATTTATCACAAATGCCCTTGAGAAAGCTGATTTTCCCATGAAGTAGTTTCACTTACTGTGATGCAGGGCTTATACTAAGGACCCACCACAACAATTAAAAGCACTAAGCTGGGATCTTAGCGGGCTCCCATTGTCCAGAGGTGATGCAGTGAATGACTACAGAAATGAATATGAAAGAAAATGAGATGTGATATGAACTTAAGTTCACATCACAAAACAAGTTTGACTTAGCTTATATTACTGTTTAGATTTTGAATGAAACGTTCTCTTATAAAGGTTTTTGCAAAACAGCTGCTACTGAACTCTAAACCTGGTTAACCTTCAACAACTGCTGCTGTGGCAGAGATCGGTCATTGCTATCCACTGCCCATTCTTTTTTTCTTGCTCAACTTTATTCAGGGAAGGAATGCACCCTGCAAAAGTACTACATTTCCTGGCTTCCCTTGCAACTAGGTACAGGCATGTTAATTAGGCACAGCCAATGAGGTGGGGGACCTTAGGAAATTAATTCATTTGCCCTTCTGATTTTTATACCTTCTGGACATAATGAGAGCCATTTCAGAGCATGAATTAATCTTGAGAAAATCACTCACATTCTAGGACAGTAAAGCAGGAAAATGGAAGGAACTCTGATTCCAACCCTGGAATACTTATCTCTGGGACTGCTTTACTTGAAAGAATAAACTACTCTGTGTTTAAACTACTCACAGAAGCTCTTCAGCTTAAACCAATTACTGGCATGGGGAACAGGATTAACTCTACAAGAATAACTATTATTTAGCCCCTGGGGCTGAGGAAGCTTACCTTCCCAGAGGACATGAGGGAAAAAAAAAAAAAAAAAGAAATCACTAGAACAAAATTGGGATTCTTTCCAATAGGAAGAAAGTTGGAAGGAAGAGTGGATAGCAATTTGGTAGGCACCAAGAATGGTCTATCACATTCTGTGACCCCCAAAAAAGTACATTTAATCAATGGAAATGTAATTTAAAATGAAAAAGCCAGTTCTGTGTATTAAGAAACTGAAAACATTAACAATGAGCAACAAAAGATTAAGCTGCCAAAACTTTAAGTTCTGCATAATAGAAAACATCACAAAAGAGGTATGGAACTGGGAACTGGAAGGATATAACCGACTTCCTTATACAGTAAAATTACTGTCAATCAAGTAAAAAAAAACTTAAAAATTGCTATCCAGAAAGATTCTCCAATTCTAAATAATCTGTATAACTCTTTGATTCCTAAATTGGCTAAATATTTCAAAAATGTTACCTACATATTAGATATAAAAGACAAAACAAGAAAGGAATAAGGCATAATAATTTAAATAACAGAGCACATTCAGTTCTTAAACACTGTTCTTAAAAAGTATGTTCAGATGACTGAAGATCAGACATAAAAAATTACGACTATCCAAACACAAACTTTAAAAATGGACCAGTTTCACAGCTTTTCTTTGAAAAATTTCATAACAATATATGCTAGTGTTACCTAACTATAACAAAAAATTCCAGATTGTTCACAATTTAATTTGGAAGTCCAAGAGTCAGTTCAGGATCTCAGCATAAATATTTAGTGTTGACAGGAATGTAAATGGTGCAGGTGCTATGGAAAACAGTTTAGCTCAAAAAGTTGGACACAAAATTGCCATATGACCTAGCAATTCAACTCCCAGGTATATATACCCAAATAATTAAAAACAGGTATTCAAACAAATACTTGTACATACATGTTCACAGCAATACTATTCATAATAGCCAAAAGGTGGAAAGAACCCACATGTCCAATCAACAAATGAATGGAAAAACAAAACGTAGCATTTACAAATGATGGAATATTATTCAGCCATAAAAAGGAATGATGTACTGATACATGCTACAACATGAATCACAAAACCATTATGCTAAGTGAAAAAAGCTAGACACAAAAGATCACATATTGTAGAATTTCATTTATAAGAAATGCCCCAAATAGTAAATCCATAGAGACAGAAAGCAGATTAATCTTTGGAACTGGATAGAGGTGATGGTTGCATTCCATTGTGAATGAATGTATTAAATACCAATGTACTGTACATTTTAAAACGGTTACTTTTACACGATATGAATTTTACCACAATTGAAAAATAACTAACGTAGCATTAATATGAAATATGTAAAGATCTGAAGGAAGATGTGCATTGGAATTTAATCAGTTCTAGTTAGTAGGATTTTGACTTGCTTTAATCGCACAATTTTCTACAATTTTTTCCCAACTGAATATATCCTGGGATGATCTTCATTACTTCCAGCCCTCTAAGAAGACTTAAAATGTGAGTCTACATTCAGATTAATCCCCACACTGCAAATGGAATTGCCAAACTGCACATCCAACTTGTTCAGAAGACAAACAGGTTAAAAAGCATTCTGATCTAAACCACAAATGAAGGAGATCCTAATAATTTACAGTTATGAAGATCCTTGAGGAAACTTTTTGGTAGTTTGGGACCCTCTAACATCACCTTATAATGCTTTTGTTGCTTCTCATGAGAAAAATGGGTTTAACAGATTGTTTCCTACTGTCTTGTTCTTCTACAAGGATCAGAGTGGTCCTCTCTAGAAGGCAGACCATACAGCATAATGTAACGAGGGAAAATAATAAGCAAGAACTGCAAATTCTGTACTAAAACTCCACAAATGCTAAAACTAAAACCCCATATTTTCTAGAATTTTACTTGTTTGCAAATTTTCAATTAAAAAAGAGACAGAAAATTAAAATCCTACCCTCAGATGTTTTAGATGTAGTAAGCAAATTCTGCACTGGTCCACAATTTCTGCTCTGAGGAACGTTATGAAAAGGACTACATGCTCTGACACACGCAGTAGGCAATGGTTTATCATCTCTCCCCAAAGATGGAGTAAAAAGGAGCAGTTTTGTGGCCGTGAAATATTGAGACTCTCACCTTTGGGAAAGCGGACTGAAAGTAGCTGTAAAAGGACAAGTACTGATGGGCACTTCCTACTGTATGGAATCAAGGGATTGCAAAAACCCTTTCCACTGGTATCTGTCCTTCATTGTCTTAAAACTGCCATCCCGTTGTGGCTAACAGAAGAGATAACCCCAATTTTAACAGATTCTTTTCTCCCCTTTTTATGGCGATGAGGTCTTGCTATGTTGCCCAGGCTGGATTCACAGTCACAATAGCACACTATAGCCTTGACCTCCTGGCCTCAAGTAATCCTCCCACTCCAGCCTCCTGTCAGCTGAGACTAAAGGTGCACACCATCATGCCTGGCTAAAACACTAATTTTTTCCAAGTAAATGTCAAAAACATTGCTTTTAGAACGTGTATACTGTATCTATATATTTAAAGCCATATACTTTTGAAATATCACTATCATTATGTAATGAAATGTAATTTTTATTTCATTAGAACACTGAATGATGGTCATTGAAAATGCTTTAAGCAGAGATAGTCACTGAAGCAAATTGTCTAAAATTCTGTAACTTAGTCATATTTATTTAGAAATATTTCATTAAACTCTCCAAAACTGAAGGCCATTTAAACTTATTTTATGCAACAATTTTTAAAAAAATTTTTCATATGGCCCTATTTGGTTGTAAAGAAGGTAGGTGTTCCTTGGGATAATGTTTTACTATGAAATGCAGAAAACTGGTTTATACCATGTAAGAGCAAAACCCACTGATAATGGGCAAGTGAGTGGGAAAAGAAGTTAATGGTAGAATTCTGCCCAGGAAAAAAACAAAAACAAAAACAAAAGTCATTCAATTAAACCAGACTTCCAAACTTCATCATTCCTGGATCTCATTGAACTTGAGTGCCACATGTACTATTAACCATACTTGAGAGTTACTTTATTAAAAAAGCAACCTAGTCTCATCCTAAGCAGTATCCGCAAAATTGCAGATTTTTATTCAAAAAATAGCTATAGTTTTCTAACACACAATATTAAAATGAGAAAATTTCATCCACATACTACCTTGTTACACTGTAATTAACTTTAAAACACTTTAGTATAAACAGTGGAGGAAGACAGTTAATCTATTAAATATCCTATTAATGATTCACATTCAAGGAAACCTAGACAACAATCACACAGGCACTACAAGTATCACTAACTAATTCTGTATCAGAAGGTTCATTAATTAGCATAAGGGATGTTGGAAATATTTTTTCACAGTGAGATGAGTGATATTCAAAGTATGTGGCTGGTTCTCTAGTCTTTACATAAATAAGAAACAAGATCCCTGGCTATCCTGGAAGCCAAACAACTTTGGAGTAGCGGTCCAGCAAAGAATTTTACTTGGCTCTTCCTCCCTCACAGTGAAGGATTCTGCTGCTTGACCCCATTAACTGAGCTGATCCCTCTGCCAGAATATTATGTTTTGAGTTAATCTCTGATGTAAGATACTTGCTGGAATGCCTAAAAAGAACAGAGAGGGACTCTATTCTTATAGGAACAGTTTAAATGACCATTTTTATACCTATTACAAATGCCCAAATTTGTTTATCTCAGCTCACAACATACCTAAAAATCATTTTATATACTATCGGTGATATGTATACCATGCTTTGGGAAAAACCAAATTAAACCTGTACAAAGAAAAAGTGAGTAATTTAAATATAACAAAACAAACAAGTATGGCTGTGGATTGAAAGTCCCAGATTTCCCAGATAAGTTACTGGTGTTCTAAAGTATTGGTATATGATCTCACAACGAAAACAACTATATAAACATTCCTAGAGTACCCTACTTATTTTACTCTAATACTTTTTAAAAAAACAAAAACATTTTAACAGCTGAAATTAAGAAACAGCTGAAATTAAGAGGCTTCTTTCATATCTGATGGATTTTATGATCACTGTCCACCAGGTGGCAATTATGATATTGTTTTCATTACCCATGTATGCTTGAATAACAGAGGTAGAGAGTGTGTTAATGTCTTGGCAACCCTAGAGACAACAGCAGAGCACACATTTCCACTTAGGAGCCACGGGTTGTAGCGGGAGGCACTCAGCAACATTTTGGATACAGGGATCAAAATTAGGCTAGGCCTGCCTAACTGCAAAGCTATCTGGAGGGTATCAGGTTTGATGTCACACAACAATGAAAAAAAAAAAAAAAAAAAGACAAAATTTCACTCACATCTATTGTTTCTTCCTTCTCCATAAAACAATCAAATGCTTACTTAATAATATCCCTTGGATTATATGAGCTGATTCACTGCAAAAATTTAGGCCAAAATTAAAGCAAACTGGCAGCTACCCCCCGAAGTGTGGTGTTCAATCGAGTGAATGTCTTTGGCAGGGTAAGCAGAGACTCCACCACCTCCTACTATATTACACTTCACCAACTGCACATATTTACAGCATCTGCCCAGCTCTCAAAGGCATTTGAGCTTGTCATTCCAGAATTAAAGAGTAGCTAAAAGAAAACCTGATGTGCTGACATTTCAAAAATCATTTACACATCCCTGTGGGTCTGACTCAAACACATATTTTCTCCGGTACTGACTTTCCACTTCCTCTTATTTATATATTATTAATTGATTGCCTTTTTATTATAGGCCATTTCAAAATCTTCATAGGAAGAGGCTGGTTATGACTAAGTTGCTATTTCAATCAATAATCATTGAGTATACATTGCAAAAAGGGATGGTGAGTGTGAGGCGTCCGCATGTGTGAGTGCACTCTGTAATTCCCAAAGCTGAGAACGAACAAATCATTAAATTAGGCTCTGCTTACATTTGCAAAGGGAAACTGTACCAAGATTTTTACAAAGCACAAAATTATTTGAAGCATAAAACAGAAATTACAGACACTAGGAAATGAACATAAATATTCCTAAATCCAACCCATCTGTAACTCCAAAGGATTAAAAAAATGTAGCTTTGTTTGAGGATCTTTCTTTGATAATCTCAAAGAAAGCTGGACTGTGGGTGCGTGTGTATAAATATATATAAGTATGTATACAAATATACATATTCATAAATATACATATATATACATACACACACATATATATTTTAGAGACGGGGGTCTCGTTATGTTGCTCAGGCTGTCAGGCTGGTCTCAAATTCCTAGGCTCAAGCAATCCTTCTAACCTCAGCCTCCTGAGTAGCTGGGACTACAGGCACATGTCACCATGCCTGGCAATATTTTTAAAAATTAACTAAAGTCAATTGTTTCTTCAGATTCCCTTAGGTTTCACCCAGTGCTTTTTCTGTTGTAGGATATCACATTACATTTAGTCATCATGTCTCCTTAGGCTTCTCTTGGCTATGATAGTTCCCCAGACTTTCTTGTTTTTGATGACCTTACTGAAATAAAGTATGTAGTTTTGTTTGTCTTTCGTCTTACAGACTCCATACACTTCCAAAGTTAATTAGGTGAGCACCTTTTTTGCCCCATGCCGTTCAGTGAGGTTGTGTCATACATTTGTAATAGGCTCCTTTGTCATAGTCTGCATTCTACCTTGGGATCTCCTTTGACATCCCCAAGGATTTTTTGCATACGGTCGGGTTTTACTTTTTGTGTTGTAAACTTCAATGGGTTTTGACAGACAGTGTCGCATGAACATAATTACAGTGTCATACGGAATAGTTTCACCACCATAAACTCTCCTGCGCTTCACCTATTCAACCCTTCCTCTCACCCCCTAAACCCCTGGTCTTTCCACTCTATAGTTTTGCCATTTCCAGAACGTGTATGGGAATAATACAGTAAGTAGACTTTTTACATTGCCTTCTTTCACTTAGCAATATGCATTTAAGACCCATTTATGTCATTTTTGTAGCTTGACAGCCCATTTCTTCTTACTGCTGAATAATATTCCATTATTTGGATATACCACAGTTTATTTATTCATTCACCCACTGAAAAACATCTTGGTTGCTTCCAGTTTTGGCAACTATGAATAAAGCTGCTATAGACATTCAAGTGCTGGTTTTTGTGTGGACATGTTTTCAACTGATTTGGGGAAATACCTAGGAGCATGACTGCAGAATCATATGGTAAGACTATGTTTAACTTCAGTAAGAGACTGCCAAAATGTCTTCCAATTTTGCATTCCAACCACAATGAATAAGAGCTCCTGTTGATTCACAATCTTGCCAGCAGTTGGTATGGCCAGTTTTTTGAATTTTAGCCATTTTAATGGGTGTGTAGTAGTATCTCACTGTTATTTAATTTGCAATTCCCTACAGACAAACGTGTTAAGCATTTTTTTTGCATGTTCATTTGCCATCTGTGTGTTTTCTTTGACAAAGTGTCTGTTCAAATCATTTGCTCATATTTTAATTGGGTTGTCTGTTTTCTTATTGAGTTCAGATATTTTTAATGAAGGAATTACGCTTTCTGTTAAAATTCACATAATTTGCTAGACAATAGATTACAAATAAATTTCAACAATTTGTCTAGGTCTGCATTTCACACAGGAACCAATAATAAACGACTCAACTTTTCAGTTTTCTTTTTAAAAGCAGCACAAAAAATGGAATCAACCCAAAGGTCACAATCTCTTATGGAGAAGGGATTAAAGATATTAATGTACATTCATAGAAATAGTGCACACCATAGCTTTTAACATGCTAACTATAAATTCTAACTACAATTTGGCTTTATAAAACATCTAAAGTTGTATTGTTTAAAATGAGTCATGAATGACATAGCTTGTCCACAACCGGGGCTCTAGCATACATCTATGTTTCATTTTCATACCTCTGTCAAACTTAATGACGCAGACTGCAAGCTAGATGACGTCAGTTAACTGATAACTTTTCTCAGGAAGTATTGGGCATTTCATCTGGAAATGTGGCTAACAACTATTTAAAGACAATTAACTTCATTTTATGTAGAAATTACAACTGCATTCCATGAACACATATGATTGATGAAAGCATTTACTCAAAGCTTAAAAAAAAAAAGAAAAGAGAAAAAAGCAATTGGAGAGTTTCTTGGACTTTCTCTGTGTGAAATTGTTTCTTTTTCTTTTTTTGGGGGTGGGGTGGGGTGGGGATGGGAGCAGTTTCCAGCATTTTATTATGAAAAGTTTCTAGTTAAAAGTTGAATTAATTGTATGGTTAACATCTATACTCATCATTTAGGTTTTGTAATTACATAACATTGTATTTGTTTACCACACATCTATCTACAATTCTTCTATCAACTCATCTTTTGTGTGAAATTGTTTTTTAGAAAGAAGAAAATTGTTTTGAAAGTATTAACTGTTGTTTTATGGTATGCTTGACAAAACCAGAAAGGTACTTCTATTGTTCCTACTTTTTAAATGACTCCCCCATCCATACCCACACCAAAACCAATTATATAAAGATCTTGTATCAGTTATTTTTCTCTGAATGACACCAGAAATTGAGCCTATACATTAGGTACAGAGAATAACCTTCCCCTCTGAAAAATCCATGGGAAAAAAATCAATTAAAGCCTAAGATTAAAAGCAATTTAACCATATTTTAAAAATAAAGGCATATGTAAAATGTTATATTAGCATGCTTTTAAAATAATAACAGGTAACCTATAAGTATTCAATGTATAGTAACAAATCTCTGTAAATTATGATTGCCAATTCAAGGGAAGAACTTAAAAAAAAAAAAAAGAAGGGAAACAGGAGTATTTGGAATAGCATACATCCAAATAATTCACAAATCTTTTATAATTGTTTCCCAAAACAACACACATACACACACATATATTCAAACACAAAAATAAAAAATAAATACAGTCCTACAAGATTAAAAATAGAAGTGTAATCAACAGAATTGTTACTAAAATGTTTGATTCCATCCCAAGTTTGGAAATATAATTTAAGTCTTATTCACATATACAGTCATCCCTCAGCATGCTCGGGAATTCGGTTTCAGGACCACCTGCCTATATCCAAATCATCACCCCCGTGTAAACCCAAATCAGTGCATATGCAAGTCCTTGCAGAGCCCATGTATGTGAAAAGTCAGCCCTTAGTATATGCAGATTTTGCATCCTGAGAATACTGTATTTTCAATCCTCTTTTGGTTAGAAAAAAAATCCACATATAAGTGGACCAGCGCAGTTCAAATCTGTGTTGTTCAAGGGTCAACTGTAGTTTCTTTTTCAATAAATAATAATTATTTGTAACCTGCACAATGTGCACATGTACCCTAAAACTTAGAGTATAATAAAAAAAAAAATTAAAAAAAAAAAGAAAATTAAAAAGTAAAAAAAAAAATAATAATAATAATTATTTGTGGCCTTTTTTCTTTTTTAAAAATGTAATAACATATAGAGGAAAATGTAACAGAACAGTGATCCCATTGCCCAGGATAATCTGCTGATATACAAAAATAAGTAAACACAATATATACATATAATTAGATAATTCAAAGCTATCCAGGCAACCTTTCTATCAACTGTTTCAGATATACAAATTATTGAAATACTCCTCCATTCCTTTTTACTGGAGAAAAATCAATCATACAACTTTAGACATGTTTTTTACAGAGAAAATATTTTATGGAGAAACATTTTTATTCTACAGGATTTTTGGATATTGCTACAAAGATCATGAATTTATAAATACAGACTAATATGTTCTTATCTCTTATTCTTGTTGTATCTAATGAAATTTAGGTTTCTTTCATAAATGAGAATAAAATGTTATCTATTCAAGAGTTTAGCATTCCAATCTTTATCCTCTATTCTTGCCAATTACATTAAATATATGGCATCACTTTTTAAAAAATCACTGGCATCTTTGACTTTTTTAAATTACAGGGAAGGTTAAGAGCTAGAAGTTAGGCAAAAATAACTCCGTTTTCTCATGTAACACTGGAGGAGAAAACATTTTGTGCAAACATTACTGGTAACCTGTTATAACTCTCTGTGGAGCAATGTCTCGGATGTATCTAAAACAATGCTATTTGACAATCCTATCCCTCTCTGATTAATGTCCCCCAGCCACAGAGAAGCTACTGATTTTTCAACTATTCTTAAGCTTCGAACAAGTCCCAGCAGATAATCTTACTTTCTAATTTACTGAAATAACTTAAATCATCTGACGTCTTCTCTCAACCACCTGTGGTAGCCAGCCCCCAAGATGGTATCCAACAATCTTGAGGCAGTCATCCAGCTAAACTGTAGCAATTTCCTGACCCACAGAAACATTTATTGTTGTTTTAAACACTGTATTTTGGGATGATTTCTTATGCAGCAATAGATAACTTAATGTAATCCATTTAACTATTCTGAAAGCTTGTAAATATTGTTAAGTCCTCAAATTTAAAAAGCACACTTCTTCCCTCAGCTCTTTCATCTTTCTCCTTCTGCCAAACTCCTCCAGAGAGTCCACACCAATCATGCTACTGAAACTGCTTTCTTAAAGGTCAATCAATATTCTCATCATTGCCACATTAATGATCTCTGTTTCTTTCTCATACTGTTGATGTCTACGCAGCTTTTGACGACTGGAAATCTTTACATTCTTGGCTTCCGCAGCACTGAATTCTCCTTAGCTCTGACCCAGGGAGAATTTTCCTACTTGGACTAATTTTCCAACTTCCTTCATGGGCTGTATTTTTATTCATACCTGTTGAACATTTTTATTCTGATTTGCATCCCTACCTTATCCCACAATTGGCATAGTGACAGCAACAAAAGCAACTGGCACAATTAAAATTTATTAAGCATTTATGTGCTCAGGCCGTATGCCAAGCTCCTATCACATATATCATCCTGTACATATTTAGCCTTTCCATTACTCCTTGGTGCCTAAATATTTCTGCAATTCTGGGTAACCTACTGCTTTATTCAATCTTTCCCTTTCTGGGAGTAAACTGCATTCCACACGTGTAATTCTCTTGTTTACTATCATATCAATCATCTCCCTGGCATAGAGAATAATGCTTAACACATAGTAGGTGTTTATGGAGCACAGAGTAAAATATTTGTTGCATGACTGAAAAACCCCATGTATCCCTTTTAATACTGTGTTTTTGATTATAATACGTTTAAAAATCATAATTACAACATGGGGATGAATCCTTGGCGTTGCCATTCTGAAGGTCAAAACCAGTCTAATATTGGCTATTGCATTTACTTAATTTAGACAATATTGTTGTAAGGCAGTCTCACTGCTATGACTATAAAACACAATCAAAATAACTACATCAGTAATTACAGTATTGAGAAAAGAAGTCATGGAGGACTTTTTCTGGAGAGAGAGTCAAGGAAAGAAGGATTAGAAGCATCCCAGGTTATATTTAACATATTAAGAGGTAACAGTAGCAGGCAGACAATCAGTAGTAGATCTGGAAGATAGTAATCACATTTACAAGAAAACATGATAGGAAAAACCTATGTCTCACCTTCATTTTCTCCCTGTCCTAATAACGGTTCTTAGCCCACAGCCATCCAGGCAGTGAATCCCTTAGGTAGTCTAGGCTCTGCCCTTAACAGAACTTTTTTTTTTTTTTTTGAGATGGATTCTCGCTCTGTCACCCAGGCTGGAGTGCAGTGGTGTGATCTGGGCTCACTGCAACCTCCACCTCCCAGGTTCAAGCAATTCTCTTGCCTCAGCCTCCAAAGTAGATGGGACTACAAGTGCCTGCTACCACGCCTGGCTAATTTTTGTATTTTTAGTAGAGATGGGGTTTCGGCATGTTGGCCAGGCTGGTCTCGAACTCCTGACCTCAAATGATCTGCCCACCTTGGCCTCCTAAAGTGCTGGGATTACAGGCATGAGCCACTGTGCCCGGCCAACAGAACATTTAACCACTAGAAGGATCACATTAGTTTAGGACCTCTAAGAATCACCTATATTAAGATGAGTTCAATGTTACTCTCTTAGATTTTTTCCAAAGACAGCTGTAATAAAAAACCAAAGGAAGCCTGCCTATTTAGCTGCAAAAATTTTGTACAGCAAATTGTCTATTATACCACCCAGTGTTCCTAAATAAAAACCCACATGAGAAATTCTATTCAAGGAAAAACTGTCTCTCCGGATAAACCAAAATGCCTCTTCTTTCTGACAGCATGGTAACTTATATTTCCCTTTTACAATGGGAAACGGAGCTAAAACTGAAGTTCAATTACAGCAATGTTATTGACTTCTATGTTTAGCAAGTCGGTATTTTGTGATTTTCTTTACTTCTAAACTTATCTATATTTTATTGCTTACACTTATCTTTTAAGTTTTCTAGAAAAAAACAATAAAAATAAATGTAATTCATACCCAACTCAATATTATACAACCTTTTCTAACACATCTTATTTGTAAGTTGGGGGCTGACTTGTTGTTAAATTACCATTTTACCTTTGGAGACACAAATTTAGTCAGAAAGCCAAAAGTCAGTGCTTCTTCAAGCTATTGATATTATATTTACCATGTTGGCAATTATTAAGTGCCTATTATAGCTCTTGTTGGCTAGAACAATTTTTTTAAACTTGCTGAATTACTTGAGACTAAATTTAAAACTGCTAAAATTTTTAAAGGGGTCTCAGAGTAGAACAGGGCTCTTTATATGGCTTATTTTATGAAATGTTCTCAGAAGAATATGATTATATGATTTCAAATATAAGAATGCTTTACAATTTTTAAAAAGTATAACTTGAAGTGACAGGGGATGCTGTTATCCAAACTACTATATGCAACGCCCCTTACCTCCACACACATGAGGATAAAATGTTAGCTGTTAACATGTCAGAGGACATATTTCCCTGGCCATTTCTGCATGCTAGAAAGCACTAAACACTCAATAAATAGTTACTCAGCGTCTGGATTCTATTATAGCTTCCATATTATTTATAACTCATAACATATTTTTATATTTTACATTTAAAAAAAAACTTTTGGCTAGCTGGCTAACCTAAACCAGCTTAAACTGACAAGGAAGTTCCAAGTAGTGCAAAAGAAGAAATAGTTTTTAGTAAGCAGATACATTTTAGAGCAATTTTTTTTTTTTGAGACGGAATCTCACTCTGTCTTCCAGGATGGAGTGCAGTGGCACCATCTCAGCTCACTGCAACCTCTGCCTCTCAGGTTCAAGTGATTCTCCTGCCTCAGCCTCTGGAGTAGCTGGGATTACAGGCATGCGCCACCACACCCAGCTAATTTTTTATTTTTAGTAGAAACGGGGTTTCACCATGTTGGCCAGGATGGCCTCGAACTCCTGACCTCAGGTGATCCGCCCACCTCGGCCTCCCAAAGTGCTGGGATTACAGGCATGAGCCACCGCACCCAGCCAATTTTTTTTTTTTTTAAGGAAAGAAATATGCTGCTTTCAAATGAAAGGCAGCATCTACCCATGCAGATTGAATGATGTGATGAACAATTCATGGTTTTCACTTTCAGATGGGCTCTTAACACCATCTGGCAGACAACTCTTTCATTTGCTTTCATTCTCCCTTTAGCAGCTATTCTAAAATTTTTGTCACTCTCCTTAAGCCACCATCCTAATCACTCCCATGCCCCAAGCAAATATTTGTTGCCCTCAAATCTTAGGGTAGTTAAGTCCACCCTCCATCATATGTCGCTGGATCTGTTTTCTTCCCAACATCCCTGGCACCTTGTCCTAACAACTGGTTCTTCTCTTCCCTCCATCTTCAACCTTTTCTCTCTACTGGCTCCTATGTACCAGCTGAAAAACACACTTTAGTCACTCCCATTCTTTGATGTTGTTGAATTTCTCTTTTCCTTCTCAGTCAAAAAGGCTATTTGTACTTCTCACTTCCTCCCTCCCACCTCTTTCCCTCCTCCATTAACTGTAATCTTAATTCTATTCTCCCTATTGCCTCAGCAAAGGTCACTGATGTCTCTTTAACTGACAAAGTCAAAAGGTGCTTCTTGGTCCGCATCTCAAAGGACTGATGTGTAGCACCTGAGACAGTTAACACTCCCCTCTCCTGGTTTTCCTAATCTCAGTCCTCTGGTTCTTTTATGCTAATCACTTCTGCTAGGTCTGCTCTGCTGAATTAGCATTCCTTTACACAGCAGCTAGACATTTGTTTCTTTTATGGTTCTACCTCCAAACCTACTTCATTTTACACACTCCATCCTTAAGTGGTTCAATCCATTCCTTATTAACCTTATCATTCAATAACAATATTGATGTTTTAACTAAACCTTTACATTCTAAATCTATTGCTCTGATAATATTAGTATTATCATAATTATTATTATTTTGTTGTGTACAGCCCTATATCCAATTTTTGCTTCTCAACAAAAAGAATATCCTATCTACATTTCAAACTTAAAAGGTCCAATCTTCATTCCCAGTTAAACCTGTTTTTCCCCTGAAAATGTCTCATCTCAAACACAATTCAAATGCCAGAGAGAACAGTTCTCCCTCTCACATTCGCTACCTGCCATCCCAGTTCATCAAACCTAACATTCCATCTCCTTAACTTACGTTGTATTGATCTATCTCTATTTCCACTGCCACAGTTTAAAATCCTTGTCCCATTTTCAACTGTACTATTTCAAACATTAAGGAATCTATGCCCTATCTCCTCCTCCTTCAATTTGTCCTCCACACTGCTGCAAGTTTCTCTAATATGCAATTTGTCCTGTTCTGCTCCCCTACTGAAACCCTTAAAAATGACCCTCACCAAAGCCTGCAGGATTGTCTATGCTCCTTAGCATGGCATACAAGGCTTTTCAGATCTGCCTTCCTCATCTGCCTGTGCTCCCTGCCCCCAAGCACCTCACATTGAATACTCTAGCAGCACTGAAGGACCTGTTCCTTGAAGACATCTATAATCTTTTGGTCTTGCTGTTCACTCTTGTCTAGAGTGCCACACATCCCTGCTTTTCTGCTTAGCAATTTTTTTTTTTCAAAGAAACCATGCTTAGCAAATGCCTATTCATCCTTCAAAACCCAACACAGACATAATCTGCTCTGAGAAGCCACCCACACCCTCATATCCTTGGGCAGAAGAAATCGTTCCCCATCCATGCCGCTGCACACAATACACATACTTCTCTCTCACTGTACGCAGCACCTGCTCCAAAGGGATCAGTCACCTTCTTTGAAGATTTAGGTCACCTGGGTCTGGAATGTGTAAATAATCTCATGTTTGTTTCACTATCTGACATAAATGATATTCTTATAGACCCTATTTCCCCTATGTGGTAGATTAGGAGTTGTCTGAATTCTTGGAAATCTAGTATAGGTACTGGAACAAGACTGAAAACAATTCTTCAGTTTAGAGATTAAGAATTTTGGAGTTACATAGATCTGGGCTTAAATTCTAACTCTGCCACTTACAGTCTCCGGGAGCCTGAAATTAAAAAAAAAAAAAAAACAACAAAAAAAAACCCACTCTCATCATGTTTTCCTCTTTCTGAAATGGGAATGATATCTTCCCTGTAGATGCTGTGAGGATATGTTTGATGAATTTATGAACATACTGGTCATGCAACATTTCAAAAGTTATAAATATTTAAGATTAAAGCTAAACTAATGAGCATGGATTAATTTTTCTTTTTCTTTTTTTCTTTTATTCGAGACAGGGTTTTGCCCTGTCTGCCTCCTGGGTTCAAGCAATTCTTGTGTCTCCGCCTCCGGAGTAGCTGGGATTACAGGCACCCGCCACCATGCCTGGCTAATTTTTGTATTTTAAGCAGAGATGAGATATCACCATGTTGGCCAGACTGGTCTTGAACTCCTGGCCTCAGGTGATCAGCCCGCCTCGGCCTCTGAGTGTTGGGATTACAGGCGTGGGCCACCACACGCAGCCAATTAATTTTTCAAAACCTGCTTACATTTACTTGAAAGTAATGTTTTAACAGATGCCTTATATTTTTGTTTCTCTTTTGACTTTGGTTGATAGCTGCCCCATGTTTAAATTTAAGATGGAATCTCGCTCTGTCTCCCAGGCTGGAGGGCAGTGGCCGTCGCCTCAGCTCACTGCAACCTTCACCTCCTGGGTTCAAGCGATTATTCCACGTGATCCCAACTGTGACAAAGACTTAGCAGATGTGACTGAATTACCAAAGTCACCAATGTTGTGGTAATTTGTTACAGTAGTCATTGGAAACTAATACAAGCCTCCGTTAAATAAAATTTATAGAAGTTCATTGGTTTGGACTGAGCTCCTGCACTAGGCTCAACAGACCAAACCAAAATGGAGTTACTCATGCTGAAGTTCACACCACCAAGCCAAAACCAAGTTGTTTATCTGACCTTCCAAGAAATCGGGAGAGGAATGGAGATAACAGCCAAATCCCCAAGCAGGCCAATTTTAGCTGGCATGATAAGGCAGTACCTCCTGCTTTAAACTTTAAAAAAGGTAAGTAACTTTAAAACAACCAAACTGCTTTTTGTTCTCTGTTTCGGCTTTCTTCAGCCCTTTTCTGTCAATAAAACCAACCTCCTCTGCTCAGCTCATCACAACACTCATTCTGTTTTATAGGATGAGGTCTCATCTGATTCTAGAATTGCAAATAAAAGCCAATTAAGATCTTTAAAATAAATTTTTTTTGTGACTAGGTCATTTGATATCTTCTATTGACTTAAAATAGAAATTTATTTTCTTTCAGCTCTAGAGGCCAGAATTCATGCCAAAATCAGTTTTAATGGGCAGATATTAAGGTGTTGAGAGGGATTCCATAGGCCGTAAAGGAGAATAAGTTCATGGTCGCCTCTTCCAGCTTCTGCATGCCTTGGCTTGTGGTCCCATCACTCCATCTCTGCCTCAGGAGTCACGCTGCTCTCTGAAATTTCCCTCTGCCCACCTCCCCTTCTAAGGACACTTGTGACTGCATTCGCCACCGCCCTCCCCACCAAGATCAAGGAAAACCTCATCTCAAAGTCCTTAATTTAATCACATCTGCTAAGTATTTGCCACAGAAAGTAGCCTTCACAGGTTCTGGGATCAGAATATTATCAGTACACACTCTGAAGTGGGGGAGTATTATTCAACTTGGTGGGGGCAGGGTATGTGTTATAAAACCAAAGAACAAAGTGTAGGGGCAACTCTCTATCTTATTCATATCTTTGGTATATCTGTAATTTTTTACATTAATTATTTCATAATTTTTAAGTATTAAAAACAAGAAAAAGAATATAATGTAATAGTCCTCCATAAACCCTAGACAATACCTCCTTAAGCCTTAAAATACACGGCTAAGTTTCATGTTAATGTCTAGATTTACAGCAGTAACTCTATTGAATGTCATTGTTAAAATTTATAAATAGATCAACTCTTCAAATATAAAAAAAAAAATTGTTTCCTTATCAACTCTTTAGAAAGTGGAGAAAAGGCAGTGAAAATGACAATGTCTCTGACCAATCAGGAAACATATACACTGATTAAGTCTCCCAACATTCACATCCTTTGCTCTATAATTTCTACTTCTTATTAACCTTAGTAATCCATCTCCCAGATAAATTTTGCTGGCTAGATATTAACTGCTGCACTTCTTCCTTTCCTGCCTCTGACAATGTGACCTCAAAGGGAAAATATGTTTCTGATATATACTTAAAAATCATACTTTCTTATTGACTTAAACTATAATTTCAGATATTTATTCTCAAGGAAAATGTATAGCTCCAAAAAATTATGCATAAAAAATCATAGCTCATCTGGAATGGAAAATAACCCAAAGATGTGTGCTAGACAGCAGACAAGCTGTACACCAGACATCAAGAAGAATGGGAGAAGATTCCAATTCCTAAAATCCAGAACTCTTCCACCGGAAATCATTCATGTTAAATGACAACTAATGGGAAAAGTTCCATTTGTATTAATAAGTCACAGGTCCTCTGTTCTGGATTTACAGTCTTTGTTACCTTTACAAAGTAGATTTTGAACTTATACTTTTAAAAATGTCAGAAATAAAAATCTCTGAATATTTGTAACATTTTACTAAGATGTATCAGGGGACTTCAAAACGTCTGTGGAAAAATGAAAGAAAAGATAAATATTATAAACTAATCCTTAACAAAAACTCCATTAAGGTTAAAACACTTTCGTAAATGAGAATATCAGCCATTTAGTCCATCCCTAAATAACTGAGAGCCCTAAGAATTTAACCATGTCAATGTAGTCTTTTTCACGTTATTAACTGAATACAAATGGACATCCGTTAAAGATTTTTTTAACATTAGGAAACAAGAAGTCAGAAGAAGCCAAAACAGGATGATGAGATGTATGCCCCATGACTTCCCACAGAAACTCTCACAAAATTCCTTTGTTTGATGAGAGGAATGAGCAGGAGCATTGTTGTGGTGGAGAGGAACTCTGTGAAGATGACTTCCCAGACATTTCTACTAAAGCTTTGACTAACTTTCTCAAAACTCTCATAAGCAGATGTTATTGTTCCTTGGCCCTTGAGAAAGTCAACAAGGAAAATGCCTTGAGCATCTTTCAAAATCGTTGCTGTGATCTTTGGTCTTGGCCAGTTCACTTTTGCTTTGACTAAACCACTTCCACCTCTTGGTAGCCACTGCTTTGATTGTACTTTGTTTTCAGGACCATACTGGTAAAGCCATATTTCATCTTCTGCTACAATTCTTCAAAGAAATGCTTCAGGATCTTGATCCCACTTGTTTAAAATTTCCACTGGAAGCTCTGCTCTTCTCTGGAGCTAATCTGGGTGCAACAGTTTTGGCACTCACTGAGTGGAAAGTTTGCTCAACTAATTTTTCAGTCAGATTTGTGTATACTGAATCAATCAAGCGGTCTATGGTGGTGCCTCCTATTTCTGCTGTTAACTGTCAGTCTTCAATTAGGGCATGAACAAGATTTATTTTTTCCTTGAAAACTGATGTGGATAGTCTGTTGGTGCAAGCTTCATCTCTAACATTGTCTTGTCCCTTCCTAAAATGAGTTATCCATTTGTAAACTGCTGATTTCTTTGGAGTGTTGTCCCCATAAACTTTTTGTGAATCATCAATGATTTCACCATCCTTCCACCCAAGCTTTACCATAAATTTGATGTTTATTCTTCCTTCAATTTTAGCAGAATTCATGTTGCTCTGATAGGAGTTCTTTTCAAGCTGATGTCTTATCCTTCTTAGTGCCTCAAACTAGGTCCTGTTCAGACTTGCTATAACACATTCATACAGGCTTATTTTGGTGTAAAAAAATTTATTAAATCCATGCATAGTTTTATCACAATATCCATTTTCCATGAATTTTTGAAGTCCCCTCATATTTTTCACTATTTCTCTCTGAATTGCATATTCAATTTCTAGTACTTTATTTTGAGAAAAATATGGCTACTAAACTACCAAAATATCAATTTTACACTAATCTTAATGGAAACTCAATCTATCTCCATTCTCAGGGACAATCATATTGATGTCAAATATTTGAGGCCAACATTCGATCTGCAGAGTACCCTGGGATCAAGCAACTAGCCCATCTCAGGCTCTTAAGTAGCTAAGAATAGGAAGTCTTGCCCCTAGATCTGTTAATATTTGTATCCTCTCTTTTTAGAATAAACAATGATTTGAGAACATGTATTAGTCATTAGGTTACAGCAAAGAAAACTGCTATTTAAATTAGGTTTCAAATTTCACAGGAGTGCCAAAAAATGAGAGCTTAGCTGGAAACCAAATCCAACTATCAATTTTTCAAAATACAATTTAAGAAAAAGTCCCCTAAAGTAGGTGGCTGGGCCAATGGAGCAGACAACAGGTATTCTACGTCCATGAGTATGATGTGTTTCAATGAAGAGGCAGAAGGTTTAAATTCGAGTGAAAAAATGAACTTTTTTTTTTTTTTGAGACAGAGTTTTTGCTCTGTTGCCCAGGCTGGGGTGCAATGGCATGATATCGGTTCACTGCAACCTCCGACTCCTGGGTTCAAGCGATTCTCCTCCTCAGCCTCCTGAGTAGCTGGGATTATAGGCGCCTTCCACCATGCCAGCTAATTTTTGTATTTTTTAGTAGAGACAGGGTTTCACCATGTTGGCCAGGCTGGTCTCGAACTCTTGACCTCAGGTGATCCACCCATCTAGGCCTCCCAAAGTGCTAGGATTACAGGTGTGAGCCACCACACCTGGCCTAGATAAACATTTATTGAATGCCTACTTTGTGACTAACACCATGCTAGGTTCTTTAGAGTATGAGAGTAGGTTCTCTAGAGTAGAGAATGAGTCGAAACTTGTGAGAATTATCAAAGTCTTTACTTGGTTACTATTTTATTATAAATATTTCATGTAGTAGTCATTGACTACACTCCTAGTGGCTTTCAAAAATGCCATTTTAACTTATATAACTATTACAATCACCTTATCTACTAATTATACATTTTACTTCTCATTACCGTGTAATTCTAAGATTACAAAATAGAAGATAAAAAGCAAACTGACAATTTTTCCTTCACTTATCCAGATATTTTAATATAGAAATTCATAGTTACAATTACTGAAATGCTTGCCAAATGTTTAATATTATATATTACAGTTTTTCCTTTTAAAAGTAAACCATATGCCAGAAAAAATTAAGTTCCAGGGTAAGGTTCTGAATAAGATATTAAAGGGCAAGAAGTTCTGCTATGAACAATCCTTTATGGTCTATTATTCCCCAAACGTACTTGACCACAAAACCCATTTTCATCTACCACTACTTAGGATCTTTAAGCACTACTGAGATTCATCAAAATTAAGGAAATAAGTGTTCCTTAATGGGTAGATGTTAAGTTAAATGAGCAGATGAATGTAATGATTTGGAAATCAATAAGATAGATAGGTATATGCTTAATATCTAGAAACCTGGCAAAGACACCCTTGCCATTGGTAATTTTTCTTTCTGTATTCTTCTTTCATTTTCCCAGTATTTCTCCACACTTTTCTTTCATAGATCTTCTATTCATTATTTCTCTTCTATTGATCTATGAAGACTTATGATTAGAGGTATCTGGGACTAAAAAAATAAGAGAAAATAGTATAAAATAGTATAATAATACAATCTTGCCATGAAAATTTTGTGATCATCAAGTTTACAGTGAATATGAGAAAGAAGTTAAAACCACATCTGTCACCATTACATAATACACATAGAATATGTATTTCTGAGATTAGTTTCAAAGACTACAGAGGACTTTATAGATTTTATACACTTGAAATATTTTAGTTGAAAAAAATTTAATAGAATTCGGAAAAGCAATACTTGTTTGTTTTCTTCCCACAATGGCTATTAGCGAATGACTTATCCCCTCATGAATCTTTGTCACAGTCTGTGAAATAATTTTATTGCTTTAGAAACTATAAATGAACCACTTTATTGCCATGGTAAAGTATTACACTAAAAGTAAGTAGAAATAAACAAGGTATGCATCATGTGCAAGGTCAAACAAGTGAGTCAGTATAAAGAAGTGGGAATAGATTTCTTGAGTCCTGTCACCCAGTCCTCATCTCTAAACGCTAACCCTCCCTTTTCATGAATATATAAACTTAAGTATACACCCACCTCCTTCATATGTGCCAATCCTGGAAAATGGCATAGTGGGGGAAGTTCACAAAATAAAGATATTTCAGGAAAGCCTCACATAATTGCCTGGCATTTGAAGGTACTAAGCTTTCAGTAGTCTCTTCCTATCGTTCCCACCCCCCACATCATTTTTCTAGACCTCTTTAAAGCACCTTATAGCCTCAAATTCCCTACCTGACATTTATGTGTACTAACAAACATGATTTTCCCCGAAGGAAATAAATATGGTAATTTTATGCTTTTTCTTCAAATCATCAAAACATATAATGGTTTATCTCTAGCAGAGTAATGCTATTTTAATCTCCAGGAGAAGACTCTGAATATTTGGTTGCCAAGTTCACCTATTATAAATACATAATCAAAATTGTGTTCATCATGAAAATAACAATGTATAGATTTTAAATATTACATAATATTATAAGAGCATAATATGGAGAAAACGCATAAAAATATCGCCCTTTAACTTCATGGTAAAACATGAACACTTTGGATTTAAAAAAAAATCACAAAACATTTAAATAAGATTATCTTCCTATTGATCACCATAATATGAGCTCAGAGAAAGTAACAGCCTAAACTGGCAAAACTATTATCATGCAACTCTTCTGTAGCTAATCAGTAAATAAAGATAGAATTCTAAATATGAATACAGAATAACTGTAACACCTTTTATTTTACAAAATGTTGTCAATTTCATTTTATTTTAGAATAGTTTATATGATCAACTGTATTACACAGCAAACTTTCATTTTTAAACGACCTTTTTAATAATATGTGTACATATTACTGTAATATACCCTATCATTTTCTTTAAAGAATTTTTGATCTTATGCAAACTGGGTCTTACCTATTACTTTGGTAGATACAATATAGAAATGTGAAAGCAAAAATTGTAATTTCATTAAGATGTAAGAACAAAAATGCTATACTGTCCAAAAAAACAAATCCTGAAGTATCTCGGCACATAATTCCGCCAGCATTATTCAAAACAAGTCAGCAAGAAAATTTGTGGAGAACATGAGAAAGTATCATCATAGCAATTTATGAACTTGTCACCTCAGAAATGTACTGGAAATATTTCAGAAGAATAAGATTTAGACTGCAGAAACAATTTTCTCCCCATCTCGGCTAAGTTGCTTGCTACATAAAGCTTCAGCACAGTACAAAAAAGCAGCAGATATAAGTAAATACATAGACTAGCTAGGAATAACTGACCGATTAGAGCAAAATAGAACAAAACAGCCAATTAACTCACCAAATAGCCTTTTGCTAAAAATCTGTGTTCTTTTCTTTGTCTCAGGCTTCTGGTTTCTAAAGACAAATTACATGCTTCCTGACAGAACGATGACAAAGGGGCACACCGTGATCTCTTTTCTGCTCTTTCCACTATAAGAAAACTGAACCACACCGCAGTCTCCAAGAGTAAGTACTTCATATGAGCATGCTCAGTATCTAATTTAAATGACTTGGTATTTCATCTCAGCATATGATGACCTACATGCAAATAAACTGAGAAAGCTGCAAATTTAATAAAGATCATTAACTGACAATAAACTATACAGAACTACCAAATGATAACTGATTTGTTTTTAACTTCATAATCTTTGTGGTTCATTTAACTGGAAATGATTATTTCTACAAGTTTATTAAATAACAAGTCCTTAGGTTTCAATATAGAATTAACTATGTCAACATAAGAATCCCAAAATGCTAGAATGAATTGGAAGTTGCAAAACATCCAAGATGTGATCCCAAAATGTAAATGGGACCAGTGATAAATTAAACAAACTATAAACTATCCTTATTTCACTTTTCAATCTCTTATTCTGTTCTCTTGCCTGTTCACCAAGTAAAACAATCTGAAAACTATGCAGTGGTATTTTAACTTCTCCTTTGGAAATATTAATAAAGACTAATAAACTGAAATGTTCAATGTATTTATTAAAATGTTTGCTATCTTCAAACTACAGTGATAGGATTTTTCTTATCTGTTGTTTACATATTAAATAATTGATTTATAGATCATACATCACCCAAATATTGACAAACCTATACAAAAATTTTTAAATAATGTTGCAAGTTTGAGAAAAAGTTTTATAAAAATGGCACAAAAATCAGCAAAATATTCTGTGTATGCATGTTTATGCCATCAAATACATAATTCACCTAGTTTGTTAAGTAAATTGCTGCAATGGCCATTAGTCTGGGATGATGAAAATATGGTCAAGAAGTTTTCTCCTCTGCTCCATTTTAATTTTCCTCCATAAATCCAGATCTAGTACAGCCCCACTAAAACCAGCCAGACAACTCTTTCATATCTACTTTCCACTTTCACCTTGGGTAGATGAGCAAAAATAGGAAGTGTTTGAACACTTGACATGCACCAAGCTCACGACAGCAAGTCACTGACAGAGTGGGGCTGACCCATCTTTAAATGTACCCATATGCTAATTAGTGCTTTTCCCTTCTTCCCAACCCTTCCTGGTCACCTCTATTACTTCCCTATTGTAAATCACCCTTCTATATAAATGTCTCATTTTTGAGAACAGTAGCCTCACAATCCTCTACCCTCCTGCCTCTTAACATGGAGGGTGTGGGAAGGTAAGAAGACATAGGAAATAGCCATCCCATGGAAACAGCTAAGATAAGGCCCTTCCTGGGACAAGGTTATCAAAAGGTCGCAAAAATTAAAATGTGTCAATACGCATATGTTTTGTGTCTCTAAGTACTGTATGTATGGGGGTGCGGTAGTTCTGTAGAAAGAGTAAGTTACCTACAGTACTCAAAGAAAGCTCTATGATTCCTAAATGAGAAAGTGAAAATTCTTCACTAAAAAGAAACAAATAAAAAATCTAACTGTGATCTCTAAGTATTATTTGAGAACAGGTTATATATGAGTCACGGTACGCTGCAATACACAATGGAAACAAAAATGAGTACAACTATCTCTGCTTTTAAAAGAGTTCAACTGATAGGAAAGACTAGGCAAGAGTACATATACATATAACTAATCTAAGTATTACAGCAAAAGACAGGTGCTTTAGTGTTCTTGAGAGTTTAGAGAAAAGAGAGAAAGCATTTGAAGGAAGGCAATTAGTAGTCTTTGTGAGAGGGGTGAACTTTCTGAAATGCCCAGGTGAATACTAAGGATCTAGACTAGACAGGAGAGAGAAAGAGGAGGAAACAGCCAGGTCAAGGCTGAGATATGGCACAGTGGAGGACCTGGGAACTGGTGGTGTGGAGACTGGAGAACTTGTATTGACAATGCGAATACTAGAAAGTGACGGCTGTCAACAATGGGAAGAAAGAAAGAGATAAAAACTAATTATTCTGGGATGGAATCTGGAAGCAGATGGCAAGAAGTGTTCTATACCCTGGATAATGGAAGAGTGAGGGAGTCAACTCTAAGAGACAGACAGAAAAACAGGTAAATGAGGACAGGTAAAGAGGTGGTAATTCCAGTCACACCGGCATAGTACTTACTCATTTCAAATTCACTTTATGAATTCCTCCATACCACTAAATTGCTCTCTAACATGCATTTCCTGTCTCCTATACATCCAACTTAAGTGTTCTGATTTAAAATTGAGATCATCTTGTAATTACATATATCCTTTAAACTTGAGGCCTTCTTTTTTAAATCCTTATATATCACTTATTCTTTAACTTACTGATTTACCCTTTCTCTACCAGCAAAACCTGATACAATGTTTCCCAAATACTACCCCAGTAAGAATGAATGTTTAAAAACTCAACCAAAGATATAACTCACTTCTATGACAACTGAATATCCTCTGAAGACTTTATACAGTTTTAGTGCATTTGTCCTAACGCAGGTAGGACAGTGCATTTGTAACTGATACATGAGGATGGGTGGATCTCGCTCATGACTTAAACGTATCTGCCTTCCATCTGATACCTAACCAAAGGGAGGGAATGAGAGGAGCAAGACTGGAAATGAATACATGAGCCTTATACGGCAATTATCATTATCACATCATTATCACCCAGAGACCACAGTTTGTTAGGGTTCACAATTGGAGTTTGTTAGGGTTCACAATTGGCGTTTGTACATTCTACGGGCTGAGTCTTAACACTGCAATCTGTTGTTGTTTTGTTTACCATTGGGTTATAGCAGAACCATTTGTGAAGCTGGAGAACACACACACACATACTCTCAGGGTCCAGAAACCTTTCAACCTGACCTGTCAGTGGAGCCAGTCTGTAAAACCTCCCTAAATTTTGAGTTTGCTCTGATTAAGAACCACTGCTCTAGATGCTCACCAGTTCACAGCCTTTCAACTTATGAGTCTTGTTTTAAGGTGATGAATGACAGCTAGCACTTACGGAATGTCTCATATATATGATTTCATTTAATATTCACAAATCCTCACATAATAGATCTTATTAATATTCTACCTGGTAAACAAATCTGGACACAGAGACTCAGAGGCTTCTCCAGTGTCACACAGATAAGTGAATAGAGTTGAAATTTGGACCCAGATTTTGGAATTTTTTTGTGGTAATAGAAACCCAAGGTCTAAATGTGACCTAAAAGGCAGTGAACTCAGCAGGCAAAACTACTGAAAATAATTTTCAAGAGTAAAGAAATATGGAAAAAGGTAGGGGAAGAGTGGGGAGTAACTGTGAAGGGAATAATTAAGAACGAACAAAAAGTAATGAACCCAAGGCAAGTGGTACTAACTCAGCTTTTATTTAGTTTTATTGCAGTGTAATTCACATTTCATTAAACCCACCTATGGTTAAGTGTACAGTTCAGTGACTTTTAGTGAATTTACAGAGTTGTGCAACTATTACCACATCTAGTTTTATAACATTTCTATCACCACAAAAAAATTCCCTCATGTCCCATTTACAGTCAATCTCCACGTCCACCACCAGCCCTAGGCAACCACTGATTTGTTTTGTCTCTATAATTTGCCTTTCTGGGAAATTCATAAAAATGGAATTATACAATGTGTAGTCTGTGTCTGGCTCTTTTAGGCAGCATCAAGGTTTTAAAGTTCAGTCATCGTATACCATTTATCAGTCAATTATTTCTTTTTATTGCTGGGTAGTTTTATTGTATTAATAAACACATTTTGTCTCTCCATTCACAGTAGTTGACAGACATTTGCACTGTTAGGCTGTTATGAATAATGCTATCAACATTTTAGTACAGATCTTTGTGTGCACACGTTTTCATTCTTAACATACTTACGTAGTAAAATTGCTTGGTCAAATTTACAATTAATTTTTTCCAGAAACTGCCAATCTCTTTCCAAAGTGGTTCTAACATTTTATATTTCTATTACTAGTGTAACAGAGTTTGAGTTTCTCCACATTCTCCGCAATACTTGATACTGATCGTCTTTGATTATAGCCATTCCTAGTGGGTTCCTCAGTGTGGTTTTAATTTGCAATTTGCTAATGTCTAATGATGCTGAACATCTTTTCATGTGCTCACTGGCTATTTGAGTATATTCTCATGTGAAATATATTTAAATTTTTCCCTCATTTAAAAAATTGAGCTGTTTGTCTTGTTATTATTGAGTTGTAAAAGTTCTTTAAAAATTCTGGATATGAGTTATTTGACAAATATGTGATTTGCCTGTACTTTCTCCCAGTCTGTGACTTGTCTTTTCATTCTCTTCAGTATCCTACACAGATAAAGCAAAATTTCTAAATTTTGATGAAGTCTAATTTATCAATTTTTTCTTTTGTAAATCTTTAATCGCATCTAAGAAATCTTTGCCAGACCCAATGTCACAAATAATCTCTTTTTTCTAAAAGTTTTATACTTTTTGTTTTTACATTTAAATCAATAATCCACTTAATTTTTGTGCATGATATGATAATAAGGGCCTAAGGTTTTAAAAATTTTTTATGCTTACATATAGCTATCTATCTAATTATCATAACATCATTTATTGAATCATTCATTTTCCCCCAGTGAATTCCTTGGGTACCTCTGTCAAAATTCCTTCCTTGGTTTTGGAAAGCAGAAATAGCAAGCAAGGAAAGGGTTAAGAAAAATGAATGAAGATACAGACAGATTTGGATTGAAGAGGAAGAAAAAGCTAATGAAGTTCAGGCCTGATAGTTTCTACTTTCTTCTCCAAGGTATGATCTACTAGGAATGAGGAAAAGAGGAGTGAGACAAGCATTCTGAGGTGAGTAATCAAAGATTTGGAACATTTGTTATGGAGAATAGGAAAGCTACTGGATAACGAAGACAATCAGTTTAGAATATGCTGTTTTGTCAACTAGTATTAGTCACCAAGAAGTGAAGCTAGTCATAGGCCTGCATACAGATACTGGAACTTCCATTACATCTTCTATTCCCAGGAAGAATGAAAAGGAAATCTATTCAGCTGGAAGGATAAAGGATAAAAAAAATTGTTTTAATGTTTAAATTTTTTTTTATTGGTACATAATATCTATACATATTTAAGGGGGATGGGTGATACTTTTGTTGCTGCATGGAAAGTGTAATGATCAAGTTAGGTTATTTGAGGGGATCCATCACCTCAAGTACTAATCATTTTTCTGTGTTGGGAACATTTTAGGTCTTCTAGCTATTTATTCAGAAATGCATTTAATACATTGCTGTTAACTATAGTCACCCTACTCTGCTATCCAACATTTGAGCTTCTTCCTTCCATCTAACTGTATGTTTGTACCCACTAACCAACCTTTCTCCAGCTCCCCTTCCCCCTATACTGTCATCATTCCACTGTCGACCTCCATGATATTCATTTTTTTAGCTTCCACTTAAGAATGTGAACATGTGCTGTTTGTCTTTCTGTGCCTGGCTTATTTCACTTAATGACCTCCAGTTCCATCCATGTTGCTGCAAAAGACATGATTTCATTCTCTTTTAGTGACCCTTTTCAAAAAGTTTGAGATTTCACCTTAGAGAATAAAATATAGAATCAGCTACACACAGCTTCAGAAAAAAAGCTCAAGTCGTAGAATGTGCTTTTCCTCCATGGCTTCTGTGGTCTTCAGGTTTAATGCTACTTTTTGCTGGGACTTGGTATCTCAACAAAGAGTATCTTGCAGTACAAATATTTACATCAAACTTTCTAAGTGTGGTTGGCTACTGAGCAACTGCAAGCTCCTAAGATCACACTGCCATGTATTCATGAAACAAGTCTGAATTTTAACCAACCACTGGGGAGAAAAACCAGTGGCAACAGGATCTTGAAAATGAGAAATAAACCACAAGTTAGAAACAGATGCTGCCATCACTGCCACCACTTCATTCTTTGGGACAAACCAGTGACACTCCTCAGTACAACACACTGACAATCAGTCATGAAGTAATGACACTACATGTTGTTGATAAAAGATTTTTATTTATATTTTATTGCTTTCTCACCCAGATATATCTACAGAAGGCATTTTTTCAAAAAAAGAAAACAAGTATTTTGATTTTTAAATATTCAATCTTTAGGAAGATCTCTACCAAATCAGGAGCTTATATTTGCAAGAGTCTTAGGCAGAGGTATAAATTCTGCATAATAATTTGTTACTGTCTTACAAAAAAGAATTGTAAATTTTAAAACATATTTCCATAAAATAACTGTAATGATCCAGTGACTTTTACTGCAGTGATAAATCCTTAGCATCTACTTAGCATATGGCAAGATAATGAATAGACCTAATTATACATTATTTTGGCATTCAAGCTGTCTTTTGCTATAGACAATGTTTAGACTATAAGAAAATCTGTCATGTTTTGCTAGAAAAACAAAAAAACAAAACCATACATGAAATAATTTTGCTGCTGAGTAATGGTCTTATAGAAAAATTTTTAAAAAATATTTCACTATGTAAATAAAAAAATGGGGATAACTATTCCTGCATTCTGCTAAAAGACAGAAAAATAAATATTTCTTAGCGCTCCTTTCCCCAAAATCAGAATAGTCACTTTTTTTCCCACTCTGCCTAAGGATATTGTTAATCAGATAGTTAATATCTTAAGTATTAAAAATTTGTAATTAAAAAAATCTGCTCCCTTTGTTCATTCACACAATCATTCATTCCACAAATATCTACTAAGCATTAACTATGTACCAGACACTGTTCTATGTATTACACATAACAGCAGTAAAAAGGTCTATGCTCTCATGGAGCATATATTCTCATGGGGGATGAAACTCAATAAACAAAAGACTACATGAGATAGTGGAAAAGGGTTATGCAAAGAACTAAGACAGGTTCAGTGACTCAGAGAATGGATTGTCAGGAAAAGCCCCGAGGGCCAACAGTTAAGCACTGACTTAATGTCACAAAAAGGGGAAAAGAAATCCGGATAGAGAGAGTGGACAGTTAGTTTAAAGGCTCTAAGCCTGGCATATCTGAGATGAAAGAAGGCCTCTGTGACTAGAGTATGGTAGGGTGAGAGGAAAACAGCTGTAGAAGTAGAAAAGTCAACTAGGGTTAGACTTACAAGTCAGATAATGAACTTTGGATTTTATTCTAAGTGCTATGGAAAGCCACTGGAAGACATTGACAAGATCTGAATTACATTTTTATATTTTAAGAAAATGAATCTAGCTAGTGTGGAGAATGGATTGTAAAGGGTCAAGAGCGGAGAAGCAGGGGAAAAGCAAAGAGGCTGCCACAGTTGTCTGAGTGAAAGATGATGGTGGCAAAGACGAGAGGTGTGGCAGAGATGGAGAGAAGTGAGCAGATTTGGGATACGTTTTGGAGGGGAGGAAGTGTCAACAGGGCTCACTGATGACAGACTGGAGGGGAGGTGGGGTGATGTTAACTGAAGGAAAGAGAAAAATTGAGAATGGCTGCAAGGCAGCAAAGTTGTTTTCTCTGACTGTATATTAGACACTATATGAAGAGGTCAGTGAATGTGGAGATGAGGAAAGAGGTGGAGATGAAGATTTATGGCTGACTGGCATACGGTGTAAAAAGAGCCTTGGAAGTGAACGAGGCGACTTAAACACACACACACACACACACACACACACACACACACACACACACACACACACACACAGCACCGGATAGACTCTGTGACTTCAACAATGCCAACTGTGTGCCTAGTCCTATGCTCGGTGTATCTTTGGGAAAAACAGATCTTTGTCTTCAGGGAGCTTCTATCAGAGAAGACAAGTGCAAACACAATAAACGATGTAGTACATTAGAAAGTGGTAAGTGCTATGAAAGAAAAAGCAGAGTGTGGCTCAGGAGTGTGGTTACCGTAGTGAAATTAAAGAGGAGTCAGGATAAGCATCATTCAAAAGGTGAGACGTGAGCAAAAAGGGAACAAAAAGACAGGCAGAGGAAAAGGTCAGTGTTAAGACCCTGAGGCAGGAATACATAACATTTTCCAAAATAAGTATTGGTGACATATTTGAAAAATAGCCAGAACAGTATGAGAGACTGGTCTGAATGGGAGACCAGCAGGATTGCAGCAGTGAGAAAAGGGCCAGAAAAGGAATGGTCATGAAAGCAGCATGAAACCCAGAAGGGTATGATGTCATAGAAGTCAGGAGAAAAGGGTGTTAAGGCTCAACGATGCTGAACGCTGCCAGGAAGTGAAGTAAGATCTGAACAGAGAGGTCCCTAGTGTTGGAAGTGCAGTGTGGAGTCAGTGGGGAAGAGAGCTACCTCTACAGAAGGGCAGGGGAGGAAGTACAGATGGCAGGAGGTATATTCACTTCTAAAGGTAATAGGACAGGTTGGCTCTTGGGATTTAACTAAATTCTTACTCTATCACAGCCAGTGAACAGGATTTGAAAATTTTAATTATGTCAACATGGTCAATCAGTGCTGGAATCCAAAAAACTCATTTTATTTTCTCATTCAATTATAAACCATGAAAAGAAAAATCACTATTTCTCTAAAAAAAAAAAAAAAAGAAAAAAAAAAGAAAAAACAAGTTAAAAACTCATAAGCCAGAGTAGCAGCTTTGGCAGCAACACGATAGCAGCCACCATTTATTGAGATCCACTCTGGGTGTTGTGGATACATTAATAATCTTTTGTTTGTACAGGAATATTGTCACAGAGGTTTTACTATTCATACTGTGTATGAGGAAAGGTAAAACAGGGTTTCTCTGCTAGGAAATGGCAGGAAGGGATTAGAAGGAGCTTATGCTTTTTCTACTTTGCCAGTGTCCCTCTTTTATTCACACCTGCTCAGAACAAGAGATCACATAGGGGTAGGTTTTCTTCTTGCTTTGTAAGAGACACTCTTGCTAGCTAGATATGATATTTTTTATTCTTTATAACACCAGGAATTATGTTAGTTACCTTAATGCTCTATTGGAAAAATTACAAATTACTTGTTGACAGTTTGTGGTTCAAATTTTTTCACTATATGCATTTAACAATATACAAGATTTTACAGTCTAAAGACCTATGAAAAATCTACTATTAAATTGTCTTTATGTGTTAATTGAAAACATTTGATTGAAATAGTTAATCCTTAAAAAATGCTTAATCAGTACTGACATATAAAATATAATCTTTGTTGACAACTGAGAAAGGAAGATGATAGATTTTTCAAAAAGTTTAGAAAAGACTCATGAGAGCTCACATTGTAGAAATAAAATATTATTCAAGAAATCAGACTCAATAAAATACTGTTCAATGTCATGGAAAAAAACATAACTATTGCTTTTTGAAAATTGAAACTAGATACACTTCAATCATCTCAATTAGTGTAGGTAAGGCAAACACCAGATGCTCATTAAACAAAGTTATTTAATTGCAACAAAGAGAAAGATGCCAAAGTAAACAGAATAGTCAATAGAGAATGGCTTCACAAATTGAAGTTCATCTGTAGTATGGAACACATCATGCAGCTGTCAAAAATAATAGGTAGAAGTGTGTGCACTGCCATGGAAGATATCTATGATATACATACATTATTTTTGTATGTATGTGTATATATATATATCTCATAGATATATACCTAAAAGGCAGGTAACCGAATGGTATATGTTAATAGCCTAAATACAGGCTACTTTCACTTTTTTTTTTTTTTTTTTTTTTTTGAGACAGGGTCTCTCTCTCTCACCCAGGCTGGAGTGCAATGGCGCAATCTCAGCGCACTGCTGCAGCTTCCACCTCCTGGGCTCAATCAATCTTCCCACCTCAGCCCTCAGAGTAGCTGAGACTACAGGTGTGTGCCAGCACGCCCGGCTAAATTTTTGTATTTTTTTGTAGAGACAGGGTTTCACCATGTTGCCCAGGCTGGTCTCGAACTCTGGACTCAAGTGATCTGCCTGCCTTGGCCTTCCAAAGTGCTAGGATTACAGGGATGAGCTATCACTCACCCGTACTTTATATCCTTTTGTGCTATATCAATTGTTCTGATAAGCATGTATTAGTTATGTAATTAACAATTAAAAAGAAAGAAAAGAAATGGGGGGAAAAAGGGGTTGTGGGAGGAAGGGAAAGGAAATAAAAAGGGAAATAACAGGAGCCAGGAATAAGATGACAGGCACATGTGCTAGCAGTGTGGTATGGAGAGATCTGGAGTGTGATGGTTCAGGTTCAAGTCCTAGTCCTGTTACTAACTTTGCGCAAGTTGAACTCCAAGGTTCAGAGGTTTCGTTTACTGAATAGTCTTACTACGGTAAGACTATTTCTCACCCTACAGAATTATTGTGAACATTACCATGAGAACATTTTTGAAATGTGACAAACACAGTGTCTGGTACAGTATAAATGCCCAATAGACGGTAGCTATTTTATGTTTTGAAATTAAAATGCTAAAGAAAACAGCTTTACCTATAATTTGATTTTTATACCTTAAAGTATATTTGATATAAACCCTTTTCATTAGTTTTAATAAGTAGGTATTAATGATGATCACAAAGCCAATTCAGTAGAATATATGCTGGTGGTACTACTAGAAATGTATTTCATCTGAGATTTCCAATTCCAGCTTTGCAAGTCCCTAGAGCACTTGTCCTTGTTCATACAACTTTGAATCCTAAAATCTGTGCCTCTTATGCAGAAATTTCAATATTCAATTTGTCTGTATAATGAAACTTGTAAATACCTGTACCCCTTGAAGTCATTCTGCAGTAGAGAGGTAAAAGGGGGATACTAATGAGGGGCATTTCTCCAGACCATTCTTTCATATTTAAAAAAATCACTTGGTAGGGATGTAAATTTGTACAACCTCTATGGAAATCAGTATGAAGATTTCTCAATAAACCAGAAATAGAACTACCAGGTGATCTAGCAATCCCACTACTGGATATCTACCCAAAGGAAAAGAATTCATTATATCATAAAGATACATGCACTTGTATGTTTATTGTAGCACCATTCACAATAGCAAAGATACGGAATCAATCTAACTGTCCATCAGTGGAGGACTGGATAAAGTAAATGTGCATATACACAGTGGAATACTATTCGGCCATGAAAAAATAATAAAATCATTTCTTTCGCAGCAACATGGATGGAACTGAAGGTCATTATCTTAAGTGAAACAACTCAGACACAGGAAAGATAAATACTGCAGCTCTCACTTATAAGTGGGAACTAAATAACGTGTACACATGGAAGCAGAGTATGGAATGAAGGACAATGGCGACTGACATGATTTGGATATTTGTTCTGCCCCAGTCTCATGCTGAAATGCAATCCCCAATGTTGGAGGTGAGGCCTGGTGGGAGGTGTTTGGGTCATGGCGGTGGATCCCTCATGGCTTGGTGCTGTAGTAGCAATACTGAGTGAGTTCTCATGAGATCTGGTTGTTAAAAGTGTGAGGCACCTCTCTCCCTACCATTCTTTCTTTTAAAGCTCCTGCTCTGGCTCTGTGACATGCCTGCTCCCACTTTCCCTTCTGCCATAAGTAAAAGCTCCCCAAGGCCTCCCCAGAAGCAGAGTAAATGCCAGCACCATCCTTGCACAGCCTTGCAGAACCATGAGCCAATTAAATTTCTTTTCTTTATAAATTATCCAGCCTCAGATATTTCTTTATAGCAATGCAAGAATGGCCTAATACAGGGACTCAGAGGGATGGGAGGGTAGGAGAAGGGTGGATGATAGGAGGTTGCTTCGTAGGTACGATGTGCTGGGAGGCTCTCTGGTAGGTACAACGTGCATTGCTCCAGTGATAGATGCACACTGAAGGCCCTGATTTTACCACAATGCAATATATATCAATGTAGTAAAACTGCACTTGTACCCTATGATTATATACAAATTAAAAAAATCAAAACTCTAAATCAGAATAAACGTCCAAGTATAAAATTCATATCTAACTTTCCATTTGAAGTAAGAAATTGATTAAAAATTTAAACTGCCTTCTCACAAGAACCTAATTTAACCAACATTATTTGCTTTTAAAATATTGGCTTCATGTGTTCCCAACATGGGGTCTACTGAAAGCTCATAAATTATCTTAATAAACAAAGTCTTACCTAATGAAGCATCATTCTTGTGAATCTTACTATATTCTGCCCCTCTTCTAAGTATTAAGACTTTCCTTCTTAAAAAATCAAAACCACATTAACATTGCACCCTCTTATGTTTAAAGTTGACTCACATGCTACTGTCCTTGGATTTATGCACCTCATAAACACTCCAAAACCTAATCTACAATGTAAAAGTCTAAAATCTGAAACAGGGGTCAACAAATTTATTCTGTACAGGACCAGATAGTAAATATTTCAGGCCTTGTGGACCCAACAGTCTGTCAAAACTATCAACTTTGCTATAGTGAGAAAGTAGCCATAGACATTACATAAATGAGTATGGCTGCATTCCAACAAAGCTTTATTTACAAAAACAGGCAGCAGGCTGGATTTGGTCCACAGCCACAGTTACTAACCCCTAATCGAAAGTATTAGTTAAGTAGAATGTCTATGATAGTCTCATCACTCCTTAAAAGCTTAGTACCACATGCCTCTGATCAATTATTTACTAGATCAATTTCACTTATTAATGATTAGGTTTACTAATTTTAGTAAGAATAAATTCTTTTCTTTTTTATTTTTTGAGACATAGGGTCTGACTCTGTGGCCCACGCTGCACTGCAGAGGTGCCATCTGGGCTCAATGAAACCGCTTCCACCTCCCAGGTTCAAGCAATTCTCCTGCCTCAGCCACCCGAGTGGCTGGGACTAGAGGCGAATGCCACCACGCCCGGCTAAATTTTTTTTGTATTTTGAGTAGAGACGGGGTTTCAACCATGTTGGCCAGGCTGGTCTTGAACTCCTGACTTCAAGTGATCTGCCCGCCTCGGCCTCCCAAAGTGCTGGGATTATAGGTGTGAGCCACTGTGCCAGGCCAAGAGTAAATTATTTTCTATTCTTATAATTTCATTAGGGTTCTCCTTAATATTTAATTTTTCATAATTCCACATTTCATTAACTAAAGTGAACTTAATCAGTCTTTCCTCATGAATCTCATTTTCTAAAATTTGTCCTTTTTACACCTTTGACTTCTCTCCAAGTTTCCTATGAAAAGTAGAAATGTCAGCACTTCTCTGTAATTAACTGCTTTTATAAAATTGAAAAATAAAGCAAGCATTTACATGTTTACTTTTTCCTTCATTAAAATTAAAAATAAAAATACTAAAATTTTTTTTAAATTCAAGTCAATTGTTAATAAAGATATCCTTTTAAAGTATGGTAGCAAGCCTCTAAGATGACCCTCAGTGATCCCCAGCCTATACACGGACTATACAAGGGTATACACACCTTTGTATAGTCCCCTCCTGCAATGAATCAAGGCTGGCCTTTTTCACCAATAAAATATGACAAAAGTGACACCCAAAGCTAAGTCATAATGGCAGTGCGGCTTCTACCTTACTCTCTTAGGCTTGGTCACTATGGACAAAGCCAACCACCATGTCATGGGTCACGCAGCCTTATGCAGAGAAACCAACTACCCACCATCAACTTGCCAGACACGTGATCCTCCAGCATGAGCTTTCAAGCTTGCAGAGACTAAAGCCTTAAGCTCATAAGGCTCATCCAACCTCGTAAGAGAACCTGAGCCAGAACTACCCAACCAAGCAGCTTGAGAATTCCTGACTCACAGGAACAGGGAATGTTAATAAATGATTATTGCATTATGTTTAGAGGTGATTTGAGAAAACAGCTGATATACCTGTATCTAATTAGGTTACAACGTATCTTATTTTGTATAACTGAATATTTTGGTTCTTGGCAGCAGCAGTTGAAAAACAATCATCTGTACTGCAATAAGATGAGTTTAGGGGACAAGACTGACAACAACAACAACCAATTAGGCCGCATGGTAGTGATGGATGCTAGGCTGTTCATTCAACAACACTCAACATTAACTCAAAGCATTCAGTGTGGGAAGCTGTGTGTCAGGGTATTAAAGTATTAACAGTTTGATTTCTACATACTGGTCTATGACCCACAGTTACATGCAAGAAATAATCCCTACTTCACTCCCATTCTTGCCCATGTAAATCTCACTGTTTCACAGGGCACTGTGTTTTTAAATCTTGGTCTGACCCATTAGTAGATAATGAAATGCAGTTAACAGGATGTTTGCTACCAGTACTTTAAAATAACAAAACAGAAGAGAAGGTATAGGTGGTAAAGGGAAGAAAGTATTTTCATTTTAGTATTATATAAAGTGGACAGTGGGTCATCCAATAATATTTATTTCTTATTGCGAGTCATGGTCAAAAAAAATTAAAATAAATGACATAAAATACCAAATATGTTTACATCATAGGAAACTAATTAGTCACCACACTCGTCCAGTTAGCTGCCAGCTCATGTTCCTTTTCCAACTTCTCTTTTGCATGCCCTTTAAATAGCTAGGCTTCACTGCTCATTTTGTTTTCACACTGATATTTTTAAATTCCTGTGAAAATTGGCTCTGGCTCAGTTGCTTTTTTCCTAATCTCAGTTCTGCTTATCTTGAGAGGGCTGAGAATAGGAAAGTCTCTTCTCCTTTGGGACAACCCATTTAAAACACACCTAATAGTTGTCTCACAAGAGTAAGGCAAGCAAAAAGAGGAAGATCAGATAGGGAACTTGCAATAACACTGAGATAACTGAAATTTCTGGCTAAATGAATCATCTTCAGTTCTCCAACATGCTAGAAATGATTAGATATGCTGGGCTTTCAAGGTTAATTTTTAAGTCTAGAATGTCCAAGCAATAACTATATTTCCTACTAAGACTTTTAGATTGTTATCACTCATGCGCAGCATGTAAAGCTCTCTGATTTCATGATGAGGGCCACACATGTAGTACACATCTTGAATGCAATCAGTTATCTCTCAGCCTTCTCTCTTGCAGCACCTGGCACAGTGCTTTGCATTAACCTGAATAAATGAGTATTTTTTAAAAGAAATTATTTGGGGAATTGAAAGACCAAAAAAGGAAATATTTATCCAACTGATAATTCATTTACTTGTTTGCAATGCTTCAAGAGAAAGGCATTATTATCCATAAGGAAGTTTTCCTAGCTTTAAACCAGTATTTCTATCCCTGAAAATATAATTACCAGTAAATATAACAAAATATTTCCTAAAACTTTTTAACAAGATAAAGGAGGATTTCAAGATTGGGTTTTTTCTTTCAAAAGGTGAAGTGAAGCTGACACTAAGAGTAAGAGTTCAAAGAGTAAGACTCAGCTGAATAATAACTTTTAAAATATACGACACAAGGAGGAAATGAAGAAGCGCACGTTGTAAGCAGATTTTAACAATTAATAAAGAAACAAATTAATGTCTTTGGAAAAGCACAGAAAAGCAAGTAACCAAATTCCACTAGAATGAGATCAAGAATAGAAAGTGGGGGCATTAAATCACAAAAGCTCTAATGAAAGGAAAATTCTGGCTGTTCTCAAAAGAGCCCTTTTCTAAGCAACATTCTCATTTTTATTAGTTTTTCAGAAAGGAGTTATTTATGTCAATAAAATTTTAGCAGTTATGTCACCCTAGTCCTTATCATTGGTCTACACAAGACTTGAGAGCAGTCTGTTTAATGGTCTGAATAGCATGAATATGTTGATATGAGTCAAATTTATTTTCCTAACCCATTCCTGAGTTGCAGACTGGTATACCAAACTTCCTGCCTGAAATTTCCATTGGCTTTCCCACAACCATCTCAAACTTAACCTACCAAAAACGAATCTCTTGTTGATCTCCCACCTTCAATCCACAACTCCTCCCTGACCCCCTGCCCTTTCCCCCAAAAGAACAAATATTTTTTCCCATTTCTAAGCATGAACTCTCCACTCAGCTGCATGAATCACAGGGCTGCAATTTATTCCTCTCTTCTAACCCAAGAAATCCTATGTAGTCTATCTGCAAAATCTCCACTTCAAATGGTCTACCTTCCTCCATCTCTGCTGACACTTTCTTCATCTATTTACCATCTTTCTTCATTTAGACAAACGCAATAGCTTCTTAACTATTCTCCTTGTTTCTACTCTAATTCTCACATCATTTAATTCTCCAAAAACTGCCAAGACTTCAATGAAGCTACTTGGTCCTGCACAGTGTGGCCCCGGTCCCCCTCACCAGCCATGGCTAGGGGACCCCATCTTGCTTGCCTAGTTCCAGGCACACTGGGTTCTTTTAGACCCTGTGAGTGTCTTCAGCCTAGAAGATTCTTCTCTGGTAAACTAAATATATGTCCAGTCTCAGGTTCAACCCATTTAAACACACTTTATTGACCTGTGTAAAAACTTGACTAATGTCTATCTTTGCTCTATGTTGACAGCTGCAAGAATTCAGGGACAGTGCCTGTTTTATTCATCACTGTAACCCCAAAAGTTACCAGAGGTCTTGGTGTATAATAAAAGCTCAGTAAACATTGGTCATTGAAAGGCTTTCTTTTACATCGAATCCCATTTACCATTAAGTATATATAATGCCTTTACACATAAATTATAAATGCAAACAGACAATGACAAGGTAAAATAAAAAATGAATTTAATTTGAAAAAGGAATAGAATCTAAATCAACATAATATGTATTATAAATCTGTTCTTTTGTCTTTAGGGATTACAAGTTTATTAATACAGTACTTTCATAAGTTGAATCTGCAAAATAAGACCTTAAAGGTAAACAAGCATCATGGTCTGATACAGTTATTCCGTTGAAATATTTACTCTAAGTTGGCCATTGCCAGAAGCATCAATAAAATTTCAGAACCAGAAACATCATTTCTAATCTAATATGATTGAAATCTTTATATGAAAGACAGATTAATGAAATTTTAATGTTTTAAATTCTTATCTTCCTATATTTTTCTTTCTCATACATTCATTACACTAGAAGTATAATTTTTGTCTTTTCAAAGTGAAAATAACATGCTGATCTGAAAACAGATTTTATTTATGAAAAAAATGTATTAAGGTAGGATGAAAGAAAGAGGAGGGAAATAACAATTTTGGGGGAAGGTAGGAGCAGAGAGGATTGGTAACTTTAAATTGCCTCTCTAATTCTACTTCAAAGTCCTTATGTCCTTAATGTTAAAGTAAAATTCTAGTCTGGACACTTCTTTACACTCAACTCTATTTGTACCTGCTCTTGACAACCTAGTAATGTTCAAACCTGCATATGTGTGAAGTGGCCACACTTTCCTTACCACCCAATTGACTTCATTTTTTTCTATTTTTCATAATGACCTTGATGAGAATGGCAATGTTCTGACAGGTGGCAGACCAAAAATGGTTTTCATTGCTTGAAGAAAAAAACACAAATATGTAAGTAATTTGTCAAAGAATCTTAGCAAACAAGTAGTCGTTTCTGTGAAGCTTGGTCAGCCACCACTTACTAGGCACTCTATCAGAAGAAATGTTTCTCACCCAACTGGGAAAGAAACATAAATTGAAACAGATCACATTTAAAAAATATTAAAATGGTCTAGTTTCATTTTCATAAAAATATGTTCTTGTATGTTACCTTTATGGGTTCTACACCTCAGTAAGGTAGAGACACTCATTCATCTCAATTACCATTCTTTTCCTACTTCTCTAAGTGTTCCATTTAAAATCATCAGATAGGAATACAGAACTTATCTATATTCTGGTCCCCTTCCACACTAAAAAGATCTGACTTTTATATCCAGTAGGATATTGCAGAAATGGCAAAACTTGACCTCTGAGCTAGGTCACTGAAGCCCTTGTGGCTTCTCTTTGCTTTCTCTTGCATCACTAACTAGGGGTAAAGCCAAGCACCATGACTGACGAACTGAAGCCACCTGCTAACAACCTGGATCAACCTGGAAACAGTTCCTCTAGCCCCAGACAAGCCTGCATCTTAACTGTAATTAAGACTAACATCTTAACTATAATCTCCTAAGAGAACCTGAGCCAGAACCACCCAGCTAAGTCACTTACATAATTCCTGACTCACAGAAACTGAGATATTAAATACTTACTGTTGACTAAGACACAATATTTCCTCAGTTTTCATTCACCATGTGTACTACCAATTAAGTTCAGTGTATCTAGAAATTTTAGATTTAGATAGGAAAACACTTTGCAATCCAAACCTGGAGTGCAAAAAGTCAGATCTAGACATAGCAAAAGCGGGCTTTTGGAACTTCATTTGTAAGACCTCACATATGTTAACTTGTTTCTAATGGCCAGAATGCTACTAGACAAGGCACTTTAGAGTACTGATAAAGACATTCATATAGAAGATGCTCATTACATGCTTGATACATCAGTGAACCAATAAATGCAGGTGGAATAAAAGAAACTATAATGCCATAGGTGGTTAGAGTCATAGGACACACATCTTTGTAATTACTTATTTACAACATCTCTTTCAACCACCAGAGGGCAGAAACAGCATATTGTTATTCCTCGACCTTCTGATTTAACAAAGCATTTAGAAGGAATAAAATATAAATTCTGCCCAAAGAGAAAGGAATGTTTCTTAATAAATAGGAAGCTATTAAATTCTGCATACAATGCCCAAAAAAGCTTATAGATGAAAGCTCAGTTAGAATATAGGACTTCAAGGGGTGGATACGAACCATAAATGGTATTCTAAAAAAGGAAGAAAGCAAAAAACAAGAGGTTGAGAGCTTTGGGTCAGTTTCAAAAAAACATGACCAGAGGGAATGTAGACTGGACTCAATTTCAATCTAAACTTTTTACTCTTACTCCATTTCTTCTAGCTACTAATTAGAAAGTAGTTGGCATTATTCTATAGAAGAAAGTAAATTTGGTATACTAAATTCGAGCTTATTTTCAGTTATTCACGTTATTACCATCCAACTTTCTTGTTCTATTTCATCAAAACGAACATCATTGTGAACCTGCCAGGAGCTACATCTACTGCCAAGTGCAGTGACCAGAAAGAAACAATCACCCTCACTGTGGCCAACCTAACTTAGAACTATTATCTGACTGCAGATGTGACAATGTCCTTTGATATTTTATTATATATCAAGTACTTCCCAACTGCTCTGTTATTTTTAATGGTACCACCCATCAAACAGTTTATTGAATTATATTTCTATATATCGTCATTTTCTACTGAACTGAAAGCTTACTCCTAACAAAATTAGCACAGCCATTTTCCTTTTTTCTTCAAGTTACCTAACTAAGCTAGAGCCAGGGACAACTAGCCTTATTATTAGTATTTTATGGGACCTCTGGCAAATTACGTTGTATCTATGGGTTTATGGTCTGAGTCCTAAGACATGTATGTGGTTGGCAAGTATATTTATAAGCCTAGAGAGACAGATAACAAATGAAATGCAATCCAAATATTTCACAAAGGATATTCTTATGAAAGAGACTGAAGAAGATAAATGTGTTAATTCTTGATTAATCCAAAAGGCATTAATAAAAATATCCCATCCCCTCAACTACAATAAATAACAAGATTTTATATGTATGTGTGTGTTATTAATTAGTTAATGGCTATCCTTGGAACAACTTGATCTTCATTACTTTTTGTTTCATTGGGCCCCTACAGATATGGAGACTCCCGAATCATTTGCATTCTTTAAGATATGTTAAGTACACAGGCATTCTTCATGGGAATGGGACTCTTCCAGCCTCAAATAACAGAAAATCCAATTCAAATTAGCTTAAACAAAAGGAGGGAATGTATTGGTTCAATTAATTTAAAAGTTCAGGAGTAGATTCAGGAATGGCTAGATCCAGAGACTCAACTAATATGATAAAGTGTGTATCTATCTGTCTCCGTTCTTTACCTCCTACTCTTCTCTCTCCTCCTCCCAGGCCATCCCTACCCCTCCTCTCTCTGTCTTTCTCTCTGTTATTGCCCCATGAGGACAGCTCTAGGCTGACATCTTTACAGCTTCAAATCCAACATAAGACATTCTCGTTCTCCAGAGCTTAAGGAAAGTCCCAGGATCTAGTATTACTGGTCCAGCTTACATAATGTGCACACCCTGGTCAATGACAGGATCAGGAGGTATGGAACAAATACTGACCAGACCTGAGTATAATAACAAGTACTGAATAAGGAGTTTTTCTCCAAGGTAAATGTGAGTTAGATTCTCAGAAGAAACAGAGGATGGACAGGGCACAAAAGAAATGTACGCCATCTCTGTATCACAGTTTCAAAGAGGTCCATTAATCTCCTCTCCAAAGTGAAGAACCAATGTTAAAAGAAAAAAAAAAAAGGTATAGAGAAGAAGTACATTTCTAAAATGTCGATTTAAATCTAACCCTGCACTATATTGCTCACAAGTAACTGATACCTTAATCAAATACAGTGCCTTACTCTGCTTCCTCAACTTGTAAGCACTGCATTTGCCTCCACCGACTATATAACAATCACTTCTTGAAGTACTGTTTTGTCTTCTGACTGTGGCTTCCAGGACCTGCATTAGCGGAGTTCTACCTCTCTGATTTTTATAGGTATTCCCCAGTGTCCTCTCCTCTTTTTCTATCTTATCACTTCTATTCAAGTAACTCTCAAATATTCATTTCCAGGCTAAAAATTCTTTGAAAAATTCCATTCCCGCATTTTTAAAAACCAAATGTAGATCTCAAAACCTATAGCCACACCCAAAATATTCAAAACAAACATCACTTATTCTCTTCAACAAAATTAGCCTTTCCTACCTCTCAATCTATCTGTGAAATGATCTGATCATTCAGACATTCTGTCTTCCATGAAGACTTCCTTCCCCTCTCTCTTCACAAGACAGGGGTATGCTTTCACAGCACCCTACTCACCGGCACAGTACTTATCCCATTTCATTGTGATGACTAGCTTACTTACTGAGCTCTTACACGAGAATATAAACTCACTAGCAAGGGCATAGCTGTATCTCACATGTACATCCTACATCCAAGTACAAATAGCCAGTACATAAAAAGTCCCCAGCAAATGTTTAATGAGAAAGGGGCAGAGGGATTCATTTTTATTAAAGATCTGTCAGCCATAAAACCAGATTTTTGGGGGTTTACTATTCAAATAGACTATGGCTTGATAAATAAGGTCTAGGCAACAAGACTGCTACCAAAATTTATACAGCAAAAAGTCAGGGAATAGAATGAAAATTTAAAAATCACTACTTTCTTCTTATCTTTTTCATAGCCATTCCCCGAGGATTTTTAAAATTACTTTTAAAATAATAATAATAGATATTAAACACTAGGAAACTTTGTTCCTCCAAAGGACTAAAAACAACAGTCCATCCATAGGCACCAGACGTGGTTTCTGTAGAGGCCTTAACAAATTTTTCCTTATAAGACCAGGCACAGTGGCTCATGCCTGTAATCCCAGCACTTTGGGAGGCTAAGGCAGGTGGATAATCTGAGGTCAGGAGTTCGAGACCAGCCTGGCCAACATGGTGAAACCCTGTCTCTACAAAAAAACACAAAAATTAGCTGGGCGTGGTGGTGCACACCTGTAGTCCCACCTACTCGGGAGGCTGAGGCAGGAGAATCGTTTGAACCTGGCAGGCAGAGGGTGCGGTGAGCCAAGATCACGCCACTGTGCTCCAGCCTGGGCAATAGAGCAAGACTCCATCTCAAAAAATAAAAAAAGAAAGAAAATAAAAAAATTTTCCCTTGTAAGTATCAAGCAATCCAGCTGCTGTTCCTTGAAACACCAAGAGATGGCCTTTTGGGGCAGAGCAGACTGAGAACAACTAACTCAATCATTGAAACCCAAACCACTTGCTTCTCAGTGACATGCCTCTTAACATTAAAGTGTCGTTACAATCTGAATTTTGGTTTGAGAAATTCATTATTATCGGTTTCTGTGACACTAAACATACTACTTAATATTCTACATTTTCTCACCTGTAAAATGATAATACTAATAATTATCCCACAGGGTTGTTGATAATAAGTGAACATGTAGGAAAAGTACCTAAAGCACATTTGGTGCTCATGAAAGAGAATATGATAACAGTGGCTCTCTGGCACTCAGAGGAAACTAAGGTTTGCTGGCTTCACTAAGCTGACACCTCTTTCCAGAGTCAGCTGATAATGATAACAGCTTTCTTTAATCTATACAAGGGAGATACTATTTATACTCATCTATCTATCTATGTAAAATACAATAATATTTCCTTTTCATGACTCCTTAAGTTGTATATAATTTTAAACAAACTTGCACATTGAATTCATCCTTGCTGTTTCCCCCACTCTCCTTTTAATCTCCTTTAAGTTAACCATGTTTTGGTGTTTATTTTCACTAGTGGTTTTTAAACTTTAATTAGCAACAGCTCTGTTTCATTGCTCTTCAGAAATTTAACTTTCAAAAAACATAAACTTGTTTTGTTCATCTGTGACGAAATGACAACAGCTTTGTTTTGTGGGACGTTTAAACATTATTCTCTTTGATTTTCTTCTTAAGACTGTTCACACTGACACCAAATAGTTGCAGTCTGTGTTGTTTTAGTACATTACACATAACCTTAGAAACCTTATCCTATTCAGTCTGGCATTTGACAGCAAATAAGAAAGTTAAATATGCTGTATTTCTAATATTATACTTGTTGGGTTCAGTACTTATACTTATTTTTGTTTATTTCTAAGCAGCAGACAAAATGTTTCTGGTATTTTATTTCTTCTCCATTACTTCTGTATAATTCTGACGGCAATAATGCAAGGCAACATTAATTCAATGTAAAGCAGGCACTAGAAATATGGTAAGGGAGAAGAGGAGGGTCTAGTCAATGCTACTTCGTCTTGCTATTGTTAGAGTACTCAAATTAAAAGTACATTTCAACTTCCATTATTAACTATAAGCAAAATTACAAATAACATGGACATTTTCCTAAAACCACCTTGGTTCCATTAAATTTTGTCATTCATTTTAAAGTTCCCATATACAACACCTTTGCAAGAAACTGAAGCTTTTCCTTTAGGAAAGGATTGATGGAAAGGATTAATCTATGAGAATACAGCACAATCAAAACATCAAAAATGCCAAAACTGTCTCACTGGCAATAATAAAAGAAAGAAAGAAATCGCTTGGATGCGAAAAAACAATCTGCTTCACAGCTCAAATTCTAGAAATGTAAAGAAAAAGTGCCCTCATCTGGCCAAACAAAAAACTTAAAATTTTAGGAGCATGTGTTAACTCTTGCTCAAGACTAATTTTCTGGGCTTTAATTGGTATATAAATAAGTCTTAAAAAGTAAAAATAAATAATAACCCAACAACATAAATTTTTGCTGCCTTTAAAAAACATAACTGTTTGCTGCTAAAAATAACTACTGAAACCATAAGATAGAAAGCAAATTATGTAATATATAATCTCTTGAGAGCAAGGACTATGTAGCAGTAATCATCTTTGAGCTCACCCAGATCTAGACACATAATCCTCAGTTTTATTTCTGATGAAGCTAATGAATGTAGTCGAATTGCAGTTGAATACAAATTGTCCCAATCAGCAAAAACATCCTTGACATTACCCATTACCTTACCTTAGTTGTCTTAGATTAATAATTTGTTCTCTAAGGGGCTTTTTTTGAGTCAGAGTCTCACTCTGTTTGTTACCCAGGCTGAAGTGCAGTGGCGCGATCTCGGCTCACTGTAACCTCTGCCTCCCAGGTTCAAGCACTTCTCGAGTCTCAGCCTCCCGAGCAGCTGGGATTACAGGCGCCTGCAACCACACCCGGCTAATTTTTTGTATTTTTAGTAGAGACGGGGTTTCACCATGTTGGCCAGGCTGGTCTCAAACTCCTGACCTCAAGTGATCCACCCGCCTAGGCCTCCCAAATTGCTGAGATTACAGGCGTTAGCCACCATGCCCAGCCCTAAAGGGCTTTTTAAAATATCAAAATAACCAATACAGCCACATTAATGTTTTTTCAGCATCACCTTTTACTATATTGAGTTAGTGGTATAGTAAGACTTCAAAATCTTTATTTCAATGCTATACAATTATTGTGCTTTATTCAACAAGAGATTTCAAAAACTTTAAAAGATAACACATTTTAGGTACTGTTGTTCTACTTCATTTAATCACATTATTTTCCTTTAATAATCTTATCTTAGTGCTAAATTTAAGTTCCTTTACAATCTAAGCAGAATTCAATTCTAATTCATACCAGTACTGGTCTGTGGCTATCCAATGTGCTATAGTCTTCCATTTCGTTATACCTAGTTCAGGTCATCTCAAGTAAATAGTGAAATATTACTATAGAGTTCTTTTTAATCTGATATTTTCCATTATATTAGAGAATCAAAATTGATTTTTTTTTTTTTTTACAATTTCAACTATCTGCCTATCCATGTGAAACATATAAAACTTTAGAATGGTGGTTCTGAATGCTGACTGTGCACTGTGGAGTTCTTTAAAAACAGATCCCCAGGCTCCACACCAGAGGTGTCTGACTTGGGTCTCGGGTGAGCTTAGGCTTGAAGCTGTGGCTGATGTTTTTTAGGAGCCGTAGGTGCATATAAAGCACAGTCTCAGGAATCGGCTTTGGAATACAGTTTAAAAAAAAAAAAACACTATATTTTTCAAAGATATATATTTTTTAAATATTTATATTACTTCTATAACAAACAATTCAGTTTTAAAAACTCATATGACCAACATATTTTAAATCACCATTGTATTGCATGGGTCTTTAGAAATATAATTGCAACAATCACTGTCAATTTTTTTGGCCAAATAATTAGTCATCATATTGGTGAATTTCTAAAATATGCTTGCAGATGTAAAATTATTTGTGCATCAAAAATAATAACAAGGTGCCTTTTAAATACCATTAATCCACAGTATCTGACAAAATTGTTCCCTATCTGCTTATTGCCAATTTAGAACTTCCTGGATTCAACCACAAGGCAAATCCCCCTACATTTTTATTATTTTTCTGTGTGAAGTACCCCAGATTTCATATGCCTCAGCCCTGAGGATGACTCCCCTCATGGGTTAAATAGAGGGGTTTTCTGCTGGGCCTGCAAAACAGTCTTGAGAATGAAAATACCCTTGATTACTGTCAAATGACCTAGTCTTTCAGAGTAAAAATTTAAATCCCAACAGTGATTTAAAGTCTATATTCAGCTGTTAATCCCTTTATAGACTCAAAGAGCAGACACGCACAATAAACCTCTAAGCTGACAGTTTGAGATTTGCTTACTACCGCTGGCATTTCCGTGCTCTAAAAAATAATCACCAGCATACTGCACCTTGATACAAGGTACAAAAACTAAGTATCATTAATCATGTGTGTGTTTTGAGAGCAGCCTGAAAGACTTTTGTTTACAAGTCTTTTCATATAAATTTATCCTGTTAGCCAGGCGTGGTGGTGCATGGCACATGCCTGTAGTCCTAGATACTCAGGAAGCTGAGACAGGAGGATATCTTGAGTCTAGGAGTTGAAGTCCGGCCTGGGAAATATAGCGAGACCCTTTCTCTTTAAAAAATATTTTTCTAATTTTTTTTCAGTGTCTCTAATTTTTAGCTAAAAAAGGTTATTATTGTGTGTCTTTACAAATGAGAGGCTAACTTTCAGCTACTTAATTAACTCACCTGTAATTACTGCAATAAACCCACCTCTCCCCCATATACCAGGGAAAAATTTACGCTCTAAACATTTATATTTAACTAACACTTCACTGTTTTAGTTTTTTCTTTTTTGAGACGGAGTTTATCTCCTGTTGCCCAGGCTGGAGTCCAACGGTGCAGTCTTGGCTCACCGCAGCCTCTGCCTCCCGGGTTCAAGCGATTCTCCTGCCTCAGCCTCCCGAGTAGCTGAGATTACAGGTATGTGCCACCACGCCAGGCTAATTTTGTTATTTGTTAGTAAAGACGGGCTTTCGCTCCATGTTGGTAAGGCTGGTCTCAAACTCCTGACCTCAGGTGATCTGCCTGCCTCAGCCTCCCAAAGTGCTGGGATTACAGGTGTGAGCCACCACGCCCGGCCAACACTTCATTCTTTTGTTCAATTGTTTTTTCAGGTTCCCCTCCAGTCCTTAGCCTTATGCATAAATTCATAAAACTGAGATCACAGTGTGACACAACTGTTTCTTCTGTTTCAATATAAATAATACATACTGTTAAACAGAGGCCCTAACAACAACCTATGGGATCAAAAATGGAATAATAAAAAGAGCATTAAACAATTGTTATATAAAGCAGCCAATTTCACATTTTAAAAAACTGCAACTGAAAAACTTATTTCCCAGTGCAAAGGAATTAAATGTCTCGCATAAAAACATAATGTAATCATGTATGACTCAGGAATTTCTGAAAGAGGTAATGTGCATCTGCAATGAAAATAAAACAAATGCAGAATCTCTCCTCCTTTACCCTAAGCACTTGGTTTCTAATCCCAAGTAGAATAAACCAACTAGGACATACATGATTTCTAGGTTTCAACAAATTAGACTGATATATCCAACAGCACTCCACCAGCCACTATAAATATTTCTACTTCTACTACTTTGTGTTTTGAGAGTTGTTTGTTTTTTATTTTTGTTGTTGTTTTAAAGAAATCAATCCACAGACATCACTGCATATTAGCCCACAACTCCTCTGTAGAGATTAAGGAAACTAACGCCCAGTAAGGCAGACTAAGGACACAATAAAAGCAATGAAGTCATGAGCCGAATCTCAGTTTTGCCATTTTCTGCCCAGGACAGATCTCTATCAACCAGAAAAATCCTGGATCTCTCACTAGAAAGAGGTAAGCAGGTTCTCAAAAGCTACGGAGTATTATCATTCTACATTTTCCCAACACTGTCATATTTTAACTTATTTCATTTTATCAATGTTATTACTTCAATCATGAAAACTAAGGATAAAATTAACTACCTACTTGGAAAACTGCACGCTCCACTTCGTGTAGCTGCAATGCTGCACCTGTCTCTCTAACTTGTGACTTCTTTTATTTTCTACAAAATTATGCTGGCATAATCCCTGAATATGCTACTGTCTTTAATGATGGGATCAGTTTGATGTTTCAGCGATGTCTCCTGCATTTACCTAGGGAATAATGAATTCTGAACAAAATATAATGTACAAGAGAAAAATCAAACCAATTTCTGTGTTGTACTCATTTATAAATATGTGGCTTGCTACCAGTGAATGCATCCTCAGTTTTTTTCACGTCACAGCACACAAAGGAAATGACAATACTTGGGCAGCACACTGGAATAATAGACCAAGGAGATTTCTGAAACGTGGGTGGGGGTGAGTGCTCAATGGTTCCAGAAACCTAATCACAGCACACCAGGAGCCGTGGAAGTTGTGTGCAGGAGTATGAAGATGATGACACTAACATCACAGCCTTAACTGCCATAAGGAACAGTATGCTCAATTTCAAAGCTAGAGTTTACATTTCCACAGTGAACTCACAGAGCTATCCAATTAGTCACACAGAAGCTGATCATCAGCACTGGCTACATCACAGAAAAGTAATCATGGCAGAAAATATTCCTACCACTAGAAAGCCAAATCAAGTATTTTTGAGTAGGGAAATCACCTCTTACTGATCCGTAGAATTAAAAATGCACCTATAAATTATAACTTATTGAAGTAAATAAATACATAGCACAGGCCTGATTATCCTCAACTATAAACTGGAAATGGGGCATAAAGGAAACCACTACTTGGGCATGCCATAGTTCAAACAGGCTCCAGGTCAACTCTTGGTGTGCTTTAAAATTATTATGATCATTTGAGCAACATTACCAAAAGAAGAGCACAAAACTTCTTCCCGAAGGACAACACGGCACTGTGGGTGTATTAGATGTGTTGCAGTGGGAACTGATCCAAAGGCTTTGACCCTTTCAAAATGAAACTCGTCTGCATAACAACTGCTTAGCCTCCCTCATCCTTAGTTTCCCTATCTATCAAATGAAATATCATCTTCCTTATATGTTCTGTTATGAGGATTACAGATAATACATGAAATCTGGTTTCTACCACGTGTCTGGTAGTCATATGCACTCAAAAAGAATAATTGTAATCACTAGTACTATTTTGTACTGTATTTTTAACACATCATTAATTATCACATCTCTATGTTCAATATTTTTAAAAGCTACATAAATAACAATGTATCGTATTCTTGGAAACTGATAAGAGACATTTTAGGTGTTCTTACCACAAAAACAAAAGATAAATATGTGGGCCCTGCGTGGTGGCTCACACCTGTAATTCCAGTACTTTGGGAGGCCAAGATGGGTAGATCACGAGGTCAGGAGATCAAGACCATCCTGGCCAACATGGTGAAACCCTGTCTCCACTAAAAATACAAAAATTAGCTGGGTGTGGTGGTGCGTGCCTGTAATCCCAGCTACTCAGGAGGCCGAGGCGGGAGAGAGACTCGCTTGAACCAGGGAGTCAGAGGTTCCAGTGAGCCAAGATCGTGCCACTCCACTCCAGCCTGGCGACAGAGTGAGACTCTGTCTCAAAAGAAAAAAAGATAAATATGTGAGGTAATGCATATGCTAATGAGATTGATCTGGCCATTCCACAGTGTATACATATTTCAAAACATTATGTAGCATATGATATATATATTATTTGTCAATTTAAGTAAATACAGAAAGTTAAAAAAAATGCCTTATGTCTCAAAATAAGAAGGTGATTTCCTCTTCAGTTTTCTTTCCTATACCTAAGCTTCTATCAAGGAAAACACTTCAGTTTGGTACAAGACTTAATACCTTTACAACACTTGCTAATCTCTGTTAATGAAGAGAAAGGCAGGCATGGTGGCTCACGCCTATAGTCCCAGCTACTTAGGAAGCTGAAGCTGGAGGACTGCTTGAGTCCAAAAGTTCCGGGCTGCAGCATGCTATGCTGATAGCGTGTCCGTACTAAGTTCAGCATCAATATGCTGAACTCCTGGGAGCGGGAGACCACCAGATTGCTTAAGGAGTGGTGAACTGGCCCAGACTGGAAACAGAGCAGGTCAAAACTCCTGTGCTGATCTGATCACTAGAGGGATTGTGCCCGCGAACAGCACTACACTCCAGCCTCGGCATATAATAAGGCTCCATCTTAAAAAAAAAAAAAATTACTTATCTACTTTATTTATTTTAAATAATAGAGACAGAGGGAGGGAGGAAGACAGAGGGAGGGAGGAAGGTGGGGGGGGGACAGAGAGAGAGAGAGAGAGTGTCTGGAGAACTCCCTCCAAAGCTATACAACATTGTATCTTGTTATCTCATGGTTTAATAAAATAAGTCAATTGTTAGACATTTGTGTTATATTCACTTCTCACTATTTTGAAGGTTATTTAATTTTTTTTAACATCTAGACCCAGAAACAGAATTACAGAATTCAAAAGGGATTACCTTCTGGCTTTTAATACGTATTTCTTAGGCAAACCTATCTTCCTGAATGAATACTGAGGTGTGGGGTACAACCCGGGCAGAATCCTATTGATTGTGAAACTTTGTTGGTTGACTCCCAATATACTTTAATTGTATCTTGGTACTAAATATGTTTGTTTAAGAGAATTTAAATTATAAAGAAATCAAGAACAAACTTTTCAAAATTATTTCAAAATAAGGGAAAGATTTCTTCAGTCACAGTTACTAAGCAAAAGAGTTTCAACAATGTTATGTACACTTTACTGTTTCAAATTTTCTTAACAAAGCTAACACATGTGTATAGTGCACATATAAATTTTTTTCCCACAACCTACAAAGGATTTAAAGTGTAAAAGAAAATCTCTTCCACTGCATCCACATCAAAACCCAATAAAACCTGGAAGTAATTATTGCTAACATTTTCTTTTGTGTCCTACCAGAATTTTTATATAGAAAAGCATAAATAAAAACTTTATTAGTATATAACATGCTTTAAAACTTGCTTTTTTTCTCTTAATATCAGATGTTAGCACATACAAATCTATTGCTACATATATTCTACTGTTCCATAATTTATAAAACTGAAAAAAGTCTGGTTAATTTCTATTTTTGCTATTTTGTATGTGTTGGGTGTATAAACAACATTTCAATGGCCATCCTTAAAAACAATATGCAAGTTCAACTCAATATCAATACTGTACTATTAAATTTGCAGGATAAATCTCCAGGTATAGAACTGATGAATGAGCATTTTATATTTGACTATTTTCACAGTTTACACTCGATCAGTAGTAAAAGAGAGTTAACTATTTCCCTCTGCCTTCACTAACATAGGGATATTCCCACATTGAAATCTTTGCCAATTTGATACAGGAATAAGATACCTCATTCCAGCTGTCTTCTAAAAAATTGGCCATTTATGTTTCTTTTTGTCTGACTTTCACTGTTCCCATTTTTTATTCACATTTCTTATTAGCTTGATCATTATTTTCTTAATGGGAATCAACTATGTTAAAATGCTACATATGCAAATAAAATTTCTCTCACTACAAAACAATTTTGAAGACTGGCTGTAGTTTCCCTGTGTTGTATGAACTGCTTGTTTAGATTCTTGAACTTATTCATCTAAATCCAACAGAGATGACTGCATGGAGATTTATGTTTACATACATAAATCTATTGTACAGATAAAAATACAACCAAGTGGCCCTCTAGTATGGAAGAGGCTAACAAAGACACAGCATCATGTAAATAATAAAAGGCTTAGGGTAAATCTAATTCTGGTCTCGGCTCTGCTACAATAAGCTGAATAACCTAGGTGTCACCTTAGCCCTCAAAGTATCAGCTCATCGGTCAGTAAAATGAAAAAGTTGGGCAGAACGGTCCCTACGCCTGCTTCCAAGTGTAAATCCCACGCCTCTAAGAGCTCGCAATGTTTTTCTTAGAGCATGAAACACCTATAGGACAAAATGAAATAACTGGTTATTATGAAGTAAAAAACAAATAACATTTAAGTATATGTTAAAAATAAAACTCAAATCATATTATAACAAGATTAGCAACATGATACTACCCATGTTTGCTTTTTTAAGTTCTCAGAATATTAGAAACTTGGGGAAATATACACATAGAGCGAATATATTCAAAGAATTAACACCTCCAGTGCGATTTTCTGATAATCATTTTAAGAGCAGTTTAGCAGGAAGAACAACAAAAAACGAAACCTATTTAAGAGCCCACTGCTCTTAAAAGCTCCTTGTTGCCAGAATAGTACCATGCCCCTTACAGGCATTTACATTGTTTTAATTTTTCAATCCTTGTATTAAAGAAATATCTTAAAATAAAATTAGATTTGTAGTTGGGTTTTCATGGTTCTACTCATGATATTATTAAAAACAAATCACTTTTCTCCCATCTGAAGAATTATTTCTGTGCTGTGATGCCTACGCTTATTCATTTTATAGTTTTAAAAATGTATTTAAGAAAGAATTGTCTCAAACACAAATTATGTAGGTGGAAAATCATTTCTATAGCAACAGTAGCTTCAGTCTATGAGTCCTGAAAGGTAAAAACCTCCTAATTCCAATACTTAAAACCTAATGTTTGATTTTTGATGGTGGCTCCTAATTTTTTATCACTACTAACATGAACTATCTAGACCACTATCATCCGCATGAGACCTGGCCAAATTCAAAAAGTATAAAAATACATGATGCCTTTTTAAATGATAAAGTTAATTACAAGAAATCAAACATGACACCTTAAGCTATCCCCTAGGCTGTATTCCTCTTCTTTGTCCTGTTCCCTGGAGCCAAAGGGATTCGTGGGATAATGACAGCTTCAAATAGTGAGTGATTTGAGAATCTTTGAGGTCTTACTGCTAATAAAAAGTATTAGTACCATGTCATTACTGTTACCTGGGGGAAAAAAGTAAAAAGCACTGCTCCCAGCTAGCACTGGTTTCGTCCCCACACTCAACTGTGTCTGGCTCCGATAATGGAGCACATTTTTTTTTTTGGAGAATCCTTTCTTTACTATTCTGATGGGCAGAGATTGAAAACTGGCAATAAAAAGAAATTAAAGCTGTACTTTTTCATAAACAGATGGCAAAATTTTATGTGTATGGGTGTATGCATACAAGAAAGGGAAATCAAGGGCCGGGCGCGGTGGCTCACGCCTGTAATCCCAGCACTTTGGGAGGCCGAGGCGGGTGGATCATGAGGTCAGGAGATCGAGACCATCCTGGCTAACAAGGTGAAACCCCGTCTCTACTAAAAATACAAAAAATTAGCCGGGCGCGGTGGCGGGCGCCTGTAGTCCCAGCTACTCGGGAGGCTGAGGCAGGAGAATGGCGTGAACCCAGGAAGTGGAGCTTGCAGTGAGCCGAGATTGCGCCACTGCAGTCCGCAGTCCGGCCTGGGCGACAGAGCGAGACTCCGTCTCAAAAAAAAAAAAAAAAAAAAAAAAAAAAAGAAAGGGAAATCAGTAGCAATTTTCTTTAAAAAAAAAAAAACAACTTTTTTCCCATTCTATTGCTCAGATGCAAAACATACCCGAGACACGAGGAGAATGATCACCACCACTACTTTAACACCCCAAAAGCACAGGACACACTGAATATGGTGGAGCAATAAATACAGTGTTCATGAAATTCTGTGTTATTTTCCTGGCTCTGCCATTTTCTAGCCATGTGACTGTAGCCAATTTGATTTATCTGTGCTTCAGGTGTATCATCTGAAAATAAGAATAATGATGGTGCTCTCTTAAGGGTTACTGCAAAGATCCAATGAGTTCGTATATATAAGAGAACTGTGCCTGGTAAATGATAAGCACTTAATCAAGCAAACAGTTGTCTCCATTGTTTTGTTTTGAACCATTCTAACAGGTATGCGATGTATATAACTGTGATTTTAATTTGCATTTCCCTAATGACTACTGATGTTGCGCAGATTTTCAAGTATGTATTTGCAATCTGTATATCTTCTTGAGGAAGTGACTGCTCAAATCTTTTGCCCCCCCGGGTCGTTTGTTTTCTTATTGGTGAGTTTTGGGAGTTCTTTATGTTACTTGGATATGATTTCTTTGCCAGATATATGAACTGCAAATATAGTCATGAACCACATAATGACATTTTGGTCAACAACAGACAGCATAGATAACAGTAGTCCCCTAAGATTATAATGGGGCGGACAAATTCCTACCACCTGGTTAAGTTGTAGCCATCATAATATCATACCACAATGCATTACTCAACTGTTTGTAGTGATGCTGATGTAAACAAACCTCCTGTGCTGCCAATCATATAAAAGTATATAACACATACAATTATGTATAGTACATAATATTGGGTAATGATAAATGACTGTTAATGGCTTATGTATTTACCAAACTTTTCTTTTTATTGTTATTTTAGAGTGTACTCCTTCTACTTATTAAAAGAAGCTAACTGTAAACAGCCTCAGGCAGGTCCTTAGGGAGGTATTCCGGAAGCAAGGCATTGTTATCACAAGAGATGACAGCTCCATGAGTGTTACTGCCCCTGAAGATCTTACAGTGGGACAAGATGTGGTGGTAGAATACAGTGATACTGATGATCCTGACCCTGTGTAGCCCCAGGCTAATGTGTGTGTTTGTGCCTTAGTTCTTAACAAAAAAGTTTAAAAAGCTAACAAAAAAGTTTAATATAAAAAAGCATACAGAATAAGGATATAAAGAAAACATTTTTGTGTAGTTGTGCAACGTGTTTGTGTTTTAAGCTAATTGTTATTACAAGAGTCAAGAATTTTTAAAAATTGCAAGAATTTTAAAACATTTTAAAGGGCCAGGCATGGTGGCTCATGCCTGTAATTCCAGCACTCTGGGAGGCTAAGGTGGGCTGATTATTTGAGGTCAGTAGTTCAAGACCAGCCTGGCCAACATGGTAAAATCCCTGTCTCTGCCGAGGTACCGCCACTGCACCCCAGCCTGGGCAACAAAGCAAAACTCCATCTCAAAAAAGTTAAAATTGTATATCAATATAAATAAATCCACATAAATTTTAGAATAGCTAAATCAAGCTTTCTTAAGCTTGGTAAATCTATATTTACAGGTAGCTATTTTTTTACAGGGTATGAGTGTCTCTTCATTTTTATATTAAAAGAAACATTAAAATCTTCCCAGAGGCAGATGAAGAAACTGATTATCTTCATCTTCCTCAGTCCTTTCATCAAAGTCTTGTCACAGAATGTAAATGCTCACTCCCTCTCTCAATTGATTTCTTCTTAACAATCACAGTCTTTTCAGGAATAACTGGACATCACAATCCTCAAGCTATTAATAAAGTAGTCTCTCTATAGAGCCCCTTTATAAGTCAAGTCAAGGTGTCTGGGGTTTTTCTCTGAAATAGGGGATGGGAAAAAGCAAGGAGAAATATCTCTATCACAATTAATTACTATTCTCATTTTACATACCAAACTGCAGAAAAGTTTTCACTTGATTAAAGATTTTATAAACTTCTTGCAATTGTCTTATTAGTCAAACACCAAAAGACACAATGGTAACAGACTACAACTATAAACAAGAGTTTTACAACTGTGGTTTAATAAATGTAGGGTCTGTGGCACAGTCATCCTCCCAAGTAATTCAACTACCCTGCCCTCTCAGCCAGGAAGGCTGCTTACTTTGAACCAAAGTATGTAAGAAAAGACAGCAAGTTTCAAAAAAGTATGTCGTCTCCAGAAATGAAGAATGATAAGTCAGTTAAATATAAAATTATTAGAGAGGCTGGGCACGGTGGCTCACGCCTGTAATCCCAACACTTTGGGAGGCCAAGGCAGGCGGATCACGAGGTCAAGAGATCGAGACTATCCTGGCCAACATGGTGAAACCTCGTCTCTACTAAAAATACAAAAATTAGTTGGGCGTGGTGGCAGGTGCCTGTAATCACAGCTACTCCGGAGGCAGGAGTATTGCTTAAACCCAGGAGGCAGAGGTTGCAGGAGTGGAAATTGTGCCGCTGCACTCCAGCCTGGGCAACAGAGGGAGACTCTGTCTCCAAAAAAAAAAAAAAAGTCTTCTGAATTGTTACGCTCACAAGTCTCCCTCATACAATTAAAAGTTTTCACCTCACCCATTCCTACACTTTCAATTCTTATTATTTATACACAAAATATCTGCGGAAACATCAGTACTCAAGTATAGTTATTGTACAAGGTTTTTTAACTCAAAGAAAAAAAACATTCCATATAAGCCATCCACATATTTTTAGTCATTCAGCAAAGGCCAGACATTTTGATTTTATCAACGAATGAAAATAGGTAAGAGAGGCATTTCCAGATACTGGGATTGGGGTTTCTACCTGATCTCATTTCATACCTTATTTCCTGGTTTATATGTAGGCTGCTTCCTAAAAATGGTTAACTCAGGGCTAGAGGTTACCAGGCAGCTCTAGGACAGTTAGACTACACATAATTAACAACAGATAATAAGTACTGACTAAATATGAATTTGTTTCTCTTATATATTGCCTTTTCTCTACAGATAGTGATTAACATTCATTTCTTAGCGCACACCATTGAGTCGGGAATCAGAAGAAAATGACAGAAACAGTTTACAAAAAAACAGTGGAGAAAAGTTACACAAAGTAGATGAGAAAGAACTGCAAGTTATCGGTAATGGCCCAGAAAGATGCTCAATCCAAGTCCAAGAGACTGTGGCCCAATTAAATCTTGACCTGGTTTTTACCCGGGCCATTTCCCAAAAGCCAATGATGGTTTGCAGGATAAAGAAGGAAGACAAGGTTTAGGAAGACCTTAATTGAATCAACACATACAAGGTCTGAAAAGACTTGTATGGGTTCTTCCAATCACATATTTCCTGAATTTATCTATTTTGTTTAACATTTTAATGCATTTGAAATTTGGCTCATTTTAGATTCAATGTGTGCATTTAATGTGGTAGCTTGTTCTCATAGACAAGATGGTATTAAATCACTGGTAGATGTTTCAATCAGTGTGTCAGGAGGCAATATTAGAAACAAGCCTACCACTGGTGGGCAGAGCCAACTTAGCACTGCCCTATAAGTGAAGACCAGAAGATGCTGGAGGCTCTGCCAGTACTAGGCAGGGAGAAAGGGCTCAGATTCCTTTCACTGTCAGCGGAAGCCACCTAGGCAAGCAACACTAACTTAATTTATCTATGTTGGCTTTAGTTTACAACCCTCTTTTTTTTTTTTTTAACTTGACAACCTTTAAATAGCAATTAACAGACCTTTACTTAAATTCAAATATTAAAACTCAACATTGTTCCTTAAGTTAGCCACCTGGGTCTAAACTAACTACAATATTAGTAAAGCTGCTAAGCCAATTGCTGATTTTTCCATTTTTCTTTAAGAGTAAAAATAAGGAAAATATGCCACGTTTTCTAGGACTACAAACAGAATAAATCAGTAATTTGTTTTCTTTGATAAATTATTTGAATATCCATCATGTGCCAGTAGCTTAAAGAATATTATTCTAATCCTGCATGGCAGGTGATTAAGCTCACTTTACAGAAAAAGAGACAGAAACTCAAAGAGGTTATATGGCTAGAATCAGGGCTGGAATTCAAAGCTAAGCCTGGCTGATTCCAATGCCCAGCTCTTTTCACTTCACCCAGTTACCTCCAGCATATTGACTCATTATTTCACCATTATTCATTTACCACCTTTTACTGTGTTTCTGACCATAACACATTCTTAGAAGGAATCTTATAATTCAGTATTATCCATTATTATTACACTCATTTGAAGAGCCCTTTCTTATTGCTGTTATTATTTGTAGTAAAGCATTATGAAAATCAGAATGTGCACATATGTATGTTGCAGGTGTATATATGGGAGGGGGGAATGCATAGGAAGGTGCAGAATTTTAAGTGAATTTAATATTCAAACACAGGCAAAAATACTACTAATCGTATCAAATTTTATTTCTCCTACTGAGTTTTTTTGTTTTTTGTTTTTTTTTTAAATCACTGCAATAAACTGCCTTCAATTTGGGGTCTTGTGGTTTCCACCCATGTATTGGCCACAAATGATTTGTTTCATCTGTGGCACAAATAAGATATAATTCACTTTGGTTATACAAACTCTGAAGCTTTATTTTGTATTAGAATAGTCTATTTATACATAAAACATAATATTTTTTCCACCAACTGAATCCAAATACACAATTTCAATAGAATCTCAAAAACTGTAAAGTCCACCAAAGAGAATACCTCAAAAGAAATACAGCAAAATGGCAGCCAGAAGGTGATTCCTTCCGATTATCTAAGAATAGCTTAAATCCTAAAGCCAAGCTGAAGTTTATCTCTATTTAAAACCCATGACTTTATGACTTGAAATCTTATGTTTTGAAAGTAATCAAGAACTCCTTCTGGGACAGGATGGGGATAGGAACAAATAGAAGCTCTCAACCAGTATGAAGTAGTTTTAGTCTCTCCACTAACCGATATACATATCATACTTTCAGACTAGAACAGTAATGCAGGCTGTGATTAAATATGGAATTATCAACTAACAGAAACTAGACTGATTCACATACTACCAGGGGTGACTTATGGAAGGCTGAGGGAACTATGAAAACCTCCAGCCACCCAATGACAAGTAGAAGAGGAAAATATCAAGTGGTGTGTCACTTTCCCCAGCAGACATCTTATGACACTGCATTCTTCTCCTTCACCAAGCTGATCATAGTTGTAATTTTATGTTTATTTATATGACAACTGTTTAATGACTACCTGCCCCAGTAAAATGAAGACTCCATAAGTACAACGACCATGTCTATGTTCACTCACAACAAGAAAGCCCAGTAAAGAACACATCACCTAGTGCACAGTAGAGGCCAAATAATCATCTTTGGGCTGAGTGAATGAAATTAATGAAATAAATGAGATAAAAAAATGTGGATAACACAGGTTAAACCAACAGGGAAGAGACAGGATTTCAAAACCTGAAAGCTGTCAGCATAACTAAGAATCACGCACACACAAAATTATCCCAGCTCTGCCCACAACCATGCTTCCAAAGCAAAAAAAAAAAAAAAAAAAAAAAAAAAAATTAAGCCTCAGAAGACTTGCAGAGTGTTGTTAGCAAGTATGATGCCAACATTAAAATCAAGGCCTCTTCCTGCATAGGTTCCTAAATCAAACAAGCGATTGCATCTGATGTCACTTTTATATATCATATAAGTAGGCTATGTTCAGTATCCCTTTTGAAACTGACATTCTTTTTACCTCTCTGGCTCTATTCTTCTTAGCTCCCAGAACAATCTGAGATCAGATTACTGCTCCAAGGTTACTCTGGAGATTGCTTTCTTCACTTTTCTATACAAAGCATGGATTGCAAAAAGGGAAACAATCCTTAACAGATACAACAGGTAAATAATGAGGTGGGGAAGGTGGGGCATGGGTGTGTGAAGAGTATTAGTTTGCTAATGAAGTGTTAAGTCTACAGGGAGTAGTTATCATCTGTCTCGAATATATGTTTAGTGACTTCTTTAATTGTTTATGTTTTTGGTAGCAAAAAGATAATACTTTGTAGTTTTAAAACCAATGGCTTATTTGGAATTTGATAACTTAATTTAAACAAATATAAGGTGGACTATACATTAATAGGAGTCACAAAGATTGACAAATCAAAGGTCAGATGATTCACGTAGTTAGGGAAAAATAAATTTATGTTGCCATGGTCATTACTACTTTCAAAGAGAAGGTGGAAAAAGTGAAATATATAGGGTTTTCTTTAAAGTTCAGTTTATCATTATCTACATTATTATAGTTACAAACATGGAAAGTTGATACTTAACTAGTAAATTGCAGAGAGTAGAGAAATCATGATCTGGAACTTAGAGCTGGCAGCCACTGATCTTTGCATAGGTGCCAGGGAGGAAAGTTCCTGGATCACAGCCACTAGTCAGGTAAGGTATAAAAGGACAAATTTGGGATGTGGCAGATCACTCAGGCGTGATAATCAATAATGTGTGAAAGATGAGTACGGGCGCAAAAAACCCGCAGGAAAAGACAGCCACAGACACTCAAATAAAAAGAGGCAAAAGCAGGGATAACGAGGTAACACTGTTATCTTTGGCCATTTAGTTATATAACATTAGATGCAAGACATTTAGAACCACGACACGTTTAAATAACTACAGTATGTTTCGATGACGTCAATATTACATGGAAAAAGTCAGATAAAATTCAGTCAAATGTTAAGTTTAAGTTGAACTTTCTTCAACCCTGCTCTAATTTAAAACTTTTTTCCCCTTTTATATAAAGAACTGTTACTATTTTAGAAGCCCACACACAGTTTATTGAAAAAAAGAACATTATGAGAGGCAGCATAATGTTACTGAAGAACAGGGACTTGGGAGCCAGATCCCAACTCTGCCACTTACTGCCTGTCTGACCTTGGGCAGTTACTGCCTTCTTTTTGCCTCAGTTGCCATCTATAAAATGAAATGAAGTACAATAAAACCATTTTTTTCATCAACCTCGTAACAAAATGACAAGGAGGAAAACAAGGTTCAAGGACTTGCTGAATGTCCTTTTGCTTAAAGTTGAAGTTTCTAAGAACCTACTGACAACATTAAGTGAGGATGTACTGTACTTTCCCTTTTGCGAACCTTCTTCAAAACTGCTCATTGTGTAACTATGATGAAATTGCACCCCCAAAGTGGTCTGGCCATTTGATAGTTAGACCAAAATACAGAGGTTTTAGAGCGTAAATGACAGTACAAACTACTAAGTGTAGGAAGTTCCCCCAAGTGAATCCTACAGAGAAACTTCCCAGTCTTGGTTAAAGCACAGGTTGAACAGGTATTACAGGTTTCTAGTTTAACTCTTCTGTACTTCAGACCTCACCTCTGAATGTCAAAGAGCCTATCACTGCCAATTTAAAACTGATTAAATAAACACTCTCTAAAAACCTGTAAAATGATGTCTAGGAGGCCATAACATAAAAAGTTCCTACCCAGAAATAAGATTCTTTTGATCCAAAATGTAATTCATAAATTAAAAAAAAAAAAAATAGAGTACACAGAAAAGAGGTGAGGTACTCATATCCTCGGTTTCTAAATCAAAAAACAAATGTTTACTGAGCATCAGGCATGTATTAGCTGCAAAGATGCACGTGTGTAAGCTTGACATAAATAGTGCTGTGATCATGGGATAGACAGTGTGTGTTTCTTACAAAGCCATTTATAGACTACTAAACAGGAAAACCAAACATCATGTAGCACTTCTTTGAAGACCTGCAATATATCCACTGGTGGGATCGTCATCTCCACCCCATCAAGAAAAGAAATTTTCAGCAGCTCCAAAACTCTAACTCTTAAGGTCTTCTATATAATTTGAGTGGGTGAGTGTCCCAGAGACTGGGGTCTTCATGAAGGACAGAACGGGGTATTTTTGCTGTTGCTGTTTTATTTTGGGGAGGTTAGTTGGTTTGGTGAGCTTTGTCCAGGTTAGTTGGTTGCTTGCTTTGAGGAGAAAAAATAGAGGGAAAACAGAGGAGTTGAGGTGGGGAAAAACGGCAGGGAGGAAGAATGTGTTTACTTTGGAATATCTTCAATTGATAAGTCTGTGACATCCGCAAGTAGAAATGGAAAAAAAGGGTTTGAAGCTGGGGAAAGAAGACAGCCAGAGATAAAATTTTATGAGGTATCAACTGTGGCTGTGGATGATACATATTGAAAGAATAAGGCCACTCAGGGAGAACAGATATCGAGAATAAGCACACATTAAGGATATAAGCAAGCAAGGCCACCAGCATTTAAGGTAGAAGATGAGCCAAGGGACAAGACTGAGTTGTCTTCAGAGAAGCACAGAGATGTTCCACTGAGAGCAGTGCTGAGCCAGGTAAAGAAGGGGATTTTAAGGGGTGGGCAATAGTGCCAAGAAAGAAAGATTAACATCATAGCCACATTCAAAAGGTGTCAATGAATCTGGCTATTAAAAAAATAATCTGGAAAGGCCAGGAGCAGTGGCTCACGCCTGTAATCCCAGCACTTTGGGAGGCTGAGGTGAGTGGATCACTTGGGGTCAGGAGTTTGAGACCAGTTTGGCCAACATGGTGAAACTCCGTCTCTACTAAAAATACAAAAATTAGCTGTGGTGACACACGCCTGTAATCCCAGCTACTTGGGAGGTTGAGGCAGGAGAATCGCTTGAACCCGGGAGGCGGAAGTTACAGTGAGCAGAGTTTGCACCACTGCACTCCACCCTGGGCAACAGAGAGAGACTCCATCTCAAAAAAAAAAAAAAAAAAACAAAAACATCTGGAGAGCAAGAAGTGGGGAAAATATCAAGAATGAGGGCAAGTTAAAAGAAGCCTTTTCAGAAAGGGGGTGGCTTAAGCAAGTTTTCTGATTTGAAGAAATAAAACAAAGTGAAAAGAGTGTTACCCAAGTAACATCCTAAAGAGCCTTGGTCAGGGGGTGGAAATCCATAGCAAAAGGGCAAGAAAAATTTCTTGAGAGAGAAGAATAATGGTTACCCCTTCAAACAGAAAGAATGGAAGTAAAAATGGAAGAAAATTCTGAGTTTGGTTGCTAGAAGGAAAAATTTGGATAAAGAACATTCTTGTCAGCCAACTTTTCTCTATTGAGAGAGAAGGGTGTGGTTGTGTAACCTCTACAGAGGTGGTTAGGAGGTTAGGGGCCATTTAAAGAGCCACTGAGTGTTTACTGAGGACTCAGGTGAAATCTGGAAATTAGAAATTTGTAATGGTCCCAAATGAGTTATTTTATTTTTCCCAAGAGAACAGGAAAGAGATAGATAGATAGATAGATAGATAGGAAGACCACACTGAAAAACTAGTAATAAAATCACAAACAAGAAGTTAAACATAGTTTTCCAGGACACTGAAACACATCAGTGATGGACAGCGGGGATAACATTTGAAGGTACATAACCTTCATCTCAGACAAAATAGACTCTCAGGGCCTCCACAGTATGGCGGAAAAGAGCAAATGAAAGTGAATTCAGGCTGGGCGCGGTGGGTGTGAGCCACCCATAATCCCAGCACTTTGGTAGGCCGAGGTGGGCGGATCACGAGGTCAGGAGATTGAGACCATCCTGGCTAACACAGTGAAATCCCGTCTCTACTAAAAATACAAAAAAATAAGCCAGGCGTTGTGGCTGGCGCCTGTAGTCCCAGCTACTAGGGAGGCTGAGGCAGGAGAATGGCGTGAACCCAGGAGGTGGAGTTTGCAGTGAGCCGAGATTGTGCCACTGCACTCCAGCCTGGGCGATAGAGTGAGACTCCATCTCAAAAAAAAAAAAAAAGTGAATTCAAATTCTGGATCCTGGTTAACTAGCCATGATGTTGGACTGGCTACTTTTTTGTGTCTTAAGTTTCTCATCTGCTTAAAAGGGAGAAGGGACAATTTACAATACCTACCTTTGTCAAATTATTTTAAGTATTAAAGGAGACAATATATAAAAAGAGCCAGCAATGTTTCTTAACACTTAAAAGGCACTAAATAAATATTAGGTTTTTTTCTCTGCATAAAATGAAGACACTAGACTAGTCTAGAGTCCTAGCCTCCTATAAAATTCTGTCTTAGATTTAGTTGTGTTAGCCACACCTCACACACTTTAAATATTGTGAGTTACTTTCTACCACCACCATCACCGCCCATAATTATACCACTTTACTTTCATTGTCTCATTAGTCCTGAGAACAACACTCTTAGGTAGACAGGGCACTTAGCTGCCAGAGCCTATGAGCAAACTGAGAGGCAGGGAGATTGAATGACTTGTTCCATATCAATTTAATGTTCATTAGGTTATCTTTGTTCAATAAAGTTGCTGAAGTTCATTAAAAAGAAAGATGGCCTGTCTCTGTAGCAGACAACAGGCTCTCTGCCCCCAACTCTTTTTTTTTTTTTTAAAGCTAACTTACTTCTGATTTCATTTATATCTTATTTTCATTGTGCTTTAATTTGTCAATCATTTCACATGTCTTTTTTAAAGGGTACAAGGTAAATGCTATCCATAAAATAGAGAATATCTAAAATTAATGTATGTAAAATTAGCCAGATCAGTACCTAGCATAAAAAGCACCCAATAAATATTTATCGATGTGCAAAACAGCTTCTGACTGAACCCTAAAAATTGTTAATAATTTAATACTTATTACAATCTTTGCCTGCCTTCTATGTTTACATGAATATTTCATTGGGGGAAGGCACATTATTTCAGTGTTATCTCTACTATCCACTGAAATAAATAATTTTTAGATGAAGACAGCCCCTAACATACATAAACCTAGTATTCCATGGAATCCAGGGAATCAAAGGGGTCTAGAGATGAATTCAGAAAACCCACTAAGTTGGGTAGAAAATAAATTTTCCTTTATTTTCACTATTCTCTAACTAAAATTTAGCATTTCCTTCCATTATGGATGCATGCAACAAGCCACACTTGTATTAGCAGTATCTCTGATTTGTCACCAATAGAATTTAGATATTTCATATCAAATTACAGTTATTGCAGATACCCGCTTTAAAAAGAGACATCTAATATGAATATAATCAAGATTATACTTCTTTCCCCTGAAGGAAAGAATATTCGCAGTTCTGTTTTGAAGTTGGCATCCACATACTCAATCTTGGTTAATCTCCCAGAACACGTACGTTATAGTAAATCCTCTTCTTTCAATGCCAAAAAGTTTTTGCTCCTAGAAATGGTTTTACTGGTATCTTCTCAATCTATATCTCAATATCTGCTAATCCTGGAGAGCAAGAATGGCCAACACACTTTAGAAAGTTAAAGTCCTATTTTAAATCTATAGACGTTTGGTTTTTACTTTGAGCAAAATTTTATCATTACATCAGTTTAAAACGGTGGTTCGCACCCTTGGTTGGCTGCACACTGGGATCACCTGAGAAGCTGTAAATTATAATGGAATTCTGTGGGATGCCCACAAATATGAGGGGTGGAGACACGGAGATGGGGTGGGAGAGGGGTGCTGATTGTGCGTTTTAATAAGCAGCTAACCGGTAAGTCTGTTAGTTTTTAACACCCAAAGGGTTTTCTTATAAGTTAGATATTAATATTTTTGGAGAACGTATTTTCTCCAATTCAGATAGAAGTTTTATGACATTCACTGAAGTGTTTTTCCAGTGAAGAACCAATGATTAACTCAAATAAGCTGTGGGGGGAAGGGAGAACAAGCACTTGGGAGCACAAGTGAGGGCAATTGGCACATTTCATTTTCTCTTCCTTTAAAATAATGGAAGTAAAGAGTGGGGAAAAAAAATACATGAAGTTTTCCTACTCCCTTTCTTCAGAGAATTGTTCTAATGCCTTTATTCAGAGAATGATCTGAATATTTCTAACTTAAAATATTAATATAGCTCTACTAAGAAGGGACATGAACTTCTAAAAACTCAGATTTACTAAACAAAACAGTGTTGGACATTTCAATAAAAGATTAAAAGACTAGTGTTTCTATAATAAATCCTTTGATTAAAATGAAAACAAAACCTTACTCTTTTGTTTCATACATGTACGCTTTTACTATTACTAATACTGTTATTATTGATTCTATTTCCATGTTTATCCATAAAATCCTTGAATAACAAAAATTCTTAGGACAATATTGAGATTATAAGCCTCTACACCCCTACAAATTAAAATTTAATATTAAAATGTCAAAAATCTAAAACATACATTGACCCAGCACTGTTTATTATTATATAAAAAAGTTTCATCAGTAGCTGACAAAAGAAGGCTGAAAAGGCAGGGGAATTATCATCAATACATATAGCTTTTCTAATAATAACTAAAAAGATGTACATCAATATTTAATAGTAAATACTCAAGACACATTAAGTGAATCAAGTTATGAATGTGTGAACTATAATCCCAATTCTCTTATTATATAAATGTATAGGAAGGAAACTGAAAGAATACATGTCAATAGTTACATATACAGTGGTAGAGTACAGGTATTAACATTTTTTGGTGTGATATTCTACGTTTCCCAACAGAAGCACATATTCCTTTCTATTCAGAAAAAACATTTTTTCAAGGAGTATATTGTTGTTATGTCCCATTTGGTTGCAATATAACAACTTAAAGTTAAAAAGCTTTTGGTTTAAAAAGAATGAAAGGAGTAATTTATGACCCAAGGTATAATTTCATACTATAAGACAGATGATGATGATGATGAAGAAAATGATAGGAATGGGATGAGATGACTGTCAGTGTTCAATAACATGAACTTTATCTTAAAAATAAGAACACTGGAATTCTATGACTACATGTCATAATAAATCATTTTAAGAGAAATAAAAGAAAAAACTAAAACATAAAGTTATTTACTTAATACATACTAAAAAATAGATTTAACAGTGTAAAAATAAGTCCATGGATGACAGATAAATAACAATATGTTAACTAAAATGAGAGCTATATGGGGGCCCATCAACAAATAAATCACAGAAGCCAACTATGCTCTACCACAAGATCATCTTAATTCCACCATCCACAAAATTGTCATCTGAAGGACCCACATCAACTTACTATAATAAACAGCTTACTATTGCCAATTATATATAATTATGCATGACCATGCATTCCTGTATATACATAAAAAATGAATTCACTGATGCATTCCTAAAGGCCTTGCCTGTCTCTACGGGCTTCAAATACTTTTGAGTATTTATTTCAATTTTTCAAATTAAAGTTTTTATTTACCTATACCTGACATTCTTTGAACTGAAACCTGCAGACCTATGCTAATTTGTATAGCATAAATGGCTTTATGAGAATTTAAACATTTAATCAGTCTAGAAAAGACATTTAAAAGTTTAAAATGTATGTTATTCATACATGAAAGTAATATTATTTTGGAACTAAGTGAACTGTGCACAATTTTAAATGAAACATTTAATAACAGAATAAACAGAATAACAGAACAGCAGAAGTTAAAACTATAAGTCTGTAGATGGGTAAGAAAATGTTATAGCAATCATCTGAGAAAAGCAGACTACTGAATGGTATCTATATTATGGGTAAACTATATGAAAATGTTTGATGGTGAGATTGTGGGTAACTACTTTTAAAAATATTTAAGACTATGAATACATCATTGTTTCAAGTGAAAAGGGCAATAAAAATTACAGATAAGGCAACTTTTCTAAGCCTAAATGCCCAATTTACTTCTTTTGGGATCCAGATTTTAAGTAAAGGAATAAAGAATAAAATGGAATGCACAGCTGTTTGCTTCTAGGAATACAAACAGGAGGAAATAAACAGAGGGAGGCTAATGTCTTTGAGACTGGGCTAACTACTTCATTCCCAGCTGTGTTTTAATCTGTCTTACCAAACAATAACAAACTCTTTTTTTATGACAGAGGCTGAGAAATTCCATTTGTGCCCAGCAAAAGTTAAAAGCACATTAGGAAATATTTGAAATGTCAGATTCAGTAATTTGTCCGGTCTTATGTTCCAAGTTGCATAACATCAGTTGAATTTTTCAGGAGTTAAACAATTTTAATTTTAATTCAGAGATGATGATAGAGATGTCTGATCACTTACAAGTTAAAATATACATATACAAAATATGTATACTTAAAGTATACATATACAAAGAATGAACAAGTTAAAATCACACCCAATTTACTACAGTAAGAAAATTAAGTCACTAATAAAGCAAGCTGGTATATCCTGAGGTCAGCTTATGCCACTGGATCATAACTACAAACAGGTCTGTTCTCAAAACTTCAAAACTACACAAACTTCAAAAACTCCACAAACTCCACAAGACTTCTACTATAGCCACAGAAATCAGGAAAGGCAGGGATACAGTCAGATGGCAGTGAGGTAATACCAAAGCAGGTGAAATGTCTTTTACAGCAAATTTTAGGTACTAGTGCTTTTTTGTTCCTTTAAATGGAAAACCACAGTCAGTGGAAGCTCAGAACCTGAAAAAAAAGAAAAATCAAGAAGAGGACATCCACGGAATGTACTGAAAGTACACATTCTTCAAGCTACCAGTTTTCAATGCCACCAGCATACCACAGCCACCTTTACACAGGACGCTTGATTGTAGGACATAGTCTAAGTTTAAATCTAAGTTTATAAACTTAAATTTTTTTTTTTGAGTCGGAGTCTCACTCTGTCGCCCAGGCTGGAGTGCAGTGGTGCGATCTCGGCTCACTGCAAGCTCCACCTCCTGGGTTCACGTCATTCTCCTACCTCAGCCTCCTGAGTAGCTGGGACCACAGGCACCCGCCACCACGCCCGGCTAATTTTTTGTATTTTCAGTAGAGATGGGGGTTTCACTGTGTTAGCTAGAATGGTCTCGATCTCCTGACCTCGTGATCCATCCACCTCGGCCTCCCAAAGTGCTAGCATTACAGGCATGAGTAATCCTGTAATCCCAGCACCCGCCAAACTTAAATTTTTAAAACTTGATTATAAACTTGATCCAAGTTTATGGCAATAGCTGTATTAGTTGACATGAGTAGAGGTTTTTTAAAAAGCTGTCATAATAGATACCATATATGTTACACAAAATGATGACTAATTATTCCAGAGTTCGGCATCACTTAAATCTTCCATTGCCTCTTTTTCAATCTGGTGAATTTTTAATAATCTGATGACCTATTGTTTATATTGTACATGGCAGTTTTATCATAAAGCACAATTGATAAAAAATCTTTTTGGGTAGAATGCTGACCCACCTGATTCAAACTTGAATCCCAGCTCTGCCAGCCCTGTAAGGTTTAGGGTCCTCATTTGCAAGATTAAATGGTTGCACAGTGACAGGTACATAAATGCTCAATAACTGACGGGTAGATTGGTATGGTGTATGCAATAAATGACATATGCATATAAAAGACCCAGCAGAGTGCTTGGAACATATAGTTAAGTGTTCCATAAACAGAAGATAATACACAAAACAAGTGGACAAAAATTTAAAACCAGTAAAAATAGTTTCGGATTTAAATAACTTTTCTTAAAATCTAAAAAAAAAAACCCACTTATTAGCATGCAGTATGTTATCTCTACCATCTAGCACCAGACCTACAAAATGGTAGATATTAGAGAAATTTTGTTGCATTACTAAATAATGACCATCAACAAAATAAATCATGAAGTTCATGAAGAGTTTGTAGACTGCTTATTTCCTCTTCGTATCCCCAGTGCCTGGCAGATTATCTGACATAAAGTATTTGTTTAATTTCATCTTTTCCCACTCAACCAAAAAGTACATTTATTTGAATTTTTAAAACTTTTTCTTTGTAATTTTAAACTCAGCATGAGGGTTTTGTGATTACACTATAACATATACGAGGGTAAGCTGTATAACATATACAGCTCCGTGTGTGTGTGTGTGTGTGTGTGTGTGTGTATGTACATATAGATATAAAAACCATATATATGGTTTTTTTTGGAGACAGATTCTCACTCTGTCACCAGGCTACGGTGCAGTGGCTCAATCTCAGGTCACTGCACTCTGGCTCCCGGGTTCAAGCGATTCTCCTGCCTCAGCCCCCCAAGTAGCTGGGATTACAGGAGTGCCACCATGCCCAGCTAATTTTTTTTTTTTTTTTGGTATTTTTTGTTAGTAGAGATTTGTTTTTACCATGTTGGCCAGGCTGGTCTCTAACTCCTGATCTCAAGTGACCCACCTGCCCTGGCCTCCCAAAGTGCAGGGACTACAGGCGTGAGCCACCGTGCTGGACCTGTACAGTTTTTTTTAACTACATTTCCAATATATAGTCAATGCTTAACCTAAATGCATGCATTTTTTCATGTTCTGTAAAAGAGGGAAATTCTTATGATATCAACATCATAATCTCTTATCAGAGTTCATACCAAATACATGCACGATGAGGCCATATAATGAAAAATTGCTGCTGGGGAGCTCTATTTTAAGAAACAGTCTCAGATGTGACAAGTAGAAGCAGCAGCAGAGTAAGGTGATCACAGTAAAGGGACTAACATCAATGTTATTTTGGATCCTAGAAACATTTAGTCTAAGTGGCATACTGAACTTTTGCCTCCTTTCTTACTAAAAATAAAACATGAAAAAAAAATCAGTCTCTCATATGTATATAATTTTACCAATAATACATGGGTTTCACCTGAGAAATACTCCATAAAATCAGTTTTCTAAAGTAAAAAACCAAATTTTCACACTGCTCCATAAAAAACTCTTTAATTATTTCCTCTTGTGTCTCACAGAAGAAGAAATGACTGGCTTGCTCACTCCCTGAGGAGAAAAAAAAAAACAAAAAAAGGAAAAAAAACAAATCAAGGAAGTGCTCCTAACCTTTTGACCACCCCCAACAATTCAAGAACATACTCCAGGGCGGTCCCTGCAATAAGAACTTTGCGCGATAACTGATATAGGAAAGCTCAAAAAGCAAGATTATAAAACGGAAACTACTTTTTAACACAAATAATTCTCTCAAAAAGCAAACAAAAATAACATGTAGCAATTATAAAAATTACCTTCTCTGAACTTCTGGGTTTGCCTGCTTAATCTATCACAGAGAAAGGGGCTACTCAACGTATACTTTACAGGAATGTCTCTGAAGAAAAAGATGTTCAACCACAGATGAGTTATTTTCAGAGTCAGTGATATAAGTTATTTCTAGGGGTATGCGTACATTCAGGACAGTAAGGTATTATCATATTCAAGTTCCACAGAATCCTGAAATGGTCACTCTTCTTCCCCATGTGTTTGATTTATTATGAGGATTATGAGAAAAACATTATATCTATAGTAAGAACCTTGTCACCTAAGTGAAGGCCCTTGTAATCTTAGTGCAAAGTAGTAACAAATTCAAGATAAAGACTAATAATATTTTATGTCCAAGACTATGGTTAACACTTTAAAACTGTTACCTTCAATTGCAGAGGAAAACAGATTCCATTTGATTCAAAATAGGTCACATTTAAAGCCCTAATACCGATGATTCCTAGGCTTATATAAAAATTCACAGGTCCTCAAACTGCACTAGAAATGGCTGACTAAAGACTAAGCAAAATGCACACATACAAAAAAAGGACGTGAAGAAAAAACAAGGTTTCGGGACTTAATAGAAAAATCTAGCTTTCTTCCATTCCCAGCAGGCTCCTTCTTACTAAATAAATGGACTTGAGTTCATGATTCAGAAGCATATAATAGGAGTGTTTTGATGTAACCTCATGGTCAAAACAGGTTTAGGATTGTCTGAATTTGCTTCTTGCCAGGTAAAGCAGTTGATATTATAAAAACATATTTATTTTACATAGAGCTTGTGAGGTCTTCCTAGTGATAATGACCTTCCTGATGAAGACTAAGAATTCCTATGTACGTTTTTTGAATAATCTGCTTCAAGACAGGCAACTGAAGGAACTTGTGAGTGGCACTCTACTCCACATGCACAACTCCTGTAGTATTCCTTCCTACGTTTCTGACTCCCTTATAGCTTCTCACCCCTTTCCTCATTTTCTTTCTGATGCCTGAGCCCCACCAGTGTAAATCCAGAGGTTTGACCTAATACTGACACATACAGAAAGGTTTCTCAATCTTATCTGGCTTTAACTTAACATCATTAGACATTGCTGGGGCATATGAAATCCTTCAGGGCAAAGCTTGTCATTTCTCTGTACTCACAAGACTCACAGACTGTAATTAGAAGGCACTCAGTGTGGTCTGATGCCGTTATAAAAGATAACATTATATTTTAAATCACAAAAAGGCCAATATAAATATGTTACTAGTAGATTCCAGTTTTTAAATCTAAAAGACACACCAAACATTCTGCTTCCATCAATGAATACAAACAAGTAAACACAAAAAGTGAAAGGCATTTAATTAGCATATTTAACCATTCTCACTAATAAGAGATGAGTCACCTTTATTCCAATTACTTCTTCCAAAATTATGAAGGCCTTTTATTGGGCATTTTCCCGAATAATTTCTCACTCAATTTGTAGTACATACTGAAATCTATTCCAGTTTCTTGAAAGTCAAAGATTGAGAGGAAAATTGATTATCCATTGCTGAGTATCTTGGTTGTACACAATTTTAAAACTATATACCTTTTAAATAACCAACAAGAAAACAAGGAAGAGAAGAAAGAACAAAATAAGGTATAAATAAACCTAAATATACCAACAATCATAAGTTGACTATAAGTTAAAAAAAAGTTTATAAAACTGGAAAAAGATTCATTATATACTATTTTAAAAAGATACACCCAAATATACGGATAAACAGATATTTTAAAAGGGTGAAAAAAAATTAGAGTAGGTAATGCTAAATAAAAGAAAGTTTATATATCAAAATCAGACAAAACAGATAAAGGCACAAGTACTACCGGAGGTGGAGGTCCCCTCATGATAAAAATGTTGGCTTCATTCTGATGGCATATTCTACACTTAACAGAACATAACAATTCTATACTTAAATGCATCTGATAATATAAACTCAAAATAAAAGGACAGAGTACACAGAGAAAACAAGAAGTCACTGCAACATTTGAAAACTATAATATCCCTTTCTCCATGACTGATTCTAACCTCATACAAACTCTTCCAGAGTACAAAAAAGTGGAACACCTTCCAACTCATTTTCTGAGGCTAGACCAACCTTGCTATCAAAGCCAGACAATGACAGTACAAGAGAAGAAAATTACAGGGCAATTTCACTTTGTTATCATAAATATCAAAGTCTTAAATGAAGTATCAACAAACCCAACAGAACAATGTACAGATGATTTTAGGGGGGTGAAACTATTCTGTATGATACTGTGATGGTGGATACATGTCATTTACATTTGTCAAAACTCAATGAACACACAACACCAAGAGTGAATCCTAAGGTAAACTATGAACTTTGGGTGATAATGATGTGACAATGTAGGTACAATTGTAACAACTGTATCACTGTGGTGCAAGATGTCCACAGTGGGGGAGGGGGTAAAGGTTTGTGTGTGTGTACGCGTAACAGAGAACTTTATACATTTTCTACTAAATTTTGCCATGAACCTAAAAGTGCTCTAAAAAATACAAACTTTATTAACTTGGAAAAAAGAGTACTTCATGACCAAGTTGGGTTGATCCCAACAATGTAAGATTTACCATTAATGGTTTAGCATTAACAAGAGTATTAATGCAATTCATGGAATTCACTGAATAAGCAAACTAAAAGAAAAAAAATCTTAATGAATGCAGAACAAATAGTTGATAAAATTCAATACTTAAACTCATAATAAAAGTTCTTACTAAAGTAGAAATAGAGAATTTCCTTCACCTGGAAATGATACCTTCCAAAAATCTTCATCAGATATCATTCTTAGTGGTAAAAATTAGAATCCTTCATTTTTACATCAGAGCTGTAGTTGCTTCTATCACTGTACTGGCAATACTAGCCAGCAATATAAAGAAATGTAAGGACTGGAATGGAAAAAGATTAAAGTACTGGAAAGGAATTAAAAACAACAAAAAAAAAAACAAAAAACCTGTGTTAATTTACAGAAGACTGACATAATTTTATTAAAATTAAGAACTCTGTTCGTCAAAAGATCTCTTGGAATGTGAAGGTAAGCTACAATGTAGGAGAGTAAATTTGCCACACATATTATGGATAAAAGATTATAATAAAGAAATTCCCAAAATCAAATGCATGTACTTTACAACTTCAATTACACTCCTATTTACAGATCCTAGAGAAGCTCTTTGACATAAAAAAAATGTTCTTATTTTAAGCTGAGTATCATGTGCAGTGCTTATTCATCTTATTTTCCCTTATGTCTGACAAATGTTATATTCATTTGGCATTTAATTAAATTGTCATAATTAAAGAAATAAAACATACTCAAAGATTTTAATTATTACCATCATATATAAGTAGTATATAAAAAATATCATTGGACCCCAAGTTCGTACTACTGCTACCTGCATAAAACAAACTGACCTGCATTGCATGGGCAATTTATATTATACAGATTATTTTAACCTGCCTTGCTCTTTTCAAAGAAACAAATCTGACGAAAGACTAAAGACAAGAAAGTAATTGCTATTAATTATTCTTCATGTACAGTCTCTATCTATGAGCCTAGAGTCAAAAGCTTTTCCTAAATTATTTCCAGGTGTTTCTGAGAATTTGTAAAATCTTCCACTGTTGTCCTGCTTACTTTGTTGCCTATTAGGCAACTTTGTGGTTTAAAGATTATGAAGTTTTGGTCTGGTTCATCACACAGTTTGAACTTTCAAAATGACTAACAGCAAAAAAGATTAAATATTTACATTAAAATATCTACTGCTAATACCAATGTAAAAAAAATGTGGCCGGGCGCGGTGGCTCACGCCTGTAATCCCAGCACTTTGGGAGGCCAAGGAGGGTGGATCACGACGTCAGGAGATCGAGACCATCCTGGCTAACATGCTGAAACCCTGTCTCTACTAAAAGTACAAAAAATTAGCCGGGCGTGGTGGCAGGCGCCTGTAGTCCCAGCTACTCGGGAGGCTGAGGCAGGAGAATGGCATGAACTCTGGAGGTGGAGCTTGCAGTGAGCCGAGATCGTGTCACTACACTCCAGCCTGGGTGACAGTGCAAGACCCTGTCTCAAAAAAAAAAAAAAAAAAAAGTATGACCAAAAAATAGAAAATGCTAACCTGAAAATCTTGATCCTTGAATTTTTTTTTTAAGTCCAGGTTCCAGGCTTAGATCTTTGAATTTTACACTTGACAACAGTATTACTTAAATTAAATCACTGTCCTTTAGTATTTGCATATATCATTAATGTTTTCCATCTCTAAAGAGTTTACATTTGGAAAATGTCATTTCTAATAAAAAAATACTTAAAATATTCTGAAAAACCATAGTGAAAATATGGAAGCTGCTAATGACTATGTATCTGCTTAGTATGTAAGCTATTAAGAGTTCACAATCTACCTACCCAAATACCCTTTAAGGAGCACAGGCAGAACCCACAAATTCCTGGGCTGACCACCACTCTTGGCCAAATGAGTCACGGCCTCTGTAAGTCCCAGGGTCACCTTTCTCTAGGAGTCTACTGAAACTAAATTCAGCAAACCTCTCAATGCCCAAATTAACTTTATCTCCAATTCCTCTCTCAATCCATCTACTGACCTGGCATTAACCCTACAAGGCTTTGTTTTTTCCATCCCTGACCTAGTCTACAGTCCACCTTCTATCTTACAAATTTAACTACCTATGGAAATGGTGCTCCATAATTAGCAAACTCCTCTATACCCTCAACCTCTTTTCAAAGCATTACCTCAGTACCTTGGCTGTTAAGGACTTTCTCCCATCAGCTGTCCTACTGCATTCTCTCAAAGAACAGATATTTATTCCCCATTCCCCCAAGGTCCTTCAACTACCTGAGCCATCCATTCTCTTAATCCCAGAACCTTGTCATACCCATAACCTGGCACATCTAAAATCATGACTTCAATGATCACACTGCAACACCAAATCTCCAACCTTGCAGTATACATGTTTAACTACTTCCCTGTGGGAGTTCTCTGGTCTTGGAAGAATCTCTATCCCAATCTATCAGATCACTTTTTGCTCTACTTCCCTCCTTCCCAGCCTGAAGTCTAACAGTTCAACATTTCAACAAATCTATCATACCCTAACTCTCCTGCTCATCTGTCTTTCACTGGATTAATCTAGAAAAACCCTTTGTGGCTTCAAGCTTTCATTCTCCTTGAGCTCCTACTGACCACGGCCCTCCCTCAAGATTCCATAAATACCCAACAAGTGTCTGCAATGCACCAGTGACATAGCATTTAAACACACTGTATTTTAACAAACTGCTGACTTGTTTATTACAAAATATTTATTACAAATGTTCAACAGATATTTATTGAGCATTTCCTAAGAACAGAAAGGCACTATTCTTAACTGTGAGAATTTAGCAGCAAAGAGGGTCAGAGGAGGTCCCCACTCTTGTGAGGCTCATATCACAAGGCAGAAAAAGAAAACACGTAAGTGAATAAGAATTTTAACCAGTGATAAGTGCCACAGGGAAAACAAAACAGGGTAACATGACAGCAAGTGCTTGGTCAGTGGGTTTTGGGTGTGGGCAGAACAGGGGAGGTCATCTACTTGAAAGACTTCTCAGAAGCACACTGAGACCTAAGATACCTTCCTCCATCCCCCAAAACAGAATCAGTCAGATCTATTTTGGACCTTAAACTGACACAGCCCCAGTGAAAGTACCAAACCAACTAAACAGGGCATCAAAAGAAAAAAACATAATAACTCTATTCTACAGGAGTTAGGAATTAACAGTTTTAATAAAGAGGGTCATCCCACACATGTCCACATAGATTTCTATATAATCTAAGGAGTACATATATGATCAGCAGTGTGTTCAGGATCAAGTGTAATCCCATATTTCAGACTGAAGAACCTAAACTTTAGCTGGGTTCAGTAATTTTTTCAGCATGTACCTTACATGGATTACAAAAATGCCTCCATCTTCCACCTCTCCTTGTATCTACAACCTTGTACAATGTTAGTCTGCAACTCCTCCTATCCAAAGATGGAGTCCATTTCTCCACTTTTTGAATCTGAACTGACCTTGTGACTGCCTTTAGCCAACAGAAAGCAGTAAAAGTGACACTGTCCCAGTTCTGAATCTAGGCCTCAAGAGACCCTTAGGTGCTTCTGCTCACTCGGGTGGATGCCTGTCTTCATCAATCACAGCAAGCCTGGGCCTAGCAGATGAAGCCGGAACCTATTAGAGGAAGAGTCATTCCCATCATCCTGGATAAGGCCATGCTAGACCTGCCAAGATCAGCAAAGCCTCTTACCTGACTAGGTGATCTCAGATAAGAGCAGGCCCCACAGAAACTAGAGAAAGAAACAAACGGGAGAAACTGCCCAGCAAACCCATGAAAAGTATGCACAATAATATATAGTTATTGTTTTAAGCCACTGAGTTTTTTTTTCTTTTCTTTTTTTTTTTTTTTTTTTTGAGATGGAGTCTCGCTCTGTCGCCCAGGCTGGAGTACAGAGGCGCTCTCTCGGCTCACTGCAAGCTCCGCCTCCCGGGTTCACGCCATTCTCCTGCCTCAGCCTCCTGAGTAGCTGGGACCTCAGGCACCCACCACCACATCCAGCTAATGTTTTTTGCATTTTTAGTAGAGATGGGGTTTCACCGTGCTAGCCAGGATGGTCTCGATCTCCCGACCTCGTGATCCGTCCACGCTGGCCTCCCCAAAGTGCTGGGATTACAGGCAAGCCACTGAGTTTTTGAATGGTTTGTCATAGAGCAATAACTGATACAGCAAGATTATAATGATTTACCTCTATTCAACTCTGATAATATATTAATTGTCTCCATTAATGTTTTTGAGGAACTGAAACCAATAATTGTGAAATATTTCAATTTCAGGGTCATCTTCTGTAATGAGGCTTAAATAGCAGGTCAGAAAGGAAGTGTTATATACAGTAAAGACTCACAACCCCAAAGGACTTTACTTCTACTACCAATAATAATGTTTGTTTCCTTTCTAGAGCTTCTTTTAGAGAACCTGCTGAGAAAGGAATAGCAGCCAGACTTTCATAAGAATAATGGAGGGGAGGGGCTGACTTGATATTGTAAAAATCCAGATGACTAGGTGTGAAAGAGCCTGAGATTATTCTGTTAACAACAAAATAACTAGCTGATTTCCTTTTATTTTCATCCTTCTTTTCTGATACACAATTTTTTCAGTGAACTATTTCTGAGAAATGCATCTACTTTTCCAAATTCTCAAAAGAATTTCTTTTTTGAAGTCTTCCACCTTCTTCAAGAGTTTAAGTAATTAAGTTTTTGAAAGTAGATAATATACATGTTACCTCCTCTTCTCATTCATCTGGGTAAGCATAAAAAGTTTACTAACTTGAATCGAACCAGGCCTGTCCTGTTTCCTACTCTGTGGGGTTGTCCTGAGAATCAAATGAGAAGAAGAGAGGGTTCAGAAGGAATGTGACCTGCTAGGCCCGTCGCCCACACGTAGTGTGTTCAGGGGCTACTACTGGTCAGGGGCTCTGCCTGTGTCAGCCAGCAGTACGTGCCTGAGCATGCCTAATCTCCAGCACCTTTGCAGAGCCTGAGTATTAATACATTTAAAATAACTTCACGGACATGGTGGCTTACACCTGTAATCCCAGCACTTTGGGAGGCCAAGGCGGGTGGATCACTTGAGGTCAGGAATTCAAGACCAGCCTGGCCAACATAGTGAAACCCTGTCTCTACTAAAAATACAAAAATTAGTCAGGCGTGGTGGCAGGTGCCTGAAATGCCAGCTACTCAGGAGGCTAAGGCAGGAGAATTGCTTGAACCTGGGAGGCGGAGGTTGCAGTGAGCTGAGATCCTGCCACTGCACTCCAGCCCGGGCAACAGAACGAGACTCCGTCTCAAAAAATAAATAAATAAATAAAATAAAATACTTCAAAAGCTAGGTGCAGCTGCTCAATGCCTATAATCTTAACACTTTGGGAGGCCAAGGCAAGAGAATGGCGTGGGCCCAGGAGTTCGAGATCAACCTGGGCAACATAGTGAGACCCCATCTCTAAAAAAAAATAGATAAATTAGCTAGGTGTGGTGGCACACGCCTTGGTCCCAGCTACTCGGGAGGCTGAGGCAGAAGGATCACTTGAAGCCAGGAATTCAAAGCTGAGGTGAGCTCTGATCATGCCACTGCACTCCAGCCTTGGGCAACAGAGTGAGACCCTGTCTCTAAAAATAAAATACAATATTTCAAACCTGTTTAATTATACAGTTGCAATCCCAATTTGAGGCATAAGTTTCTTTTACTTCTCTCTCCACCATCCCCCTTTACTGGTAATAATTCATTCTGCAGTTAAATTCATTCATTTGCCAAAAAAAAAAAAAAAGAAAAAAGAAACTACAAAATATCTTTTTCAAACAGCAGCAACACCTTCATTCAAAGTTGTCTTTTCATAGTCACTCCTGGGTATCCTATACCACATACTGCCTTTAGTATTGCCTCCTCACACTTCAGTTCCACTCACCTATGTAAGTGTCCCTAACGTTACAACACCTTGAATTCTTCATTCCTGTAGAATATATTCAAGCTAAGTCCTGCCTTTTATGTGCAGCCCTAAACTTTCTCTTTAAGGAAAGCTCTCCTTAGTACCACTGTCTAGGCATTTCACAAAGAAACTGATTTCTAATTCCTAAGTCACAAGGCTTTCTTAAATAGAAAAAAGAAATACGTATATTATTAAGTGAACACTACACTATCAACAAATACTCATTGACTTATGTGTAACAGTTCCTACTTTCAAGAGGTGTAAAATCTATATAAGAGGAAGACTAAATGATCACATTTCTAAACCACTCTGAGCAGGCCATGCATTTTAAGTTGTTTTTCAGCATAAATGATATTGAGGCATATTCTCTTAGAACCCCAATGGCATAAACTTGGAAAACATATACCCACGTACTTTATCTCTTTATGTAATGTTTCACAGTTTTTCAAAGTTTGTTCATATAAATTAACTCACAACATCATAAGCCTATTAAAATGGGCAAGACAAGAATTATCCTCTCCACTTTACATGAGAGAAAACTGGTATATAACAGTATCAATTTTATCAAAGTAATACAGCTAACTAAGGTAAGAGAGTCAAGGTCTAACACATTGCTACTTTCCACTTCACCACAATTCTTGGTGCCCACAGGCTTATGAAGATGCACACTGTGGTCACAAAACAGAGAGCATATTCCTGTTGGCAACTCTAACTGGTCTAAGGTATATTATGTTCTGAACTCCTAACTGCCTAAGTGGGTGCACACTGGGCTTTCCACTGGGTTGCAGGAGAAAATATTTAGTACCTCTATTTACACTTATTTTTAAATAATAAGAAAAAACAGCTTTACTAATATGTAAGACACAGATTGACAGCATTACATGTATATACTTTTTAAATAAATACATGTATAATGTTCGTACTTGAGGGTATATACTCAAAAACTTTTTATTTGTAGGGGTGCACAACCAAAATATTTTCGAGATGTCTACTAAGCTAACTGGCCTAGATATCAAAAATACAAATAAATACCTAACATAAATCACTAAGAAAAATAACTCAATAGAAAAACACAGAAAATATGTGAAACAGGAAATTTACAGAAGAGATTCAAATGGGCAATAAATATTGAAAAAGATGCCATGCATGGCTGAAATCAGGAGCATGTAAATTCAAACAAGAAGATACCATTTTTGCCCATTGGCCTAGCCAAAACTTAAGTACAGTAACACCAAGTGCTGGCAAGGATATAAGTAAGGATAAATAATTAAGACTTTTTGGAAGAAAGCTGTCTAACAGTAAACCAAATAGGAAAACCAGAAATTAATCTGAATGTGATTGGCAAATGTCTCCAATGATTTGGCCAACCCTAATTCTCAGAGGAGTTTAAGAAGTGAATGTATTGTTATCATTTGGGGCTTTTTGAATCATTATGCAGTCAGTTTTGCACAATGTGTCATATTATTACTTTTGTAAGTTTTTTTGTAGCTCCACAGACTTATTAAAAAGTATTATTTTTCAATATTATGATTGCACATTTAAGCATTTCCAATTTTTTGAACTCTACTTACGGGGTTTAGCAGGATCTTACTACAACTTACCAAAGCTCAACTACGAATACAGCCTATTTCAGCAATTCCACATCTAAATAGTTGTTTTATAAAACAACTGTTTTATAAAAATATTTGCATGTGACCACAAAGATTCTGTTTAAATTGGTTCACTATCATACTTCTAGCAATTGGGCAGGGGGCGGGGGAAATAGGAAAAAACCTCGATGTCCAACAACAGGAGTATAACAAAACCATCAAGACATGTTTTACAGTTATTGAAAGAACGATATTGACCTTTAACCAGTACTATGAAAAGACCTAAGATATTTATTAAATAAAAAGTTAAAGAATAGTACCTACAGGACAATCCCATTTTTGTTAAAATATTTATGTATATATAAGTATGTACATGCAAAGAAAGAACAGTAGAAAAATGGACCCTAAACCACTGATACTTATAACTTCTTGGGGAGCAGAGTATGGGGTAGAAGGGAAAAATCATAAAAGAGGACTTTACTGCATCAGGAGGAGTAGGAACATCTTCCTACAAGTCCTCTTGGAAGGCAGAGGGCTATAGTGCTACTCCTATTCAAATACTGCCACTGATAATAACTACTAACGATCATAGAGTTAGTCCAAAGGTCAAATCGACAGTTCAGTCAAGCACATAAAATCTCTGTCTCTCTCTCTCTCACACACACACACTCCCCTCACACAAACACATATGTGAGATATCTGTCTACACACTCATATAACCCAAGGCACTACTATCTTGATTACTAGCATAGGTACTTTGATCCTCATGTTTGAACTCTGCTACAGCTGTGTCATTTATCAGTGGGAAACAGCAGCCCTGGTGTAAAATAATTGTATTGTGCAAAGTAATCTAGCCTTAAGATACCAATTATTTATATCTTTTACTACCAAGTGTATTAACTGTCAATGTGAAACTGGAATAAACTAAAGATCAAGACTAAATTTACTCAGGTATTCAAATGTTTTTAAAATATTTGGGCTTACATTCAAGTTCATGACTTACTTTGATTTTCTAAGTCTCTGACTTTATGATAAAAATTAACAGATATTGAATTAGTACTGGTAAACACACCAGTATATCCACTTCCTCACCTAAATCCTTGCGTACATCACTAGCTTATCACAATATGCTTTCCCACTGATCCAGAAGTTGGTCTCCAAATTCTTTTGAATACATTGCTTCAAACAGTTATCGCTAAACAGAGTTGCAATGCTGGCTGAAACTTATTTATCATCTCTGGCTGTCCATTACATTACGTCCCACACTCCTTGTATTTGCACTCCTATGTAGCTCTCCTCCCACATCTGACTTTGACTTACATCAACCAGGACCACATGGGAAAGCATGATATAAGCAGAAGTTTTATAAGTGTCTAAAACTGTGGTCTGTTCTCCTAGGATAATTCCTCTTAGAAGCCAACTGCCACGCTACAAAGAAAACTTGAGACAGACTAACTGATGAGAGGCCACGAGGAGAGACGCTGGTGTTTGTTCCAGACTCATGACCTCAGTTATACCGCATGGAACTGAAGACCAGCACAGCTGAGCCTAGTCAACTTAAAGAAAAGTGAGAAATTAGAAATCATCGTTTTAAGCCACTGAGTTCTGGGGTAGTTGTTTATGTAGACATACATAACTGAAGGACTAATCTGTGTTTCAAACCATCTGAATCTCTAGTAATAATCCATACAGACTCTCTATCAGTTACCTTTCAAATTTCATCTATTCAATCAGAAGCACTTATTGCAGTTATGGAGAAATGAAGGCACTTTCATACATTCTTATATGTTCTCAAGTGAGAACATAAATCTGCACAAATTTTCTAAAGGGCAATTTGGCAAATGTTAAGTGATGAACCATCTAAAAAGCTCATGTATTTTCTCAATTCCAATTCTACAAAAAACAGACATGCATACAAGAGTATTCATATAAACATTTTTCTCACAGCAAAAACTCACAAACAACAAAGTTACCTGGAAGTAGAGGAATAAATACCATATATTCATAAGACAGAACATCATAGTTATTAAAAACCTTCTACTGAATAAATATATAACGATATAAGGATACTAATACAGCTAATGAAAATAGGATTTGACACAGTATTATCAATAGCAATAAGACTCAAATCTTTAAAAATATATATACATATTAACTGTCAATGTGAAACATTATAAATGCATAATATATGCATATGTGCCGCATACATAATTGTGCATAATTGCACATATAATTACATATAATACATGCATCTATGCTGCATATATAATTATGTGTTATATATGCATAATATATGCATATAATTGTACACAATAATTATATTAGTAGAAATTCTCTCTGCACAACAGGACTGTGAATGATTTTTATTTTCTCCATCTTTATACTCCTTAGTATTTTCCAAATGTTCTACAATAAAAATGAATTGCTTCTATAAGAAAAAAACACTTAACATTATAAAACAGGTTAAAAAGAAGCATATACACTAAACGTACACTTTTATTATTTGATTTGGAATCATTCTGTGGTATTTCTTTACTAACTTTAAAAAAATGCCATCAAGCAAGTGCCTGCAAGGTGCAGAAAAAAGGAAATCCTTGCACATTGTTGGTAGGAAAATAAATTAGTGCAGCCATTATGGAAAACAGTATGGAGGTTCCTCAAGAAATTAAAAATAGAACTACCATATATGATCTACAATCCCACCTCTGGGTGTATACCCAAAAGAAATGAATTGCCACCTCATAGGAACATCTGTGCTCCCATGTTCACTGCAGCATTACTGACAATAGCCAAAATAAGGAAATAACCCACATGTCCATCAAGAGATGAATGGATAAAGAAAATATGATGGAATATTATTCATCATATTCTTATAAAAAATGAGACCTTGCCTTTTGTGACAACATAGATAGAACTGGAGGACATTATGCTAAGTGAAATAAACCAGACAAAAAGAAAAATACTGCATGATCTTAAATGTGGAAGCTAAAAGAAGTTTGTAAAGTAAAATACATAAAAATAGAATAGAAATGGGGGGATGGGAATATGCAGATCAAAGTGAGTATAGAGTTACACTTATAGAAGATGAATAAATTTAGAGACTACAGTAGAGGACTGAGATAATGTATTGTATACTGGAAATTTGCTGATCAAGTAGATTATAGGTGGATATGTGAATTTGATTGACTACTGTAACGATTTCATTACGTACATCAAACATGTACACCTTACACTTATACACTAAAAAGCTATTGTTATCAGACTACATCTATATTGTGATAGAACAGAATTGATTTTTCAAAATAAATACAGATGTGTTTTCCACAGAGAAAAAATTCACACTAATTTTACCATGTTATATAATTTCTTTGTATTGTGAAAATTGGGCAAGGAGTTATTTCTTTTCAAAATTTTGTCATCATGTCCTATTTTACTGAGTTTTATATTTTATGTTGAATAGCTTTTAAAAAAATTTTTTTAGAGATGGGGTCTCGCTCAGTTGCCCAGGCTGAAGTGCAGTGGCATGATCATAGCTCACCTCAGCTTTGAGTTCCTGGGCTCAAGCAATCCTTCTGCCTCAGCCTCCTGGGTAACCAGGACTATAGGGGTACACCACCATGACCAGCTAATTAAAAAAACAATTTTTTTTTGTAGAGATTGGGGGTCACACTATGTTGTGTAGGCTGGTCTTGAACTCCTGGCTTCAAAGAATCCTCCTGCCTCGGCCTCCCAAAGTGTTGGGATTACAGGCGTGAGCCACAGCACCTGGCCTTAACATTTAATAATATGCAACTTCAACCACTTTAGCGAAAGTTGGAATTTTCACCTTAGAGGCAAACTTTTTTAGAGCATGTCTATCCAAAGAAACAATATATGTAAATAATCCAAGTTATTTGGAAGGGATAGGGAACAAAAACCACTCCCCATGTAGACAGCATCATAGCAAGCAAGCATTGGCAATATTACTCAAGCACTGACACTGTTTGGGAATTACTCTTCAAGTGGCCAGTAATTTCAGAAGCACCGAAGAGAATCCCTGGCCTCACCTAGCAGGGTGAGGTTTCCACCACAGTGAAGTTCTACTGCCACTTGTGCTAAATCAGTTTCTTCAAACTCACTTGCTCAGGACAGCCAATCTAGGACTGGCTTCTACTCATTCTTCCTCAAAATTCAGCACTTTCTCTTCATCCTCCCTGGTCCTGGCCTGAACCATCCCGAATAACTTCAACTATTACTTCTGCAACACAAGGCAAAAAGCTTCCCTGAATATCACTGGTACCATTACTTCTTTTCTCAGAAGTTTACAGATGCTCAGGTCTCCCTGGCCTTTAGGCATTTTGCACTATATTATAAGAAGACCTCTGATCTCTAGTCTTTCACATCTTGACTTCCAATGATGAACTGGGCCTTCCTCTCTAACTGTATGTTTCTGGATGGCTTGCCAATGTTAGTGCCTTGGCTCTAGCTAAGGACAGACAATGACTGAAGACTAGCAGGCCAATGTCTGCTCTAGGAACAGGCATGTGATCCAAGGTAGTCAAAAGTCCTTGTCCGAGATTTTTTTAATTTGCAACTAGAGAAGAAAACTTACATTTTAGGTTAAAAAGCTAAACGGGTGTAATTTGGGGCTGCACGTAACCATTTTTTCTGGTTAAAGAGAAGCTTTCTGTTGGGGGGGAGGGGTGGAAAGCAGGTGAGGAAGAGCCTTGAAGAATTTACTTGCATCACTCTTGAAATCAGTGTGAAGTGTTTCCTGGCTGGGCACGGTGGCTCATGCCTATAATCCCAGCACTTTGGAAGGCCAAGGCAGGTGGATGACCTGAGGTCAGGAGTTGGAAACCAGCCTGGCCAAACATGGTGAAACTCCCATATCTACTAAAAATACAAAAAAATTAGCCGGGCGTAGTGGCGGGCCACCTGTAATCCCAGCTACTCAGGAGGCTGAAGCAGGAGAATCACTTGAACCCAGGAGGCAGAGGTTGCAGTGAACCGAGACTGAGTCACTGTACTCCAGCCTAGGCAACAGAGCGAGACTCTGTCTCCAAAAAGAAAATAGTTTCCTTTTTGCTTATACTAGTTGGCTTTGGGCCAGTGACTTTTACAACAACAAGGGTTGTGACTAGATGACAAATGAGAAGAAAAAAATGCCCTGGGATGTTCAGATTTAGGTAAAGAGGCTTGCTTTTCTTACAATTTGTTTTAGGGCTTCATTTCAAACACCTAATTGTCTATTACATGCCAGGCACTGGAAGCATAAAGGTGGCTACAGTATAAGACTATCTCTGCCTTCTGAGACCTAATAGTCCAAAAGATTCTCTTGGTGTGGGTGGCTTACTGGTCACTTCAGAGCATAATTCCTAAGTAGTTCAGAGGACACTCCTTAGTGGCCAAGATGTTCCCCCAGTGGCTCTGAAATGTCTATCATCTGTACCTCATGAGGACCTCTTTATTTCTTTTGGGTTTCTACTGGACCCACTGATTTCAGTATTTTAAAATTTAGTCTACATTCACTTCTTCCATACTAATCACGATAGTACAGACTTCAGTAATATATTTCCTTGTTTTCTTGAAACCAAAGTAGACTTAAAAAGTAGACTTTTTGCTTAGAGGATTTATGTGTAGTCTAACATACTATAAAATGTACTTATTTATTGTTTACTTTGACATTCTCTCCCCCATCATCCCACTCCCCAGACGGGCAGAATTTTTTGGTTTATTTCATTTACTGATGTACACTAATCACTAAGGCACACAACTATGAGTTCAAAATGTATTCAAGAGAATTGGAAGAACACATGAGTGAGTGACTAATTGGAAGACCTTGCCACTGGGACTGAGATAATCATTAAAATCAGTTGGCTAAACATTGTTATCTATTGGATGATAAAGAGCAGCTTCTGCAGCAGCTTTCTCCTTTTCATAAATTGCCATACCATACCAACCCCATCCCCCAAGTCTTTCTTTATATATAGCAATGCTTTCACTCAGGTTGTGGTCCAATCTCAAGACCAGGAGGCTATTTATTCTTCATCTTTCCAGTGACTTTACACTGCTCTATTCTGATCCACTCTGCAGGGGTTTGGAGCTTAACTGTGAGAAATGCCTCTCCCAGCAACCCCCACAACGGGCTAAGGCCTTTCAATATACGTAGTCAAAACATTAGATATTCTTCATAGCATTTATCACAGTCTATCTTACATATTTGCATGATTATTTTATTACTGGCTCCCCCACTAATTCAACTATAAAGTTCTTAAGAGTAGTGTCCATGTCTGTTTCATTCATAAAGCTTAAAGCACTTGGCACACAGTAAATATTCAATAAGCATTTGTTGAATGAATAATTAGATGGATGAATATGAAATTCCCAGCCTGAATCTATAAATAGCTAGATAGTCATTTAGGTAGCTGAGATAGGATAGGGGAGTGGGTTGTGTTTGCTTTTTGAGGGGAGTAAAAAGATAATGTCAGGAGTCCTTTGTGAAAGTCGGATTTTAGCCACCTGAAATGCTATGTCCTCTCAAGCAGCTCAAAAACCAAACCACCATTAATATGTCCACCTGGGGCTCCCCCTCCCACACCTACTCCTTTATTCCGGTCAAGGGTCTCATCATCATTCTTGTAGACACTCAGACACAAAGGCTTTGAGGAGCTTTTGACCTCTTTTTTTCTGTCAACCTCCTTGCTCAGCAAGACTCCTAAGGCCTGTCAGCTCGTCTTTAACATCTTTGATCAATGGCCTTTCCTTTCCATTCCCGCTGCCACAAACTTAGTTCAAGTAACTACCCAATTATGGCAACAGACTCAGAAATGGTCTCCTTGATTCCCACTTTGCTCCTGTCCAATCCATGCTGCCTGTATTGAAATCTCCCTAAAACCTTCATGTTGCATAATTAACGCTATACTAAAAAACATCTGCAAAGGCTTGCCCGGAAAATAAAAACCTCAGCCTGACATTCAAAGACCGGACACAGTATGGTTCCAAACAGCATTCCTAGACTCACCTCCCATCATCCTAGCATTTTCTACAGAACCATCACTAACAAGCCTAGTTAGTATTACTCATCACACATATTCACATATTATACGTGTTCCCAGCCCCATGAATGTATCCTCCCAGTCTTATCAACTCATCTGAAAGTGAATCCCATCTATACCCTCAGGCCTAGCTCAACTCCCACCTCTTCAAGTCGTTCCAGGGCAGCCCAGCCTAGGCTGCCTCTTCCTCCTCTGAATTCTTATGACTCAAACTAGCATCTTCTTTTTTTTTTTTTTTTGAGACAGAGTCTTACTCTGTCACCCAGGCTGGAGTGCAGTGGCGTGATCTCGGCCCACTGCAACCTCTCCCTCCTGGGTTCAAGCGATTCTCCTGCCTCAGCCTCCCGAGTAGCTGGGACTACAGGAGCCCGCCACCACACCCGGCTAATTTTTGTATTTTTAGTAGAGACAGGGTTTTACCATGTTAGCCAGGTTGGTCTCAAACTCCTGACTTCAAGTGATCCGCCTGCCTCAGCCTCCCAAGGTGCTAGGATTACAGGCATGAGCCACCATGCCGTGCCATTTTTTTACACCATTAACTCTAACTTACACATACACATATACACATAACTTTTCACCCTTAATTTCATCTTATATTTATCTGTTATTTAAAAAAATGAAACAGTCACAAGAAAAGAGCATCTGCTAACAAATTCAAAGAAATTCCATCCTGTATAGGACAGACAGGTCCTATGTAAGGCCCTGTCTCCAGGTCATCGACTCTTCAACTCTTCCAATACTTTTTGTGTTTTTGTATTGACCACTTCCTCCCCCTTCCTAAATATAGGCCAGCTTTGAGAATAAGAAGAAACGAAGGGGTCTATCCAGATTAGGGAAGAAAAAGTCCCTTGACAAATCCAGAAAGTGTTCTTAAAATGCAACCACTTGAGTTGTGGGGACTATTCTTTCCCCATCTTGATTAACTCCTTAAATAACTAGGAGCCAGCATCATCATCATCACAGATACCACTTCTTTAGAGGCTGACTAGATGCTGGGCATCACAGGAAATACAAGGAGGATATTGAGCAAACCTGGCCCTAAGCAGTGGTCCTGGGGCTAAAAATAAAAGAATTCCACAACAAAGTCTACTGAGGCTGGTAGTCCTGGCACACCAACTTGAAAACGAAAGAGACAACAACAACAAAAAGGCTATTGTGAGGATTATAGGAGTTTAATGCTATGCTGAAGTGCCTAGCACTAAATAAGTCTATGTTCCCCAAACCATCTCCCTGTTTTAATATACTGCATATTTATCTCTACACTACAAACTCCTTGAAAGCTGAGATCATAGTTCGTAGTTGTTTTGTAACTAATGAATTAGCATAAAGTGCTTTATCAATGTAAGGAATCACATATTAACAGTCCAAAACTCTTGTTATAAATATGGAAAAGAAATATAATGCCCACAAAGTGTTCTAAAGAATTATATAGCTCTAGTAATCAAAATTTGGTTATATTATTATAGAAAGTATAAAACAGTTTTTGGCCAGGGGTGGTGGTAATCCCAGCACTTTGGGACGCCGAGGTGGGCGGATCACCTGAGGTCAGGAGTTTGAGACCAGCCTGGCCAACGTGGCGAAACCCCTTCTCTACTAAAAATACAAAAAATTAGCCAGGCGTGGTGGTGGTGGGCACCTGTAATCTCAACTACTTGGGAGACTGAGGCAGGAGAACTGCTTGAACCCGGGAGGTGGACGTTGCGTGAGCTGAGATCATGCCAGCCTGGGCAACAAGAGTGAAACTCCGTCTCAAAGAAAAAAAAAAAGTAAAGTATAAAACAACTTTAAATATCAAATACATAGTTAATATATTCTAATGTTTTTTATGGCACTTGTTAGATTCCCCATCTTCATTCATATTTTGAATTGTGAAAATCTGAAGAAACAGATTTTTCTCCTTACTTGCAACGCTAGTTTTGGTAAGTTTGGAATTAGCATACATTAGATCCAGCTATTGCAGATATTGAAACAAAACCTCATACTCTATTTGCCTATGTAAGAAAAAGTTCAATTTTCAGAACTTAGAATTTTAAGTTAAAAAAAGCAGTATGAAAACATAACCTTAAAAAATTTGCATACTATTTTACCCCCGCAAATATTGTTTTGATACCCAGTCCTGCAATGACCTTTAAATAATCAGAATAAAGTTTCTCACTATTCAGAGAGCCTTAAGATTTACTTGGCACTCTAAGTTAACCATCTTAAAGCTTTGAAGCACAAAGGAATAGTAAATGACACATCCATTTTAAGTTACCATGGCCTGTCATTACAGAATCATTAAGCAATATTTTCAAGGAGCAAGCAGAAAGCTTTATAACTCAAACGTATAAGATTTTCTTCTGTGCTTTATGGGCTAAGTTATTTGCGTTCTCATAAGAATACGGAATATTTAAAGCCACACTTTACAAGTTATAAAATTCACTTATTTTCAGCATTCTTCATAAAGATAACAGCATAAATTAAGTTATAAAAACAATATGAAAATTCAATAATCAAACTCAAACTCTGTGTAATGTATTTACACACACAAACACATAGTAACATAATTAAGAGGCTGGCTAGCTTAGGGCACATAGAAAAATTATTCAGAAAAAAAGTATTAAATATCTTTAAAGATAAAGATTTTTGGCCAGGCACCATGGCTCATGCCTATAATCCCCCATTTTCGGGGACCAAGGCAGGAGGATTGCGTGAGCCTAGGAGTTCAAGATCAGGCTGGGCAACATAGGAAGACCCTGTCTCTCTCAATCAATCAATCAATCAAATTAGCCAGGCATGGTGGTACACACTTGTGGTCCCAGCTACTCGTAAGGCTGAGGTGGGAGGATCGCTTAAGCCCAGGAGGTCAAGGCTGCAGTGTGTTGTGATAGAGCCACTGCACTCCAGCCTGGGTGACACAGTGAAACCCCCCTCAAAAAAAAAAAAAAAAACAAAGTAAGATTTTTCATATTTTACTGTTTTTTGGCCAAATGGATGTGAAGGAAAATACATTCTCTATATTACATATTTTTTTAATCTAGCTGCAAACTTGTATTAAAGAACCAATTTCAAAGTGTATAAAATAAACTGATTAACTCAAACCTATACAACTCTTACGCTGATCAGGTCCTTTGTTTACATTAGCAGTACTATCTGTTTACATGAAGATATGTATACAAACATTTTACAAGGAAACGTAAGCACAAAAAGCAGCAAAAGAAAGTACACACAACCCTGGCACTACATACATCATACTTATCTGTGATTGTCTATCCAAAGCTTAAAGAGGGAGGATAAAATAGTTAAGAAGGATAGAAAAGCTAGCTTTCCATATTTCCCGCATCATCTCTGCTTGGCATTGTGAGTTCCTTGTTTTCCAGAATATTATAAATCCCAGAACAGTACAAAATTCAAAGAAATTTAGAAATGGAATTTAGAGGTTGCCTTTTCCAGGTAACCTAATTTAAAGACGTGAAGACTGAGCTCCAAAGTCATTAAGGTCAAGACCACATTTCAGTTCCTATGACTTCCCCACTACAATCCTCTCCTCTTACCACCTACAGAGATGCAAGTGTCAATACCAAAATATAATTAAGAGATAAATTCTTTCTGGTAACCTGCCATTTTTAACACCAACCAACATTTGTCCAGGAGAGGAATAATTTAAGAGTTATATATATTTCACTTCACAATGGAAGCAGAAACAACTGAAATTCTTTAGGTCTCCCTTCTTGCAGTGAGAACTTTCCAGAACACAGGATTAGGAATAGTCAAAGGGCTGACATGTCTTTTATTGGCATTCCTATCTTTCCACTTCCCATGTGAACAAAATCCACCCCGATAACCCTGTAACCTCCTTTACATACAATTTGATCAATAACCACCTTTCTTCATCTGAGAAAGAAATGACAATGAAAAACTATAGCCACCAACACGAATCACTTTCCTACTTCAGACTCCTATCTTTTCCTCCACTCTGAATATTCTAAATATAGTTTATGTTCCTGGGGTTTCTCATCCTGCTGTCTTTGCAAACTGTAAGTTCCAAAGGCATGTTTCTGCTGTTTTATTATGTGTGTGACAATGGGAGTAGTAACTCTGACTACTTCATGAATGAATAATGTATGTGAAGGTACTCTAAATTGTAAAGTTTAAGATAAAAGTAGTGCCCCTATCCTATTAGAATGATAAATAACAATACAAACAAGTAAAAAGTTTCTAGGAAATTACAGTGCACATTAGGGATTTAACTAACCTTAAAAGAAATTAGTCTTCTGACATTACCCAGAAGATAAAGCAGTAGCACCTAACATTCAGTACATCATATATTTATCAATGGTTAGTTTTTTTAAAAGTTTAATGAGTGATATGCAACACTATGCTCAATTTTAGGAGAAATTACTTCCATAATATTATAAGTTATTTATTGCTACTTTTGGACACAATTACTGGCTATGAATACCAAAATGATTAAAACCTACAAGTTTAAAAATGTCTTTAAAGTAAAATTATTATAGCTTTCTTAATATTGTCTTAATTTTCCAGAGAAACCTACTTAGGCATTAGACATGGCACTCAAATAAAATTCTAATTTGTTTAAGTAAACATAAAAGAAAACCTAATCAAAATGGCTCGTAAAACAAAAGAAACTCACTCAATGTCTTCCTAACAGCTTAGTTCTAAATTAAAACATACATACTCAGCCCACACAGAATAAGATTTTGTACTATCAAATAAACATTCATCCAAGAATGCACGCAAAGAAATTAAAATGTTATTGAAAATTGAAATGTTACCTCTGTTTTTATAAGATGAGCTAGGCTTAATGTACAGTAGTCAAAATTACATTGAATAAATGACCTGAAATGAAAAAACTGTTTTTCTTCACATATACCATACTACTAGCTTGACAAGAAAAGAAGTATCCCTTTTCGTGGCAATATCAACTCACTTTAATTTAGGATGGAAATAACCAATAGAAAAACATTTGATGACTGCATTTCACTCAAGTATTTTTTTAGGCCATCTAATAATGTATAGTATAATCTCCAAAGAAAAGATTTCACCCAAAAATATTCACAGAAAGACCATACCATGAAACTATTCCATTCCTGTATCTTCTGCTTTCTCTATTTCTACATCCAAAAGCAAGCATTCCTAATACTTATAAAAAAGCCCTTGACGTTTTATCTAAGTATCTTTCTAAAAGATTAAAGAACCATACAGGTAATTATAATTTACTGGAAGTATAACATGATCTTAAAAATGTCACAGTAAAAATAACTTTCTAGGCTCAATGAAATAAAGGTAACTTTAGCTAGGTATCTGTTATTGTTTATAAACTACTGAAGTCTTAACCCAGTTTGGCATTTCAGCATTCTCTTTCATGTCTCAGTTTATTAAAATTAAAGAACAAATAAGGTTAAACAATAAAAACAAACTCTTAGGTAAATAGTTTCTAATATAAAAATAAAAAGACAAAACCACCCATATTTTTCGTTGGGGGATTAAAATTTTTCCTACATGATGTTGACCTCCAGCTTTGTATTTGTCTCCAAGTAGTACTAAGTTATTAAGTTTGAACATAAATTAGTTTAATATTCTAAAGAACTGGTTTTAAGATTGGGACTGACTGGTCATCTTTTCTCTCAAGCTCTACTAAAAGCCTTTTTTAAACAAACATATCAATAAAACATCTTGACTTAGACATATTTAAATAAACTGAGGCAAAAATACAAACAATGCTCCAATATATGCTCATGAAATATTCAGTAACTATTTCTATTTTTACTCCCTGACCGTCATTGTTTATCAAATTGTGCCTAGCTTTACATCACTTTTGCTACCTATAAACAGCCCTGGTCAAAATATACATGAACAAGGTTCACTAAAAAAAAAAAAAAAAAAAAGATGTTCACGTAACTCAGATTTTTTTTTGTTTGTTATCTCTCAGCACAGATAATCAAAGATCAAAACTTTAAGTACCACATAGCTAATGACCAATAATCCTCTATTACCCAGGAATATACACAGAAGCACCAAAAAAAAAAAAAAAAAAAGGTAATTGTGGTCATATTCTGATGAAGCTGGACGATTCCAAAAGAAAAAAACGAAGATACAAAATTATTTTTAAAAGTGGCCATAAATGATCTAATTTCCAAATCAATGAATCGATGAATATTCCAGGCAAATAACATTAGAAAAGTAAGAGTGCCATTTTCTTCTCTCAAAATTCTGACACTATACAAAATAAAGAATACAGTCACCATTATATGATAAACTTCAGAAAATCATGATCAAGACTGGACATACAACTATTCAGCTGAGGAGTAATCACAGCATTCTAATTACGAAGGAAAAAAATGAAAGTCAAAAAACTCACTTTATATAGTATCTTGCACCTTCAAAAGTATATGCTTCTTCCCAGCCAGTAGGCAAATCTAAAACAATACATATATTACAATTAGTATTACTTCAATGATAGCAAAATAAGTCTCAATCCATTTTAATTATCCATTTTCATTTATTAGCTGTTTTAATTAAGTAGATTACTAACAAAAAAAGTGTTGAGCTGGCAATACAACAGATATCATTTTTTGAAAAACAGCAATTCAAATTTAGAGCCACCAGAAAAGTAACCATAATATTAGAGATTATCTGACCTGAGCACACACTGTAATATATTAGGGTGGAGAGGAACTATGTTCTGGCACCCAAGAAAGCAAAGGGAAGCCTTCTCATCCCAGGTGGAACACTCATGAATGACTAGCAAAAAAAAAAGCTGGGTATAACAGGCAACGCCTGCCTCTTCTTGGGTATATTGTGTCTATTTAAGACCGTATTTTTCAGCTACACAAATGAATCCATCTAGGAAGTGTCACCAAAAAGAAGGCAGAACTTCCTAACTACTTAATTAATGGAAAAGAAATGACACCGAATACTTCCGTGTGTGTTTCTAAAAATTTGACTAAGAGACGTGAAGTTTCAAGTAGTAAAGTTGGGGATGATTCAGGTGAACAATGGTCATTATGTGCTACATATTATTATTAATGACAAGTTGTTTGGATTTCATCAAAATGCCTCTTGGAAGTAAAAACAACCGATGTGTGTACAAAACCAGAGTCCAAGCAAAGTAAAACCAAACCAGAAAAAAAAAAAAGTGAAATCACATAAAAGAATAAAATTTTTCTGTGGCGTGAATGTTACCAAATCTGTGGGGTTAACTAGGACACTTATTTATATCACTCATAATTCCATAGGATAATTAGTCTAAATAATTTAAATGTCATATCGTCTTTCATGAAATAAATCTATCATTATCCATAAAAGCAAAGAGGCCATCAAAGTTGGAATATGCGTGTAAAACACCAGAAAGGTATATTGAAGCAAAAGCCTGCACCGGGGAATTGAGAAACATGATAGTGTATTAGTCAGAAATGCCTTAAAAATGTAAGCTCATCATGCTTGCTACACCAGCCTTTCCTTTCTTCCTCCACCTTTTTGCAAATTTGGAGACATTAGTCACTTCAGTGAACTCCAGCATTTCACAGAGAGGCAGGTTTGTTCAATATCCTGGCAACTTTAACAGATTCACGGAATGTCAGAGTCCGAGAGAATGTACCCCAGAGGCCAGCTCTGAGGACTGCTGAAACTGGCCTCGCCTTCGACCCAAACTGCTCTCAAGCCTTTCCAATCACCAGGACTAGAGGCAGGCCAGTAAGAGAACACATGTTACATTTCAAAGACAAACAAGTCACGAATGTAAACAAAGAATGATAAAAGAAACCCAGACCAGTACAGAAACTACGAGGAGCCTTTTCCAGCTCCACTCACACTTAGCATTCAAACAAGCTCCCAAAGCCACCCGAGAGAGCCGCTTCCCCACGGACTCCCTCCAAACAGGGCCCGGGTGCCCCCATACGGGACACCCCCTCGCACGCCCACCGCCTCCTGGCAGTCTGTGCAACCTCCGTGCGGCTGGCGGGGACTTTAGATCCGGATCGCCAGCAACTGAGGCTGCGAACGCCTCCTCCGGCTCCGGCTGCTCCTCCCGTGGCAGGAGGGAACGCGCCAAGCGTTTCCCGAGCCGTTCCCTGTCACAGAGAGGATCGCAGCACCCCCGAACTCCTCTCCTCCTCCTCCTCCTCCTTCATCAGCCACCTACCCACAAGTCCCACCTAGGAGGAGGAAGCTGCACGGCAGGAGGCAGCGCTCCTGGGAGGAGGGGGAGGATGTGGTTACGTTATCCCGGCGGGCGATCGGGGTCCGGGGCTGCAGGGAGGGGAGTGGGTAAGGACTGCCTGAAGATTGCTGGGGGGCAAGACGGCAGCTGGGGGTCACCGGGGAGTGAGTAGCGGCCGCGGAGGAAAAACTCAGGACTCCAGGTTTCAGGGAGGGGAGCGTCGCCACTCTAGGGTCGCGAGGGTCGTCTAGGCTGGGATGGGGGGAGAAGGCGCAGGAAGAGGGCGCCGTCTCCAAGTGCTGATGAAAGGCTGAGGAGAAAGAGGCGCCCCGAGACTGGAGAGAACTCCCGGCGGCGGAGTCCCCGTGGCCCCTCTACCTGCGGCCGCTCCCGCCCGGCCTCCGCCCCGCCTCGCCGCCTCCCGGGGCCCGCGGCGCGGGGCAGGTTGCGGGGAGCCGGGCGGCCCGGGCTCTGCCGCCTCCTCCAGGCGGAGCCCAACTCCGTTTGGGCCCGGCGTTACCTGTGCTCTGCCGCCGGTGTCCGGTGACCACCGCCTCGCCGGTGACGGGGTGCAGCCAGGTGGTGCTCTTGGCCTCCTCGCTGCAGGGGTGAGAGAAGGGGCAGACACGGAGCGTGAGAGGGGACGCGGGGGCGAGCCGAGGGGCTGCAGGAGCACAGACCCGGGCTCTCCCCCGTGTCGCCAGCCGCCCGCCTCCTGCCCTCCCGCCCCCGCGGGCCCCCGTGCCGTCCCCGGCTCTTTACTTGATGAAGAAGACTCGGCCGCCCCTGGTGATCCCGTAAGTCCAGGACCGGGGCAGGGAGATCCACTCCAGGTTCAGATCCGCCGCCATGTCTGATCCCTAGCCGCCGCCGCCGCCTTCTCCTGCTGCCGCCGCGGCTGCCGAGGGAGGAGGGAACGAGCGAGCGAAGGGAGCGCGGAGCGAGCGCGCCTCCCCGGCCCGGCGCGCCCCCGCGCGCGCCCTACCCCCTCGGGCGGTGCCCGCCCCGCCGCCCCGGCAGGGTCCGGCCCCCGTCGCCGCCCCTCCGCATCCCGGCGGCCGCCGGCCGGCCGCCCCGCCGCGCGCTCGGGGGATGGGCAAGCGGCGCCGCGCCCCAGACCCCTCCCTCGGGCCCCTGCGGCGCGCCCGCCCCCTCCGCCGCGCGAAGGTTCCGGGATCGATTAAAAAAAAAAAAAAAAAAAAAAAAAAACGCGTCCTGCCCCCAGGGCTTTGCCCGAAGGCTTCCCATCCCAGGGCGCGATCAAAGGGAGCCTAATAATGCCCAAGCCCCTGATTTCTCTCTTTCAAACAACAAAAACACAGCGTCTGAGCTTTGTTTTATAAGAGCTGTTGGAGAGCCAACAGATTTTTCCAATATATTTATCGTTTTAAAATGGAAAGCTGTTTTTATTAAAGCACACGAAAGGCCTTTCCTGTTTGTTTGTTGTGTGCCAGATATCAAAGGTTGGACGTGATACGTGGCCCCATGAAATATGAGTGGATTTAGACTTGACAAAACAAGTTTTTTCTCTTCCTAGGCCCCTTAGGTCATATCTTATAAAATAAAAACTCGTCTTTTTCTGGTACTTGTTTTTAAAGATTCACTTAACATCAGTGTGGATTTTTACTTGCCCTGTCTCCAATAGATTACAATAATAGCTTATTTTATGGAGTCCTTGTGACGGTGTACATTTTTAAATCTTCACAACAACTATATATATATGTGTGTATATATATATATGTGTGTGTGTGTGTGTATATATACACACACACACACAATCTATAAAAAATCCCCATTTTACAGATAGGAAAAATGAAGTTTAAAAACACAGTAGTTTGCCCAGTCATAGTAATAACTGCCAAAGCCTGGATTCAAACTGGCTGTAGGATTTCAAAAGTATATTTGTATAACCTCCTTGCTGTACAAGCCCACTTTGTTTTACTGCGATTCACTTTATTGCTGTTTGCAGATCTTTCACATCTTACAAATTGAAGGTTTGTGGCAACTCTGCATTAAGCAAGTCCTAGCACCGTTTTTCAACAGCATTTGCTCACTACATGTCTCTGTGGCACATTTTGGTAATTCTTGCAATCTTTCAAACTTTTTCATTATTGTACCTGTTATAGTGATCTGTAATCAGTGATCTTTGATGTTACTGTTGAAATTGTTTTGAGGGCACCATGAACTGAGCCCATGTAAGACAGGGACTTAATAAATGTGTGTGTTCTGACTGCTCCACCAACCAGCTGTTCCTCTGTCTCTCTGCTTCATCTTGGGCCTCCATATTCCCTGAAATGAAACACTAATAATTGTCTAATAATAATGGCCTAATATTGAAATTAGGCCAACCAGTAACCCTACAATGCCCTTTAAGTGACCAAGTGAAAGGAAGAGTTGCATGTCCCTTACTTTAAATGAAAAGCTAGAAACGATTAAGCTCAGATGTATCAACAGCCAAGAGAGGCCAAAAGCTCGGCCTTGTGTCAAATAATTAGACAAGTTGGGAATGCAAAGGAAATGTTCTTGAAGGAAATTGAAAATGCTACTCTGGTGAAAACATGAATTATAAGAAAACAAAACAGCCTCATTGCAGATAGGGAGAAAATTTTAGTGGTCTGGGGAGAAGATCAACCTAGCTACAACATTCCCTTTAGCCAAAGCCTAATCCAGAGCAAGGCTCTAACTCTCTTCAATCTTATGAAGGTTGAGAGAGCTGAGGAAGCTGCAGAAGAAAAGGTTGAAGCTATCAGGGATTTAAGGAAAAACACCATCTCCGTAACATAATAGTGCAAGATGAAGCAGCAAATGATGTAGAAGCTGCAGCAAGTTATCCAGAAAATCTAGTCAAGATCATTGAAGGTGGATACACTAAACATATTTTCAATGTAGACAAAACAGCCTACTATTGAAAGAAGATGCCATCTAGGACTTTCACTGCTAGAGAGGAAAAGTCAATGCCTGGCTTCAAAGCTTCAAAGGGCAGGCTGACTTTTTTGTTAGGAGATAATGCAGCTGGTGATTTTAGGTTGAAGCCAATTCTCATTGACCATTCCAAAAATTCTAAGACCCTTAAAAATTATGCTAAATATACTCTTCCTGTGCTCTATAAATGGAACAACAAAGCCTAGATGACAGCACATCTGTCATGGCTGACTGAACATTTTAAGTCTGCTGTTGAGACCTACTGCTCAAAAAAAAAAAAAAAAAAAGAAAAGAAAAAGTGATTCCTTTCAAAATATTTCTGTTCATTGACAGTGTACCTGTTTACCCAAGAGTTCTCCTGGAGACATACAAGAGATTAGTGTTGTTTTCATGTTGGCTAACCCAACATGCATTCCACAGTTCATGGATCAAGGAGTCATTGTGACTTTCAAGTCTTATTATGTAGAAAGTACATTTCATAAGGCTATAGCTGCCAGAGATAGGGGGTCCTTGGATGGATCTGGAAAAAGTAAATTGAAAAAATTCATAATTCTAGATGCCATCAAGGACATTTGTGACTTAAGGAAGGAAGCCAAAAGATCAACATTATCAAGAGTTTGGAAGAAGTTGATTCCAACCCTCATGGATGAGTTTGAGGGGTTCAAGACTTCAGTGGAGGCAGTAACTAGAAATATGGAAATAGCAAGAGAACTAGAATTAGAGATAGAGCCTGAAGATGGGGCTGAAATGCCACAATCTCATGGTAAAATTTGAAGGGATGAGGAGTTGCTTCTTATGGATGAGCAAAGAAAGTGATTTCTTGAGAGGGAATCTATTCCTGGTGAAGATACTGTAAATATTGTTGAAATGACAACAAATAGTTTAGAATATAATATAAACTTAGTTGATAAAGTAGTGGCAGGGTTTGAAAGGATAGATTCCAATTTTGAAAGAAATTATACTGTGTGTAAAATGCTGTCAAACAGTATCACATGCTACAGAGAAATCCTTCATGGAAGGAAGGGTCAATCGATGCAGCAAACTTCTCTATTGTCTTTAAGAAACTGCAACAACTGCTCTTACCTGCATCAACACTAGCCTGACTGGTCAGCAGCCTTCAACAACATTGAGGCAAGATCCACCAGCGAAAAGATTAAGACTTGCTGGAGACTCAGATGATCCATTAGCATTTTTTAACCATTAAAGTTTTTTTTTTGTTGTTGTTGTTGTTTTTGAGATGGAGTCTCACTTGGTTGCCCAGGCTGGAGTGCAGTGGCACAATTTCAGCTCACTGCAACCTCCATCTCCCAGGCTCAAGCAATTTTCCTGTCTCAGCCTGCCTAGTAGCTGGGACTACAGGTGCGCATCACCATGCCCAGCTAATTTTTGTATTTTTATTAGAGACAGGGTTTCACCATGTTGGCCAGACTGATCTGGAACTCCTGACCTCAGGTGATCCACCTGCCTTGGCCTCTCAAAGTGCTAGGATTACAGGCGTGAGCCACCGCGCCTGGCTAAAGTATTTTTTAAATTAAGGCATGTACGTTTTTTAGCCATAATGCTATTGCACACTTAATGGATTACAGTATAATAAATATAACTAATATATGCACTAGGAACCAAAAAAATGGTGTGACTCACTTTATTGCTATGTTCACTTTATTGTGCTGGTCTAGAAATGAACCAGCAGTGTCTCCTAGGTATGCCTGTAGTTAAAAAATAAGTCTTGTTGGCTGGGCGCGGTGGCTCACGCCTGTAATCCCAGCACTTTGGGAGGCCGAGGCGGGCGGATCACGAGGTCAGGAGATTGAGACCATACTGGCTAACATGGTGAAACCCCGTCTCCACTAAAAATACAAAAAATTCTCCGGGCATGGTGGCGGGCGCCTGTAGCCCCAGCTACTCCGGAAGCTGAAGCAGGAGAATGGCATGAACCCGGGAGGCGGAGCTTGCAGTGAGAGGAGATCGCACCACTGCACTCCAGCCTGGGCGACAGAGCTAGACTCCGTCTCAAAAAAAAAAAAAAAGAAAAAAGAAAAGAGAGTCTTGTCTCCCTTCCTCCTGCTTTTGTTCGTTGAACAAGGGCAGATTTCACTGCGACTGGGATCTTCTCCCTTAATGCCATCTAAGAGTAAACTGCCTCTTCTCATTGTCTCTGGTCTTTTACCACACTTGGAATCGCTTATGCATCTTTGCAGCAAGATGACTCATTCCAACAGGATGCACAGTACAGTAATAATAGTACTACTTAGTATTCTTATAGCACCTAATTTTGTGACCAGTTTTGGGTGTTTCTGGAGCATGATCTCATTCATCTTCTCAGTAACTTAAAATGGTAAATAATGTTTTTCAACAGTTAAGGAAACTAAGGCACAGAAAGGGTAAATGACCTCGGACAAAGCCATATCCAGCAAGTCAGTTGGGGCCTGGATGAGAATGTAGTTTCACTGAACTTTTTCTCCCATACTCTGATTCCCCAAGGCCATTCTGTCTTCAGTGAAAAGGAGTCTGCAATTACTGCTCTAATTTTCCTGTCCATCTGCATACACAAGGGGGAAAAAATAACATCATTTTAATGTTTTCTCTTTTGGTTCCTTTGCATTCTCCTCTTTCATTTCACTACTTATTACTTCTTGACATCTTATCTCCTGCCCAGTCTCTGGAAAAAAAAAAAATGACTCCTTTTTTTTAATCAATGAATAACTAGCAGGAAATGTTCCACATTAGCGTCAGTAGTCACTGGATATAATATAGCAAGAAAATCAAGAGCTACTGACTTTGTATTATGTTGTCATTGCAAATAAAAAATCTAAAGTTAGTCTTTTAATATGATTATAACTTTGCAATTCTAGTACCAGTTAGTCCAGCTATAGCATTTGACTTTTTGACTGTGTACTACTGGGAAGCCTGTAAGTTGACCATATGCAGTACTGGTATTCCTTTTAGCTCTAAATCTTTTGATACTACAAGATTTATTATTGCAAGGCACATTTCAAAAATCAATAGAAATTCACTTCATAAAAACGTGTATCTTAAGAAATCACATTCACAGTGCTTAAATGGCAGTCTAGAATCTTAAGTACAATTCTATAATGTGCACCCAAATTTAGGAAAAACAGTAAATAAAAAACTTAGTGACACATATACAAAAAGAGGCATGCTTCTGATTTGGGGAAATAATTGCCCTTAGGACTTCCAAGAGCCAGTAAAAGCAGCCTCAATATTAGAAAGATGGGCGCTGTGAATAATTTCCATCCTTAATGAATAAAATGGTATTTTTCTAGAATGCCCTCTCTCTGTAACTATGTCTTTATCTAGTTCTGCTTTATCTTGTAGTTGTGTGTATATGTGAGTCTCCTTCACTGTAGTGAGGTAAGAATCATGCCCTTCCCATCACAGAATCTCTGCAACCTTGAGTCAGCACTAGAATGGTTACTGAATTTAATTTTCTTCCCAATGCTTCTACCTCCCAACAGAGTTATTTCCCAATAACATATCCCCTTTTTTATCACCCCATACCTCTTCAATAACTGATTCAGATATAAACTCATATCTAACCTCTGCTTTTTATTGTTTTTTTTTTTCATATTTCCATCCTATGAGACTATTCAATTTCTTATATCATGATCTGCCTTTTGGAGCAGCATTATCCGATGACTATCACAGCACAGCCAAAAAAAGAGGAGGTTTAACAAGTACTGAACACTAAAAATAAACGTCACTCGCTCCATATATGGAGGAAAATCCTTGTTCTAAAGAGCTTATAGTTCAAACAAAGCAGAAAAACACACATAATAACAAGAAAAACACAAAGTTAAATTTCCTAAAATATGTGAAAGGAAAAAGAACAAGGTGACATCTGAGAAAGCAGCTAATCAATTTGTTTCCTTTTTAAAAAGGAATGGGAAAAATTTATGAGTTCTAGAAAATGGAGAAAGAGGCTCATGAGAGAGAAGGTAATTCCTTTTACTATTAAGAAGCATCTATCATTCGTATATATATGAATGTTTATTAAAACCTACCAACAAACTTTTGTGACTTTTATGTGGTTGTCTTTCCAAATATATTTGTGATACCTCATATATAACATTATTGCATGATATACCTCATATATCACATGTTGCATTATTAATTCACAAAATAAGGATTTTTTTTCTTTTTTTTGAGATGAGGTCTCACTCTGTTGCCCAGGCTGGAGTGCAGTGGCATGATCTCTGCTCATTGCAACCTCCGCTTCCCAGGCCCAAGTGATGCTCCCACCTAAGCTTCCCGAATAGCTGGGACCACAGGTGCACACCACCAGGCCTAGGTAACTTTTTATATTTTTGGTTAGAGATGGGGTTTCATCACGTTGCTCAGACTGGTCTTGAACTCCCAAGCTCAGGCAATGCACCCACCCACTTCGGCCTCCCAAAGTTCTGGGATTACAGGTGTGATCACCACACCCAGCTGACAATAAAGAATATTGTAAACGGTTCCTCTAACTTTTAACTAGTCAACAGTAAGGTGTTACATACCATCAGAAGTCTATAGTGAAGGGCAAAATATATGATCCAATTAGTTTAGTGGAAATCTAGGCAGAAAGACTGGAGACTGAGAGTCTAAGGCAGAGAACAAAAATAAAATCTGGAAATCAATTTATTAAAGCTTTTTTTTCTGTTAAGAACTGGATACAGGGAGATACAAATAAAATTATTTCTTTCATTCATTCATTCAACAACCATAGACTGTATAGGGTCCCTACCATTCTGCTGGGTGATAGCAACTAAAAGACTCGGCTTACTTTGGGCAGCTTAGAAAGGGAGATGGAGATGTAATGTAAGTATAGTGTGGGAAGTAGCATATCCGTCCTTGTCATAGACTATAAATCTTCTGTAACGGTTATTTTTCAAGGGTGTCCCATGAACCATTCAAGGTCTATCCTGAACTACAGTCTTTTAATGTTGATGTTTTGGAGTGCTCTTCAGTTATGAAAAGGGAGGATTGAAAGAAATATGTAATAGCACTAGTTATTTTGCTGCTGGCTGATCTCTTGACTACAGCAGGGATTCTAGACAAAGTTTAGGGCATCTGCCTGGAGGCATGGAGAATAAAAGGAAGAAGGTGGTTTAAAATGTTTTCAAAGAGCTTGCGTCTGAGCCCCTGGACCTGTTCAAATTAAACACCTCTTCTTTACCTCAGTCAGGGAAACTGTAATCATCTACACCTCTCTTTGCTATAAAAGAGAAAGAGCAAAATTCCAATAGCAGAGAATTAAGAAAAGAAATATGTTATAATGCAGGAGCGGGGGCAGGGTAGGGAGGGGGAACATTGAGTCAGGAGTCTGGCTGAATTTTATACTTGGCCTTGCCATTAGTTAGTTGTGTGACTTTAGACAAATCTTTTAACCTCCACTTCCCACTCAGACCTCTGGATCCTCATGTGGAAAGTGAGGCCATAGGTCTATTTAAGACATTAAATATGACACTTTTTCCCTCTAAAGTCCTGTGCACGCCAATGACTGAAGTTGGGGATGTTTTGTCACAGTGAACAGACACGAGTAAGATGCCTGATCTATACAATTGTTTAGGATTTTCTGCCACTTAGATGGCTTGTTAATAAAAAAGTTTGGAAGAGCAATTTACACATTTTTTTCCACAGACACTTGTATTTCCCTTGTATAAAGGGCTCTATAACATAGACATTATAGCACGTTCTAAGCAAGAAAATGGGCTCCTCATATATATTATATGCCATAGCCATTAAGTGGTAGACTTAGGGCTTGAACCACCTTCTTCAGACATTAGGTTTTAACTTTTGTCCACAAGACATTCCCTTCTGAGTGAAGCTTCATTCATTGTGTCTATTTCCCCAGCCCCAGTCACTCTTCTACCCACTGCAGTTGTTATCTGCTCTCACCACTTCACTGTGCCTGCTCTTCTGGGTCACCAGTTGCCCTGCTGTAAGCTACCAAGTCCAGGGGTATTTCAGTTCTGAGCTTTTCCAACCTTCATACTGTATTGACATAGTCACCACTCCTACTCCTTGAAACTCTCTACTTTTTGGTTTTATGGCATCACTTCCTGTAGTTCTCTTGCTCTTGTAGCAATATTTATCAAAGTGTGTTCTATAAATCATCTGCAGCCGAGTCACTGGAGATGCTTATTTAAATTCATTCCTGAGCCCTTCCCCAGACCCATTCAACCAGAGCTTCTGAGGGTTAGACAGAGAAGTTGGCATTTAACAAGCACTTTGGTGATTCTTACATATACTAATGTATGAGAACTACTGCCCAATAGGATTATAATTCCTAAATCTATGTTTCCGCCCTAGACCTGTCTCCTAAGTTGAAGACCATATGTCAAATTTTCTTCTAGACATGTTTCTTCTGGAACATTACTTCTGGATGTTCCTTAAGTACTTCAAACTCAACATGCCAAAACAAGTCACTTTTCCTCCAAATACTTGCAACACTCCATTTACCCTCTTAGTGAATGTGGTACCAGCATCCAACCAAAATACCCACATCAGAAACTTCAAAATCATTTCCCCACAACTAGTCAGTTAATAAATTGTATTATCTATCCATTAAATATATCACATGATTCTCTCTTCCTTATTTCCACATCCTAATATGAGCACTCATCACTGCCACCCAAATGATCTTTTCAAAAATGCAAATCTAATTATGGTTCTTTCTTGCTTAAAATCCTCTCGTGACTCAAAACACTTACAGGATAAAATCCCAAGCCTGTTGTTTGTCATTTGAGGTGCTTCCTGATGATCTAAGCCCTGCCAGCCTACATGTTAGTCATATGGAATGGCCCACTGATCTCTGAACCAGCCAGTTTCTTTCAAGCCTCTGCACATGCTACCCTCTCTCTCTCTAAAATGCCCTCTTACCTGTTTATGTAACGAACGCCTACCAATGTTTAAATTCTTAGCCCAAAAGTTGCTTCTGGTATGAAATCATCCCTGATTCCTTTGGACCAATCTGATAACTTCTTCTACCATACTCACATATCTTCACGACTGAAATATTATAGCTTATATCTTTTTCTCCTCCTTAAACTTCCTAAATGAAACATTTTATTTATCTTCATCATCTAGCATTCAATAAACATTATTTAAGTGAATGAAGAATAATACTTAACATTTACATAATGCTCTATATTTTACAAAGCACTCCATATTTGATACTTATTTCTGCTTGTATTACTGTGACCTGCCAGTGAGTTATGGTTCTATCCTTTCTTAGATTTAACACTCCGTTCAGCTTTTTATAGACTGTCCCATATAGAAGAGAAAAAATGGCATGGGCCCAAGAGCAGCATAGCAGTATATGAAAATAGCTGCTTTCCATAGAGCTGTCTACCTGGCTTAAACATTACTAAGGATTTATAGATATTTTGAGTAAGACACTGAAGGACAGAAGGAATTCAGCATTATATAAATATATTTATATATATTATATATATATAATATAGATATATATTTAAGGGACCTATGGTCCTTCATTTATGTACAAATTCTTCCTAGAGAAAGTAGTATTGATAAAAGTAATGTGTAGTACTTAGAAGATAAAATAAAATTTAGCTACATTAACTGGAGGGAAAAACGTGTAAATTTATAATTGCTGAAGATGTGTGTAGCTGTAAGTGACAATGGCTATCAGATCTCATGCCCTTAGCCCAAGAGATGAGTGAAAGAGTGAAGGAGACTCATTTTCTCCCTCATCATTAGCATTTTACACAGTGCATGAGTACTCTGTAAGTAGATTCTAAATGGACTATTTTTATTTAATATTTTGGGTCAGTACTTGCTTAAAGCAAGAAATTTTTTCCCATCTGACAATTCATATCTTTTAACAGAAAATTATACACACACACACTTATTTGATTTTAACCAATTTCCCTCAATTTCCAATTCAATGTTTGATCCAGTTACATGTGGGATTATATAAATAATAATATATAATGCAATATCTTTAGTTAATTGTATTTTATAGCTCAAATTAAGGAAAATTTAATGCGAATGCAAATTTGCGCATTATCATAGCATTTGCCTTGTGCATAGTTTGTATTCAACAAATGTTTGGTAACTGAATGAATCATAAAATAACAGTGTACAGTGCTAGGGGAAAAAATGGAGACTTTTGAACAAACTCCTCTGTCTTGGATACATTTTTCTTAAAACCAAGCAGTTGTAAATTCAGAAGTATCTTTATCAGTTGAATTTCTGATCTGAAGAACATATGTGTCCGACCTAAGAAAATCAAGAAAAAGTTATGAATAACTACAATAAGAAATGTGAACAGATTTAAACTGAAAAGGGCTGAGAAAATGAATCATATCAGCTTAAATTTCTGTTTTTTTTACAATGCCATGTGGGGTAACAGAGGGAAGAGGAGAGATTGAGCTGTGTGGGAACTGTTTTGGTGAAAGTCTTGCTGTCCACTTCAGGCCTGCCCCACTAGGATTATGTGGAGGAGATAACATTGGTTGGAGAGTCAATGTGTTATTCTATTTCAAATTTTGTCACCCTGAGCCCAACTTTACCATTTACATAAAGTGGATAGGATTCACTATTTGTGTTTTTTTAGAGTATTTTATGAGAGTTTTTTTTCACAACCTTGATAAAAGAATGATTTTAAAATATTTATAATTGTCTTAACATTCATCATTGACAAAATGCAGGTAATTCTGTTTGCCAGCAATATTGAACATGTTCAGAAGATCAGATGATAGTCTTAATATTGATGGAAATAAAAGATTCTTTTATGTTCATAAGCAAAAAATTTGGTGCTAAATATTTTGATAGCTGGAGAAGTTCTCTCTATACTATTACTTTACAAAACCTTTATGACATTTAAGTAGAGATTTTTTGTTTGCAATTTTTTCAACCAATTTAAGTAATAAACACTTTTTGTGAATCTAATGTATGTTATACATTAGGCGAGAGATACTGGAGATACAAAGAAATATAAATTCAGGTTTTAACTGAAGCCATTATAGTTAAGTTGATGTGAGAAACAGTTGGGAAGAGAGAAATAGACAATTATTGTATCATCAATAAATGGCATGATAGGTACTGCACGAGATGGAAGATAAAAGCTTGTAAAAAGGGCATCCATCCTTGACTGTGCGGAGAGGTGGTTAGGAAAATCTTCCTAAAAAGTGACACCTGAGTTGTGTTGTTAACTATCATCACCTTTACAGGTATTTCTTGAAATTCATAAATTACATTTTAAGCTAATTCTGCCCTCCTTCCTTCCTCCTCCAGTTCTGGTAGGATATGAGATACAAGAGGAAGAGGTCTGGGGCAATGAATGGCAGACATTGCTAACATCAGTTCTTCCTTATTAGACCTCCACTTATTTTTAAACGAACCCACTGATGCCTGAACAAAATACATATTTCCCAGGCTCCCTGTACCTAGATGTGAGCCCTAGGATTGTGTTCTGGTAAATGAGAACAGAAATGTATGGCAGGTTATGGAAAATTTCCTTAAATGATGGTTGGCAAATAACTTGGTCCTGCTTCTTTCCTTCTTCCTTACCTGCTGCTTGGAATGTGTATAGGAAGGGTGTAGCTCCGTCTTGGATGATGAAGACAAGGGCCACACCCTAGGAATGGCAGAGCAGACACCTGGATACAGCCTGGGTCCCTAAGGACTTCAGGCAGCAGAGCCAACATAACTGCTCTGGACTGCTTCCTTCAGACTTACAAATTAAAGACAAATCAAATTCTATCTTGATTAAGCTAATGCTATTTGGAGGGCAGTCGCCACTCAGTGAAACTTAGTCTTATCTGATATATCTATCTTGTTCACCAGGACTTAGCACAATTACTGGTACATGTCAGGTGTTCAATAATCTTTTTTGCATGAGTGAACGAACGTATGAATCCCCACACACACATTCAAAATCACATACATAAAAGTGGCCATATGCCTCAGTAAGTCTTAGATAAACCAGATTTTCTCATTGCTTACCTTGTTTCCTGAGAGAGAGGCAAACACAGAAGCTGCTTTAAATCATTCTGGTAATTAGACTCTCAACTTCTTTGATAATTTAACTTGAACAGTCAAAAGTTAGTTGACCTTCCAAATGTTCCTACTACTTTACTCTATTTATAGACTACCCATTACAAATATATTATTGCAACCAGAAAGCAGACTTGACAGAAAACTTGAACCAAATAGGGACCTTTGCCAACTATGCACTGACAGACATATATTGTGATTAAATTCTGTTTACTCAGCTCTCAGTGAGAGGCTCAGAATATCAACAACGCCAATATTAACAAAATTCTCCCAAACACATACTCTGTAGAAAAGTACTATTAATAATAATAATGATTGGCTGGGTGTGGTGGTTGATGCCTATAATCCCAGCACTTTGGGAGGCCGAAGCGGGTGGATCACGAGGTCAGGAGTTCAAGACCAGCCTGGCCAAGATGGTGAAACCCCGTCTCTACTAAAAATACAAAAATTAGCTGGGCATGGTGGCAGGCGCATGTAATCCCAGCTATTCAGGAGGCGGAGGAAAGAGAATTGCTTGAACCTGTGCGGCAGAGGTTGCAAGTGAGCCGAGATCACACCACTGCACTCCAGCCTGGCTGATCAAGTGAGACTCTGTCTCAAATAACAATAATAATAATAATGATTAGGAATAAGACAAAATTGTCAAGAAGATTTAAATCATATGGTTTGTTCTATATATAATGAAGTCTAAAGAGTAAACACTAAAAAAAACCATTAAAAACTTCCCAAATTGTTTCAGTCCATTAGTTGGCCATGAGTTTTTATTAAACATTTCAAGATGGAGCCAAGATCATTAGACAGAAAGATCTAAGCTTCATGCAACTTTTGTGCAGATTATTTTCACTTTCTATCTCTGTAAAATGGCAGCATGTTTGCCCTCCACATTTCATTGCGTGTGTTGAAACAGATAACATCTTAAAATAGCTTGACCTGCTCAGATAGAAAAGTTTTAAAAAAGGCTGGGCACGGTGGTTCACACCTGTAATCCCAGCACTTTGGGAGGCTGAGGCAGGCGGATCACCTGAGGTCAGGAGTTCAAGACCAGCTTGGCCACCGTGGTAAAACCTTGTTGCTACTAAAAATACAAAAATTAGCTGGATGTGGTGGAGAGCGACTGTAATCCCAGCTACTCGGTAGGCTGAGGCAGGGAGAATTGCTTGAACCCGGGAGGTAGAGGTTACAGTGAGCCGAGATCGCGCCATTGCACTCCAGCCTGGGTGACAAGAGCAAGACTCCGTCTCAAAAAAATAAAATAAAATAATAAATAAATAAATAAAAAGAAAAAGCAATGTTTTAAAATAAAGATGGCATTTTTCTAGAGTAGAGAAGAAGGATAGGTAATCTTGAGATTAGTAGTAATTTACATGCAGTTCCCATCTCTGGACAGCTTGCTGTGTTTTTTTTCTCTATAGTTCATTACTTATTTTCGAAATGATTACTCAAGAATAAACTTGGAGCAGGGTTTGTTTCCTTCTTAAATGTTGTATATGAGAACTGTCCCCTATGAAATTATACTTAATTTGGGGATGGAAATGAGTTGCTTTTACAAACAGTTAAACAAAATAGAAAGGAACCACATTGTACTAAGATTCTGATTATCTATGACTTGCTTAGAAGCTCGAAGTGATCTTTCAAAGTCTTTCTTTTTTCTGCTCAAAAAATACCTTCATTATAGTAAACTGTATTGGATAAGCCTTTCTTTTCACACCAGAAGAATTTGTCATCAAAAGGAACTTTCTCTTTTCCAGTCCCTTCATACTTAAAGGTTAATGGTTGCAGTGCTGCAGGAGTAACTATAATCCAATGCAATTATGAAGCAGAATTAGAAGGAATGGCTGAAGGAGACCACTTGATAGAGATGGGTTGAAGAAAAGGGCCAAGTATTTCACAGAATGAAGAATCTTCATCAAGCAATTAGAATGGCTCTCAAACTTGTTCCGAGATGTTTATGTACCTAAATCGTAGCCTCTTGGGTTGAATTTAGGAAAAACTCATAGAATCAAATTGCTTTGGCATGAATTGGCCTCATTTTCTCTACTATCTTGCTTTACAGTTAAGGTAGAGGCAGCATCAGCTACATCATTTGCAGTGCACACTGCAATATGAAAATGTTGGGCTTCCTGCTCAAAAATTGTTAAGGGTTTCAAGAAGGCAACAGCAGAGCAGTAAGTAAATCACAGGTCCCTCTGAGTACAGGGCCCTGTGTGGCTGTTCAGGTTGAATGCCCATGAAACCATTTCTGAGAAGAGGTCAGACAGGGTTAAATTATTTGCCCTTAGTGATACAACAGCTTAGCAGCAGAGCCAGCCTCCTGATTCCTTGTTTAGTTTTCCTTTTTTTTCCTCTGCATTCTATTATTTCCCCGTATCCACTTCATGTTTAGCTTAGAAGAATGTTTATTATTCATTCATTCTCTTTAATAAATATTTCTTGAACACGGACTATGTGGCAGACACTATTAGCAATTAGGGAAACAGTTATAAGACACAATTCCTTAAGTACTGGGTGTAGAAAAAGAACTTGAGGGGGAAATATACCCATTTCTATAGAGGTTGTAGGGAAGGTGGAACTCTCATATACTACTAATGGGAGTTAAAATAGATATTAATTTTCTGGAAGGCAACTTGACCATATGAGACAAATGTCTAAAAATGTGTATACCCATTGGCCCAGAAATAATGCTTCCTGGAGTTCATCCTAAGGAAATAATAAGAGATGTGGGCAAAGTGATATGTGAAGAGTTATTCACCATAGTGCTTTTTTTCCCTTATAAATGCCCAGGAATTTGGGTTTTATTGGGCATATTTTGGTATAACTAGGCTATTAAACAATGCATGCCATTAAAAGTGTGGTTTTAGAAGACCACAAACCTGGGAAAATGTTCATAATGTATAAATGGTGAAAAAGAAAGGCTTAAAGTAATATGGATAACACGATACCTATTTTGGGGGGCAGGTTAGAAAATATGTTTGTAACGAGGAAAGCAGAGGAGGACATACATCCAACTGTAAGCAGTGATAATTATTATTATTGTTTTTGAGATGGAGTCGTGCTTTGTCACCCAGGCTGGAGTGCAGTGGTATGATCTTGGCTCACTGCAACCTCTGCCTCCCGGGTTCAAGCGATTCCTCTGCCTCAGCCTCCCAAGTAGCTGGGACTACAGGTGCATGCCACCACACCCGGCTAATTTTTGTATTTTTAGTAGAGACGAGGTTTTGCCATGTTGGCCAGGCTGGTCTTGAACTCCTGTCCTCAAGTGATCCAGCTGTCTTGGCCTCCTAAAGTGCTGGGATTACAGGCATGAGCCACCACATCTGGCCAGTGATTAGCTTCTTGTAATAGTCTTTCTCTTTGTACTTACTTGTATTTTCCAATATTTCCTTACTGAGCATATTTTCTTTTTATAATAAAAAATTTTAAGCTCTATCTGTATCAAACTATGAAAATCTGTGTTGTCTCAAATGTCTAGAGAGGAAGGCCAGCAATTCTACATTTCACCATTGGAAAAAATTAAAGCTTAAGTTTCACACGTAAAAGCTCATGGTAGACTTAACTAAATATCTATCATGAACAAATGAATTAAAATATTCCCCATATAGTGGAAAGAATCCTTACCAGTCATATATCTAATCTTCCAACTAAAGTATAATTTGGATCTATAATATACTTGATAAGTGATCTAAGCTTACTGGATTTAGAGACAGATTTTTTTATTCATGAAAAAGCTGGATCTTAGCTAAATTATAACCAATAGAAGCCAATCTGGAATCACAGCACCAATATTTGGTAACTACACTGGTCATTTAGGTGTAATTGTGCATGGTAAAGGCAAGAGTGGGTTTTAGTGAATAGATGCTCTTTGAAAAATCATTCTCAAATTGAAAAATTGACTTTTGGCCACTGTATTTGCTCTTTACTATGTCTAGTGTCATCATTCACCAGAGACTTTATTTTTCTATTATTTAATTAAGTTAATGAATTTATTTTACTTCAGACAGCGTCTCACTCTGTCACCCAGGCTAGAGTATGGTGATGCAATCACAGCTCACTATGGCCTCAAATCTCCTGGGCTCAGGTGATCTGCCTTTGCCTCCTGAGTAGCGGGGACTATAGTTGCATCCCTCCACATCTGGTTAATTTTATTTGTAAAGATGGGATCTCATTTTTTTGCCCAGGCTGTTCTCAAACTCCTGGGCCCAAGCGATCCCCCTCTCCTCAGCCTCCCAAAGTGCTGGGATTACAGGCGTGAGCCACCATGCCTAGCCAAGAATCTATTTTGAAATGCATGGTGACATAGTTTGGATGTGTGTCCCCTCCAAATCTCATGTTGAAATGTGATCCCCTAGTGACAGATGCTTGGGCTGATTCCTCATGAATGACTTGGTGTCATCCCCTTTGTAATGAGGGAATTCTTACTCTATTTGTTTATGTGAGACCTGGTTGTTTTAAAGAGGCTGGCATCTCTCTTTCTGCTCCCTTTCTTGCCATGTGACACACCTGCTCCTCTTCCACTTTTCACTATAAGTCAAAGCTTCCTGAGGCCTCACCAGAAGCCAAGTGGATGCTGGTGCCATTTTTGTGCAGCCCGAAGAACTGTAAGCCAAATAAACCTCTCTTCTTTATTACCCAGGCTCCGTTGTTCCTTTACAGCAACAGAAAATGAACTAACAAACATGGATAGGAACGTTATTAAGACTTCTTGCAGAGCACTTTTTATAAGTTCTTATTTAACAAATCCTATCCATAAAAATACCTAGGACAATAGATCCATTCAGAACCTCACTCAGTAACTTATCTTTACATTTGTAATTGTATAGATAAAAATATTTTTATAATCATCACATTTTGTGAAGTAAAAAGACAACTTTCAAAAATTAATATGAAGTTAAAGAAGCCAGATACACACACACACACACACACACACACACACACACACTGGTAGTCTGGTGCTATTTTAATCTCAATTTTATTAGTAAAATAATATGCAGAGAAAAATTTCTAGAAGGATTATAAGAAAATGTTAATGTTAATTATCTTTAGGGGGAAACATAATGAAATTTCAGAATAATAATAAAAGATTTCTAAGATCTACAGATGACAGTTCCTTTTGAGTAATATTGAATACAACACAGTATCAGAAAGAAATTGGACAAACCACAGGAGTGTGCTGCCTAAAAGAGGACCTTTTGCATTAAACAGGGTCATTCCTTTACTCTAAAATCCCATATTCTTTTCTTTTCTTTTCTTTTCTTTTCTTTTCTTTTCTTTTCTTTTCTTTTCTTTTCTTTCTTTCTGTCTGTCTGTCTGTCTGTCTGTCTGTCTGTCTTTCTTTCTTTCTTTCCTTTCTTTCCTTCCCTTCCTTCCCTCCCTTCCTTCCTTCCTTCCTTCTTTCTTTCTTTCTTCTTTTTCTTTTTTTTTTTTTTTTTGAGACAGAGTCTTGCTCTGTCGCCCAGACTGGAGTGTAGTGGTGTGATCTTGGGTCACTGCAACCTCTGCCTCCCGGATTCAAGCGATTCTCCTGCCTCAGCTACTGCCTCCTGAGTAGCTGGGATTATAGGTGCCCACCAGCACGCCCAGCTAATTTTTGTATTTTTAGTAGAGATGGGTTTTCTCCATGTTGGCCAGGCTGGTCTTGAACTCCTGACCTCAGGTGCTTCACCTGCCTCGGACTCCCAAAGTGCTGGGATTACAGGCGTGAGTCACTGTGCCTGGCCTAAAATACCATTTTCTATTCTGCTATCTATGTTACTGTTTTTGCCTGAAAATACCACCAAATACAGTAGTGGATCTCAACTTAAAAATATTTTTTTCAACAACATTATTGAGATATATATATATATATGTACATGGATGATTTGATCTCTGACCCCTGGGCACTATATCTGCTCCATGCCCCATATTTCCAAGAGTGGTTTGGGAACTACTGTTCTATATCTTTTAGTGTTTGATACATAAAGTTGACTTAGTACATTGTGCAATGATGGTGGTAAAATTACTTTTTCTTAGAACAGTGACTACTAAAATGTACAATAACGGAACTTATGTTCTATAGCTTAGAACATACTTCTTATTTTTAAATATTTTGTAAAGATGGAGACTTGCTGTGTTGCCCAGGCTGGTTTCAAACTCCTGGGCTCAAGTGATCCTCCCACTTCAGCCCCTCAAAGTGCTGGGATTACATATAGACATGAGCCACTGCATCTGACCCATATTTTCTTTTTCTTTCTTTCTTTCTTTTTCTTTCTTTTTTATTTTTATTTTTATTTTTTTGAGACAGAGTCTCATTCTGTCACCTACGCTGGAGTGCAGTGGCACAATCATAGCTCACTGCAGCCTCCTACTCCTGTGCCCAAACGATCCTCCCACCTTAGCCTCCTGAGTAGCTGGGATTTTTTTTTTTTTTTGAAACGGAGTCTTGCTCTGTCACCCAGGCTGGAGTGCAGTGGCTCGATCTCAACTCACTGCAAGCTCTGCCTTCCGGGTTCACGCCATTCTCCTGCCTCAGCCTCCCAAGTAGCTGGGACTACAGGCACCCACCACCATGCCAGGCTAATTTTTTTGTATTTTTAGTAGAGACGGGGTTTCACCGTGTTAGCCAGGATGTTCTCAATCTCCTGACCTCTTGATCCGCCTGTCTCAGCCTCCCAAAGTGCTGGGATTACAGGCGTGAGCCACTGCGCCCAGCCACCTGGCTAATTTTTGTAATTTTTGTAGAGACAGAGTTTCACCATGTTACCCAGGCTGATATCTAACTCCAGGGCTCAACTCACCTGTTGCCCAGGCTGGTCTCAAACTCACCTCGGCCTCCCAAACTGCTGAGATTACAGGCATGAGCCACCACACCTGGTCCCATACTGTCTAATTCTAGAAAATATTCTGAAAATTTTTGTTCACTAGTGGTCTCCTGGGAATTCTTTGAAACCCACGCAATTCCTATTGTATTTGTTTTAACAAGCTACTTGACTTTGTTACAATACAGTTAGAATGAGCTTATGCCTTAGGAATTGTATCTATGTTAGATTACTCTCCCTCAGTTTTCCCTGCCTGCCTGTCAAAAAGCAAAAACAAAACAAACAACAATAAAAAGTCCCTTTTTAGCATCATTGTATCTTTCTTCTCCTCTCTCCCTAGCTATCAGAGCTCATGATCCTTTTGGACTTAGTATAGTTTTATCTCATCTCCAATTTTACTTTTTTTTTTCCCTCGCTTTACTTCAGTACCAATGTAATCCTAAGGACTGCTGGTGAATTTTGCCAAATCCCTCTTTTTAAACCATGGATCTAGAGAATATAGAAGAAAAGAAATTTGCTTTAAAACTTGTTGCTGTTTTGTTTTGGAAGTGGCAGCTCAAAGTAGACTCAATAAATTAATGTTATTTTTCCACTTAAAATTAACTCAAGGAGAACTTTTTCAGGGATAAATGATGCTCACTAAGTGGAAGATGATAAGCAGAAAGGGGGCCTATAGAACAATGAAATCTATCCAATCATACAAAAAACTTCAGAACCTTGTGTTTATTTCAAATCTCTCTTTTTTTTTTTTTTCTGGAGTGCAGTGGTGCAATCTCAGCTTACTGCAGCCTCGACCTCTCGGACTCAAGCAATCCTTCTGCCTCAGTCCCTCAAGTAGCTGGAACTACAGGCATGTACCACCATGCCCCGCTAATTTTGTATTTTTTGTAGAGACATGGTTTCATCATGTTGCCCACGCTGGTCTCAAACTCCTGAGCTCAAGCGATCCACCCACCTTGGCCTTCCAAAGTGCTAGGATTTACAGGCATGGGCCACCGCACCTGGCCCAGATCTCATTATTAATAGAACAAATTGAAAAAATTGAGAGGTATTGGTAAGATTTTTAACAAACAGCAGGCCTATGAAGCAATGATAGCTAATTATATAAATAAAGACTATAACAAAAATGTGAGAAAATGAAATACTGAAGATACAAAAACTCAAAGAAATAATTAATTTAGCCTTATCCTTTGATAGGTAAGAATAAAGGAATGGTCATTAAAAGAGAAAATGGAAGAGACACCAGGACCTTGGATTCTATGCCAGCATACCAACTTCAGAAAGTGACATTAGGGAAAGATTTTACACTGATTCATGTTTGAAGTTGGGAGGAAGGAGAGCATGAGGAACAGATGTATTCTTACTATTTTTGTTATCTTCTGGATGGAATGTTACTTGATTATAGCAATCTCCTCTTACCACATCCCAATCTTTAGCCCTAAATATTATGAATAACCTGCTTTTTCCTGTAAAATGATTATGATCAACTAAAACTTATGCTACATTTTACATATTGATAGTATACATCCCTGCGTAGCATAGCAGAATTCACACTCTCTTAACTTACCAATCAAGAGAAAGATTCTGTCACATAAAAAATAAGAACACATGCCAGGCATGATGGCACGAGCGTGTAGTCCCAGCTACTTAGGAAGTTGAGGCAGGAGGATCACTTGAGCCCAGGAATTTGAGGCTGTAGTGAGCTATCATGGTGCTACTACACTTCAGCCTAGGCGACAGAGTGAGACCTCTGTCTCTAAAAATAAAATACATAATAAAAATACTAGTTCTTCAAAAAGTTAAATATAGAATTACCACATGATCCAGCAATTTTGCTTTAATTCTAGGTATGTACCAGAAGGACTGAAAACAAGGACTCAAACCTACCTGTACATCAATGTTCAGAGCAGCATTATTCACAGTAGCCAAAAGGAAAACAACTCAAATGTCCACTGACAGACGAATGGATAGACAAAATGTGGTCTATGCATAGAATAAAATTATATTCCATAGAGCGGAATATAATTCAGCCTTAAAAAGGAATGAAATTCTGATACATGCTACCACATGGATGAACCTTAAAAACATGATGCTGGCCGGGCGCGGTGGCTCACGCCCGTTATCCTAGCACTTTGGGAGGCCGAGGCGAGCAGATCACGAGGTCAGGAGATTTGAGACCGTCCTGGCTAACGCGGTGAAACCCCGTCTCTACTAAAAATACAAAAAAATTAGCCAGGCGTGGTGTCGGGCGCCTGTAGTCCCAGCTACTCCGGAGGCTGAGGCAGGAGAATGGCGTGAACCTGGGAAGCGGAGCTTGCAGTGAGCTGAGATCGCGCCACTGCACTCCAGCCTGGGCGATAGAGCGAGACTCTGTCTCCAAAAAACAAACAAACAAACAAAACATGATGCTAAGTGAAATATGCCAGATTGTATGATTCCACTTATAAGAGGTAAATGGAATAGTCAAATTCATAGAGACAGAAAACGTAATAGAGGTTACCTGGGGCTGGGGAAGAGTGGAATGTGGAGTTATTGTTTGATGGGTAAAGTTTCTGTTTGGGATGATAAAAAAACTTCTGGAAACGGTTGGTAGTGATGGTTGCACAGCGTGGCGAATGTACTTAATGCCGTTGAATCGAACACTTAAAAACGGTTGAAATACAAATTTTGTGCTATGTTTATTTTACCATGTTAAAAACACATATTAAAAAATAAAGGGGTCGCGGTCGCTATGGAGGAACCAGAGATGCAGCTCAAGGGGAAAAAAGTCACGGACAAATTCACTGAGAGTGTCTACGTCCTGGTGAACTGTGGCTGTCTGTGGCCCCGTACCGGCTGCAGGAGCACATGCGCCACTCCCTCCCCGGAGCTGGCCCAGCGCAAGGCAGACATGCAGCGTTGGGAGGAGTAGAGCCGGGGAGCCATCTACACCGTGGAGTACGCCTGCCGCGCCGTGAAGAACCTGGTGGACAGCAGCGTCTACTTCTGCAGCGTGGAAGGTCTGCTCAAACGGGCCATCAGCATCCGAGACCATAGGAATGCCAGTGCCCAGGGCCACAGGTAGGTCCTGGGACCGCCCGCCCCTGCTGCCACTCTCAGCCGCAAGGACTGTCTCTCAGCTGCGCTGGGAACCCGCTGCTTCTCGCTTATTAGAAAACTCTTTCCTCTTGTCAAAAAACTAAATTAAAAAATAAAATAAAATAAAGATAGGCCGGGCGCGGTGGCTCATTCCTGTAATCCCAGCACTTTGGGAGGCCGAGGCAAGTGGATCGCTTGAGGTCAGGAGTTCGAGACCAGTCTGGCCAACATGGTGAAATCCTGTCTCTACTAAAATACAAAAATCAGCCGGGCTTGGTGGCAGGTGCCTGTAATCCCAGCTACTCGGGAGGTTGAGGCAGGAGAATCGCTTGAACCTGGGAGGCAGAGGTTGCAGTGAGCCAGGATCATGCCACTGCACTCCAGCCTGGGCAACAGAGCAAGACTCCATCTCAAAAAAATAAATAAATAAAAAATAAAAACAAAAACACTAACAGTATTTAACCACGACAGAAATTTTAAAAAATGCCATAGCTTCATAGCAGAAATTGCTCTTGTTTTCAAATGTGCATTATAGTTTATATTTCTAAGCATAAATTTAATTTTAGTTTTACGTGTTTTTTAAACGTTGAGATAGACTATTGAACACTCTGCAGGGGAAAAATGTTTCATGCTGTTAACCAAACAAAGCTAAGCAGAGTTCTTATTAAGCTAACTTTAAAAAATCTCCACTGTATAGCATGCAGCCTTTTTCAAATGCAAATGACTCCAGACCTTTTAGTAATTCCTTGACCCAGTGTTCCTCGGGACACTGTAGACTATTGCTAACCAGCCACCTTCACAATATAATCTGAGGATTGGCCACCAGGACTGATTGATTGATAATCTTATTCCTTGTTGTTTGTTAATTATTTTATTCTTTCTACGATTTATGGATCAATCTAACACTTATTTATTACCAACATTGTGCCAATCACTATTCTAGGTGCCATTCAATGTCCTGATGAGCTTCCAATGCCTAGACGTGTGTAATCTAAAGTACCTTCTGTTTACTATTATCCTTGAGCCTGTCCAATCAAAGGCTTGCCTCATTTCACAGGGATCCATGTCACCTTTTGTATAAAACAAATGGGAGGAGAGGTTTCTTAGTTGGGATTGGCAGAGTCTAGTGTTGGAAGGAAGATCCTCTCTCTACCCACTGTTCACAGACCTTCTCTCTTGGGCCCTCAAGCAATGGGGAGTTCGCTTTTTCTGCAGTGTCACAGGTTCATACCACAAAACTATCTCTACTTTCCATTTAAGTGGATCTGGGGCATCTGGGCCAGAAACGTGGGATATACTGTTCTTTGGGACTTCTCTCTGGAATCCTGTTTTCCCAAGAGAGGAATCTCCTTGGCTATTGAGTCCCAGAGGCTTACTCATTTATTTATCAAAAATATACAGAGTATCTTCTAGAACCTGTAATTTTTCTTTTTTTTTTCCTTTTTCTTTCCTTCTTTTTTTTTTTTTTTTGGAGATAGAGTCTTGGTCTGTTGCCCAGGCTTGAGTGCGGGGGCATGATCTCGGCTCACTGCAACCTCTGTCTCCCAGGTTCAAGCGATTCTCCTGCCTCAGCCTCCTGAGTAGCTGAGATAACAGGCGTGGGCCACCACACCCAGCTAATTTTTGTATTTTTAGTAGAGACGGGGTTTCACCATCTTGGCCAGGCTGGTCTTGAACTCCTGACCTCGTGATCCACCTGCCTCGGCCTCCCAAAGTGCTGGGATTACAGGTGTGAGCCACCGCGCCCAGCCTAGAACCTGTAATTTTTTTTTTAACCAGGTCCTAGGAATATAAACATGAATAAAATTTTTTCCTTGACTAGAAAAACTAGGCACATATCAGCCTAACAAAAATTCACTGGGATAATGATACCCTATCAGCATCAACTGAGTTACAGCAATTCCAAATACCTACTGAGTGCTCATTATGCCAAGTATTATTCTAAGTATGTTACATGTATTATCTTGTTAGATATCCATAACAAACTTACGAGATTGTTACTTACATTCTTCCATTTTATAGATAAAGGAACAGGCAGTGGGTCCACAGTTATACCACTAAGAAATGGCAGAGCTGGGATTTGCACCCAAGCAGTTTGGCTCCAGAGTTGGCACTGTTAGTCACTATTCTACGATGTGTCTCTAGTGTTAGCATAAGGCAGTAGAGGAGAGGCCTCTCCTGTGAAAATCACAACCTAAGTGCTACTTGAGCTGGGTCTTGATGGTTGAGTCACATTTCGTTAAGTACCAGGTAGACATATGTATGAGGGGGGCAGAGGAGGAAAGGAAGAAGGGAATGCTGCACATATGGTTGTGTAAGTTGTGCACAAGGATGCCCAGGTAAGAAAATGCAGACAGGGGGCTGGAATCTATAGCCCCTCTGCTCGCTGAGCTGTGGATCCTGGCATGCCTCTTCACCACCTGGGGGAAAGGATGTACTTTGCATAAAGGTACTATATATTGTTCTTTCCATCTGGGTTCTGGGAGTCATCTTGTGGGATGGGTAAACTGTAGAAAATGTAAACTAGAAAAATTGAATTTAAAGGCTTTCTTCTGTTTGTCTTCCAATTCTTGTCCATAATTCTAGCACTTTAGTACTAAGTGTCATCAATGCTGCCTTCCTGTCATAACTGGGCCTGCCTGCCCCTCAAAATACCCCCCTATTTCAAAATTAATTCTTCCTTCTCCCTAGCCATAAGAACATTTCCAGCCGGGAGCAGTGGCTCACGCCTGTAATCCCAGCACTTTGGGAGGCCAAGGCGGGCAGATCACGAGGTCAGGAGATCGAGACCATCTTGGCTAACACGGTGAAACCCCGTCTCTACTAAAAATACAAAAAATTAGCCGGGCGTGGTGGCGGCCGCCTGTAGTCCCAGCTACTCGAGAGGCTGAGGCAGGAGAATGGCGTGAACCCAGGAGGCCGAGCTTGCAGTGAGCTGAGATCGAGCCACTGTACTCCAGCCTGGGCGACAGAGAGACTCCGTCTTAAAAAAAAAAGAACATTTCCACATTTTATTTATTTATTTCTATTAAAAAAATTTTTTTTTCAGAGACTGGGTCTCATTTGTGGCTCAGGTTAGAGTGCTGTGGCACAATCATAGCTCACTGTAGTCTCAAAGTCCTGGGCTCATGCGATTCTCCCACCTCAGCTTCCTGAGTAGCTGGGACTATAGGCACACACACCTGGCTAATTTTTTTTTTTTTTTTTTTTTGTAGATACAGGGTTCCTTTCATTATGTTGCCTAGGCTGGACTTGAACTCCTGGAGTCAAGCCATTCTCCTACTTCTACCTCCCAAAGTGCTGGGATTACAGACATGAGCCACTGCTTCCAGCCTATTTATTTATCTTTAAGAGACCAGTGTCTCTGTCACTCAGGCTTGAATGCAGTGGTGCAATCATAGCTCACTATAGCCTCAAACTCCTGGACACCTTCTGCCTCAGCCTCCCAAGTAGCTGTGCTACTACCCAACAGTCCCATGTTTTAAAATATAGTTTGGAACTGACTGGTTTCTTCATCGTTTATGTTAAGGTATGAATGACTTACAATCTTCCTTCAAATGCCAAAAAGAGATTGTTTAATGAATAAAAAGAACATCCAGGTAGTAAAGTTTTAGGCAGGGGAAGATGTTTTTGGATAGAGGGAACAATTAGCTTGTGGGTAAAATTCAAATGCCTAGCCACCTGTGTTCTGTTTAGGTTCAAGAACCTTGCAATGTAGTTCTCTTACTTGGCCTCTCCTTACAACTAACCTTGGAAATATACTACCGAGTGTATGTTTTAGATTGTCTCTCTTGCCCCTCCTTCAGGTCCCCTGTCAGTTCTGTTTCTTTGTTCTTCTGGGAGTTGGGCCATTGCTCCGTTGACATTGATGACTGTCCCTAGCTTACATATCCATGGATCCTTTTCCTAGATCCACACCAGTAAAAGTCATCTCCAGTCCTAGCCATGTCCCAATTTGGGTAGATGGACCCAGACCAAGAAGATTTTTTGAATATTCACCATGATGACCTGTCTCACCCCATGATCTAATATTAATTTAATATAAACACCACATTAAATAGGGTTGTGTATAGGTTGTTGTCCATAGCACTATAGTAAGTTTGCTGTTCTGGGAAGCCCAGAAATATTCTGTTGGCTTCCCCTCTCTTAAAGGTCTTCTTTTAAAGTGCAAATACTACAAGTGCGAATAGCACTTTCAACTCATTTACACTGAGGTGTTAGTGACTTTTTTGATGGCCTTTTTTTTTTTTCCTCTGGAGGAATTTAGCCAGGGAGATTAGAGAATGGGACAAGGGAGAAAAAAGAGAAGGAGAAAGAAAGAGACAAGAAAAAGGAAGAGGAGGAATAAACATAATTGAAATTGAATTATGCCTAAAGTCTAACTTTATCCTGTGGATACTTTTTACTTTGGGGACAACATTTTAGAATAACACCTAGGGAATGTACATTACTCATTAACTATACTTCTAAGGAAACCAAGGAGACCTATGCAGGTTTCCAAATGCACAATTTTAGACGTACTGATCCAGACATCTCATTGTATTTGAGGCAAACTTTCCTACTTGGTAAATAAGAAACAAGTTTCCTATTCATCTATTTCATGGACTCTGTGAATTCTTTAACATTTGTGAAATAATAAAAACTTTTTCTCAAAGTGTGACAACATTATGTATGCCTTTGGACATGTTTGATACGAGAAACATATTTCTTCTAAGCTATCTAAAGAAAAAAAATCTCTTATAAACAGTCAAGGTATCTTACAGAACTCAAGGGCAAGAAATGCAGCCACATTCCTTGAGGGACTGGAGCTGAGGACTGGAAAGTTGTCAGTGACTGAGGCAACTCTTGGGATATTTTTTCTTTTCCTGAAACTTATCCTCTTCCCCACTACACTTTCACCATAGTTGTTAATTTTTGCTATTTCTACGTTTCTACTCCTTTTTGCAGAATAGCTTTCTTAACTCCACTTTTATATGGCACATCATGTACAGTTGCCAGATTTGACAAGCAAAAATATAGCATGCCTGTATTTTATCTGGCAACTCTAAAATCATGCCTAGCCAATCCAGAGCCCTCATTTCCTGAGTCTAGCTGATCCATAACCCAGAGCTCATTTACAAGACTCTCTGCGTCCTTATTCAAAAGGCAGGAGGATGAATCTAATTAGTCCAGCTTGGTCCACTGTCCAGACCTGATCACATCTTGTGTTGCTGGAATTAGTGACAATGAGAGTCACAGGGCCCATCTCCTAGGTGGGAAGCATTGTTAGAAAAGGGAAAAGTGCTGATAATTCAGCTCAAAATGTTATTGACTAGATATAAATGTAGGCCCTAAGTAAACATTGCTATACATATAGAAGTTGCTCTTGCAAACTTCTTGAGGTCATAGAATAAGTTTTATTGGTCTTTGTATGTCCTGGTGCCTGGCATCTGGTGCTCTATACCTATTGGTGAATTGTGTTAAACAGGAAAAATTTCAAAAATTATTCTATTAATTTGAATATCTGAAAATGTGGAGGGAAACCAAGGCAACTTTCCAGAAGTGGTGTTCTAAGTGGCTGACCATGTTGCTTTTAGTGAATAGTACAATAAGGCATCAAATGGGGACCTGGCGTCAAGAGTCACTGAAAAGCTCAGTGACTTAAAAATAGCTTAAATTTTTTATCCTCAGCCCATTTTATCAAACAGATATCTTTTAGAAGATAAAAACATTACTCCAGCAAGATTAATATATTAGCCAATCACTAAGAGGATAATTATTTTATTAAAATTTCAGATTAAATGCTCTTCTCTTAATAAACCTTTTATAAGGGGCCATTGCTCTTTTATTTTCTTTCTTCTCTTTAGGCCGTTCATAATATTCTTTACATAATGATTAACCCTTTCTTTCAGGTTCCTTAATGCATAGGAGTAGCTAGCGACTTTTTACTTATTACCTATTGCTTATATGATGCTAACTAAAGATGGGATAAAAACCATTTGCCTTAGCAACATCTAAAGCAGTGATGGCTAAATGCCATGGTACCATAATTTACTTCTTATGGGAGACAGACCACGGAAAGAAGAAATTAAAGTAGGATCACATGATCTAGGCTTGAAGACACATGATTTAGGTTTAAATCTCAGCTCTACTTGTAACTCACTGTGATGCCTTAGGTGTTTCATAACGTCTTTAAGTCTTGGTTTCTACAAAGCAAAGATAAATATGGCTGCCCAGGCCACCTGCCAGAGTCATTAATCAAATGAGATAATGTAGGTGAAAGTGTTTTGTAAACTATAAGACACTTCACAAACAAGTTTTTTTGTTGTTATTATCCAATAAAAGATGCTTATAAGTCATATTAATGTCTAAGAAAAAATAGCATTACTACGTTGATGGCTACTATGAGCTAGAGGTATAAGCTATAAAGATAGAATTATTCAAGGAAAAATAAATATGTACTAACTTTTCTTTTCTTTTTTTTTGAGAGAGAGTCTCGCTCTCTTGCCCAGGCTGGAGTGCAGTGGCATGATCTCGGCTCACTGCAGCCTCCGTCTCCTGAGTTCAAGCAATTCTCTTGCCTCAGCCTCCCGAGTAGGTGGGATTACAGGTGTGTGCCACCATGCCTGGCTAATTTTTGTACTTTTAGTAGAGACAGGGTTTCACCATGTTGGCCAGGCTGGTCTTGAACTCCTGACCTCAGGTGATCCGCCAGCCTCAGCCTCCCGAAAAGCTGGGATTACAGGCGTGAGCCACTGTGCCCGGTCTGTACTATCTTTAAGGACACAATTTTCCTATTGCTTATTATTTTTTAATGTATAAGATGAACAGAGAGCACACTAGGCTTGAGAGAAACACGAGCCCCTAAAACAACAAAAAATGTGGTTAACAAAGCCTTAATGATTTTGGTCTTTAACAACGGACTGCCTTGATAAGCATGGGAGTCTTTGAAACCTCCCCTGTTTAATTTCTATGCCTGTGCCATTGTCTCATCCCATATCCTCATTTTTGTTGGAATCTCCAGACAAAAGGCAGGGCATAGGTGTTTGTACATCCTCTGCCCCACATAGAAATATCAGTATCTACTCTCTTCTCATTTCATTTTTCTCCACAGTCTTAAGCCTCCCTATTTAGAGAAAATGAGAACTAGCTCTTCCTCACAAACGATGGGAGACCTGTGGAAAAGCAAAGCTTTCTCTACCGCTGAAAGCTCCTTTCTTCTTATAATGAGTGTGGAACATATTGGTTTTATCTGTGGTGATTTTTAGGCCCTAACTGGGGCCTGATACACATTGGTGCCCAATACATAATTATCAAATACACAAATTGATTGACTGTAGCTTGCCTGAATTATTATATTCTCAAGACGGGATATCAATATCTTTTTGCTAATTAATCCATTTAACTGTATAAAGATGATATTATAAGGACTTTGACCTTGGAGTTGTCTATGGATGCAATTCCTCAATATACACTAGTTGTGGAACAGCATACTATTATTAAATCAAATACTTACGACTTGCCTTACTTGGGAAACACTTGTAAATATCCATTTTGAGTATTGATAAGGCAATGTCTAGATCCTCTTTTGTATTACTGGTTTTATTATTTTTTATCATTTAAAATGTTAAAGTCAGTTGAATTCATGTCTAGCCAAACTGAATTGAATTTCAAGTCTATGCTGTTAAGTTTGATTAACATCTACAAAGGGAAGGAAAGCAGGCTATTTCCAGGCAAGTTTTATGTTTACAAGTTGTGGAAAGATTGCCTATTTTAACCAGTGGAATTGATCTTGGAATGATGAACTTTTAAAACAAGATGGACTATGGCCAATTAGACCCAGAGATACAGAAAATGAATTATAAAAACAACATATAGGAAAGATAGAGTTGCATTGATGGGCAGCTTTTAATAAAAAATTTAAGCACTGTTATTATTCTATTAATTTTGTTAGATTCATACATAAATTTTGTACTTGGAGCATTGGAACTAGTTAATATATCAGGTTTGCTCATCTACTTACTGCAGAGTCTGTAATTGCTTGTCATTTTATGATGCTTTATTTGTTTCATGCTGGTGTTCACCATCACTATCAAGGTTTATAGAATTCTGCCCTTGTTTGCAGTGTCCATCTTCTTTTCTTATTCTTGCCAGAAAAAAAGTTAGCTGCACCTTGTTGCTCTCCTCTGTGCCTTGTCTCTTGCTTAGGTCCCAAGTTTCTGCCTAACTGGTTGGAGGAATACTTCTGGGCTTGCCACTGTAATTTGTTTAATCAGGTCCAGGTCATGGGAACAGAGCAATGATTCTGAGAATGATTTGCCCTCAGCTGAGATCTGGCCACCCTAGAGAATAGACTTCATGTTATGGAAACAACAGCATGCTGTTTCAAAGCAGGGGACACGTAGCCCTGAGAAATCATTTGGGGAAAAAAATTTGAAGATTAACCTGAAAATGGGGAATGCTGGAACAAAATACCTGCCATGCTTGAATGGCAATTCCATTGGTCGTATACTTTGCCTCAATTGTCTGGCCTTAGTTAAAATGATTATATTTTCTTGTTGCTTCTATTTCAGAAGCGAGCACATTCATATATCAGTCAAATCTTTCCTTTTGGATACCACTGAAACCTTTTCTGTATTATAATTAAATTATAATTATTAACTCATTTATCAAAATAAAATTTCTCTAGCAAAGAACTAGATATAACAATTTTAAAAAGTTATAGGCCCGGCGTGGGGCTCATGCCTGTAATCCCAGCCCTCTGGGACGCCAAGGTGGGCGAATTACTTGAGCTCAGGAGTTCGAGACCAGCCTGGGCAACATGGCAAAAACCTGTCTCTACAAAAAATACAAAAATTATCTAGGCATGGTGGCACACGCCTATAGTCCCAGCTACTTGTGGGGCTAAGGCAGGAGGATGGCTTGAGCCTGGGAGGTCAAGACTGCAGTGAGCTGAGATTGTGCCACTGCACTTCAGCCGGGGTGACAAAGTGAGACTCTGTCTCCAAAAAATAAAAATAAAAATTTAAAAATTTATATTATCAACCCACCTTATTAATCAGAAGAAAAAGAAAGAAAAAAATGTTATAATAAAGGGAACATTTTGACATTCTCCAAAGATGTCTCTGGGTATTAAAGGCAGACCACTAGAATAATGGTACAGTAACATAATAGCTCTATTCTTATTCTACCCTCATGTTTGCTCACATATACAGTAGACTTAGTAATTGCATAAATGCCTTTAGCCTCAACGTGCTATAAGGGTTTTGTAAAATTATATCTAAGAACCACTTTTGTTCCATTTGGAACTTTCCCATGGAAAGTAATTAAAATTTCCTTTTTTCCCCCACAAACTTTTTCTTAAAGTATTATTTGCTGACCCCAAAAGGATTTGGGAAACAATAATGGATATTTACTTAAAGTGAATGCTGTGGAACATGTGAATAAAAACAAACTTGAGCTATGGTAGTATTCTTTGGATATTACAATTTTAAATATGTTCCTGTTGGGCACGGTTGTTCACATCTGTAATCCCAGCATTTTGGGAGGATGAAGGGAGAAGATGGTTTGAGTCCAGGAGTTGGCAAGTAGCCTGGGCAACATAGTGAGATCTCCATCTCTACAAAAAAATTTTTTAAAAAATTAACCAGGTAGGCTGGGTGCAGTGGCTCACGCCTGTAATCCCAGCACTTTGGGAGGCCGAGGTGGGCGGATCATGAGGTCAAGAGATCGAGACCATCCTGGCGAACACGGTGAAACCCCATCTCTACTAAAAATACAAAAATTAGCTTGGGGTGGTGGTGCGCACCTGTAGTCCCAGCTACTCGGGAGGCTGAGGCAGGAGAATCACTTAAACCTGGGAGGTGGAGGTTACAGTGAGCCCAGATGGTACTACTGCACTCCAACTTGATGACAGAGCAAGACTCTGTCTCAAAAAAAAAAAAAAAAAAAAATTAGCCAGGTGTGGTGGCACTCACCTGTTGTCCCAGCTCTTGGAAGGCAGAGATAGGAGGATCCTTGAGCCCAGGAGTCCGAGGTTATAGTGAGCTATGATTGTGCCATTGTGCTCCAGCCTGGGTGACAGAGCAAGACCCTGTCTGGGGAAAACAAAAAAAAGCTTGCTTATTTTCAGTTCAAAATACTATTAAAATAAACTTCGCGGCTAGGCAAGGTGGCTCACGCCTGTAATCCCAGCACTTTGGGAGGCTGAGGTGGGTGGATCACGGGGTCAGGAGATCGAGACCATCCTGGCCAACGTGGTGAAACTCCGTCTCTACTAAAATAGAAAAAATTAGCTGGGCATGGTGGCACGCACCTATAGTCCCAGCTACATAGGAGGCTGAGGCAGGGGAATTGCTTGAACCCGGGAGGCGGAGGTTGCAGTGAGCTGAGATTGCACCACTACACTACAGCCTGGGTGACAGAGCAAGACTCTGTCTCAAAAAAAAAAAAAAAAAAAAGTTTGCCATATGCACAGGATTCCTAATGATTGACTTATGATTGTTGCAAATCCAGCTAGAACATAATATTTGGAAAAATCTGGTCTTTACTGGCAATCCAGTCAAGGGCGGGGGTTGGTGTGGTAAGACATGAGGTTCTCATAACACAGTGGCCAGAGGAAAAGAAAATAAGTCTTTTGTGTCCTTATCATGTTTGTGTAAAAAAAAAAAAAAGAGCTGCTCTAAAAAATTGCGTAATAGAAAGTACTCAGAGCTTTAAAAGATTGCAATACACAGGACATGCATGTCATTTAATTATGCACTGATTTACCTGTTCAGACATGTCTTTGCTGTCCCTGGGTATTCATTAGAAGTTCAACTATAGTTACAATGAAGATTTTAAGTACTTAGCAACATACATATACAGCATTTGTATAATTACACGGAGCAATAAAGTTTGTTTTAGAGTTAGATACGTGCATATAAAACAAATGACATTTCCTAAGATTATCCTTCCATGTATTAATTTTCAGCTGAAAAAAAGACATAACTTTGCCAGTAAAAATCTATTTTTTCCCACCAGTTCTGAAATTTAGTGTATTAGGTAATCGAGTTTTATCAGAATGCATGCATGTCAACTGTTGTTTAACTTGAGGTTTACACGTAAGCTCTTAGGCAGATTTAAAATATGATAAGCTTATTGAGACTGTATCCAAACTGTTTTGCCCTCCTTTGGCAATCTTTCAAAGGCTATATATATATATATATATATATATATATATATATATGTATGTATATATGTAAAGTCCCCTCTCTTCCTTCAACTCTTACTGAATTGGTTAATGTTCCCAATATTACAGAATTTGTAGTACACAAAGAAAGTAGACCAAATAATTAAATACTAGCTCTGTATTCTCTCTTCCTTCAACTCTTACTGAATTGGTTAATGTTCCCAATATTACAGAATTTGTAGTACACAAAGAAAGTAGACCAAATAATTAAATACTAGCTCTGTATTGCAGGAACAACCAGAATTCAAGATAAGAATAGAGAAATTTCTAGGAGTCTTTCTTTTCTTTATGAGTAAGCCTACCACACCCATCAGAAGATGACAAAGTTCAATGGGTGAATAAGTACAAGCTTCCCTTGAAACAGTGGTTCGCAGATTTTTTTTCAGTGACTCTTTTACTAACAAAATGCCGCATATCCCCTACCCTTTTTCCTGGTAATAAGTGCTTTTCTTTTCGTTTCTTTCTTTCTTTCTTTCTTTTTTTTTTTTTTTTTTTGAGACAGGCTCTCACTCTGTCACCCAGGTTGGAGTGCAGTGGTGCCATCATGGCTCACTGCAACCTCAGACTGCCAGGCTCGCATGATCCTCCCACCTCACTCTCCTGAATAGCTGGGACTGCAGGTGCATGACATCAAGTCCAGGTAATTTTTTAATTTTTATTTTTAGTAGAGACGAGGTCTCGCTATGTTGCAGAGGCTGATCTTGAAACCCTAGGCTCAAGTGATCCTCCAGCCTCCCAAAGTGTTGGAATTACAGGTCTGAGCCACCATGCCTGGCAATAAATACCTTTCTGAAGGCTACTTCTGAAGTGGTTCGTAAGCCAATCCCTTACTAACTTAATACCTCCCAAATTTAACGGCAGTTTAATGCTCCAAGAATACAAACATGAAGGCTCTTAGGAATAAGCCAATAAGTTTAATTGTGATAGGATAGTGCTTGAATGTAAGAAAATAGGGAAATACAAGCCTTTAATGCCTTTTTGTCTAAGAAGGGAAGACTCATATAGAAATAGTCATGCTTTAAAAATGTTAATGATGCTATTGTGGCGGTAATCTAGGACTATGGGTCCTGATAGAAATTCTCGATGGTTGGAAAAGGGGATAAAATATTCGAAACCACCAAGCATTCCTCCCTGCAACTCCTCCACAAATGGTGGGAATGTGTATTTGTCTTGGGGTTTACCACCTTCCTTTGTTTAGAGAGGACTCATATATCATGAGCAAAGTATCTGTAAATTAATTAAGTAAATAGCAATTTTTAAAGGTGGGTATTTGTAAATTAAGTGCCCACAATTACCTTTGGGGAAGCCCATTGATAAAGTCATCCCCAAATAGATACTAAGTCTGCTGAATTCTTTTGGGGGTAACTGTCTCTTGGAAGACACTTTGGTTACATGACCTGGCTCTGCCTCTTCTAGCTGAGCCTAAGACAGGGCTTGGGGATATGTTATTTGTGAGAGGAGAGATAGAAAAGAAGAGCTTTTATCTTGAGAATGTTAAATGGTTTCTGTGAACATCCCAGAAGCCTGGGGCCCAAAGAAAGAGTCTGCCTGAAGAGTCCCTTTGAAATGGCATGCCAATAGACTCTAGGTTCTAGGATGAACATCTCACATAAACATTCATATTTTCCTTTTCTTTATTATAATCCCTTGCAACTTCTTCAAGCCTTAGTAAAATATGCTAAAATGTTGGTTAGTAGTATTTTCTGAATTCAAGGTGTGGGGGGATCCATTTCTTCTTTCTTTCTTTTTTTTTTTTTTGAGAAGGAGTCTCACTCTGTCGCTCAGGCTGGAGTGCAGTGGCATGATCTCAGCTCACTGCAGTCTCCACCTTCTGGGTTCAAGCAGTTCTCCTGCCTCAGCCTCCTGAGTAGCTGGGACCACAGGGGCGCGCCACCAAACCCGGCTAATTTTTGTATTTTCAGTAGAGATGGGGTTTTGCCATATTGGCCAGGCTGGTCTGAGGGCATCCATTTCTATGTTTTTGGCGGAATCTGTGTCTATATTCTGGGGAGACTAAATAGCCTCCAGCCAGCGTGATCAGTGGAGAAATCTGATGTAGCAGCCCAGAGGGAGTTGACCCAAAACACCCATGATGGATTTGTGAAACATGAGAATTTACTATCTTCATAAAATCTAGGGGTGGGACTAGACTCCCTGCATTCCCTTGGATGAAGGCTCTTATCCTTTTTATTTAGCAATTATAGAGAAAGGTGACCCACATAGGCTAGTGAAGTTGTGTTACATAATTCATTTTGTAAAAATGTATGAAAGTTAGTCAGGCATGGTGGTGCACACCTGTAGTCCCAGCTACTCAGGAGGCTGTGATGGGAGGATCACCTGAGCCCAGGAGCTCAAGGTTATAGTGAGCTATGATTGTGCCACTGTGCTCCAGCCTGGGTGACAGAGGAAGTCCCCATCCTTAAAAACAAAAACAAAAAAGGATGTAAGAAATAAAATCCTATGTCACCCTGATGAACTAGTATCTGGTAGTAAAGTAAGAGGATCATGTTAGATAATTTCAGAACAACTTGGAGGATGAAAAAAGGAAGCTTTAAATATAAAAGTCTGGCTGGGCGTGATGGCTCACGCCTGTAATCCCAGCACTTTGGGAGGCCCAGGCGGGCGGATCACGAGGTCAAGAGTTCGAGACCAGCCTGACCAACATAGTGAAACCCCGTCTCCACTAAAAATACAAAAATTAGCTGGGCGTAGTGGCGCGCGCCTGTGATCCCAGCTACTTGGGAGGCTGGGGCAGGAGAATAGGTTGAACCCGGGAGGCGGAGGTTGCAGTGAGCTGAGATCGCACCACTGCATTCCAGCCTGGGCGACAGGGCGAGACTCCGTCTCAAAAAAAAAAAAAAAAAGTCTATTACCTCTCTGCTAAATGCGATACTTTACTATTATGTAAGAGCATATGCAAAAAATACACAGGCATACCAAAAGAATAACTTTAAGTGCATATTAATAAAACATCATAAAACGACTATGGTTTGCTCATTATGGTGGGAAATGCACACACACACACAAAGCTAGGAAACACGTTCCTGCCCTTTAGAAGTTTACCATTATAAAGTCCAATTTGAATTACAAATTGAGAGACACATATGACAGACCAAAGAAAGCATGTGCAGAAATCAGTATCTGTTTTCCAAACAGGACATACCACTCTTGACCACAATGTCGAGGAAGGCATAGAATGAGGTGACCACTCTCAAACCAGATTTGGAACAAGTAAGAGGAGCCGGCAGTGGCAGTTCTTCAGAAGAATGGTTGAGATTATCAGTGGGATGCAAGTGGGCCCTCTACTTTGTCAGACATGTTTGTTTCTCCTCAGCAGGGAGGAGAATGGAGCAGTCCACTAAGGGAGGGACTATTTAGTACAGAAGTCCAGAGCAGAAACTCTAAAGCCATACTACCTGATTTCCAACTTAGGCAAGTGACTTCATTAATCCACCTATTTTTCTCAAGAGATCCCCTTATTTTCAAGGACAATAATCAATCTAGATGAATCACTAAAGTGGTGATGTTTTATGACTTGCTTTAAATATTTCCAACCAGGTGTAGATGAAGTCTTATGTGATGATTCTGGATGCAATTGGTTTCTGCCTACTCTGGATTCATTTTGAAATTAAAATTAATCTTTTTTGGGAGCAATGGAATTATACTAAGGTGGCTTCTTTTCCTATAATTGAGTTTAGGCCTGTGTCTTTCTAGACCTAGGATACAGATGGACTCACGGGCCATTTCCAGGTTGATTAGGAGCAAATATATTGGCTATAGACTAGTAGTGCCATTAGAATGATTTCTGTTGCCTCTATGGTGTTTCTGCTGTAGCCTACCTCCCAGTGACATGGCAGTCTTTTTTTTTTTTTTTTTTTTTTAGTATTTATTGATCATTCTTGGGTGTTTCTCGGAGAGGGGGATTTGGCAGGGCATAGGACAATAGTGGAGGGAAGGTCAGCAGATAAACATGTGAACAAAGGTCTCTGGTTTTCCTAGGCAGAGGGCCCTGCCGCCTTCCACAGTGTTTGTGTCCCTGGGTACTTGAGATTAGGGAGTGGTGATGACTCTTAACGAGTACGCTGCCTTCAAGCATCTGTTTAACAAAGCACATCTTGCACTGCCCTTAATCCATTTAACCCTGAGTTGACACAGCACATGTTTCAGAGAGCACGGGGTTGGTGGTAAGGTTATAGATTAACAGCATCCCAAGGCAGAATAATTTTTCTTAGTACAGAACAAAATGGAGTCTCCTATGTCTACTTCCTTCTACACAGACACAGCAACAATCTGATCTCTCTTTCTTTTCCCCACATTTCCCCCTTTTCTATTCGACAAAACTGCCATTGTCATCATGGCCCGTTCTCAATGAGCTGTTGGGTACATCTCCCAGACGGGGTGGCAGCTGGGCAGAGGAGCCCCCCACCTCCCAGATGGGGCGGACATGGCAGTCTTACAGAGTGAAGGGAGCAATGGCAGAAGAAGAGCCAACAGGTATTTCTACGATTGGTATAAGACAGAAATTGTGTAGTCTGGTTTATTGAGAAGTTTTATAGGGCCATGTTGGTTTGAAAGTACTAACAGCAGTATTCTACAACACTAAATGCATTCTCTTGAAATCCTAAACTGCCTTTAAAAAAAAAGTGTTGTGCTATTAAAAATTGTAGCGAATACATTACATTTAATTTCTTTCTTTTTAAAAAAAATTTTAAAAGACAGGGTCTTGATCTGTTACCAGGCTGGAGTGCAGTGGTGTAATCATAGCTTACTGAAGCCTCAAACTCAAATCTCCTGCTTTAGCCTCCCGAGTAGCTGGGATTATAGGTGCAAGCCCCCACACTTGGCTTAATTTCTGCCCTTTAAAAAGAAAAAGTATGGCAGTGCAATTGTTCTGTACTACATAAACTTTGTTTAACAATAGTCAGTTTTTTCTGTAGTATAGTACTTTTCTGAGCTGACATTAAAATGTGAACTAAAGACTGGGAAAAGAAAGGTAGGAGAAAGGTGGATAATAAAAAACAAACAATACTACACAGGAAAGGGCTGGATATAAAAATATGCTCCAAATACTTTTAACAAAGTGTAGTTTTTGTTGTTGTTGTTTTGTTTCTTTTTTTTGAGACAGGGTCTCACTCTGTCACCCTGGCTAGAGTGCAGTGGTGTGACCTTGGCTTACTGCAACCTCTGCCTCCTGGGTTCAAGCAATTCTCCTGCCTCAGCCTCCCGAGTAATTGGGATTACAGGCCCCCACCACCACACCCGGCTAATTTTGTATTTTTTTTTTAGTAGAGACAGGGTTTCACCATGTTGGCCAGGCTGGTCTCCAACTTGTGACCTCAAGTGATCCACCCACTTCAGCCTCCCAAAATGCTGGGATTACAGGTGTAAGCCACCGTGCCCAGCCAAAGTGTAGTTTTTATACTTGCAATATTTCAGATAAGAGTTCTAGGAACTACACAAAGATTCAATGAATCATTGTTCAACTTTTCTTGAAGATAGCACTATCCTTAGTTTTATAGATGGACAATCTAAACTACATGTTAAAAGAGAAAATCACTGCAGGTAACAAAGCCAGGGCTCCTGATTCTTGGTTCCTGCGTCAGCCACTCTCTCCTCTGAATAAGTTCCAACAGTCTGGAAACTTTGATCTAGAATCTTTTGTCTAGACGTTTCCCAGAAAGAAATTACCCTTACTATTGTGCATTTATCATGGCTAGAATAAAAATCTGCTTTTGCATTCTGCCACTTTTATTTGAGATGGACATGTGAGACATTGCAAAATGCTGAAATTTGCCAATAGTGGCAGTTCAGTTACCTGGTCTCATCTGAAGTGTCTTTCTTTCCCATATACAGTCTGTACTGTACTCAAAACTTCTTAATTTCTCATTTCTTTGAGCCCCTTAGAGCTAAGAAACTAGTCTGCTAGGAAGTTTCTCCCTCATATGTAATTACAACATCCTGAGCGAACTTGAGATCAAGTGGTTGGGGATGACCTGAGCCCATGGACAAACCACATGATGTCAAGATTAGGTCCTCCAGAGTTCCATTCCTTCTCAGCCCAAATACTGAATGGAGTATGGAGCAGCAGATTTCTTAAATTAGTAGCAGATTACTTGAAGTTAGAGTCACTTTAGTGCTCAGTGGACGCAAGGTACTCCTTTGGCTAATTTAAAGTCTTAGGCCTGGCTGAGATATGCAGTAAAAACAGCAAAATTTGTTTTATCCCTTAAGATCTCAAAGGTCTGGCTGGGCACAGTGGCTCATGCCTGTAATCCCAGCACTTTGGGAGACCGAGGAAGGTGGATCACTTGAGGCCAGGGGTTTGAGACCAGCCTGACCAACATGGCAAAACCCTGTTTACTAAAAATACAAAAATTAGCAGGGCATGGTGTTGCATGCCTGTAATCCCAGTTACTAGGGAGGCTGAGGCATGGGCATCTCTTGAACCCGGGAGGCAGAGGTTGCAATGAGCCAAGATGGTGCCACTGCCTTCCAGCCTGGGCAACAGAGCGAGACTCCATCTAAAAGAAAAAAAACAAAACAAAAGAAGATCTCAAAGGTCTGTACCCTAAGGTTCTTTCTCTTCAGTTGAATATTTCCTTGGCCTGAATAAGGAAAACTGTAACTAAGTAGTAAATTGTCGCAGTCTGCATCTTTTTTTTTTTTTTTTTTTTTTTTTGAGAGCAGGTACTGTTTATTAACCGACCAGCTTAGAAAAATAATCATGGTAGACACCTTAGTTCATTCTTCTAATAAGCCTGTTGACCTGGTCCTCCCTGTTGCCAGCATCTCCACCTTCTACAAAATGGGTGGTCTTTTTCTTCATTCCACCTCGTGGAGAAGACAATTTGAAGGCCCACAGGAAGTTATTTGCCTCTTTGAAGCCTTTTCCAACAGTATAGATCTCATGAATCAGATCCTCCATGCAGATGATGCCGTATTTACCAAGAGATCGAGCAATCAAAGTGTTATCTGTCAAAGCAATTCGCTTCTTATTCATTTTGCCATAACCACGCTTGTAGATTAGTTCATTTACTGACTTCAGATTGGGGTACCCCCATGCAATATATGGCTCTACAATCCTCAGCATGTTAATCGAAGCCTTGTCGAGCTTCACAAAGGTGCCATTGAAGATTTGACGAAGGCGAAGAAGCTGCAACACCTTTCGGACCTTTGGGCTCACGCCATTGACACCTCTGATTCTGACGACAAATGCCAATTTGGGTTCTGCAGGTACATAGAAATTGCCAGCTTTTCTTGCCATCCTCGCCTTTCGAATTTCAGTTCTGTACATCTGCCTGTATTCCTTGTGATAGTGCTTTGCTTTTTCATAGATAAGCTTCCTCCTTGTCTTTCGAAGCGTCTTTTGGGCAAACTTCTTTCTCAGGCGCTTGATCTTCAGCTCTGCAAAATTCCTTCGCTTTTTCTTAAGGGTTTCTGGCACAGCAAGAACCTTCTTCTCTTCTACACACTCCATGGTTCCAGCTGGAAAAAGAGCGCAGTCTGCATCTTGTGGCTGCTTTTACCCTTGTAGAGATCCACCTGGCCAGCACATTTGTTTACACATTGACCTTGGTGAGTTTTGCATGGTAATGCCAGGCTCAGTTGGTCCCTGCACTTTTGCTGAGTGGTCCAAGTGGTCAAGAGATGCCTCCTGGAAGCTACATACAAGTACATACAAGTAGAGTCTCTGCTTCTATAGAAACATGTGCTCATCTCAGTACAAAGCTGCCAGGAATTATAGTCACCCTTCTACATGACTGAAAACTCAAGGCTTCACTCCCATGCTGTAGGCAAAAGCCATCTGCCCATCTGTTAAATCTGTGTGGCTAATATAAGCCTCTACAAACCACTGAGCTGAAAATGCCCTGCCATAAGCTGAAGTCTAAGTCCCTCGGCCACCTGTTCTTACCCTACCGAAGGCCACTCCTGCATGCGTTTTTCCTTCTCCTAATTCCACCATGTATTCTCTTTGATTTGTCAATGTTAATAGCCAGTACATCAAATTTTGGGGTCTCTGTAGAGGTCCACAGTGTCCTTCTTTTCCTTCTGGCTTCTGAACGAATTGAGAAATAAGGTAAAAGAATAAGAGAGATAAGATGTCCAAACTTTGCCATTACCCATAAAGCCTTAATATAAAAACCAAATGGACTTCTTCATACTTAATCCAAATCCACAATGAAAGTCACAACAACGCTGGACCTGGAGACCACATGAATATTTTACTTTGCCACACTTGTTGGAGGTGAAGAAGGCAGCAGTACTAGTTCAGATTAGCCTTATCATGTTGTACTGTTTCATAATTCAAAGAAATCTCGTTGTGTTGAGTAACTTGGGATTCAGCAGGAATTCAACAGTACCTGTTGTCTAGAATAAGAATATAAGTCAAAGGAATCTCTCCTTTACCCTCTCTTATGAAGTTTAGGGTGTAACAACTGCTTTCTGTTCATTACAGCTTTGTTTCATTTTTCCAGAAACACTGGTTAGATCTGTTTTAAATCAGCTGCCAATCAGCTTAGCTACAACTGGTAAACAATGTCGTTCTGCTGAGGCCTGGTTAGACTTCTAGAGGAAGACGAGCGGCAGCTCAGCTCGGAAGAACTGGTTTTTATTGTTGTTTTTGTCATTGTAGTTGTTATTGGTGTTTGTGGTGTGTGTTTGTGTATGTGTATGTGTAGGTATGGCAGTGAGAATTTTTAAAGAAATTTTATAAGAAATATAAATTTTATAGAAGAATTTTATAAGAAATACCATTTTTTCTTTTTTGAGACAGAGTCTCCCTCTCTCGCCTAGGCTGGAGTGCAGTGGCACTATCTCAGCTCACTGCAACCTCTGCCTTCTGGGTTCAAGCAGTTCTTCTGCCTCAACCTCCCGAGTAGCTGGGATTACAGGTGCCCACCACCATGCCTGGCTAATTTTTGTATTTGTAATAGAGATGGAGTTTCACCACGTTAGGCAGGCTGGTCTCGAACTCCTGACTTCAGGGGATCTGCTCGCCTCAGCTTCCCAAAGTGCTGGGATTACAGGAGGGGTGAGCCACTGTGCCCGGCCAGAAATACCTTTTTTAAAGTAGTGAGAGCATATCTTTGGTCATGGAAATGTGCGTTTGGCTAGCAAATGTGAGATAATTAAAGGCATGGGCTGAAGTTCACTAGGGAAACTAGAAAAGTATAAGAATATTGGAGAAAAAGAATACTCTGAAATAGAAGAATACATATGGAAAAACAAATGTCTGACACTGAAAATTTGTAATTTGCTAAGAAAATGTGACCTAACCTTTTCTAAATATAGGGAAAAGAAACTGAGAAAGAGTAAAGATTTAGAAATATGGCTTAGAAATATGGTGTCATATCTTATGGTCATAAGAAAAAAAACCTGCAAATAATTGAGCAATAAAATCAGTATTCAATTTACATAAAGGTTGAATTAGAATTTTTTTTTTTCACAGTGAATGAACTAAGGAATTTTGTGCAACTGTGTAATTTAAAAAGACAGCTTTTTTAACTTGCAAAAACACATTATGATAGAGGTTATAAAGTTTATTATTATTTTTATTTTCAGTAAATACCTTTCTATCCAGTTGTAAGTCTTTATCTTAAGTGAAGTCACATTAATTCACAATCAATAATTATACCTAATAATAGAAAAACACATGGTAAAACTAAATGCCATTAATTTATAACATGTTCCTTTAAAAAGCCATCCTTTGAAGTTTGTTTCAGAATTAAAATAGGATTACAAAGAAAAGGCAAAAAAGAAATATTCAAAGTTGAAACTCAGGCCTGGCACTGTGGCTCATGCCTATAATCCCAGCACTTTGGGAGGACAAGACGGGAGGACGGTTTGAGCCCAGGAGCCTGAGACAAGCCCAGGCAACAACATGGTGAGACCCTGTTGCTGCAAAGAATAAAAAAATTAGCTAGGCATGGGAGTGCATGCCTGTGGTCCCAGCTGCTCGGGAGACTCTGAGGTGGGAGGCTTGCTTGAACCTGGGAGGTCGAGGCTGCAGTAAGCCATGATTGTGTCACTGCACTCCAGCCTGGGTGACGGAGCAAGATCCTCTCTCAAAGAATAAAATAAAATAAAATAAAATATAAAAAATGGAAACTCAATGAAATCTTTTGTCTCCATTGATAACACTTTGCAAGAGCCACTTTTAGAAAAACATTGGCAATTTAATGTTTGAATTTGTGGAAATCCATTCATTATGCAATTAAATATTTTTGACTTTTCAAAAAATGTTTTTCACTACAAAGTTTGAATTATCTGTGGGAAATAAATGATATGTACTTGAAATTCATAGATTATCAAAACCAATAATTTTAATTTTCTTTCATATGAAATCTTTAGAAAAATAAATTGAAAAAATTTAATATTAAACTTACTTTCTTATCTAACCCTGTACGGTTGTCATAAAATTAAAAGAGATAATGCAATATGAACCCAAGTGTTTTACTCAAGTTGATAATAAATTGTAGTGAAAAAAAAAGTTGCGGTTAAATAAATTAGGGAAATTCTGGATTGAGTAAAATTAGACAGGCTTTTCTTTTTAAAATATTGCAGAGGTTTTAAAATGCTAATAGACAGTAAATGAATATCTAAGAGATAAACAAAACATATTTCCCAACAGGTGTTATTTGATTATACAATATTTATTCTCAGAGTATCTGTCAGGTCTAGCACCATACGCATATTATATAGCTATTTTTTTTTTTAATTTAGAAATCTGTGAACAAGAAAAAAGGGACCTAGATGACATACAAACTGTTAAATACATAATCATTGTCAAGTGTGGTGGTCCTTAGTGCCACTTATAAATATCCAGTTCTCCTCTCTCTCCCAAGATATCAAATACTGAATTTCCTAGCTGATGAGTTTTGAGTGGAAGTCATGTGAGTCACTTCTAGGCTGTAGCATTTACATGCCAAGGCACACTCCTTAGAGCTCTTTTTCCCTTGACCACCACTTTTGGTGGTGATATTCCAGGTGGTGGCTACTTGTCAGCCTGGGTCCCAGAGTGAGGAGACCAGATCACCACAGCAGACTCTTAACTGGCATACAGTAGAAGCAAGGGGGAAATCTTGATTGTTTTAAGTGCTGAGTTTTGGGGCTGTTTGTTATCATAGCATAACCAAACTTATACTGACAGCTATGCCAAATGTATTTTTAAAACTGGAAAATAAAGTCTTCACTGCTTAGAAGAAAGAGAAGTAGGTCAGAACCAGAGTCTAGTTAGTGGCTAGCCATGTCAGAGCAGAGAAGGCAAGGACCCAGAGGCCGGGCAGATACACCAAGTTGGCACAGATGGTCAGGGAGGTGTGAGCTACAGAATGAGTCACCAGGAAAGTCATGGAACAGCCTCAGTAATTGAGACTTAATGGTAAGGAGGCCCGATGTGACCTAGTCTTTGAAGACAGGCCCCAAACCTGGGGATGTGGTCATAAAGAACAATGCTTATTTTCTAGAACAATGCTTGCTCATTGTCCAAGCAGATTAGATGATAAACCCACTGGCACAGAGCTTATTAAATAATCTCTGACTAGGGATATCTTTAATTTTGGATTAGGGGTGGGGCTGAATCTACAGATGAAAAATAAATGGCTCAAAATAAGAAGAGTAGTGGAAGGGAGCCAAGTGAGTCATTACAAATGGAAGACTTTGTGAATGGTTCTAGGGAAAAGAAGAATAGATTTTGAAATAAATGTTAGAACACCGAGTTTCTATTGGTTTTACACCTGTTAACTCTAAGACAGAAATGATTTAGCTTTGACATGGTTGTGCTTCTTTCTTAAACTGTAGGGTACTTGGTCATATGTTCTGGCTAGAGGTCTCTTCATGAACTCTAGTTGCACTCCTACACGCTTGATGGAATTGGGCTGACTTGACAAAACAAGGCCATTTATGGAGCAGTTGTGAAGGCATATGTATTCGATTTCTAGGGCTGCCATAATGAAGTACTACAAATGAGGTGGCTTAGACAAAAGAATTTTATTGTCTCCCAGTTCTGGAACCTCACAGCCAAGATCAAGTTGTCAATAGGGTGTTGAGGACTAGCTGAGGACCGTGAGAAAGAATCTATTTCATGCCTTTCCTCTATCTTCTGTTTTTCTTCTGGTAATTTTTAGTGTTCTTTATCTTGTAGAAGCATCACCCTGATCTCTGCCTTCTTCTTCACGTGGCCTTCTCACTGTGTTTATGTGACCCCAAGTTTCCGCTTTTTATAAGAACACTCATCATATTGGATTAGGGGCATATTCTATTCCAGTATGATCTCATATTAATTAATTACACATTCAAATACCCTATTACTAAATAAGGTTACATGCTAGAGTACTGAGAGTTAGGACTTCAGTGGATGAATTTTAGGGGAACACAATATAACCAATAGCATCATGCATTAAAGGAGAAGTTGTTTCTCTCACCATACCTATCTGTTCCCATTTTTTTTTCTTTTACCTGGCCTCTTACAGAAGTATTTACAGACTTTCCTGGGCTGCAAGCTTTTTTGAGGTCCGATACTACACTTTTAAAATCTGTCCAGCTCTTAGCCGGGTGCGGTGGCTCATGCCTGTAATCCCAGCACTTTGGGAGGCCAAGGTGGGTGGATCACCTGAGGTCGGGAGTGCGAGACCAGCCTGACCAACATGGAGAAATCCCATCTATACTAAAAATACAAAACTAGCTAGGCATGGTGGCGCACACCTGTAATCCCAGCTTCCCAGCTACTGGGGAGGCTGAGGCAGGAGAATCGCTTGAACCTGGGAGGCAGAGGTTGCGGTGAGCCAAGATTGCGCCATTGCACTCCAGCCTGGCAACAAGAGTGAAATTCCATCTCAAAAAAAAAAAAAAAAAAAAAAGAAAAAGAAAAAAAGAAAAGGAAAACTCTGTCCATCTCCTGACAGGAATTATTAAAAAGTAAGGTCATCATATCTCACCTGAACTGGTGACTGCAATAGCTTTCTGACTTCTCTCTCTGCTTCCTCCCTTTTTGGTTTACCCATTGTGATTCATCCTGAACAAAAGTTTTCCCTCTTTAAAAAATGTCCTTCACCAAGTGGTCCACCTGGAAAGCTGCCATTCACCCTTCTACTCTCAGATCAAGCACTACTATCTCCAATGCCTTCGATGACATTCCCAGGCAAAATCATGTAACTGATTCCTCTTTGCTTCCATGTAATACTGTGCATACCCTGTGGCAACCAGTAGGCACTCAATAAATGTTGGAATGAGTATCTGAATTAATGAAAGGAATAATTTATAAGGCAAATCCTATAAAGTAATTTTAGGGAATATTTTCCTCTTTCTGTTTGTACTGCTAAATTAAATGGATCATGCTTTAGAATAGTCTTCTCATGTTTGTATCACTTGTAACTCTGAAGAAGTACCCATACATTTTTAAAAATGTAATTCATAAACAACACTGCATCAATATAAAATGTACAACTTTTTATCAGGCTAAGAAAAAAAAAAACTATAGGGTCCTTGAATCTTCTTTAAAATAATGATAGGTCTTCTACTACCATTATCAATATATCTACCCAGAAATGCTATTAGCATCACTTGACAAATCAGAAAACTTCATCTCCACAGAAAGGCCCTGGAATGTAACCACTCCTTAACAATCTAGGCCATGATGATCAGGCGTCAACTCTTTGGGTTAGGCACATGAAAGGAGGTGGATGACAATCAAATTGACAGAGTGGACTAAGACAGTGAGTAGAGCAATTCAAGGACGTGCTGAAAGCAATTTGAAAAACTCCCTATAGCAGAGTCATTAGGGACAAGTAGGAAACTATCGCTGCCAACAGAGTCAAATTGCAGATCTTGAGGTTTAGATGGTGAAAAAGTGGATTATCTCACCTATGAGAAATACTGACAGCAAAGTCTAGGGGCAGCCAAGTCTTCCACCCTCTAGCTGCTACCTACTCTTATGCCACTGCTTTTCATACACGCCTCTCCAAAACATCATCTCCATTTGCGGTTCACATTTTCAATTCCCTTTTACTTTCATTCATTCCACTTCAGTCTGGCTTCTATCACAACAATGAAAATGAAAGTGTTTTTCTAGGTCGCTGCTGGCCTCTTACCTGCCAGAACTCACGATGCTTTTCTGTCTTTAACTCAGTCTTCTGTTGTGGTCCACATTGATGATGAAGACTTGAAACTCTCTGCCAGGCCTGGTGGCTCACGCCTGTGACCCCAGCACTTTGGGAGGCCAAGGCAGGCAAATCACCTAAGGTCAGGAGTTCAAGACCACCCTGGCCAAATGGCGAAACTCTGTCTCTACTAAAAATATAAAAATTGGCCGGGCATGGTGGTGGGCGCCTGTAGTCTCAGGTACTCAGGAGGCTGAGGCAGGAGAATCACTTGAACTCAGGAGGCACAGGTTGCAGTGAGCTGAGATTGTGCCACAGCACACTCCAGCCTGGGTGACAGAGTGAGACTCTGTCTCAAAAAAAAAAAAAAAAAAAAAAAACCCAACAAAAACTCTTTCTTTCTCAGTGTCCTCATAGTCCTTTACCATTCTCCATTTCCATCATGGGTTTCTGTCTTTCTACTGATGCTGTAAATGTTGGTGGCCCCACCAAATCCACTGGTCTTCTCACTCTCGTTATCCCATCCCTTCCTGGGTAGTTATATCAGCACCGATTTCTGCTATTATACCTGCTCATGACTTCTCCAAATTTCAGAGTTTATATCCTACTGATAGTCTTTACCTGAAGGTTTCACAGGCACCTGAAACTCAACCTGTCTAAAATAAACTCCATACCCTCATCTATGATTTAAATGGTTGGTGACATTAACAGTCTTCCAGTCACCCATGCCAAGGGCTTGGGAATCACCTTGGACTACCTCTTTCTCAGTCTCTCAATCTCATCACTCACCAGTGCTACTGATCGTAATTTCTAAACTTTTCTTGAATTTGTCCCCTCCTCTTGTCTATCATCACTGACTTAATTCAGGCCTTCATCCTCTGTGATCTGGAATTCTGAAAAGAATTCCAACCCCTCCTCTTGTTTCTAGTTTTATCTTTTTAAATTGGTCCTTCACAGAGAGGCCAGTTATCTAACTAAAACACAAGTCCAAACATGTTGTGTCCTGCTTGATGCCCACAAGGGGCTTGAATTCCTACATGGGAGTCCTTGAGGGTTGAGCAGCCAGAGCATCCAAAGAAGACTCAAGGGCTCAAGAAATGACTACTAGCAATCTCACTATTCTAGCAACCTGTGCAGTTATACTGGTAGATACCTGCTATGCACAGTATAATGTTTCTCACCTGCACCTTTACTTATGCTCTGCTCTAACTGCAACCTGGCTAACTTCCAGGCATCCTATAAAATAAACTCAGGGGTCTCTTCCTCCATAAAATCCTCCTGTCACTTCCCCCAAATACCTTGTCTCTATATCTTCTAAATACTGCATGAAAGTATCTGTCTGTCTTTGCATTTTCCACATTAGTTCCACCCCTTGTGGACAGGGACTATGGCACAAAGCCAAGTTGTACAGAATCAAGGCTCTGATATAGGAAAGCCTTGATACATGCATGGTGAAGGTTATTGTGAAGGCGGTCGTTGGTTGAGTGCTTGGAAGGATCTGGAACCTAGATAAGTAATTCTTTATTTTCACTGCCTCATGTTCAACTGCAATTTTTTCATATGTATATGAAAGCAAAAGAAAGGAAGAAAGTCACAAAGGGCTGTCTGAGGCACATGATTGTGAAGAGTTAAAGGGAAAATCCATTCTTCTGCTTTGTGAGAGCTCTCAAGCTAAAGTAAATGAGCCTTTAGAAGCCAAACATGCAGCTAACAAAGGTGAGCTCATGGAGAAGCCTATGAACAGTTGTTGGTCCTGTGGGTCCACAGTCAAGTGTCTGGGGCTATTGTTGGCAAGCAAGACCAAACTAGAGGAAAAATATGTCTATGGGCATGCAGTGATGGTGCTGGGGGAGAAGTAGGAGGAGAAGTGAACAAATAAGGGTTTCATTTAGGAAGATCAAGAGATGACAGCCTTCTTAGGTATCTAAGCAAATAGCCCCCAAAGAGAATTTAAAACATTAGATTCTAAGGGCTAGAGAGTTTTTTTGGGCAAAATAATTAAATCACTGAAAAATAAGAAAGAAAGAAAGAAAACTCTTGAGGATTGCCTGTCTTGCAATCACGTGTACATCTCTTTTTTTTTTTTTTTGGGACAGGGTCTCACTCTGTCACTCAGGCTGGAATGCAGCGGCGTGATCTTGGCTCACTGCAACCTCTGCCTCCTGGGTTCAAGCAATTCTCCTGCCTCAGCCTCCCAAGTAGCTAGGATTAGGGGTGTGCTCCACCACACCTGGCTGGCTAACGTTTGTATTTTTAGTAGAGATGAGGTTTCACCATGTTGGCCGGGATGGTGTTGAACTCCTGACCCCAACTGATCTGCCCACCTCGACCTCCCAAAGTGCTGGAATTACAGCTGTGGGCCAGCACGCCTGGGCTAAATGGGCCTTTGAAATGTGTAGAAGCTTCTACAGGATCACCTCTTTCTTCCCATTAAGTTATATCCCCCTAAATTGTATAGATGATTTACTGCCTCATGGGAGCAGTATGTATGAATGTCTAGATTCCCTCAGAGATTGCCCTGCCTCTAAGAAGTGTTGGATCTTGTGTTGGAATTCTTGGATAAAGATCTTAATATTCAAGATATGCATTAGATTTCTTTTTAAAATTAAAATTAAATTTTTTATTTTTAAAATTTATTTTTTATTTTAATAGGTTTTTTGGGAATAGGTATTGTTTGTTTACATGAATAAGTTCTTCAGTGGTGATTTCTGAGATTTTGGTGCACCCATCATCCAAGCAGTGTACGCTGTACCCAGTGTGTAGTCTTTTATCCCTCACCCTCCTCCCACCTAGATATTTGTTTATTTATTTATATCCTGGCTTATTCTGCAGAAGATTTGAGGCTGATTACAATAAGAATACATAAAATCATAATAAAATATAAACAGAAATGGAAGGATTACAGAAAAGAATACATCTATGAAAATAATAAGGCCCAACAAAGTTGTTTTACTGATTCATTCAATCTTCCATTCTTTCATTCGTCCACCAAATATTTAGTATGTATCTACTATTACTAGCCATACAATGGGTTCTATTGGCTTTGAGCTTCTTGCGAAGCCAAATTAACAAGGGAAATATGATCAATTGCATAATTTTTATTATTAGACAGGAGGAAACACATAGTTTCCCTGAAGAAAATAAAACTTTCTCTATTACTAAATTTTGAAAAAAAAATACATGGCATTTGGTGTCATTGATAATGAGTCAGAAGACAATGCCCTCAACAACTTATAGCAGTAAATGTAGATTAGTTCTCATACATGTACTAGGTAGAGGTGGCTCTTTGGGCTGGTTCTAACAGACCAGAGACTGATACTTGTATAACAGTTATATATACCTAACTAATACATTTAGTGGTAGTTTAGTGCAAGGAATAGCACTGTTCCAGGCTTACCAACAATGGAATAAATTACTTACGTCTCTTGTGTCTTAATTATAAATTGATCATCACTATAGTCATACTATTCCACCCTTTACAGAGTTGCTATAAGAATTAAACAGAAAGTGCTTTGTACATTGCTATACAAATGCTATTTCTTTAAAACGATGAACCATTTGACGGTAAGAACTCTATCTTATTTATCTCTGAACTCCAACATCCCATCTCCTCACCACAGGATTAGGCAAGCAACATGTGCTTATTAAGAAAGCAGGAAAAATGATACAGAAAGGCAGAACAGATCCTTGTCTTATGCCCCTGGAGATTATTTGACTACTTACATTTACTAAATTATTAAACTTTTAGTTTTCTGAGTATCAAAACTAGCTCTGTCTAAAGAGCCAAAAGGTAATGAAAAGCACAAAGGCGCTGCAACTTGTTTTACGTGGAGGCTGGAAGATCTCTCCTGGGTGGTGGAAAATAGTTCCATTCAGTAAGACAAGGGCGCGGTGGCTCACGCCTGTAATCCCAGCACTTTGGAAGGCCGAGGCGGGTGCATCACGAGGTCAGGAGATCGAGACCATCCTGGCTAACACGGTGAAACCCCGTCTCTACTAAAAATACAAAAAATTAGCCGGGCGTGGTGGTGGGCGCCTGTAGTCCCAGCTACTCGGGAGGCTGAGGCAGGAGAATGACGGGAACCCGGGAGGCGGAGCTTGCAGTGAGCAGAGATCGCACCACTGCACCCCAGCCTGGGTGACAGAGCGAGACTGCATTTCAAAAAAACAAAAAATAAAAAAAGACACTGGCTTAGCCTGAAGTCTGCTTTCTCTTCATGGAAAAACTCAACTGAGAAAACCTGGTGTACAGTTTAAGTAGCAAACTCGTGTAAAGGTGGTTTAAAAAATCGTGTCTTCTTTTCTGCATATAAAACAAAAACTGGTTATTCTGGAAAATTTTGACTATATATAAAAGAAGAAAATTTAAAAAATTAATATCATCCAGAACTTGAGCATTTAGGGGTTGTCATTTTAAACATTTTGATGATTATCTTTCAGTGGGTTTTTTTGTAAGAATAAATGCATGCACAAATGTGGCATCATCATGAATACACTATTTTGTCACCCTTAGTCTCCATATGATTAAGGATTTTTTTATAAAATGATTTTTAATGGCTCCCAAACAACTCAATTAAATCAACAAGAATATTAATTGTTAAGATCTACTGAGCACTTGCTGTGTAGTAGAGCTATAAATACTTAAAATACCTGTTTAAACTTCACAATAGCTCTGCAAGGTTATTTTAACATGAGGAAGCTGAGGCTTAGAAAATTTAAATAACTTTCTCACTGTCTCGCAGGTAGTATGTGACTTGAACTCAAATTTAGGTAACCACGAATACTGAGATTTTAGTCACTATGTTCTTCTACTGGTTCGTATATGGAAATAATACAGTTTATTTAACCAGTTTTACACTCTTGGACATTTAGATGGTTGCCAATTTGGTGATATTAAAAAATACTGTGATTTCTAGTAAAATTTATATACACAAGAAGATTGTTTCTTTAAGCTAAATTGCTAGAAGTAAAATTGCTTAATCGAAGGAAATGGACAATTTAAAAAACATATTTTAGCCGGGCGCGGTGGCTCACGCCTGCAATCCCAGCACTTTGGGAGGCTGAGGCTGGCGGATCACGAGGTCAGGAGATCGAGACCATCCTGGCCAACATGGTGAAACCCCGTCTCTACTAAAAATACAAAAAATTAGCCGGGCGTGGTGGCGGGCACCTGCAGTCCCAGCTACTCCGGAGGCTGAGGCAGGAGAATGGCGTGAACCCGGGAGGCAGAGCTTGCAGTGAGCCGAGATCGCACCACAGCACTCCAGCCTGGGCGACAGAGCAAGACTCCGTCTCAAAAAAGAAAAAATAATAAATAAATAAATAAAAATAAAATAACATAAAGAAAAAATAAAAATAAAAAACCTATTTTATACTTATTGCCAAGTTGCCCTCCAGAACTATTGTAACAACTTACAATACCTAGTTTCCTGAAACCTCCTCAACACTAGATATTGTCTCTTCTTCAGTCTTTGGCATAAAGTTTTCAAAGTATGCCCAAGGAAGTAATAATTTTATAGTTTTGAAGGAGTAGAAGATTGTCCTTTTTGAAAATTGGGAAGACTAGATCTTGATTATATCTACATGATATTGTACTTGAGAAATTAAATCAGTAAGTAGTTTGGTGAGAGCCAGAGCCCTAAAATCAAAATAGACTTTGAAAATTTATGTCAGCAAGAGTTCTTCACCGTGATTTATTTAACTTAAGAACTTAAAGCTGCTAAAGGCACCAAGAGGAGGATTTGCTCCATGTTGGTTGAAGGGAATGTTAATGGCAATGCATTCTCTTTGTAGTATTTCATGTTATTCTGTGAGATTATACGTGTGTGTGTATGCGTGCACAAACTTGCTAGGAAAATTCAGTTATTTTTAGTTCTAGGAGGTGTAGTATATTATAAGAACAAGATTACTGTTTGATTTTTTGTTTATTTATTTTTTGAGACAGGGTCTCACTCTGTCACCCAGGATGGAGTGCAGTGGTGCAATCTCGGCTCAATGCAACCTCTGCCTCCCAGGCTCAAGTGATCCTCCTGCCTCTGCCCATTCACAGGAAACTATACAAATGAATGTATGGTCTGTCACCAAAGAAATGACAAGCAAGACAAACACACATCTAACTGGCCTGCTTTCGTTCACTACATAATCATCAGTGATATTGCCCTAAGTAACCAATTTCTGTGTCTCCTCTTGAGAATGCATATGGCAGTATATTTAAATGGTTATTTTTTGTTTTGTATGATTGTTACCTTACCTTTGTAATAAAGTTGTTAACATGTTTTGATGCTTTGTGTTTAACTTTTATGTTTATATATATATATATATATATATATATACATATATATATATTTAGATGAAGTAGAACAATTACCTCTGCAACTACAAATGGATTGCTGGTTAAAAGCAGGACATTTAAAAAGCAAATGTGAAGATGGAAATTGTAATATCGATCAGGCTTACACTTTAAGAGAGACATGCTGTATTGATCAAGCCCAGGATAAAACCAGTCATACTATAAAGTACTAAATGTGTCTTTAAATTTTATCGACCAAACTGACAGGGGTATGCAAAATGAAAGCCATATGCAGAAAATTCTCTTCAAAGTCACTGTGATGCAAGTTTACTTTTGTTTGGCAATTCAGGGTCCCAGTGGATTACAGCTACAGATTAAAGTATCAGGAAGAAAATGAAAATGTAAAGGCATAGTAATTTTTAAGAAAGCATTATTTACTTTTGGGATTTGCTTTTGTGATAGGAAGAATGACCGAATCTCCAATGTGATTGCTTTGCAGGATACTTCTGTTCTGTGGCAAGTTATAACACCATTTTGAAATAAAATTTTGTGAATCTAAAAATAAGGATTCCAGATTCTTTCATCAATATCTTGCAGCTCCTCCCTTCAAGAGGTGGAGTCTATTTTCCCACTCCTTGAATCTGGTCTTGCCTTGTAATTTGCTGCGACTAATAGTACGTTGCTGAAGTTACATTGCGTAGACACTAGACCTTCAGTGGAGCGCCTGCCTTTCCTTCTTGGAATGCTTTGATCACCATGTAAAGCCACCTAGCTACTGAATGATGAGAAACCATGCAGAAAGAATGGCGTAGCTAACAGCCAGCAACAAGGCCCAAGACATATGTGTGAATCCATTTTAGATCCTCCGGCCCCAGGCAAGCCACCTGATCAATGCAAACACAGGAGTAATCTCAGGCAAAACTAGCAGAAGAACAGCTCAGCTAACCCACAAAATTATTAAAAATAATAAGTTGCCTTCTTAAGTCACTGATCTTTGGGGGTGGATTGTTATACAGCAATAGATAACTGATACGACATAGTAACAAACACGGGTGCAGGTCAGTAACATTGTCTGATAACACACTCTAAAGAGGATTTAAGAATGCATCTAAAGAACTTGAGGTCCTGGTCAGAAAGCTGAGATGATATGAAATCTTTACAAAGATTTCATGCCTGAAACCTTTACATCAGGCATGAGCCACTGAGCCTGGCATGTTATATGTCTTCTTAAGCACAACCGATGATACTGCAACTGATGATACTGCAAATGCTTTTTATTTTCGCTTAGTTTATGGTATATTCCGGTAAGCAGATATGAAGAAGGTCTGTTAAACAGATGACTCATGGTAACCAGAAAGCAATGATAACAGTTAAAATCAGTTTGCAAATACTACTAATGTAGGAATGTCTTCAATGATTGTGTAAGGGCAGTGGTAGAGGGGAAAAGCACCAAAGGATTGGTGGCTTATGGAAAAGTTGTTGCCAAGATGTATTTAATTACTCATCATGTGAGGTATAAGACAAGCACTAGCGATTATAAAGATTCTCACATCTTTGCACACAGTATTAGATAATGCCATACAAATTTCAGTTTTATTAAAGCTTAAACTTTCAATCGTAGGCTTTTCAGGATAATTTGTAGTGATATGCGCACTTAGTTCTAGAACCTGAACAAGCTTATGTTTGTTTGGAATTCAAGGTCCAAAATGAGTTACAGCTATAAATTAAAGTGCCAGTAAAGAAATGAAAACAAACTTTAGACTCAATATACAAACTAACATAAATCTCATTTTTTTTGAAAATTTCAGAAAATATCTGACAAAATGATTCCTCAGGCATGTGGGATTTTAGAAAAGAAATCACTTAACATGCCATAATTTAATAATATATGTTTGAAAGTTATTTTTCCACCAAACAATGGCAGCCTGAAAAATCTGTTTACTGATTATCTCCACACTGAACACATAAGTTAATGTTTGTGGATAATATTACTTATTAAATATTGAAATGTCATTTTTCTTTCAAATGCCTTTTTTGCTTTCCTCAGATGTGTTAACTTGTCTTTAAGCGGGCCACCATCAATTTGCTCAACTCCGGGATAGTTGAACCTAGGCAGGCCTTAGTGACTTGTTTAAGTAATAGAATATGTTGAAAAATATCTTTGGAGCTTCTGAAGCTAGGTTATAAGAAGACTTGGAGCTTCTGCCTACGCCTCCTGAAACACCTACTCTTGGACCCCTGAGCCACCATGCAAGAAAGTTTAGTCCCTGCTGGAATGAGTTCATGGAGAGGCTCTGAGTCTGTATGGAGAGGGAGACAGGCCTAGCTGAGCCTACCTACTACCTGTGCCCACTAAAGCATCAGGCATGTGAGTATGGTCACGTTGACCACCCCAGACCAGGTCATCTGTCAGTTGAGTACCACTGAAGAGTGACTCCGGTTAACAGCCACATTGACCAAAAGAATCAACCAGCCAGATTTTGCCTCAATTCCTGAATTTCAGAAATTGTCATTTTAAGCCACTAAGTTTTAAGGTGGTTTGCTACATTGTAATAGATAATAGAACACTGAAGAGTAATCTGAGACAACAAGGTAAGCTATTAGAAAATTATTACCACTTCCAACTATTTATCTTGTGAATCAGGCAACAGAAATGGAGAATACAAAATACAGAAATAAACTGGGCATCCTGTCTGGTTTAAGACTACATGTCTAATTTAAGACTATAGTTCACACTAATAACTTCTAATTTTCAATTTCTTTGCATTTATAAAACAGCTCTATTATCATTGATCACTTGTATAATTAATACATATTATACATTTGAATTAAGGATAAAATTTTGCTAACATTATACCACTTTTAATCCATTTTATACCTTGGGGTCTCTAATAATATTCTATTTGGAATATTCTATTTGGGAGATAGTATTTGAGCTTAAAAATCTTGAAAACCACCAAACAAATATTCTTAGTGTTTCCTTCTAGCTCTAATATTTACAAAATGTGTTGCAGTGGGCATGGTGAATTTTGAGTCACAATCTCTATCAAGGGTATCAAAAACATTTTTCTTTGTGCTTAGACAGGGCATTTGTCTTAGAAAGGAAAGCAGAATCATTTGAAAATGGCACCTGCCCCAATAGTGGTAAAATCACTTCCATTTTATGAGCATTTATGGCTCATTTAAATCTCAGTCCACAGAAGAAATTATGTAAGAAATGTATGTTTATTTTTCAATAACCCAATTTAATTTCTATTTGAACACCCACTCCTCCAGCATGGTGGAGACTTAATTGTGGTCAGTTTCCCCATTTCTTTTACCTCCCTTTCCTTGGATTGCATTTAAGACCTGGCGTGCTTACTTAGTTCTAAGCCTTCACAGCTGAAGAGGACATTTGATCACACATGCATCTCTAGACACCTATTGTCCCGTCTTGTCCATGTATGTTATGAATTGAATATTTGTGTTATCCTCAAATTCTCATGCTGAAGCCCTAACCCAATGTGATGGTATTTAGAGGTGGAGCCTTTGGGAGGTAATTAGATTTAGATGATGTTATGAGAGTGGGCCCCATGATGGGTTAATGTCCTTACGAGAAGAATAAGAGAAACTGAAGCTCACTCTCTTTCTCTCTCCACCATGTGAAGATGTAGTGAGAAGGTGGCCATTCCCAACCCAAGGAGAGAACCCTCACCAGATACTGACCCTGCTGGCATCTTGATCTTGGACTTCAAGGCTCCAGAACTGTGAGAAATGAATTCTTATTGTTTAAGCCACCCAGTCTATGGTATTTTGTTATGGCAGCCAAAGCTGACCAACACAGTGTACATTGTCATGGGTGCATTCTTCATTCCCGTCTGAATGAAATCCTCTGGGCTCTCAGCTACTTTCATGCCTTTCTAGGGATCTTGGGAGTCACATTCTACTCCCATGTCTTGCTGATATTTGTAAAGCTCTGAGGAGGCTGTTAAGACCCTCTCTTGCCAATTTCTAAGAAGCTACTCAGAAAATAGGGCTCAAGTCTCCTTTGCTCTAAGATCCAACATATTTATCTGGGTTTTTTTTTTTTAAATTATCATTATACTTTAAGTTCTGGGTTACATGTGCAGAACATGCAGGTTTGTTTCATAGGTATACTTTTTTTTTTTTTTATGTCAAAGGAGCTGGGCTCTAGGAAAAGAGTACTGGGTTCCTCTCTTCTGGGTCCACTCATTCCTCCCTTTGTTTTCTCCATCTCTCCATGCCAAGGAATCTTGTGGTAGTCAGGGGCCTAGGTGAAGGGCAAGCCTTGCTCTTACTCTATGTTTTCTCCTAAATTTTTTCTGTGCCATGAGTCCTTACTATTCTACAGAGGTTCCCTGCCTTTCCAGTCTCATAGTGTCCTTACTATGTCAATTTTTTCATAGAATCCTTAAACTAAGGCAAAGAAAGAAAGAAACAGCAAGTAAACAAACAAAATGCTAAAATCCTAATATTTCATTTATTAAATAGGTTCAAAAACTTAATAGTGGTAGTTTGTGTGGTGTCCGATAATTCAAAAATTTAAATATCTCACAACACGCCTGTTCATGAAAGCCCCTAGCAAACTGTGGGTTTAGGCTACTGAGACAAAAAACCCAAGACGACTTCTTTCTCTGCTGTTATATGCCTTCCTTTTTTTTTTTTTTTTAGGCAGGGTCTTGCTTTATTGGCCAGGCTGGAGTGCAGTGATGTGATCATAGCCCACTGCAGCCTCATCCCCTGGGTTCAAGCCTCAGCCTCAGCCTTTTAAGTAGCTGGGACTACAGGCTTATACCACTATACTTGGCTAATTTTTAAGCTTTTTGTAGAGATGGGGTTTCACTAGATTGCCCAGGCTGGTCTTTAACTCCTGGGCTCAAGAGATCCTCTTGCCTTTGCCTCCCAAAGTGCTGGAATTACAGGCATGAGCCACTGAGCCTGGCATGTTATATGCCTTTTTATGCACAAAAGCTCAGAAGGGTCTGCTTTTGAGTACCATTTGGCAGTAGTGAATGATGTGGTTGTGGGAGGAGAACAGGATATCGTGGAAAGTAAATGGCATAAAAACAAATGGTTTGGTTAGGGAATCAAGAGCCATTATAAGTATTACTGATACAAGAGATATATTATAGAAAAGGGAAGGAGCTTGGATTTATTAGAGGAAAAAGAAAGAACAGCCGGGCATGGTGGCTCACACCTGCAATCCTAGCACTTTGGGAGGCTGAGGCGAGTGGATTGCCTGAGCTCAGGAGTTCAAGACCAGCCTGGGCAACATGGTGAAACCCCATCCCTACTAAAATACAAAAAATTATCTGAGTGTGGCGGCATGCGCCTGTAATCCCAGCTACTCAGGAGGCTGAGGCAGGAGAATTGCTGGAACCTGGGAGGCAGAGGTTGCAGTGAGCTGAGATCGTGCCACTGTGCTCCAGCCTGGGCGACAGAGCCAGACTCTATCTTAAAAAAGAAAGAAAGAAAGAAAGAAAGAAAGAAAGAAAAGTAAAAAGAAAGAATGTGGTGAAGTGAAGTTTTGGAAGTTTTTAGAAGGGGTTTTGGAAGTTTTTGGAAGTTTGGAAGTTTTTGGAAGGGGTAATGAGAGTGATGGAGAGTCTAGTGCATCTGTTACATGGGTGACAAGTCAAAGACTGCAGAAAAGCCCAAGAAGCCCAAGCATGCAGCTAACAAAGGGTGAGCTCATGGAGAGGTCTATGGACACCTGTTAGCCCTGTGGGTCCACAGCCAAGTGTCTGGGGCCACGGTTAGCAAGCAAAACCAAACTAGAGGAAAAATATGTCTACATGCATGCAGTGATGGGGCTGGGGGAGAAGTAGGAGGAGAATTGAACAAATAAAGAAGAGTTTTATTTAGGAAGATTAGGAGATAACAGCTTTCTCAGGTGGCTAAGCAAATAGCCCCAAAAGATAATTTAAAATATTAGATTCTAAGGCTGGAGAGTTTTTTGGGCAAAATAATTAAACAAAAAACAAAAAAAAAGAAAGAAAAAACCTCTTGAGGATTGCCTATCTTGCAATTATTTGTACCTCTTTTATTGTCATTTATTAATGTCCTCAACAGGAATGATTGGCATGTCAGTTGCAATGAATGAGAGAGATCAAGAATAAATGGTGTAAGGAAATTACTTTCCTTCAGTTTATAAACATAAAAGGAAATCTTCAAATGCTCTGGTACTCGTGGCAAAGGCAGTTGGTTGTGATACTGTCACACTTCCAGACAAATTGAGTCTATGAGTTCTATTTAAAACTGTAAAAGCCACTGAGCATAGAAATAACTTGGCTTTTGATCTTAATTACATAGAGTCATATCGTAGTGTAAATATGAATTAAGCATTTGTAATTTTTTTTAAGACAGAGTCTCACTCTGTTGCCCAGGCTGGAGTACAGTGGCGTGATCTCAGCTCACTGCAACCTCCGCCTCCCAGGTTCAAGTCATTCTCCTGCCTCAGCCTCCTGAGGCTACAGGCACATGCCACCATGCCCGGCTAATCTTTGTATTTTTAGTACAGACGGGATTTCACCACGTTGGCCAGGCTGGTCTCAAACTCCTGACATCAGGTGATCCACCTGCCTTGGCCTCCCAAAGTGCTAGGGTTACAGGCATGAGCCACCGTGCCCAACCAAGTATTCGTATCTTTAAGTCACTTTAGTGGTACTAAAATGTTGGTAATCTGCTGGTTTAATGCTATAGTGAATTGTAGTGATGATTTTTGGGTTGAAAACCATAGCCTGTAGTTCTCAATGCCTAAAATCCTGACAAATTTAAACAGACGCTGTAGAGGATGTACATTAGTCAGTTAGTGCTGGATGACAAACAATCACAAAATCTAGTGACATAAAACCATAAGTATTTATTTCTTGTTCATTCATTTGTGTGTCAGTTCTAGTTCAGCTTCTTCAAGCTCTGGCTGAGGGTTGGGCTTGAGTCTCCTTCATGAATATTCCTTTTGGGACTTGGTCTACAAAGTAATAGCTATCCAGCAGAAGTTCTTTTCATAGCAATAAGAAGGAGTGCAGGAGGCAAACTCAATCACACAGACACATTCTAGCCTTGGCTCTCATCATGTATGCTAACATCTTATTGGTTAAAGGAAGTCACATGGCTAAATCCATCAGTAGGGAAGTGTGTTCCTTCTATGGAAAGGGGAAGAATGAACATTTCCTTAGCAACAATCTAATTTACTGTAAGATGCTTTATATATTGCTATTATTCCTAAAAATTCTTTAATTTCTTAACATTTCAAATTATATAAGTTTGTATTTAGTTGCAAGTGACAGAAAACCCACAGGAGCTTAAACAATATAAACTTTTATTTCATACATATAAATGAAGTCCACAGGAAAGCAAGCTGAAATGGCATGGCATCTTTATAATTTTCAAGAATGCAGCGGCTTCTCTTCAGCTCTATTCCTATTCCCAGGCCGCCTTCTGATCCAAGAAGGCTGCTCAAGTTCCAGCCATCAAGTTCATATTCCAGACAGCAAGGTGAAGAACAAGATGAAGGAAGTCACATCTCTTCTCTTCCCAGAAGTTGCACACAATTCTTTTGCTTGTCTTATTGGCCAGAAATTATTCACATAATTACACTAGCAAGGAAAGTTAGAAACTTAGACTGTATTCTTGGAATTCTCCAGGTATCTATATTTGCTGTCAAAAATAATGGATTTTATAATGTTAATATACTATTAGAGAAGAACAGCTGTTGGTGTAAACAATTGATAGTCTTTGCCACAAATTCCAAAGAAACTACATTCTTGTCACTACCTAGCCTTTCAATGAGATATTTTATTCCTTCTTCTAAGTTCTTACAATAAAAATATGATTGTTAACAAAGACACCATAGATATTATCTCTTAAATTAAAGTTCTGAGTTATTTTTAGTTACAGCTGGCAAGCTGCCAAAAGGAAAAAGGGAGAGGGACTGAAGTTTCTAATATGGATGTCAATTCTCAGTGGAATTATCCAGCTCTACTACCTTCCAAGTTGATCCTGAGAACGGATTCCAGGGACAGCCATTACTTTATCTTTACTACTATAATATGTTAATTTCAGTATATGAGTTCTTGAAAGACTTCAGAGAAGAGAACATTTCCTGTTACGAATAAATGGTTACAAGTTGAATTAACCCACAGACATTGATGGTTGTCATGATCATTAACCTGTAATCAAGGTTATCCAAGATCTGTTCCCAATTTACCTTTCTAGGTCTGTCTCCCACTACTCTTTTTCACGTATCTTTATAAAATTTATAACATGCTGAAAAAATGTCAAGTATTATAGATGACTTTCTTAAACAAACTAGATTAATTGTGCCACCCAAATATATCCTGTATCTTACTTTTTTGCCTATGCTTGAGTCATCTCAGTAGAGTGACCCACGTCATACCTACTATAAGTTTATCCATTAGTTTAAGACTGAAACCAAAATCTTTCTTAAGAAAGTCTCTCTAGAATCCCATAATCAGAAGTGATTTCTCTCAAAAGTCCAATACAACTGTATATTATATTCCCTCCTTCCTTTATTCATTCATAATTAATATTTATTGAAACCTATTTTGTGTCACTGTGCTAGGTTTCATTTATAGTCTAATGGAAGGCATTAATCAAATAACATATTCCTTATGTATAGACCATGACCTATCTCACATTATACTGCTACTGTTCATCTTGCTTACTTCCCCAAGCACTGAAAACAAATGGAAAAGCTGTGTTTTATCGTGTGCCTACCCTTCTGACACCTAGTAATGTGCCTTGCATTGTTAGTTAAATGTTCAGCAGCAATATTCGATGAATATTTCATTTATTGCCTTACTCTTCACCCCGGGGGAAGCAATTCAGAGGACATATGTTACCATTAACTGCTGTAGAAAAATTCATTTGAAATTGAAACACGCATTTAAAAATATATACATGTGTCTTCATAACTGGAGTGTTGAGGATGGAGAAGAACCTATAAGATGAAAATCCAGCGTGTTTGCCTTATTAGAAATGCAAATGTCTACTAAAATATGATTATGAGAATATGAGGTGTCCAGTGTCCAGACGTGCAAAAATCACACAGATAAAAGCAAATCTCTCTCTAATCTTTCTTTGCTTTGTGTAATTAAAAGACAGAAAGCAAACTACGCTTTCTAAATAAATGATATTCAGTCAGTTTTAGAAATGTTTGCATCCTGCTACAATCACCGCTATAATAGGTTTTCTAGGCTCTGCAGCCTTTTCCTTGTTTCCTGCTTATTCAGGCTTCAGATCTGTGGAGTGGATCATAATTAGGAATCTACTGGTTCTTTCCCCAACTCTGATTCAATTAGCCATATGTTACAGGCAGCAAACACAGTGGCTGTCAAACTTTAGCAATTACCAAGCGGGGGGGGGAGGGGAGAAAGGTTTGTGGGGTCAAAACTATGAACTTATAAAAAGCTCTTGAAGTAAAGGCAAATCTTAATAGTGGAGCATTAATCAGAATTTTGTCTGGCCATTCATTAATCATCTCACACGGACCAGCTCTGGAAAGAGCAGCCTTTCATACACGTGGGACAGAAGTGTTGAGCTCTCAGAGCAAAGGTATCAGAAAAGGCAATGAGTAAATATGCAATTCTGTTTACATTCTTCATTCCAACAGTGAAGAAAAATCAATAGGCTTACAGAATATGGCAATTGTCCTTTGAAATGAAGGCTTTCTGAAAGGTAGTTTTTCTAGCTCATAAGGGCTGATTCCAAATAAATGATTTACTCTTTGTGGAGTGCTACATGCTTAATGAGGGCTGTTCTGGGTAAGACTGGAAGTGGAAAATCCTTGGAGGGTCACTGTTAAATTCATTTTATCGAAAAGGCAGAACATTCAAATTTAAACATTTGACATTCAAAGCTGTGTTAGTTCAGAACTTCTCTGCTACATGCTGATTTGTTAGAGAAAGGGGGTTGGAAGTCCTGGGGTAGATAACATTTAAAAAAATAGTTGAAAGAAAATGAGCATTGAAGCATGTCATTCTTGAGGAAAAACTCACATAATTAGGTAGGCTTTGTGAAGAAATCTACTGCTTTAAAAAGAAAAAACCTATTAATTTTTTGGCTAACCTACCCATTCATGCTCTTCTCCATAGAAGGAGGAACTGAGTTACAATACAGCCACACTCCATTTAAAATAACATTTATTCAATAGCAGGTCTGCCTCGTAGGCAGGCTTACCTCCTCATAGAAAAGGCCTATTATAAATCCCAGTAATTTTCCCATGAGTTCTACAAAGAGTGTTTCTTTGTGGTGGGTTTGAGTACTTTATCCACTATAATTTAAATGTCTCAAATGATGTCACTTCAAACTGTTTCCCTCAGGAGGTTGCTCTAGTCTGAAAAAATCTTCATTAAGATATTTCTCTAGTATTTAACCTGGAATTTATTTATCTGTCATCCGAAATAGGTCGTTTCCCCACCAGCTTTAACCACTGAACTTTGTTCAAGAAGCGAGTGTGCTCTAGCATAAGAAAGGTTGTTATCTTTTCTTCATAAAATAAGTGACTTTTAGCTCAACTGTATTGAGTGCATTAAAATTCCCATTTGATTTATTTTGCTCTAGGTATGTATCCATGTCTGTGGACACTAGTTGAGATTTTGGTCCAGGAAAAGCTGAGGTTTGGTTGGGGGAGGGTGAAGGTGAGTGGAGAGGATTTTAAAGTGTAAACTTTTACTCTCTCATATCAAATAGAAATTTTAAAAAAATATCGAGAGGGTAAACATTCACCTAGTGGAAAAGAAACTGAAGAAATCAATGAAGCCACGGAATATAGGTGTGACCTTTAGACTTTTTTCTTTTTGAGGTTAACAAAGTGGAAAAGCATCTTGCTAAGAAGTCAGGGTACAAATTTCTGACCCCTTTAAGAACATCTACTGTAACACTTTAGCTTTAAGTACTTCTACTTATTTATTTATTTAATGACTGCATCTTACCCTGTCACCCAGACTGGAGTGCAGTGGCACTATCAAAGCTTACTGCAGCAAACTCCTGGGCTCAAGTGATCCTCCTGCCTCAGCCTCTCCAGTAGCTCAGACTACAGGCCTGTAGTGGCCTAATAATTTATCATCACTCCTGGCTAATTAAAAAAAAACCCCTTTTTTTTTTCTTTTTGTAGAGACAGGGCCTCTCTAAGTTGCCCAGGATGGTCTTGAACTCCTGGGCTAAATGCTTCTTCCTCCTCAGCCTCCCAAGTAGCTAAGACTTCTGCATTGATTTTAATAGCTTAATTGGAATGACAAGGGAAGTGAGGGTTGCCAGAGCCAACACGTTAAATGCCTGTCTTGGGTGGCAGGCAGCTCCATGGTGAAGAGAGAACTCACTGGGCTCCATTGCCCCTTCCTGTGATGGGCTACCACACAGGATGAGGATCTTTGCTGCTAAGTCTCTCATCTGTTTCAAGTGTGTGTGCATATTGACAGTTCTCCTAAGGAAAGCAGAGCACTCCTATGGAGGTCCTAGAGGGTACATACAGCAGCTGATGATAACGTTTTTTTTTTCTACTAGGAGAGTTTTAATTAAAACTACATGTGGTTTGAGATGTTTGCTGTTCTTTCTCTTCTGAAAATCCTTACAATTCATTTTGCATAAAAAGAAAAATTCTAAAGTCTTTCATTTAAATAGTGAGATGATAGCTTCAGTAAGAATTGCTGTGTTGGGCTTTCATATATGGTTACTGAAAGCACAATGCAAAGGCCAGGACTGAATTTAACAGGCCATTTGCCGCAAGTAGCAGTATCACTGGATACCACCAACAGGTTCATGTTGAAGGTTTTTAAAAAAGCTTTTAAATTTTGCAATTAAAACATATACAGGCCAAGTGCAGTGGCTCATGCCTATAATCCCAGCACTTTTTGGGAGGCCGAGGTGGGTGGATCATTTGAGGTCAGGAGTTTGAGACCAGCCTGGCCAACACGGTGAAACCCCGCCTCTACTAAAAATACAAAAATTAGCCGGGCGTGGTGGCAGGTGCCTGTAATCCTAGCTACTTGGAAGGCTGAGGCAGGAGAATCACTTGAACCCGGGAGGCAGAGGTTGCAGTGAGCTGAGATCATGCCACTGCACTCCAGCATGGGCGACAGAGTGAGACTCCGTCTGAAAAAAAAAAAAAAACAAAACCAAAAAACCAAAAACGTATGGCCTAATAATTTATCATAAGGCATGTAACCACCACCCAGATCAAGAAATAAAATCTTCATTGCAGCGCTATTCACAATAGGAAAGACATGGACTCAACCTAAATGCCCATCAACGACAGATTGGATAAAGAAAAATGTGGTACATATACACCATGGAATACTATGCAGCCATAAAAAGAACAAGATCCACTTTGGGAGGCTGAGGCAGGCAAATCACGAGGTCAAGAGAGCGAGACCATCCTGGCCAACATAGTGAAACCCCGTCTCTACTAGAAATACAAAAATTAGCTGGGCATAGTGGTGCATGCCTGTAGTCCCAGCTACTTGGGAGGCTGAGGCAGGAGAATTGCCTGAACCTGGAAGTAAGTGGAGGTTGCAGTGGGCCGAGATCGCGCCACTGCACTCTAGCCTGGGTGACAGAGCAAGACTCCGTCTCAAAAAGGAAACAAAAAAAGAACAAGATCATGTGTTTTGTGAGAAGATGGGTGGAGCTGGAGGCTATTACCCTTAGCAAACTAACACAGAAACAGAGAACCAAATACCACATGTTCTCACTTATAAGTGGGAGCTAAATGATAAGAACTCATGAACACAAAGAAGAAAACAATAGACACTGAGGTCTACTTGAGGGAGGAGGGTGAGAGGAGGGAGAGGAGCAGAAAAGATCACTCTTGGGTACTAAGCTTAATACCTGGGTGATGAAATAATATGTACAACAAACCCTCACAACAGGTGTTTACCTATGTAACAAACCTTCACATGTACCCCCCAAATGTAAAATAAAAGTAAAACAAAATCCTGCCAGCACCCCAGAAATCCAACTTACGTTCCCTTCATCTTCCCTTGGCTGTTATTGTAATCATCTTCTGGCTTGCTTTATAGATTTATCTCTAGGCATGTGTTGCTAAACTCTATAGTTTAGTTTTGTCTGTTTTGAATTATATAGTGAGAAATTACACAATATAAATGCTTTCATGGCTGGTTTCTTTTGCTCGTCATATTTGTGAAATTTACTCAGGATTTTATTTTAACTGTAATTTTTATTTTTCAGTATTTTTTAATCTTCCATTATAGAATTACAGCTACAATTCATTTATCAATTTTACTGTTAATGGGCATTTGGGTATTTTTAGTTTGAGGCAAAAACAAATAATACCGCTAAGAACGTGCTTCTACATGGCGCTTGGTGCACATATGTACACATTTCTGTTATATCTGTTCCTAGGAGGGGAAGTGCTAGATCTACAGTGTGCTTGTATTCAATCCTTAGACACTGCCAGACTCTGCTAAGCAGATTGCATTAATTTTATATGCTAAACAATAGTGAATGCCTCAATGATTGGTATTTTCAGTCTTAAGTTTTGGCCACACTGATGGGTTTGTAGTGGTACTTTATCTACTTTTAGTTTACATTTTCCCTGAGTTTACATTAACCAATGAGTTCAGTACCTTTCACATGTTCATACATTCATTGACTATTTGGATATCATCTTTTGTGAGTTGGCTGTTCAAATCTCTTGCACATTTTTCCATTTGGTTGTTCACCTTTATTATTATTGGTTTGTAGAATTGTTTATGTATATTAAAAATATTGTCTCCTACTCATGGCTTACTTTTTACTCTCTTATTGATGTCTCAATAAACTTGATATAGTAACTTTAATTAGTCTTTCTTTTTATGATTTTGCTTTTGGTGCCCTGTTTATGAAGTCTTTTCCAATTCTATCTAGGTCATGAAGAAATTCTACTAACATCTTCTAGAAGCTTCAGAATTTTGTTTTTTCACACTTAAATTTGCAATCTCTCTGGCATTGTTTTCTCTGAATGGCATGTGATTAAGTTTAGAGTCCATTTTTTTTTTCACCTATGGGGATTTCCAATGTTGTCAGCAACATTTATTGTAAAGTTATGCTTTCCCTGCTATTCTGAAGTGCCATGTTAATTGTAATTCAGGATCTAGATATGAACAGGTCTATTTCTGGAATTTTGTTTTCATTTCATTGTTTTATTGTCTGTCCTTTAATCAATACCATATTGTGTTAATTATTTTTACATGTAGGGTGTATCAATGTCCTGTAGAGTAAGTCCTCGCATCATGTTCTTCTTCGAGAGTATCCTCACTATTCTGAGTCTATTGCATTTCCATATATTTCCATTTTGGTACCGGACTGGTCCAATTGCATTTTGATGCATTTTCATTTTAGGACCAGCTTTTCCAATTCCATGAAAACAACAACAAGACAAATACACAAACACATAAATATAAACACACACATAATATATGTAAACACACACATATAAAACAAATTTAAAAATGGGTTAAGATTTTAGCTGGGATTGTACTGACTCTATACAGCAGTTTGAAGAAAATTGACATTACATTATTGAGTCTTCAAACTCATGAACATGGTGTGTCTCTCCTTTTGTTTTAGTCTTTAAGGTCTTTCAATGTTTCATAGTTTTCTGTATAGAGGTCTTATATGTCTTTTGTTAGATTTAATATTTAATAATTTAACATTTTTGGTTTATAATAAATAGTATCATTTAAAAATTTTATTTTCTGTTTATTGTTGCCATAAAGTAATATATTTAGGAGCCTCTGGAGCTTCTAGAACATAACAGGAGAATATTCTTCCTGACCTGAAGTAGGAAAAGGAATGCATTTATTTACTTGTGTAGCAATTTTGATGAACTGTCTTGTTAATGCTAATTTTCTGTCATTCTTTTGACACTTCTATGAACACATGCACATATCATCTGGGTTTTATTTCTTATTTCTTTCTTTCCAGTCTTTCCCCCCATTTCCCATTCCTCATTTTCTTTCCCTTTTGTTTTTCTGTATTAGCTGGGCTCCCTTTCTGTACTGGTGGCTACCTTCTTCCAATGTTGAAAGGAAGTGGTAACGACAGACATACCCATCTTTTTCCAGATCTCAGTAGAAAGCTTACACCGTTTCACCGCTAAGAATAATGCTTGCTGTATCTTTCCTTTTCGTACTCTTTAACAAAATAAGAAGATTACCTTGTATTCCTAGTTTGATGAGAATTTTTATAATGAATAGATTTTGAATTTTATCACAGTATTTTCTTTATTTATTTAAATGATCATATGAATTTTCTCTTTTCCACTAATGTGATAAATTGAACTGACTGATTTTTAAATCTTTGACCAATCTTGCACTCTTGGAATGAACTCAGATTTTTATATTTTGCTAAATTTGATGTTAGAATTTTGTTTAGGATTTTTTCAATTTGTGCTCTGAGTGATACTGACTCAGACTTTTTCTTTCTTGAAGCATTTTTGTCATGGTTTGATATCAACATTAACATAATAACTTCAAAAATAAAGAGAAATAGTGCCTCATTTGCTGTTCTCTAGAAAAGTCTGTTTAAACGTTTGGTAGCATTTACCAGCAAACCATCTGGGCCTGTCATTTTCTCTGTGGGAAGGAATTAAATTGAGAATCCAGTATCTTTAACAGGCCATTTAGACTTTTTATTCTTGTCTTAGTTTTGGTAGCTTGTGCTTTGTCCATGTCATCTAAATTTTATTTTATTTATTTATTTTTGAGACAGAGTCTCACTCTGTTGCCCAGGCTGGAGTGCAGTGGCATGATCTCAGCTCATGGAAACCTCTGTCCCCTGGGTTCAAGCGATTCTTGTGCCTCAGCCTCCCAACTAACTGGGATTACAGGTGTGCACCACCATGCCCAGCTAATTTTTGTATTTTTAGTAGAGACGGGGTTTTGCCAGGTTGCCCAGGCTGGTTTCAAACTCCTGGCCTCAAGTGATCTGCCCGCTTTGGCCTTCCAAAGTGCTGGATTTCGGGCTTTAGCCACTGTGCCCAGCCATGTCATCTAAATTTTAAAATTTATTGACATGAAATTTTAAAAATAATATATTCTTTTTTCTTTTGTAGAGATGAGTCTCACTATGCTGCCCAGGCTGGTCTTGAACTCTTGTGTTGAAGTAATCCTCCTGCCTTGGCCTCCCAAAGTGCTGGGATTACAGGCATGAGCCACTGTGTCCGGCCTGTAATATCTTGTTATGATCATTTTAATGTCTGTATGATCTAAAGCAGGAGTGGGCAAACTATAGTTCTCAGGTCAACCTGGCCCATGGCCTGTTTTTGTTTGGGCCAGTGAGCTAAGAACGGTTTTTATATTTTGAAAGAGTTATTAAAAACAGAACAACAACAACCAAAACACAAGGATATGTGACAGAACCCAGTTTCTGCTCTTAGCTTTAATATTTCCTTAGTTTACATTTGTGGTTTAATTTCCTTTTCTTTTTTTAGCTTCTTGAGAACCCAGTTTTAATAAATACTATATTCTGTGTGTAGCAGAAAAGAACAAGTTTGCTATGCTGTTATTCAAATCTTCTACATCCTTACTGATTTTTTGTCTTTTTATTCTATTGGTTAGTAAGAGTTGTGTTAAAAATCTGCCTCTTTTATTGTGGATTCACAAATTTCTTTTTATAGTCCTGAAATGAACTACTCTTTTTGAGGTCATAGCATTAGACACATATAAATTTAGAGTTGTTACAACTTCCTGATGAATAAAATCTTTTATCATTATTAATTGGGATGGAAGGGAAGTACATTTTAAGCAGTAGCAACATTCTAACAAAGATAAAAGAAAATGTAAAACATATTTTGGAAGAGGAAATAATACGATTTAATTATATTGAGAGGTCTACTTTGGGGAATAGAAAAAAGGAGACTATGAAAATAGAGGGAGGGCTTTATTTTGGTTTGCTTCAAGCATCACAGTGAGAAGTTTGTATCTAAGCCAACCATACATTTTTGAATCCAGTTTTTTTTCACCTAAATTCAAGTTTGTCACAATCGTAAGCAATAACTTTGGCTTAAGGCTTTATACATCTTTACATATCTTTACCTAAGATAAGTGATCTTAACCATTTATTGTTAAACATCCAATTTTAGTAATTATTCTACCATCTTATTTCATTTTTCTCAAGAAAGGAAAGTAGATTTTTATAAACAAAAATAATGAATGAGTGCTCGTTTATTATCCTTTCCTGAAAATATTCATGCCAGCTCTCCTTTATTTTCTTCTGAACAATGACCTTTGAAAGAAAATAACTGGTGGAAAAACAAAGTGAAAGTCTTGCCTCAGAATTTGGCTCAGTGTCAGAGTGATGTATGCTCCAGTTTTACCTCAGAGACAGACAGTGGCTGCAGTGCAATGCTGATTTGGTGGGTGGGCTAGGTTAGGGTTCAGGACCCATTCAGCTGAGCCGAAGTTGCAGTGTGACTTGCTCGGCCACGCTGGGCTTGAAGCTGGCTAAAGGCAGGAATGGTGGGAGGTGCAGGAGAGCAGGCTTTAGGGCACACAGATGTTCATCTAATGGCCAGAAACTGCTCTGCCCTTTAGACTAGCCTCAACTTCTGGCTCACCTCACAGCCTCAAATCCACAGCAACCATATCAGCAATGATTTGTCAGAGACTGAACTGTTAATTTCTATTTCTCTGAATAGGACCTTCCATCTTCCCAGCCTTCTATTTGTTGGTACTAAGGATTCAGAAAAAGGCAGGTCCTAGCTGGGATGGGATGCTGATGTCCTTATCTGACAGGAGAGGTATCTATTACATGACTGGCTTTGTTCCCTGCTCAACCACTTACGTGTAGTGAGGCCATAGATAAATTACTTTATCTGTCTCTGCTTTCATTTCTATATCTGTAATCTGAAGATAATAGAGTTATACCTACTCCTTACACACTTTAGTGACATACTTGTGAAGATAAATTGAGGTTGAATTGTAACGTGTCTGCAAAGTCCCAAGAGCTTTGGGAATAAAGGCTATCTATAAATAAAAATGTATTATGAATGCTTGAATTTTAATAAAAGCTTTTATATTTTACCCTCATGGCACTTTAGAAAGTCATAACTGTTGAATATTGAACAGATCTTTTTTTTTTCTCTCTCCACCCTGCCTGAAATAACACTTTCTAAACTAAGTTAGATCCTGGGAGATATCCATAAAGAAGATAAAGTTTGTTTCTGTGCTTCCAGGTTCCCCATTTTGCCCTGTTTTCCTTCTCAGGATGATACACTTACACTACTATTCCAAACGGATTCAGGACTTTCAATGACTTTTTACCCCCATTAAAATACACTCTCAATCAAAAATTAAATAAACTTATCCATTGGGGCAGACTGACAAGCCTAATGTGTTATCTTTCAGTATTTTTAATCTTTTAAACCAGGACATTCTTTAGCCAAAGGATTTAATCTAAAGTGGGAAGTTTGGATTTCAATCTAAGTATGGAATGGAGGCGTTGATGCTGATGGTGACAAGGAAAGAAGGCAAGTAAGTTGGAGCTTTTTTTTTTCCTTTCTTTTTTTTTGAGACGGAGTCTCGCTCTATTGCCCTATTGCACAGGTTGGAGTGCAGTGGTGCCATCTCAGCTCACTGCAGCCTCCGCCTCCCGGGTTCCAGTGATTCTCCTGCCTCAGCCTCCTGGGTAGCTGGGATTACAGGCACGTGCCACCACACCCGGCTAATTTTTGTATTTTTAGTAGAGACAGGGTTTCATCATGTTGGCCAGGCTGGTCTCGAACTCCTGACCTCTCAGATGATCTGCCCACCTCAGCCTCCCAAAGTGCTGGGATTACAGGTGTGAGCCACTGTGCCTGACCGTAAGTTGGAGCTTCTGAAATCTTACCAGATAGGTACAGGCATTAAAAAATAACTCCAATATCAAACACTTTATATATAATCAGCCATAATTAAGAACACTAAGGAAGGCAACCCTCACTGAAGTAGATATTATTTGCTCCATTTTATAGATGAGGGTACGGAGGCTTGAAGAAATTAAATAACTGTGAGATCACACACCTAGAAAGCAGCTGATCTGAGCTCAAACAAGCTTGCTTGATTCCAAAGTAGCTTTCTTGCCATGTAGAGTAACAAAACAAATCATAAATATGTAGAACTATGGCTGGGATTAACTCTGGACTCAACTTCTTTTGTTCCTTTGATGCTAGTCAAGCACACTTTTTTTTTGGTGCTAGCAGTCTCCATGTCTCTGAATGTAATTTTTTTTTTTTTTGGACGGAGTTTCACTCTTGTTTGGCCAGGTTGGAGTGCAATGGTATGATCTTGGCTCACTGCAACCTCCACCTTCCAGATTCAAGCAATTCTCCTGCCTCAGCCTTCCAGGTAGCTGGGATTACAGGCATGCACCACCACGCTCAGCTAATTTTGTATTTTTAGTAGAGATGGGGTTTCATCATGTTGGTCAGGCTGGTCTCGAACTCCTGACCTCAAGTGATCCACCCGCCTCAACCTTCCAAAGTGCTGGGATTACAGGAGTGAGCCACCGCGCCTGGTCCTTGACTGTAATTTATGCCACAAAAATAGACATCCCTGTTCTCTGGAAATAATTATATTGTGGTAAAATGTCAAAATAGATCTTTGGTATATTCCAAATGCTTTTTAGTATATTACTAAATTTAGTAATACATGTGTTTTAATTAAAAATCAGAAAAATGTTGCTAATGCTATAATAATGCATTTATGCAGAACCCAATCTGGAGGCCCTTTCTTTATCAGCAGTTTCTTTGATGTGTGCAGCATTTCCCTTGAATCTCTCTCTCTTGAATAGTGTATTTTCTTAGTTCCCTTGATACTTCTTCAGCCAGTTTCCCTCATATTCTTTTTGCTGCTTCTTCTTTCTCTTTAATGTGTTTGTCTCTCAGAACTCTTGTGTCAGAATTCTGCTATTTTTTTTCTATTCCCAGTACTCCTTAAGCATGCATCATTTCTTATAGCCTCAATGACAATCTTTATGTTGGTTTTCATTTCTCTCCAGCATGAATCTTGATTCAGGCAATTCAAGCTTAGATTTCCATTCATTCTTCTTGCTTTTCTGTATACTTATGCTCAACACACACACACACACACACACACACACACACACACACACACACGAGTCACCCATTCAGTCCAAGCTCTGTGTTGCCCATGATATGGTACATTATAACACAGAATTCCTCATCTTTGCATTTTCTCCCTATCATATCAAAAAATTAAAATGGCAGAGGTATATATGAAAAGTAGTTTCCTGATAAAGTTAGTGATACTTACATACTGAAGTTTATCAGTAAAAATTAATAACTAGCATTAACTAAGTGGAGCCATTATCAAGCTATAAGTGTATCATTTGGTTTTCTTATGTTGTCTTCTCCTACCCATGGGTTCTCTCTACTCATTTACAGTTTTTCGTTCACTGTCATTTAATGACTCAGCTGCCTGTCAACAAGAGTATTAATTGGGGCCATTCATGACACGTCCTCTTGTCACATCTGCTCACTCCACTGCCATTACTCTGGTCATTCGATCTTTGATCCAGCACTCTCCCTAATCTAGATAAATTTTAGAATTTTTCAGGCTTCACGCTGTCAAATTTAAAATCTCTGGTATTCTCTATTAATATCCTTCCCCCTAACTCTGTCCTAAAGTGGAGGGACAGTCCTTACATTATTAACTGCCTATTTTTCTTTTAAAATTTGATGGCTTCCATTTTCCCAGGACATACTGAAATTATTTAAAAGGGAAAATTGTTTAAAATATGTTTCATTACAAATTGTGTAGTCTATTTCTCCACATAGCAAAAATCTTACCAATTTTCCCTTCACAAGCATTTTTGTTGCAATAAAAAATAGTTTGCAAATGATCTTTTGTAGTTTCACTTTCATCTCTAGAGTATTCTATCAGTTACCCTAATTGTGATCAACAGAAACTGACTACCGTTAGCTTAAACCAAAGTACATTTATTTAGGACCTTGGTGGTAGGGGAAGGGATGGATATGGTGCTTGCTTACGTGGGGATAACAGGCTAGCAGGCAGCAAGGCAAGGCTTGGGAACAGAGAGGAGCAAAAGGGGATTTAGAAAACCAGGAAGCAGGAAGAACAGAACCATCTCATGGCAAAACTTGTCTGGTTAGCGCACCTCTTCTCTTTTATTGCCACTGAAATGAAATCATCTCTACAATGTTTTCTTCATTCTTGTATTATTCACTCAATATTCACAGTCCCAGAAAAGAGAGAACTGATTGGCTGGAGTTAAGTCACACAACTGACCCTTGGGACTACCAGAAAAAGGATCTGGAACACTTGGTTTCCAAAGACGGGCAATTGCTTTCCTTGCCACGACCACATGCAATGGGGAAGGGGCATTTTCCCAGAACGAAATTGGCGGAAGGTGAATGGATTGGGCAACCAGTAAAGACCAACGTCCATGAAGGAACTAATATTTTTTGGTTGACTTTTTCACCAGTTGAAATATTGTAGGGAAGGAGAGTCTAAAGAGAACTTTATAAATCACAGGAAAGAATAATTTGGTTTTTTTTTTTTTTTTTTTTTGAGACAATGTCTTGGTTTGTTGTTTAGGCTAGAGTTCAGTAGTGCCTTCATGGCTTGCTGCGGCCTCAAACTCCTGGGCTCAAACCATCCTCCCCCTTCAGCCTACCAACCAAGCCCAGCTAATTTTTCTTTTCTTTAAGATTTTTGTACAGATGGTTTTGCTATGTTGCCCCGGCTGGGTTTAAACTCCTGGCCTCAAGCAATTCCTCAGATCCTGGGATTACAGGTGTCAGCCACTGCCTCCGGCTTTGAGGAAATAATCAAGGAAATAATTTTAAATAACAGTATGTCTGCCCAACAAGAATTTACAATAGTATACACAAACAAGGAATTCCGAAGTGAGCATAAGAGATAGTCTCTTTGTTTTTTTCATTGTCATTTATTTTACATATAGGGTGGTGCTGAGATGTAGAAAAGGAGGAGAGAGGAGAGGAAATAAATTTGAATGGGAGAAAAAGACAAGAGAGGCAACATGGGGAACAGATATGGGTGTGTCAGCATTTTACATGTGTCATCTGCAGGTCTAATTCTAGTTTTGTGGAAACTTAGAATTGCTTTTCAAACCTTTGAGAGCATCTGCTTTACCTTTTCTCTGTCCAACTTCCATCTTTCTCTCTGGCAGCTAGGGTTTTCTGCATATTGGTTCAAGCATTCAAGCTAGTGAAAAAGCCACATATTTTTACTCTCCACTCTTAGGCAATTTTTCTCTCCATCAGAGCCAGTTTGTGCACGCTGTTCATGGGCTCCAGTGGTAAGAAAGATTCATTTTTCATAAGGGAACATCAAAATTAAGAGAAGTGTAAAACCATTTAGCATCCATTGTTCTTTTTTATAATTAGCAAGAATGGGCTGAGGGCAAGATAAAGCATATATATTTCTGACATCTTTAGATTCTTTTTTTTTTGGACACAGATGACAAGGCAGATTTGGCTGTTTCTTGTCTAATTTGACAAGCTGAATATTGTCAGGCAGATGTCTTCATTAAGTCTGTGTAGGAAGAGGGAAGAGAATCAAAGGGAAGAAGTAGTGAGCTTTCCTTCTGGTACTCTGGATAGGGGTCTGATATCTTGCAGGGTGATCTGTGAGTACAAGGGTAGTGTAAAGTGTTTTGTGTAAAATATTTTTTTAGGATTAAAAAGACCTGTGGCAATCATCTATTGGGTCCTAACACCTCATTTTGTAGTCTTGGAATATGCAGTGTTATGACCCACTTCAGGAAGCAGTGACAATTGCAGTATTTAGGTCAGGAAGCATAGCAGAGGGGTATATGGTGAGGTTACTCAAGGTTGGGGAAACCTGAAAATGAGTTGGTGTTACATCTTCACCAGTAGTGAGGTTTGATCTAAAAGATATCTACCAGTTAAGTCATTTCTGTAAATACTATCTGTTTAATTTCAACCTTGTTCATTCCATGCAGAGGAGATAACTATCTGACGGTGAGCTCTTTTGCCATTTAGTATTCCTCTTTTCCTTTCCTCTATCTCTACTGTCAGTTGGAAGCGCAGCAAAATCTTCCCTCTGTCATTTCTTACATTTGCTTCTTTTATGTCCCTAAAAGCTTTCAAATCCCCCTTCTCAGGATTTATTCCTATTTTTGGTTCTTTGGTTGTTTTCAACTCAACTCACATCCCTCACATAGATCATATTATAACGATTCTTTAAGAAGCAAAGCATGTTAGCAACTCCTGAGTCAGTTTTCTTTCTGTAAGCAACTAGGTTACCTCAGCCAGACTGGGTGAGAAAATGGCATCACAGCAAGAAGCTTATATTGTGCTAGTTAAGTACCAGCAATGACCAGTAGCATGCAATCAGAGACTGGGGATGAAACAACAGTGCAGCTATTTGGGACAAATTTCTGCTCTATTAATTCAGTTATACATTGTGATAACTAATATGCATCCATGACCATTGACAGCAGGTGATCAAATTATGCCTCTCAATCATCATGATAATCTAAGACATTATAAAAGCAGCGGGTATAAAATGCCATGTGCTATCTGAGTAACCAGAGAATCAGGGTTAAGAAAATAGTGCTGCCAGGAAGAGCCATTGTTCTTTTCTTTCCTCCTTTCTTCTATGTTTTAAGTGTTGGTTCCTTCCCAAACTACTAGAAAAATGCCTACTGTACATTCTGAGCACTGTGCGTCTGACACTTCTTTCCCTCCCCAGGTAGCACGAATCTTGAGAAATGAAGTAGAGAAAATGGCATAACACTTTGGAATAGCACAAGGATATGGATCAGGGAGCATCGTCGCATTTAGAAATGAATGGACTGATAGGAGGAGGGATGAGGGAGGGAAGTAAGTAATGGACAATGACCACTCATGTTAAAACACAGCACATACAAATATGAGACAAAATAAATGTAAAGGGTTTTCGCTTAAAATTACTTGTAATATGTCAGAAAACATTTATCAATTTGTCAAACAAAAGATTAAAGGTAATGCACTTATTAATGCATTTAATCAAAAAGAATTTATCAAATGTTCATATGCCAGGTACTGCTTTAGTTGCTGGGAGATACAGCAGTGGACAAAGCAAAGTTTTTACTCTTATGGTGCCTATATTGCAGTAATAGTAAGAGAAAACAATAAAGAAACAAGTAAGAGCCGGACGCGGTGGCTCATGCCTGTAATCCCAGCACTTTGGGAAGCACAGGTGGGCGGATCACCTAAGGTTGGGAGTTCAAGACCAGCCTGACCAACATGGAGAAACCCTGTCTCTACTAAAAATACAAAATTAGCCGGGAGTGGTGCTGCATGCCTGTAATCCCAGCTACTTGGGAGGCTGAGGCAGGAGAATTGCTTGAACCTGGGAGGCGGGAGGCGGAGGTTGCAGTGAGCTGAGATTGTGCCATTGCACTCCAGCCTGGGCAACGAGAGTGAAACCCTGTCTCAAAAAAAAAAAAAAAAAGAAACAAGTAAATAGATAGCATGTTAGTTGGTGCGGAATACTACAGAGAAATAAATCAAGAAGGGGCAAAAGGAGCAATGGTAGTGGTGAAAAGTTAGCTATTTTACATAGAATTCTTCAAAAGAACCCCTAATGAGAAGATGGCATCTGAGCAGAGATCTGAAGGAAGTGACAGAGCCATCTATGTGGATATGTGGGCAAAGAGAGTGCAGGCAGAGGAAAGAGCAAGTGCAAAATCCGTAGGGAAAGATTGTGTTTGGTGTATTTGAGGAAAAGCAGTGAGATGCTGTGGCTGAGCATGAGGAATGTAAAGGAGAGTGATAGGGGATGATGTCGGTAGATAGGTGGGTGGGCGAAGCAAGGCAGATCAGATCATGTAAGTACTCATGTAGAACTTGATGCTTTAGAAAATCTTCTGGCACATATACACCATGGAATACTATGCAGCTATAAGAACGATGAGTTCATGTGCTTTCCAGGGACATGGATGAAGCTGGAAACCATCATTCTCAGCAAACTAACACAAGAACAGAAAAACAAACAGCGCATGTTCTCACTCATAAGTGGGAGTTGAACAATGAGATCACATGGACACAGGGAGGGGAACATCACACGTGGGGGCCTGTTGGGGGGTGGGGGGCTAGGGGAGGGATAGCATTAGAAGAAATATCTAATGTAGATGATAGGCTGATGGGTGCAGCAAACCACCATGGCACGTGTATACCTATGTAACAAACCTGCACGTTCTGCACATGTACCTCAGAACTTAAAGTATAATAATAAAAAAAAAGAAAAAAAAGAAAATAAATCTTCTGGCTGCTATTTTGAGATTACACTGTTGGGGCTGGGGACAGTACAGAAGTAGGAAGATAGTATAATACTTAAAGCTAGAGATGATGTGACTTGAACTAGATGTCACATCAGTTGAGGTAGTGGAAAGTGGTTGGCTGTTACAAATGAAATTACTGTGAACATTTATAGACAAGTCTTTGTAAGAACTTAGGCTTATGCTTCTCTTGGGTAAACACTCTGGAGTAGAATGGCTGGATCACATGATAAGTGTATATTTAAGATTTTAAGAAATTGCCAAATGGTTTCCAAAGTGATTGATCCAGTTTATATTCTCACTAACAGTGTGTGAGAGTTCTAGCAGCGCCACATCCTTACTATCACTTCTTACAGTCTATTTTATTTTGTCAGTTCTAATAGGTATGTAGTGGTATCTCATTGTGGCTTTAATTTTCATTTCTCTAATGACTAACGATGTGGAGTGTTATTCCACGTGCTTATTTGTCATCATACATCTTTGGTGAAATGCTGTTCAAATCTTTTGCCCATTAAGAAAAATTGGGTTGTTTGTTTTCTTATTGTTACTTTTTAAGAGTTCTTTATATAATCTGGATACACATCCTTATTAGATGTGTAATTTACAAACATTTTCTTTCTCTCAGTCTTTTGCTTTTTAAAAAATTATTTATTTTTATTTTATTTATTATTGGTATTATTTCTTGAGATGAAGTCTCACTCTTGTCGCCCAGGCTGGAGTGCAATGGCACAGTCTTGGCTCACTGCAACCTCCACCTCCCGGGTTCAAATGATTGTCCTGCCTCAGCCTCCTGAGTAGCTGGGATTACAGGTGTGTGCCACCACGCCTAGCTAATTTTTGTATTTTTAGTAGAGACGGGGTTTCACCATGTTGGTCAGGCTGGTCACGAACTCCTGACCTCAGGCAATCTGCCTGCCTCAGCCCCCCAGAGTGTTGGGATTACAGGCGTGCGTCACCAAGCCCGGCCTAAAAAAATATTTAAACAGTGACTTTTGAGGAGCTGTCGTTTTAAATTTTGAAATAAAAATTAAAAAAGAAAAAATTGGGTACTGAGCTTAATACCTGAGTGATGTAATCATATGTACAACAAACCTCCGTGACATGTGTTTATCTATGTAACAAACCTTCACATGTACCCTCATACCTAAAATAGAAATTTTAAAAAAGAAAAAACTTAAAAATAAAATGAAGAAAAAAATCTGGGTTCAGTACCCAGTCTAGGATCACATGCTGTACTTAGTTGTCATATTTCTTTAGTCTCATTTTATCTGGACTAATTCTTCAATCTGCAGTAGTTGCTCATGTCCTTGACATTTTAAAAGAATACAGGCCAGTTATTTTGTAGAATGCTTCTCAGTTTGGGTTTCATGATGTTTCCTTATGATTAGATTTGGGTTATGCATTTTTGGCTGGAATACTGTAATACAAAAGTGATATTGCTTACTTCTCAGTGCATTGTATCATGAGACACACGAATTTGATTTGTCTTAATACTGGTGATGTTAACTTTGATTACTCAGTGAAAGTGTTCTGCATTGCAAAGTTTCTATTTTTCTCCTTTTAATTAGCAAGTATTTTCTGGGGAGATAGTATACTGTAGGACTATGTAGATCTCTGATTCACCCACTAGTTTAAGTATCGTTGACGACTTTTGCCAAAGTTGATTATCAGATTTGTGACATAAAAGCTTTTTTTCTTTTCTTTCTTTCTTTTTTTTTTTTTTGAGACAGAATCTTACTCTGTCACCTGGGCTGGAGTGCAGTGGCACAAACATGACTCACTGCAGCCTTGACTTCCTGAGTTCAAGCAACACTCTCACCTCAGCCTCCCAAGTAGCTGGGACCACAGGCATGCACTACTACACCCGAGTAATTAAAAAAAAAATTTTTTTATTTTGTAGATACAGAGTCTCACTGTGTTGCCCAGGCTCTTCCTGTATTTTCTATATTAGTATGAATTCATGCATTTGTATTTTTTTTAATGGGCTTTCATTTAATATAATTATTTTCCTGCTGAATTTTTTCCAGATTTGGACACATAAGACATTTTCAAATTGGCTCCTGTGGTTTTTTTTTGACATTCTTATCATTTTTGAACCAATTCCTTACTTTCTGCCATAATAAGATATGGTTCATCTTATACTTTCTGGGTCCCAGGCTGGAATTAGTCATTTCTCCAAAGAGCACTGGTTCTTTTCAATGAAAATTGTAGTTAGAAGTCAAAATCTGGGCACGTTTTCATTGCTTTTGGGAGGTGATTACTTCTAGGATTTCTCAGAATACAGTGCTGAGAAATATGTATGTATGCACACATATGCACACCTATACCCTTAATCTATTTCTTTACCTCTCTCCCTCTTTTAAAATATATACACTAAATGTCATATGTTAAATATCTAACTACAGCTCATTTTCTTTAGAATGAAAGTATAGTGTCAAAATGCCGTGTTAAAAAGTTGTAAGTAGATCTCGGAGATATTGCATGTTTGGTTCCAGAACCACCACAATAAAATGAATATCGCAATACAGTGAGTCTTATAAAGTTTTTGTTTTCCCAGTGCATATAAAAGTTACGTGTACACTATACTGTAGTCTATTAAATGTGTAATAACATTGTGTCCAAAAAAACCCAATGTACGTATTTTCATTAAAAAACACTTTATTGGTCGAGCACGGTGGCTCATACCTGTAATCCCAATACTTTGGGAGGCCGAGGTGGGTGGATCACTTGAGGTCAGGAGTTTGAGACCAGCCTGGCCAATATGGTGAAACCCCATTTCTATTAAAAATACAAAAATTAACTAGCTGTGGTGGCATGCACTTGTAATCCCAGCTACTTGGGAGGCCGAGGCAGGAGAATCGCTGGAGCTGGGAGGCGGAGCTTGCAGTGAGCCGATTGTGCTACTGCACTGCAGCCTTGGTGACACAGCAAGACTCCGTCTCAGAAAACAAAAACCAAACAAACAAAAAAACAAAAAAGCTTTATTGCTAAAAAATGCTGGCAGTCATCCGAACCTTCAGCAAGTCATAGTCTTTTTGTTGGATGAGGGTCTTGCCTCAACGTTGATAGCTGCTGACTGATCAGGGTGGTGGTTGCTGAAGATTGGAATGGCTTTGGCAATATCTTAAAACAGGACAACAATGAAGTTTGCCACACTGATTGACTGTTTTTTTTTCATGAAAGGAAAATACTCTGCTGCTGCTTTATCAGCTAAGTTCATGCAATCTTCTAAACCTTTTATTGTCATTTCAATAATGTTCACATATCTTCACCAGGAGTAGATTCATCTCTAGAAATCCCTTTCTTTGCTCATCCATAAGAAGCAACTCCTCATCCATTCAAGTTTTATCATGAAATTGCAATAATACAGTCACATCTCAGGCTCCACTTCTAATTCTAGTTCTCTTGCTATTTCCACCACATCTGTAGTTACTTCCTCCACTTGTCTTGAATACCTCGAACTCATCTATGAGGACTGTAATAAACTTCTTCTAAACTCCTTTTAATGTTGATTTTTTTGACTTTGTTCCTTGCATCACGAATGTTGTTAATGGCATCCTAGAATGATGAATCATTTCCAAAATGCTTTCAATTTACTTTGTTCACATCCATTAGAGGAATCACTAACTATGGCAGCTATGGGCTTATGACACATATTTCTTTCTTTTTTAAAAAAATTTCCAACTTTTATTTTAAGTTCAGGGGTACATGTGCAGGATGTGCAGGTTTGTTACATAGGTAAACCTGTGCCATGGTGGTTTGCTGCACAAATTATCCCATTACCTAGGTATTAAGCCCAGCATCCAGTAGCTATTCTTCCTGATGCTCTCCCTTCTCTTGCTACCCTCAGACAGGTCCCAGTATGTGTTGTTTCCCCCATGTGTCCATGTGTTCTCATCATTCAGCTCCTACTTACAAGTGAGAACCTAAGGTATTTGATTTTCTGTTCCTGCGCTAGTTTGTTAAGGATAATGGCTTCCAGCTCCATCCATGTTCCTTCAAAGGACATGACCTCGTTCCTTTGTATGGCTGCATAGGGACTCCATGGTGTATATGTACCACATTTCCTTTATCCACTCTATCATTGATGGGTGTTTAGGTTGATTCATGTCTTTGCTATTGTGAATAGTGCTGCAATGAATAAAGACATGCATGTGCCTTTATAATAGAATAATTTATATTATTTTGGGTATATATTCAGTAACAGGATTGCTGGGTCAAATGGTATTTCTGCCTCCAGGTTTTTGAGAAATTGCCATACTGTCTTCCACAATGGTTGAACTAATTTACACTCCCATCAACAGTGAACAGTATAAATGCATTCCTATTTCTCCACAACCTCGCCAGCATCTGTGTTTTTATTATTTTTTTTTTTTTTGGTTTGTTAGTAATAGCCATTCTGACTGGTGTGAGATGGTATCTCATTGTGGTTTTGATTTTCATTCCTCTAATGATCAGTGATATTGAGCTTTTTCTCACGACATATATTTCTTGAATTAAAAAACTTGGAAGTCACAATGAATTCTTGATCCATGAACTGCAGAATGGATGTTGGGTGAGCCAGCATGAAAACATTAATCTTCATGTATGTCTCCATGAGAGCTCTTGGGTAACCAGGTGTATTGTCAATGAGCAGTAATATTTTGAAAGAAGACTCTTCCTGAGCAGTAGGTCTCAACAGTGGACTTAAATATTCAGTAAACCATGCTGTACACAGATGTGCTGTCATCCAGACTTTGTTGTTCCATTTATAAGAGTAATTCTTAAGGATTTCCAGAATGATAAATGAACATTGGCTGCAACTTAAAGTCATCAGCTGCTTTATCTCCTAACAAGAGTCAGCCTGTCTTTTGAAGCTTTGAAGCCAGGCATTGACATCCCTCTATCTATGAAAGTCCTAGATGGTATCTTCTTCCAACAGAAGGCTGTTTCATCTACACTGAAAAATCTGTTGTTGAGTGTAGCCCCCTTCATCAATGATCTTAGCCAGATCTTCTGGATAACTTGCTGTAGTTTCTCCATCAGCACTTTCTGGTTTACATTGTACTACTATGTTATGAAGATGGCTTCTTTTTTTTAAACTCTTAAGCCAACATCTGCTAGCTTCAAACTTTCCTTCTGCAGCTGCCTCACTTCTCTCAGCCTTCCTGGGATTGAAGAGAGTCGGGGACTGGCCCTGGATTAGGCTTTAGCTTAAGGGAATGTTTCGGCTGATTTGATCTTCTCTCCAAACCACTAAAACTTTCTCTATCTCAATAAGGCTGCTTTGTTTTCTTATCATTCATGTGTTCACTGGAGTAGTACTTTTAATTTTCTTCAAGAATTTTTCCTTTGCATTCCCAGCTTGGCTAGCTGTTTGCACAAGAGGCCAAGCATTTGACCTGTCTCAGCTTTTGACAGGCCTTCCTCACTAAGCTTAACCATTTCTAGCTTTTGATTTAAAGAGAGAGACATGGGACTCTTCCTTTCATTTGAGCACTTGGAGGCCATAGCAAGGTTATTACTTGCCCTAGCTTCAATATTGTCCTGTCTCAGGGAGTAGGGAGGCCTGAGGAGATGGAGAAAGACAGGGAACGGCTGATCAGTGGAGCAGTGAAAACACACACGACATTTATTGATTAAGTTCACTGTATTATATGGGCATAGCTCATGGTGCCCCAAAACCACTACAGTAGTTACATCAAAGGTTACTGATCACAGATCAACACAGATATAATAACACTGAAGAATTCTGAAATATTGCAGGAGTTACTGAAGTGTGCTACAGGAACATAAAGTGAGTACATGTTGTTGGGAAAATGGTGCTGGATAGACTTGCTTGAGTCAGGGTTGCCACAAACCTTCTGTTTGTAAAGAACACAGTATCTGGAAGTGCAATAAAGGGAAGCACAATAAAGTGAAGTACGCCTGTACTTGAATTGCCCTTTCCTGCCCCTACGCCCTCCTGCGTGTTTATGTTATTCTTTTGAAATATAACAAGGTTCATTTGTTTTAGTTTGCACTCCCTCTTAGGAATAAAATGTATTCGTTGTTATTTTATAAATATTAAAACATGAACATGGTAATTGTCCAAGTGATAAAAATGATAGGGAAGTATCACTTCTCCCAAGTTTTCCATCTTCTTTCTATCTCAGGAGTATGTTTTTTTAAGGTTTAAATCTGACTGTGCTCCCCTTTGTTTAAAACGCTGTTATCACTTGTCCCAAATCCTGGAAGTGTCTGTATGATGTGACCTGCCTGATTTCTAGCTTTGTCCTGTGCTGTGCCCCTCCTTGCTCATTGTGCATACAAACGTTCTTTTAGTTCTTCGAATGATGCTACTCCTTGCTTTCTTATGACCTTCTCACATACTACACCCTCTACCTGCAATACCTGTTTCCTCCTCTTATTAACTGTGTTAACAGCAATTCACACTTTAGGCCCAAATTAAATGCCATTTTCTCAAGGAAACCTTCTCTGTCCTTGTCTCTTCTTGCCCAGTGAAAAATACAGTAGATTAGATCTCCCTGTTATTTTATCCTCACAATGTTTCCTGCGTAGCACAGATCACAGTTTGCCATTATAATGCTTATTTGTTTGATTACTTTTTTTTTTTTTTTTGAGACAGAGTCTTGCTCTGTTACCCAGGCTGGAGTGCAGTGGTGAGATCTTGGCTCACTGCAACCTCTGCCTCCCAGGTTCAAGCAACTCTCCTGCCTCAGCCTCCTGAGTAGCTGGGATTACAGGCATGCGCCACCATGCCCGGCTAATTTTTGTATTTTTTGTAGAGATGGGGTAGATGGGGCTTCATCATGTTGGCCATGGCTGGTCTCGAACTCCTGACCTCAAGCGATCCTCCTGCCTCAGCCTCCCAAAGTGCTGGGATTACAGGCATGAGCCACTGTGCCTGGCCTGTTTAATTACTTGAATCATGGCTATCTGGTCCACCATGCTGTAGGGTCCATGTACAGCAAATATTTGTTGAATTAATAAATGAGGAGTAGAAAAAACTGTGAAGTTTCATATGTTTATTGTGGCACTATTCACAATAGCAAAGACTTGGAACCAATCCAAATGTCCAACAATGATAGACTGGATTAAGAAAATGTGGCACATATACACCATGGAATACTATGCAGCCACAAAAAATGATGAGTTCACGTCCTTTGTAAGGACATGGATGAAATTGGAAATCATCATTCTCAGTAAACTATCGCAAGGACGAAAAACCAAACACCGCATGTTCTCACTCATAGGTGGGAATTGAACAATGAGAACACGTGGACACAGGAAGGGGAACATCACACACGGGGGACTGTTGTGGGGTGGAGGGAAGGGGGAGGGATAGCATTAGGAGATATACCTAATGCTAAATGACGAGTTAATGGGTGCAGCACACCAGCATGGCACATGTATACATATGTAACAAACCTGCACATTGTGCACATGTACCTTAAAACTTAAAGTATAATAATAATAATAATAAAAAAAGAAAAAACTGTGAAGTTTAAGTTAGTATGTAGTTTCAGAAAATAGATGACTTCTTATTTGTAGATATTTGAACTGATTCACAGATACTTTAGTTTTGTTCACAAATTTGTATTTATTTGTCCCATCGTAGTTGTACGAAATCTCTGTGGCCTTGCATACTCCACAATGGAAAGTTGAGGTCTGATTGGCACATTCTAAACCATACCTTTTACATAACAAAATTAGAGGAAAAAGAGATACTTAAGAACAGAGGGGCAGGTAAGTGAAATAATTACGGTATTTTCTTATTGCTAAGTATAGGAAGCAGACAGAACAAAGTGAGAAGAAAGCTATTGACATAACACACATCAGCTATTTTGCTATATGACTGAAATGCCTTTTCATTGTTTTTTCCATGTTTTCCAATATGTTTGCAAATATGCTTATAGATTTTGTTTTTGTTTTTGCTTTTTTTTTAGGTGGAGTTTCTCCCTTGTTACCTGGACTAGAGTGCAATGGCACAATTTCGGCTCACTGCAATCTCCGCCTCCTGGGTCCAAGCGATTCTCCTGCCTCAGCCTCCTGAGTAGCTGGGATTACAGGCACCCACCACCACTCCAGGCTAATTTTTTTGTATTTTTAGTAGAGATGGGGTTTCACTCTGTTGGCCAGGCTGGTCTTGAACTCCTGACCTCAAGTGATCTGCCCGCCTTGGCTGCCCAAAATGCTGTGATTACAGGTGTGAGCCACCATGCCAGGCCTTTATAGATGTTAAGACAGAATAAATGCCTTTAATTTATATGATTAATATGTATGATTTAATCCATGATAAATCAAAGCAACCGTTCCATTTTAAAAGATCAAGTTAGGTTAAGTGCAGAAGAATTTGACTGAGAAGCTATGGGAGCTTAAAGATTCATGGCCCTTCTTTCCATGGCTCATTCCAAAGTCCTGGGAAGCACCCTAGCAAGATGTTCACACAACCATCTAATTTTGTAAAATTTGCAAACTTTGAGCTGCAATTGGTTAAGATTGCTGCTTCGCTCAGACTTTCCCTCCTCATGCTTACCCTGGTGTCTGGCATTTGGGGGATGGAGTTGGCAGTCACTTCTGTGTGTAATGAGGCATTTCTTCGAAAGAATCACTTCTAGAAAACTTCTGCTGTTCACCTGGCATTGTGACACATAGGGGCAAGACCAAAAATCATGTTGTGATATGAGTGTGTCCCAAAGCACCCAGCCCTGAGGTATGCGCACAGTAGAAAAGAAGAAATGATTTAAAAAGATGAAGCGAGAACTAGTCTGTGGAAAATTCTTCTAATCTTCAGAAATGTGGAATTAGAAGCAGAGAATTCCCTTATCATTACTTAAGCAAAATGGCTATTCTTTCCTCTCAGGAATATACTTAATAATGCAGATTGTACAGAGGTAAATACACTATATTTTTTCTGTTGTTGGATGAGAATCATGCAAGATAAAATTTATCTAATTCCTGTGTTCATACTTTATAAACTCTAGGAGTTTTACAAATAGCGATCATGTCTCTTGGCATACTGCAGAGTACTTCCCAATATGTCAGATCACTTACAGTGTCTGACATATTGTGTCCTTATAAAGTTGAGCAGTTATTAGCCAGGTGCAGTGGCTTAAGCCTCTCATTCCAGTTACTCAGGAGGCTGAGGCTGGAGGATCACTTCAGCCCAGTAGTTGCTAGCCTGGGCAACCTCGAGAGACCCTGTCTCAACAATAAAATAAAAAATAATATAAAATAAAGATGAGTGGCTCTAGATGAAACAGCACACAAAACTGCTAACAACGCAGCAATACACTGAAAATAAGTGCTCAAGTGACATAATTCTTACAAACACCCATCAACTTAGTCAATATATGTAGTATTGGAGTAGTTTGATTATACATTTAGGTAGCTCAATATAATATGGCAATAATTTAAAACTGTATTTGAATTCCTCTTGTGTTACACTTAATTTTGTATGGTTTTCCAGTGTATGAAGCCAAAAAATAGGGAAAACGCATCTATTAGAGAGGTTTATTGGGCAATTAATAAAATATTATGCTATTTTTCTGTCTTAAGTGATGCTTAATGTATGTATTGTTTTTTTAATTGTATTTTGTTGCAATTTATTTTCTGTTTCCAAACATATATTCATTTTTGTTTCTAATTTTTGATATGTAAATTTTTGTTGTTTTTCTTAAAGGGTACCTCTTCAAGATGGACCACTTCAGGCCCCATAAAACTTGACTCCCTGTGGTTAGATAAATTAAAAATGTTTCTGTCCTGTGAAAGCTGGGTATAGTGAGCCACCTTTTCCAAAGTACTCAGACAAAGAAATGGTTTTTCTGTTAATTATCAAGATAATTAAACACACACACACATGCACACACACACACACACACACACACACACACACTGCCCTTCCTCAGCTTTGTTCTCCAATATTTACCAGATAATTCTATCCGTTTTGTGTGTGAGTTCAGCTTCCATTTATGTTGTGTATGTTTGAATTATAAATGAACAGAAATTGAACTATAACAAAAAGGAAGAACTTTTAACCACCCCATCCTTCCATGATGGGTCTTCTGAAATTTCCTTTGCCAAAGGTAGGCAGCATCCTCCAGAAGAGAAGTCGGAGCTTTAAGCCAGCTCAGAAAAACAGGGAGATGGAGCAGGATCGAGGACTCAAACAGAATAAGTGAACGTTGGGAGAATCCTACATTATAGAAATAGATAACTCTCAGTATTGGTTTTAAAAATATGGCTAGATAACACCATGCCTGTAGGATACAAAAGGCAAATACATAGCTAGAGCTTATCAGATGCCTAGGAATAACCCATTGAATACACAAAAGCAAAAAAAAAAAAAATCACTGACTTTAGTTTGAGAAATTATAAGAGCCAGAGGCTTAAACATCTATGTAAAATAAACAAAGGAAATAAAAAGAATAGAAGACAAAAGATCAACTGAATGGAGGGCATATCATTAGGTGGGAAGCTCTCTTGAAATTATTTGAAAAGAACAATTAATTCTCTCCTGACAAATGTGCCATGGGAAGCCAAGGCCTCTGGTACTGCTCCTGTTTTTCTCTAGCCTCAGATTTTGGTCTCCCTGCCACGACGCTCATATATCTAGTGAGCAGAAACATTGTTCTTCCATAATTCCCACAGAGGCTTTGCGACTGGATCTCTTTGAGGCTACTACCTACCTCTCCTTTTGGGGCTTATTTATTTCTGCTTAGGTACAGCTGGGAGTTGCAATTTCCAACCGGCAGCTCAAGTGTCTAAAGCTCTTTGATGTTTTCATCATTGCAGAAAAATTAAACTAATCCACAGATTATGAAATACATGCTAGAAGAGCACTTGAGAGAAAAGATAAAGAAAAATCCCCAAATTGAGAACAGAGTACAAAGTGCTAAAGTACTCAAGTGTTGTTGAGAACTCCAAAACAGCATAAAAGTCTACCAAATACAAACTCCTGAAACTTCATCATTCTCTCTTACACATATTTTTACTATCCTTTGGAACTTAAAAAAAATACGATTGTTTAGCATTTTTGACAGCCACCAAGCGAACAGAATAAAATGTAAAATTCAATTTCAAAAAATTGATAATTCTGAGCTGCATTAAGAAAGAAAGTATTTTAGCAAAACATCCCAAAGTCTCTGCTCTACAAGTTACCTCCTCTGGAGAGCTGTAATAATATGACCTGTTCTGCTGAGTGTCATGTGATGCTTGTTTTGAAAATATTTTGCATTTCTTAGATGAAGGGCACGCTTTAACACTTCAGATTACAATAACACGGCGTTACATTTCAGCTACTTCAATTCACATCAGTCTCACAATTTGGCAGAAACATTTTTCATCCAATCTGCATTTGTTCTGGTCACCCTGAGAATTCTATTTTTAGAAAAAGGTCTTTAAAAAGGAAGCACAAACACAGAGTTTTAAAAGATATTATCTTGAAACCTATTCATGTTTTTCAGATTTCTGTCCTATGAGATGCTAGTTAATTTTTACGGAGGGTCCTATCTTGCCTGAACTGGAAAAGCAAAAAGGGAAACAAAAGAAAAAGCAATATAGAACAGTAAACTCAGGGAAATCTTTTCTCTTCTAACTCTTTCAGGAGTAGAGAAAAAGTAAGGGTGGAGAATTATTTGTAGGATTATATTTCATATTTTGATTTAAATTTTACAAGGCCTGTTTATAGAGAAAGAAAAAAAAGACCCTGACTACCCTGAAATGCTTATTAAATCTAACAGCATACCTGCTACAGATTAAATGCCAGTAGCTCCTTGACTCATAACACTTTTGACATCCCAATATCTCTCTGCACCGAAGTATATCACTTTTATTGCAGTAAATCAGAAAAACATGGGAGTTTGACACACAGGTTGGTTAAAAGCAAACAAACCTAAACAATTAAACATTTTTTGAGAAAAAACTTTGAGCTTGCAAAGCTTACGACACTTGTCATAAAACACAACCCTGATTCTTTGATAACTGCGTGCATCACTGCTTAAAGAGCACTGGAATGGTACTTTCAGTGGAATTTTTAAAAAAGAAATCTTACCTTGTGATCTCAAAAGAGTAAGAAAGCTCTCTTTTGCTAAAGGGAAGTTCTTCTAGACAGATACTTCACCATAGTGAGGTATTTATTGTAGCTCATTTTTATGAATCCAGCAGCCTCAGCTCAGAGGCATTTTTGGAGAGGCTAGAAGAGGGTCCAGTTAAGGACTCGGACCTGAGGCAGAGGGGAGACTGGTGAGGGAATCAACAGCTGAAGGTGCAGCAGCTAGTGGAAAGGAGCTTTATTTGGGAAGACACTGTTCTCCTGGGAGGCCAATCAGGCTTATAGTGAACGACTGTGGAATTTAGAGGCTTGTGAATGTGGGCAGGCATCAAGGCAGGTTTCAGAAAAAGGCTCCAGTCCTGTGTCGTAAATGGAGGGCAAAAGGGAACCCTGAAACTGTAGCCAGAACTTGGCCCTGGACGATAGTGCTGCAGTGGGCAAATCTGTGGTCTAGCGGCCTGGGACATGCCAGGCAGAGGACATCAAACTTAGAGCAGGAAGATTGATTTCACACTCTGCCGCCTGGTACATCTGAGCCAAGCCTAGTTCTATATAGAACCTGCTCAGGCTAGATTCATCTCTGGAGCTTCAGCTGTTGGTGTCAGGGCCTGCAACTGGGAAACTGGAAGAAGTTTCCGATAAGTCCACTTGTTTCGTCTCTCCCAAGCCACTTCTGTATTATTCTGATCTATTTTTCACCAAGAAGTCAGAGAGGTCCTTCAAAATGTGCCTCATCATTTGACCCCAAACCTGTTCAAATTCTGTCAATGTATTCCTTAGGACATTAGGCTAACACCAAACCTTAACGTGGCCTACCAATCTCAGTATGATTGAGCTTTCCTAATTCATCTGGCCACTCTCCCTATTAATTTCTGCCCTTCAGCCATAGTGGCCTTTTCCCAGCTGTTTAGTGCCCATGCTCCAGCTTTACACTGTCTACTCTGCCTGAATTTCTTTTCCCCACTCATTTGCTGAAGAAGAAACTTGTCCTGCAGCTCTCAAGCCAAAAGTCACTTCCTTATGGAAGTGGAGACTGGGTGAAGTAAGATTTCTTTCATTTTCAAAGCAGTTATCACAACAGTGATCAAATAATTAAGTGTATAATTAGTTGCTCAATGTTTGTCTCCCCTGCTAAGACTGAAAGCTCTGCTAGACTAAGACCACTTTGATGTTCCATTCCACTGTACACTCAGTGCCTACCGATTAAAGACCTTTTGCAAAGTAGGTGCTTAGAAAATAGTTACTGAATAATTGAGTGCATGAAATAAGGGATGAGCATCTCACTATCACATCTTAAATCACAATGGGATCCTTTCTGCACATTTGCAAGGCTGGCCCACTGTAAGGATCAGTCTTGGCCAAGCATTCTATCACATGACATTACAACAAAGAGTGTAGCTTAACAACAAAATAAACCATATCGATGGCTTGCTTCATTTACTAAATTTATTTTTCCCAAATTCTTTTCTTAGAGTTGGACTAAAATTGTTTTTTAGAGAATGAAGGAGAGAGAACAAAAGAGGCAACAAAATACCTCATCAGTCTTCAGGAATGGATAAATCAAATTGAAACCAGCCCAATTCCCACAGAGCTGATATTTTTGGATTTTTTGAATAAACATAGAAATTGGTCCTCCAGGTCTTAAAACATGAAACTTACATTTGTCTTATCTGAGTTCCATCCTCAGGAAACCAACCCTCAGGCAAGGGACTGAAACGTACCAAAACACTACACCCAGACAATGAGATGCCCGACCTCCCATTAGTCAGGATTGCCTCCTTTCCCCTTCCTAATTCCTGTTTTCCAGCACGTACTTACATTCCTCCTCCTGATACATAAAGCCCTCAATTTCAGTTGGTAGGGGAGACAGATTTGAGACTGATCTCCTATTTTCCTGGGCTGACATCGCATGAATAAAAAGGCTTCTTTCCTGGCAATCCTCCTCTCACTGATTGGCTTTCTGTGTGGCATAGCAACGACCTCACCCCTGGTGTTTGGGTAACAAAATGAACACTGTGTTGGTGGCTTTTTCCATGTTCAATCATGAGCTGCTAAGTTTAAAGTAGCTTTCCACAAAATCGCATCAGTCAACAAACTGTTACTCTCATCAACCTAGAAGCTTTGGAATGTTATAAGAGGCCCTTATCTCACCTCCCTGTGGTAATATTGGAGTTGAAGTGCAGCAGCTGACATTGTACCAGTCCACAAATGGAAAAGGAAAATGTGTGCAGGGTTTCCTGACAACTCTGCTCAAACACTGTCAAAAACTACTGCATGTGATGTAGGAGTTGCAAATAGCTATCAATTCAAACTCTAAAATATCTCTTGAATCTGTTCTCTCTTCCTACTTCTGTTCATATCCCTACTTTCACTACCTTGATTTGGACCCTTTGTCATTCCTTGTCTGGGCTATTTTTTTTTTTAAGACAGAGTTTCGCGTTGTTGCCCAGGCTGGAGTGCAGGGGCACAATCTTGGCTCGCTGCAACCTCCACCTCCCGGGTTCAAGTGATTCTCCTGCCTCAGCCTCCCAAGCAGCTAGGATTACAGGTGCGTGCCACCATGCCCAGCTCATTTTTGTATTTTTAGTAGAGATAGGGTTTCACCATATTGGCCAGGCTGGTCTTGAACTCCTGACCTTGTGATCCACTCTCCTCTGCCTCCCAAAGCGCTGGGATTATAGGCATGAGCCACCATGCCCTTCCTGTATGGGCTATTTTTAACAGTTGTATGTTTTTTCTACCTTTTACGTTTTCTTTCTCTAATCTTTTCCCCACCTTGCAGCCAGAATTAGCTTTCTAAAATATAAGTACAGTCATTTAATTTTCTTAAAAAATTTCTATGACTCTTGTTTACATGAGTGATTTTAAAACTTAAAAATAACAACTAAGCTCTTCTTCCAAGTTGAAAATCTAAAAGAGATACATAAGAGAGAAGAAGTGCAGTGAGGTGGAGTGGTGGGGGCGGTGTGCAGAAACTTGACCTTTTGACCCACCCTGTGCTTCCATTAGGGCACTTTTGGGAACCTAAAAGTCTATTGAATGAAAAATAGCTGGCCTCATAAAAGCCAGTCTCTTTGGACAAACATCCATGAGTCTTCATAATCTGACCACACTTCATTCTTCCAACATAACCTCTCACTAGGGGTTACATAATCCACCCACTCATAATTCTCCAGTACTCCCATACTCCATGTGTTTTCATTCATTTCTACTTGGCATATTCTGTTAGTGCTGCTTGGAAAGGTCATACTCTGTTGGACAATTTCGGACTTAGTTTGATTAAAATCCCTTCTGGAAGTCTTTTCAGACTTCCCCAATCAGAACTGGTCTCTCTCCACCACTCAACTTTGGCTCTGTACTTAACCCCATCACAGCACTTAGCACATTGTATTGTCTGTCTTCCTACTTGATGTCAGAAAATATTTTAATTCATCTTGATAAAAGTAGTGTCTTCCTAACACAATGCCTGGCTTATAGTTATGCATTTGCTGAATGCAAGTTGATTTTATCAGGCTTTCTCAGGAAATAAAATTCCTAGGGATGGATTCAATATAACTTTTTCCTCACCACCATGTCCTTCCCTATCACAAAACATACCTACACACTTAAGATACTGTTTTTCTTTTCTCCCTGATTTTAAGTGTGATATTATGATTTACAATAAGAAGTATATACTAGGTCTTTGTAGTTTCCTGGCACACAGCTCCTATGAGTCTTGGAATTTGAGAAGTGGTTGGTGTCTTTTGTGTGCTAATGAGATGATTGGTGGCTGGGGCTCCTGGAAAGTGTCCAGTGGGGGCTTGTTGCCAGGGTGAACCAACCACGTGATTACAAGGTTGAAACTTTTAGCCCCACCTCCTGACCTAAGGGAGGTGAGAAGAACTGGAGATTGATTCAATAAGCAATGGCCAATGATTTAATTAACGATGCCCAGTGAATCCTCCCCTAAACCTCAAAAGGAGAAGGTCTGGGGAGCTTCCAACATAAAAGTGCTGAAAGGGTGGCACATCTATTGGGGGCATGGAAGTTCCACATCCCTTCCCACATACCTGAGCCTATGCATCTCTTCTATTTGGCTTCCTGAGTTGGATCCTTTTTATAATAAATGGGTAACAGTAAGTAAAGTGCTTTCCTGAGTTCTGTGAGCCGCCATAGCAAATAATCAAATCTGAGGAAGGGGTCGTGGGAACCTCTGATTTACAGCCAGTTGGTCAAATTACAGGTGATAACCTGAAGTATCAAGTGGTAGTGTGGGGCAGTCTTGTGGGAGTGAGCCCTTAAAACTGTGGATCTCCAGGTAGATTGTGACAGAAGCTAAATTGTAGGACACCAGTTGGGTCTGCAGAGAGTTGGAGAATTGCTTGGAAAATCCCACTCGTCTGTTGTCAGAAGTGAAGACATTTGAATACAATTATTATGTATCAATTTTAAAAAGACACCCTTTCTGAAAAGAAATAGATGTTTTAGAAGATGATGTAGTTTGGCTTTGTGTCCCCACCCAAATCTCATCTCGAACTGTAATCGCCACGTGTTGAGGGAGGAACCTGGTGGGAGGTGATTGGATCATGGGGTGGTTTTCCCCATGCTGTTCTCATGATAGCAAGTGAGTTTTCATGAGATCTGATGGTTTAAAGTGTTTGGCAGCTTCCCCTTCCCCCTGCTGCCATGTAAGATGTGCTTGCTTCCCCTTTGCCTTCCACCATGATTGTAAGTTTCCGGAGGCCTCCTCAGCCATGTGGAAGTGTGAGTCAATTAAACCTCTTTTCTTTATAATTTACCCAGTCTCAAGTAGGTCTTTATAGCAGTGTAAAAATGGACTCATACAGAAAATTGGTACTGAGAGAAGTGGGGCACTGCTATAAAGATATCTGAAAATGTGGAAGTGACTTCGGAACTGGGTAATGAGCAGAGGTTGGAACAGTTTGGAGGGCTCAGAAGATGACAGGAAGATGTAGGATAGTTTGGAACTTCCTAGAGACTTGTTGAATGGTTTTGACCAAAATTCTGATAGTGATATGGACAATGAAGTCCAGGCTGAGGTGGTCTCAGATGTTGTATTAGTCCATTTTTTGCACTGCTATAAAGAAATACCCAAGACTGGGTGATTTATAAAGAAAAGAGGTTTAATTGACTCACAGTTCCCCATGGTTGGGGAGGCCTCAGGAAACTTACAATCACGGGAGAAGCAAAAGCAGACATGTCTCACATGGTGGCAGGTGAGAGAAGTGAAGTGCAAGCAGAAGAAAAACTGCCACTTTTAAAACCATCAGATCTTGTGAGACTCACTCACTATCACAAGAACAGCATGAGGGAAACTGCCCCCACAATCCAATAACATTCCATTAGGTTTCTCCCTTGACACATGCAGATTACAATTCAAGATGAGATTTGGGTGAGGACCAAGAGCCAAATCATATCAGATGGAGATGAGGAATTTATTGGAACTGGAGCAAAGGTTACTTTTGCTATGCTTTATCAAAGAGACTAGTGGCATTTTGCCCCTGCGTTAGAGATCTGTGGAACTTTGAACTTGAGAGAGATGATTTAGGGTATCTGGTAGAATAAATTTCTAAACAGCAGAGATTCAAGATGTGACCTGGCTGTTCCTAAAAGCGTTAAATCATATGTGTTCACAAGGAGATGTTCTGGAATTAGAACTTATGTTTAAAAGGGAAGCAGAGCATAAAAGTTTGGAAAATTTGCAGCCTGATCATATGGTAGAAAAGAAAAACTCATTTTCTAGGGAGAAATTCAAGCAACGAGCTGCAGAAATTTGCATAAGTAAAGAGAAGCTGAACGATAACAGCCAAGACAATGGGAAAAATGTCTCCAGGGCATTTCAGAGATCTTCATGGCAGCCCCTCCCATCACAAGCCCAGTGGTCTAGGAGGAAAAAACGGTTTTGTGGGCCAGGCCCAGGGCCCTGCTGCTCTGTACGGCCTTGAGACATGGCGGCCTGTGTCCCAGTTGCTCCAGTTCCAGCTGTGGTTAAAATGGGCCAAGGTACAGTTGGGTCATTGCTTCAGAGTGTGCAAACCCCAAACCTTGGTGGCTTCCAGGTGGTGTTGGGTATGTGGGTATGCAGAAAACAAGAGTTGAGCTTTCGGAGCCTCCATCTAGATTTCAGAGGATGTACGGAAATGCCTGGAAGTTCAGGCAGAAGTCTGTTTCAGGAGTGGAGCCCTCATGGAGAAGCTCTACTAGGGCAACGCAGAGGGGAAATGTGGGGTTGGAGACCCAACACAGAGTCCCCACTGGGGCACTGCCTAGTGGATCTGTGAGAAAGGGGCCATCATCCTCCAGACCCCAGAATGGGAGATCTACTAACAGCTAGCACTGTGCACCTGGAAAAGCCACAAGCACTCAACACCAGCCCATGAAAACAGTCTCAGAGGCTGTACCCTGCAGAACCACAGGGACAGAGTTACCCAAGGCCTTGGGAACCCATCTCTTGCATCAATATGCCCTGAGTGTGAGACATGGAGTTAAAAGGAGATTATTTTGGAGCTTTAAGATATAAAGATTGCCCTGTTGGGTTCCTGACTTTCATGGGGCCTCTAGCCCCTTGGTTTTAGCTGATTTCTCCCATTTGGAATAGGAGCATTTACCCAATGCCTATATCCCCATTTTATCTTTGTAGTGGCTAACTTGCTTTTGATTTTACAGGCTCATAGGTGGAAGGGACTTCCCTTGCCTCGATGAGACTTTGGACTTTCACTTTTGGATTAATGCTGAAATGAGTTAAGACTCTGGGGGACTGTTGGGAAGGCATCATTGTGTTTTGAAATGTGAGAAGGACATGAGATTTTGGAGGCACTAGGGGTGGGATGATGTGGTTTGGTTCTGTGTCCCCACCCAAATCTCATCTTGAACTGTAATCCCCAGGTATAGAGGAAGGGACCTGGTGGGAGGTGATTGGATCATAGGGGCAGTTTCTCCCATGCCGTTCTCATGATAGTGAGTGTGTTCTCATGAGATCTGATGGTTTAAAAGTGTTTGGCAGTTCCCCCCACTGCTTCCTGCAGCCATGTAAGATGTGCTTGCTTCCCCTTTGCCTTCCCCCAAGATTGTAAATCTCCTGAGGCCTCCCCAGCCATGCAGAACTGTGATTCAATGAAACCTCCTTTCTTTATAAATTACCCAGTCTCAGGTAGTTCTTTAAAGCAGTGTAAAAATGGACTAATATAAAAGACATTAATATTCTCTTGATTGTTGGACCAGACTTTGGGTCACTAAAAAGATTCTCATGAAGTCACTTCTGAAGAGCTACTGGAGGAGAAAATGTAACCGTTAGTGTTAAGCCTTAAAATAAAAGGTATTTTAGATAAACATGAAGAGAGACAGAATTTTTCTTCCTTGCATGGAATATAGTGAGTATGAATTCCTCAAAACCCAAGACTTAGATATGTAAGGAAGGAAAATTATTAAAATGTTTTTTAAATTCCAATTTGATATCTCTCTAGAGACTCTATTCTTCCTAATGGAAGTAACCATAATTTTAGTCAATTTCTGGCAGTCCTTCACTTCATTTTCCCTCACTGAATTTAACTAACCTCATGGCCCCAGGGAAGTAGGAGGTACCCGGGCCATGGTCAGTAGTTGTACACGCTGTCATCTGTGAGATTGTCCTGTGTGGTTTCCAGACTTAGTCCCTGCTTTCCAGTAGTTTCCATTGAAATACTTATGTTCTTACTAATCCCCAGCTGTATGACTCAAGGTCCTTATGGAGCACCACGCCCTTGTCATGACCACAAAATTCCTTCAGAGGTCTTCATTCCGTCAACTAATTCTGTGCCTTCCATGGGGGCTGTTGTTAACCTAAACCAGTTTGGTTTTGCACAGCCTTAGATTATTTTAGTATACAGTAGTAACAACCATGAAATAGTGTCACTCTCCAAAAATTATGCCACAAATACAGACCTTACTGAAAAAAATACTTAATAGTGAGCAGACCCCAAAATATTTATACTAACTGTTCTGTAAGATTAATGAAGTCCTAGCTCTCTGTTCTTTGGGTGCTCCAACTACTTCTTTGTATGAAAAGTTTACATGAAGTATTTACTTGAATGCAACAATAGCCAGAGGCAGCAGAATCCTGTGCCCATAAGTTGGCATCAGGAAAGCAGGAATTTTCTGACTCAATGATTGGACACAGGTTCATTTAAGGGTGAAGTTTTCAGGTGTTATCCTTAAGGAGACAGATTATAAATCTGGGTGGATTTTCTCATTCTGTTCATTGAACAAGTTATCTTGAAGTTCACTAATTTCCACAATGACACCCCATTTTTAACATTTATTATGCCAAGTAGAAAAGCTTCTAATATTGATGGAGACATGAATAGCAGAAAGTGTATGTTCATATTGACTGTCTCTGAAGTGTGAGCTTTCTGATTGGAATGCCAGCTGACTACTCCTGAGATTTTAGTTCGTGATCTGGGTACCTAACCGAACCTTGGGTTACAACTGAAACCAAAATCTATATAATATTACATTGGTTATGCTGAAAGATTTCAAAATATGTTGTAGACATGCAAAGGCACAGGAAAACTTGAAAGCCTTCCACACAATTCTGCCCGGTGGTTTTGCCTCAGGTCCTCTCTGTTCTTGGCATCCCAAACAGTCCTTTGTCTTGCTGACCTCCTGTCAGAAGTGCAGAGAGCCTCTGCGAGGTTTCACCTCCCAGAGTTTTGGGCAGAACATTTGCACAGGATTTCTTTGCTCTGATCTCTAAGTAGGGAAATCATGCATAGCAGAAAAATAATTTTACAAAATGCAATAGTAAGCATCTGGTACATAGTAGGAGCTCATTTAGGATTATTGTTTGGATGAACGAATGATTGAATAGATGAAAGTGTGATATCAAAAGACCTCATGTTTGTGGATAATAAGACACAGGCAAAGGCATGGCAACCTTATGCATACTAAAAACATCTAGGTGATTGACAGAATTTGCTTCTGTAGAAATGATCATAGAGAAAACAACACACTGCCAAAATCTGTTGAGACAATTAAGATGAAGGGTCTACAGTGACTGCTTCCCATCTGTTCTTTTGAATATGAAGTCCAGGATCTCTGAGGTATCCTGATGGGGACAGAGAACTGCTATTCTGACAGTGGAGATGGGGAGAAAGCCATTAGAAGGCTTTTGTCCTGAGACTCGGTAAACAGAAAGGCAGAAGTTCCTTGCCAGAAGAAATTTGGAAATATTTACTGAATTTTAACTTTTATGTTGGAGTAAATTTATTCTTTAATTTGATTTTATTCTTATGAAACTATTCTAGGAATAATTTAAATGGTCAAATAATATTAGAATGCTTATAACAACAAAAAGTTTCCTCTCTCTTTTTTTTTTAAAGCATCCTGTTTTTATTTCATTGATGTGATAACTTCTCTCTATGAAGATACTAGAGGGTTTTTTTGTTTGTTTGTTTTGACACTTTCTTCTGCTTCTTGTGTTATGAAAGCAGAGGTAATCCACTTTTCCTTTTTCTTTTTTGGCCACTACTTTTATATCAAGGCTTTCGTTACACCCAGTGATCCTTAGCTGTCATATATATATATATATCTCTCTATCTATCTATCTATATAGATATAGATATAGATATAGATAGATAGATATAAAATATATGACATCAGGCTGGAGACCAGGAGAGCTAATGTTCCAGTTCCAATCTGAAGGCAATCTGAGATGTATATATATTATATATATATATAATATATATATAAAATATATATCAGGCATATATATTTATCAGAATATATATACACACACACACACACATATATATATATATATATATTGCCTTCAGATTGGAACTGGAACTTTGGCTGTCCTGGGTCTCCAGCCTGATAGCTCATTCTGCAGATTTTAGACTTGCCAGACTCCATAATTGCAAGCCATTTCTTTGTAATAAATCTCTCTCCCCCCATATATATACATATATACAGCATTTATATATACACACATACCCCTATTAATTTTGTTTCTCTTGAGAGCTCTAATTAGTACAGCCTCCTTCCTTACCTTAATTTCACCCTTATTCTCATTCATTCTTCAAATTGCAACACCCAGTTGTCTTCTAAAACTCAAATAGGGTAATTTCACTTCCCTGTTCAAAAGATCTACAGCACCTGCCCTAAAGTCTTGCAAGGTTCTAAGCTATCTTTAAAACTTTATCATCAACCCAACTGTTTTCTGAAATGCTGTGGCCTTTCTCCTTCAGTTCTTTTGCATGCATGGTTTCTTTTGGGAATATTCTTCTCCTTCTTTTCCATCTGGAAAATTGATCTTCATCCTTTAAGTCCCAGCCCAAATGTCACTCTTACATGAAGTGTTGCTAATGCCTTTTCCTCTGTCTCCTGAGTTAAGGGCCTTTCTCCCCCCCAGCCGCTCAAAGCCTATACTGTAGTACTTACAGAAAGAAATGCAAACAAAACTGATCATATTCCATTGGGATTATTTATTCATGTCCCTCTTTCTCATTAAACTCTGAGATCCTTCAAGGGAACCTAGTACATAGGAGGTATTCCACAAACATTTATGAAACAGACTACGAGAGCTATAGCTGCAATTTCTTCAGCACTTTTTTATTGTAGTTGGAAGATGAATGACAAAATACGAACAGAATTCATTGCAGTTGAATTTAAATTTCAGTTCTGCACATGACAGTTGGCAGAGCAAAAAAGGAAGACTGCTTTTATATTTTCTAGTACAATTATTCCCGCTTGCCACTCCCAAGGGAGGAGTGCCCCCATTAGGTCCTGCCATCTTGTTCTCTTGCTCCTGATTTAATGTTCTAACTGTTTTAATGTTTTAAGAGTCTCTATTGTATGGATGCCTCAATCTCTTTTGGAAATTGATACTTTATAAATAATAAATAGCCTAAGCCAGCTTATTGCTTCTTTTCCCAAGAGGCTTTACTTGTAAAACACTAGTTACCTTCTCCTTTTTGAGACTTTAAATATTGTTTAAAAAATAAAAGGCCAGGCCGGGCGCAGTGGCTCACACCTGTAGTCCCAGCACTTTGGAAGGCCGAGGCGGCGGATCACCTGCGGTCAGGAGTTCAAGATCACTCTGGCCAACATGGTGAAAAGCCGTCTCTACTAAAAATACAAAAATTAGCTGGGCTTGGTGGCGGGTGTCTTTAATCCCAGCTACTCGGGAGGCTGAGGCAGGAGAATCACTTGAACCCGGGAGGCAGAGGTTGTAGTGAGCCGAGATCACGCCACTGCACTCCAGCCTGGGTGACAAAGCGAGACTCCATCTCAAATAAATAAATAAATAAATAAATAATAAAATAAAATCAAATAAAAGGTCAGAAAAATATGCTTAAGGGGAGAATGACTACAAACTACCACCTTCTTCTGATTTTCTCAGATCCCACCTTTCTCCCCATGATGGAGATTCATTGTAGGGTGGACTCCAGAAGTTAGACGAAGTCACATCAGGTAGGCTCTTTCTTGAAATTATTCCTCACTCGACACCAGGCTTTCATAGTGAGAACCAAATTGATCTCCGGCTTCTGAGCTCTGAAGAAATTGATGCCTTTCCACCCCACAGCCCTGGGAAATGGATCTCTCCCTGCTGTCCAGATCATCACTGCAGCAGCTGTGTGGGATAGGGACTTCCGGAGCTCTGCTTCATGTTCTTTCTCAGACTCCGATTTCCAACAGTCAGGCTGAGTTTTCTTCAGTCTCATGAGAAGTTTACACTTCACAAAGTCTCTTGCTGCTTCTTTTACTTCCCAGATATTAGTGATTTTTGGTGTCAATTGTCTTTTCTTCAAATTCAATTTAAAGTTTCAGTCCTTTGGTAGTCGGTTCTTAAGGCACCAGCTGTGCAAACGAAGCCTTTTCTTTGTTAGGGACAGTGTTTGCAATAGAGAGGGAGAAGCTGTCAACTACTTTATTAAGGCAGATTCTTAATAAAGTAGTCTGTTTATTTTAGGGAGCCATTCAATCTCTTTGTATGTTTGATTTTTTTTTTCTTTTAAACTTCTCAGGTTATTGGATTCAGTGAGCTTTAAAATTCTTTGTTAATCCCAACATGTACCTCCTAATCTTTTCAAAAGGTTTGTTATGAGATAGGTCACCTGAGAAACCAGGAACAAATGCAAACTATGGCAGGGCACCACCATAGAATTCTTTTATGTAGCTTTGCTGGTAGGCATGCTGGATAAAGCTTTTCTCTTAAAACAAGACTGAATGGAAGCAGTACAAACTACCTAACAAAGCAAAATAGCAGCAACAAAAAAGACTTCTTTTTATAGTTTCCAGAAAAAAAAATTGCCAAAGCTTCTGAGAGAATATTGGAGTCTATTATTTTGCATCTGTTGTGGTCAAAGTTGATAGCAACCAGTTTCTCCCCAATTCAAGTTGTACAATATCTCTATTCAGGATCATCCTGAGAAACAATAAAAAGCAGCCTCATGGCTCGGTGAATAATAATCAAAGGGAACTTGACATTTAGTATGCTTTTGGTTAATTATTGCTTTAAGATGAAACGTGAAGTTAAAGTTTTGGTTCAAATTTATTTCTTCAGCCTGGGCAACAGTAGTGATACCCTATCTCTACAAAAAATAATTTAAAAAAAATTAGCCGGGTGTAGTGGTGCGCACCTGTAGTCTCAGCTACTTGAGAGGCTGAGGTCAGAGGATCGCTTGAGCCCAGGAGTTTGGGGTTACTGTGAGCTGTGGTCACACTACTGCACTCCAGTCTGCAGGAAGAGTAGGTTTGGTTTCTAAAAAAAACATTTTCAGTCAGGCTCTGCTGGTATTTCACAAACTGTTTCTTTTGGTATTAGTTTTTTCTGTGAACTGAAATTTAAGTCCTTATTTAGAGAAAGCAAAGCAATTAACTTAATGCAACACCCTGTAAATGGTACTTTTATTGGTTATAAGTAAAGTTGGTAAATAGTTTCATGTTCCTTTTATTGTTATGTAATTTAGTGCTGAGAGAAAAAAATTGCTTTGGTCAGAACTCTGTAAATCTTTTCTTTCTCCTGCTCAAAGGGAGATTCAATAGGTGGAGTAACAAAAGCCATGCAGATGGCCTCATGTGGAGGCCAAGCAGAATCAAGATCACCGTTGCAGAAATAACACAACAAAAGAATGAAGGTGGTAGTGATGAGGGACGGGATAGTCTGTGTTAAAAAGTAAACTGGGAAACAATAACGTTTTATAGAGTTTATTTGAGCAAGCAGTGATTCATGAATTGGGCAGCTCCAAACCAGAAGTGGTTCAGAAACTCCACTGAGGGAATGCAAAGGAGAGGCTTTTAACTGAGACGCCGAAGTAAAGCAAATAAAATATCCAGTTGCCTTACAGTAATCCCCCCTTATCCTTGGAGGATACGTTCCAAGACTCCCAGTAGATGTCTGAAACCATGGATAGTACTAAAACCAATATATACTCTGTTTTTTCCTATATATACATACCTACAATAAAGTTCAATTTATAAATTAGGCACAATAAGAGATTAGCAACAACAATAAGATACAACAATTATAACAATATACTGTAATAAAAATTATGTGAGTGTGGTTTGTCTCTCAAAATATCTTATTGTGCTCTACTCATCTATTTTTGGACTGTGAAACTGAAATTGTTGAAAGCAAAGCTGAGGATAAAGGGGAATACTATATTTGATTTATCCTTTTGGGAAATTTCTAGTTATATAATTTTAAGTTTGTTGGCTGTTTCTGATTGGTTGAGCTTACATTCTCTTTTTCTTTAATATAGGCATTTAAAAGAAATAGCTCAAGTTAAGTTTTGCTTATGTTTGCAAATCAAGCAAGGCTTAGCTCACTTATGAGGCCTATCTGGCTTTGTCTGCTCAGGGATTTTTTCAGTCTGTCCATTTTAATTTACTTTAACATCTGTAAGGTCAAGCTAAGGATTCAGCTGTTTTCTGGCCAGGTATTAGGCTCTTTTCTATTCTAGTCTTCCAAAAAAGAGAGAGACGGAACGTTTATTTATATATACAATGAAAATTTCATGCATATTATAAAATATTTACTACTTTTCCTTAGAATCAGACCAGTGTCATCAGATAGAATAAACTTTCCCTTTTACTCATGAGAAATGAAATAATTCTTACCATCTAATGGGTATCTAGCATGTGCTTGGTACACAGATAGGTACGATGTATATATTGCCTGATTTAAACTCCATAATTTATATTAATTTCATTTTATAAAAAAGAAAATGATCTCAGTGAAATTATAAAACTTGCCCAATGTGGTGCAGCTATTTAAAAGTGTTCACATCCCCTCAACATACACTGTAGATTGAAACGCTCTTTTATATGAACTTAATGTAGCAATAAATCTTGTATTTCCTTCACTTGAGAGCCAGTTGTTGAAGAGAATAAGCATTTTAAACTAAGGGATACATGTAATCCTTGTAGACTCCAAAGGAAAAACAAATTGTTTTTTTCTCTCTTCTTTACACTCAACATATAGAATACTTCTGTGACCAGATGTGTTGCAGTTCCCCCCACTGCCCACAAGCAATTCTCCTGAGGAAACCAGTTGAATGTCCTATCATCCAGTTCAATTCTGACACTATCTACCTGGACATAGCATCAGAGCCTGTAGGATAAGGGCATAATCTCACAAGATCACATGTCCCCACTTCAGATGCCAATCACAAGTCTCAGGATGTGACCCGTGCTTCTGACTGACCTGCCATAAATCTGTGTTCTCAAGACTCCTCTTTTTGGATTCAGTGATTTGTAGGATGGCTCACAGAGCTCAGAGAAACACTTCACTATGTTGACTGGTTTATTATGATATTACAGAAGATACAGATGGATAGCCAGATGAAGATATGGATAGGGCAAGGCATGGGGAAGCAAGGACTTCCAGAGGGTGCCCAGTCTGGGCTTGCCACCCTCCCGGCACCTCCACATGTTCGGCAACCTGGAAGCTCATCAAATCTTGTTCAAGAGTTTTTATAGAACTTGAGCTCCGTGGCTTCCACCTCCATTTCCCAGAGGTTGGGAGATGGGGCTGGAAGTTCCAGTCCTCTAATCACTTGGTCTTTCTGGTGACCAGCCCCTTCCTGAGGCTATTTAGGGGAACCACCTTAAGTGATCTCATTAGCATAAACTCAAATCTGATCAAAAAGGGCTCATTATTGTAACAAATCTCCTATCACTTAGGAAATTCCACAGTTTTTAAGTGCTCCGTGACAGGAACAAGGGACAAAGACCAAAATATATGTTATATTATACTACTCAGGCCCAACATTCTTTCAATTTAATCATTATTTATTGAGTGTCTACTATGTTCTGCTCTGTGAAAACAGGTGCTGAGGATATAGCAGTTAATAATAACTAATAAACAGTGCAGTTTTGTCACATAGTCCTGAAAAATTATTGTATTATGCACAATGCAATGACATTTGACTTTATGAACTTACTTTCTGAACAAAATAAACAAAGGGTCTTCAAATTGTTATCTACCCAGTTGCATTTCACATTACATTCCAAATCCAGAATGTATAAGAATCATAACATCTAAGAATGACATTGGTATATGCTTAACTCAGATTGTGTGTACATTTCCATAAGATTTCTTCTTTTGGCATTTAGTAGTAGACCATCAAAGTAAAAATATGGGAAGTTTATGTAAAAAAATAAAAAGCATTATTAAGGAGAAAACATTTTCCTTTCACCTTTTACATTTGGTTCTTGGGGGCCTACAAATAACAGTGGCAAAAGCCAGATTAATGAGAGAAAAAATATTTAATTCTGTAAGATAGTTCACAAAGAAATGTGGCTCTGTGGCCAGGGGTGGTGGCTCACGCCTGTAATCCCAGCACTTTGGGAGGCTGAGGTGGGTGGATCACCTGAGGTCATGAGTTTGAGACCAGCCTGGACAACATAGTGAAACCCCCTCTCTACTAAAAACTACAAAAATTAGCCGGGCATGGTGGTGCACACCTGTAGTCCCAGCTACTTGGGAGGCTGAGGCGGGAGAATTGCTTGAACCTGGGAGGCGGAGGTTGCAGTGAGTGGAGATTGTGTCGCTGCACTCCAGTCTGGGCAGCAGAGAGACTCCAACTCAAAAAAAAAAAAAAAGAAAGAAAGAAATATGACTCTGTGAGATGGTTAGAATTTGGGGCTTATATACTATCTTAACAAGGAATGAGGAGGGGAAGAGGGGCACTTCTGGAAGAACAAATGACTTTTAGGAATTATAAATGGGTCCTTAGGAGACTAGATTGGGGATATGGTAGTTTTAGGACAACGTCCGTTTGGGTGATTTCATATTCAGGTGCTGTCTTCTCATCTTTGTGTAGTCTTTGGTGATGAGTCTTCCCTGGCTGTGAAATTTCTAGTCGGGGGGTGGGGAGCATTTATGACAGTTGGGGAGGCTTTGCTTTTAGGAAGTTAAAGGGAATTCAGAAAAAGCCTCTTCCTGCAGCTGTTGATTCTTAAATGTCTTTAGCTTAAAATAATCCTTATGTCACTGTGGTATATTCTGGACCCCTTCAGCATATATATTAGTCACCTTAATAAACACTGCTCTTAGTAAAGGATCTACAAAAGTGTCTAAGTACTTATTTATTAGAGAATTCAGTCTAATGATAGGTAAATTTTTATTTATTTTGTAATGATAGGTCAGATTTTAAGTCCGCATGGAAAATAAAACTTTTTAATGAATTTATTACAGCTTCGCTAGTGCCCTTTTCCTTTGTTGGTACCACAGTACAAAAAAGATGACCTTTTCTAGCGATGTTTTGCATCAGCAAGAAACATCAAATCTTTTGGGAGTGAGATTGTTTTTAACATGTAAAAGATTTTGGATTATTGCAGAGAATGCAAGGACTGAAGCAGAGAGAAGTTCTTAATTGATAATATACCCAGAGGGGAGCATATCCTTTTAAGTATAACACTTCAGAAGCTATTGGCAGGGGGCAGGGGTGGGAGTTTGGGAGAGGAAAGAATGCTTTTTAATCTTTGAGTACTTAGTTGAAAAATGATGTCATATATTTGGTTGTATTGAAGCCGTTCTCACAGGGTTAACAAGAATTCTGGACAGAAATATAGTTATATTAAACATTAACCAGGTTGCACTTGACCCACTTCCTTGTAACCAAAAGTTGTGTTGCACTTGACACTGACTGTTTGCATTCCTGTGGTTCCTATAGACAGGATTTCTGACATTAGAATCAGAAGGCTTTTACTTAACATAGATAGAATTTGTGATGTTAGAATCATAAGGATTTTGTTTAAGAATTGCATACAATGTTTTTTAGATCTCAAATTCCAGGGAAAAAGCTGATACCGACCAATTTGAAGACCCCCACAGAAGAAGGGAAATAACATGAGAATACAGTTTGTATGCAGTCCTCCCTGTCTAGGACTTCCATCTGCTATCTTTGACCAATCAGCAATCTCTACACTTCAGCCCACTCCAAAATCCTTAACAACCTTAGCCCCAGACTCCTAGGGGAGACGGAATAGAGGTTTCCTCCCATCTTCTTGATCTGCAGCTCTATGATCTGCTGTAACCCGGTGTCTCAGGGCATTGACTTGCCATGCATATTGGACAATGGACCTATTACGGTTCCAGTATGTCTCATATGTCTTCTTGGACCTGTTTTTTAAATGTTTTTAAAATGAGACAATGTACAATACAAATTTGGAATAATTTTACAACATATTAAAGTCAGATAAGAAACAGGCAAGATACACGGAATTAAAACTTACCATAAAGGTTCATTTTTTTTTTTTTTTGCTAGAATAGGGAATTTCTCCAAAATGTATTTGAAAACCATTAAGAACTCAACTGAGACAGTGACTTCAATGATCCAGTGAATCAAAGAGGCCACAGTGATTAATTTTAACTAATTCTTTGTTTAGATCAAATTGAACAAACAGCCTTCCTATGCAGTTTTGATATTGGATTATTTTTTTTTCACTGTAGGAATGCAGAGTAATTGATATCTCATATTTAAGTTATAAGAACTGCTTGAGAAATTTGAACATTGAAGGAAAGACCTTTGGAATTTGAAGAGCTATGCCACTAACAACAGACATACATATAGTTGTTCATTTAGCAAAGTACACCACGTGGATGCTACATTTGGGAGGAATTTTGATGGGTGCATTACAAAGTCTGACTAAAAGCAATGCATGTTTGGTGGTGATGTTAGTTCTTTTAATCACTCCTGATGGACCATCCATATCTTCCTATGACCACATGTCCGATGCAGAGGAGAAAAGATTATTTTCCTCACCCACTGCTAGGTTCATTGCTGAGACCCCTATAACAAAAGACAGACTAACAAGTGGAAGGCATGCAAATGTAAAATTTATGTGATATGGGCACTTTCAAAAATGAATGATAACTCGAAGAAACAGAAAAAAACTGTGTATTTTTATGGACAGTCATGCAGAAGTATGATTGGAAGATAAAAGGATATGATCTAAAGGTAATAAACTGCAGGAACAAGCAAGGCCTGTTTTTCAGTTTCTTCTTGATATTTCTGTGCCTTTGAGGACAAGGATGTTTCTCTCTTTGGGGTATAGGGAGGACCCCTCTAGAATGAAGGTCTTATAACCTACTTTAGGGAAAGACCAGAGAATTTCTGCTTCAGTGAAGAAGGAGCGAGAGGAAGGTGAGAATGACCTTCCCGCTTCTGCTTTGTCTTCAAATGCCAAGGTGTCACATTTTTTGGTAGCATGTCTCTAACCCTCTCATGGATAAAGAAGGCTATTACTGATTTAAAGACCATTTGAATCAAATTGTAGGACATTCTGCCATTTAGTAACTTTTTAAGAGCCCCAGTAATACCACAAGCAAATACATACATTAACATATATTACTTAATCAATAATACATACATACCATCCATCCTACTATTTACTTTGAGTTCCAATGCTACCTAAAATGAAAAGTTTTTAATGCATTTTAGGAGCCGAAACAGAATTCTGTTTCCTGTGTGATACAGAAAAATAAGAGCAAAATTGAGCTTTTGATGCTTTAGGCAATCACAGATTAATGAGAATGTGAGTTCTTGGCACTAGGAAGGAGCTCTGCATTTAATATTATCTCTCATATTTGAAGATGATGCTTGACAGCTTGACCATGATGCCAAATAAAAAAGAAACTTTCCTGTTTGCAGAGACTATTTGTGTTCATTAGGGTACTAGCTAAGTGGCTATAACTTGAAGACCTCAAATAAAGAGGTATAAACTAGAAAAATGTTTATTTTTCTCTTACTTAATAGTCCAGAGGTAGGTGAGCTGTCCAGGGCAAGTAGACAGCTCTTTTCCTGTCATCCAGGGACCCAGGGACCCAGGCTCCTCCCATCTTTAGGTTATATCATCCTTTAGGATGTCTCATGGCCACTGTGTTTAAGTTCGAACCACTAGAAGGGGAAAGAAGGACAGGGCAAGCAGATTCCTTTTAAGGTTATGACAGTGTTGAAATTTACCTGAGCCCTGTGATCCTGAAAAACAGCCATGATTAAAGAAATCCTGCCACCCATTGTGTTCTAGGAAACAGCAGCTTACTCAACCACGACTTTGTTAAGAATCAAGGATGCCCGATATGGTTTGGATTTGTGTCCCTGCCCAAGACTCATGTTGAATTGTAATCCTCAGTGTTGAAGTAGGGGCCTGGTGGGAGGCGATTAGATCCTGGGGGTGGATTTCCCTCTTGTTGTTATTGGGATAGTGAATTCTCACAAGATCTGGTTGTTTAAAAATGCGTAGCACCTCCCCCTTCTCTCTCTTCCTCCTGCTTCAGCCATGTAAGATGTGCCTGCTTCCCCTTCACCTTCTGCCATGATTGTAAGTTTCCTGAGGCCTCCCAGCCATGCTTCTTGTAAAGCCTGCAAAAACTGCGAGCCAATTATGCCTCTTTTCTTTATAAAGTACCCAGTTTCAGGTTATTTCTTTATAGCAGTATGAGAACAGACTAATACAATGCCCCTCTTGTTTTCCTATGACAAGGCCAGACACAGACTTTCCAAATTCCTATTCTTTGCCTTTGAAATTATCAGCTGGACTGTTTTCTCACCACCGATCAGTGGAAACAAAATGCTTACTAACCAAACCTTTGTTAAGATTTTCTCCTTCCTCTAGTCCCCTGAACTCTTGCCTGCTTTAAGCCTGAGTCAGCCATACAACCCTTCCTTAAGGATCTCTGCCAAAAAAATAGACTGGTCTCAGGGTAAAACATTCCTGGATGTACTATCTGATCCTTCCATACTTTCATCCCACTTCTCTACATCTACATCTTTCTGGTCTTGTTTACTTCTCTTTAGACAAGAAAAATCCTTTTTGCCTAAAGCTTGCAGATCTTATAGTCAAATGTTCTCCTTTGTGCAATAGTCCCTCTCTTACTCTTTGCAAAAGTCCTTTTGAATAAAGTCCAGATTTGTTTTTAACTTGACAGATATAAACCAGAAGTTCCATTGGTTGGAGCCTAGCTACAAAGGGGCCTGGGAAGAACACTGTCTAGCTGGACAGCTAAATCCAGCTAAAACTCAAGAGTTCTATTATTAAACAAAAGAATCAGGTAATATATATTAGAAGACAATTGCCAGTATCTGCCACTCTCTTCTCACAGTAAGATACTGTTTGTAGTTCTACATTTCTTCTCTCAGACTGGTACTTTTGGACAAAATAGGTAACTCAGAATCTGGTTGTCCCTTGTCGCTTTTGTCTTCCTGTCAGTTTCCTGGCACTTGACTACTCTGCCATGTTTCTGAAAATGTGTCAAAATGGTCTTTCTTCCAAGTAAAACGCTTAGGGCTTCTCAAATTCAGCTTAGGACTTAGAGCTTCTAAAGTTCTGTTTAAAACCTAATCAAACTTTGGAAAATGTGGTTTTTTTTTGGTGTGGAAACAGCTGGGCTTTGTCCTTACTGTATATAATTATGGAGGCTGAGCAATCCTACCAGGCAACCCTGGTTTTTAGAGATGGATGGCTCTGGTATCAAATCCTGGCTCTGCCAGTTACTAGCTGAAGAGCCTTAAGTGTGGTATATAACCTCATGAAGGTTTGTTTTCTTCTCTATAAGAGTACTAAAATCTATATTGTAGACTTATTGCAAGAATTAGAGATAAAATTTAAAAAATGTCCAGTATAATGCCTGGCCTTGGCATACGCTAAAAAAATGGCAGATGCTACTTTAATTATTTGATACAACTTTTCTTTGGAATTCTTCCATTACATATCTTCCAGGTGCCTCATCATTTTGCATTGCTCTCCCTCGTCTGATTCTACACCCACATTTCATATTTCTAGATGTCATGCTTTGCAGTCCTCAACATTTTTGCTTGTCCTCTTCTCTGCTCTCAAAATTACCTAATTTGGGTTTAATTCTTTCAAGGTTCTAATTTCTCATTTTAGATATACAATTTCTTTTAGAAAAGTAATTCTGCCAGGCTGGGCAACATGGCAAGATCTCATCTCTACAAAACTAAATAAATTAGCTTTGTGTTGTGGCATGCACCTGTAATCCCAGCTACTTGGAAGGCTGAGGCAGAAGGATCCTTTGAATTCAGGATGTTGAGGCTGCAGTGAATCATATTCACTCCACTGCACTCTAGCTTGGGCAACAGAGTGAGACCCTGTCTCTAAAACAAACAAACAAACAAAAAATTCAATTCTGGTGTTCTGGAACTACAACAAATAGGAAGGATGAGTTAGATCTTTGGTTGTTTTTGAATTGCATCATGCTGGGCTTCTGGCCATCAGAATTACCCAGTGATATTTTCTAAAGAATCCGCTTATTACCTATTTTCTGCACATATTAGGAGCAGTAGAATTTCATTGCTCCCACTTATTGAGAAAATTCCCGCAAAGATGTTTAAGTGGTCAAAATTCATTGCATATCTTGGTAGCATGCATTTTGATGGAATATGCACAAAGTAGTGATTGATACTAGTTGCAGAATCCACTCCCCAAAAGGGAGAAAAATGGAATCACTCATATTCTTTCACAGTGCTGAGATAGTATCTGTGAGTGAATGCACAAGATTCTTATTTCAGGTATATATGGCTTTAAATTGATATCTACAAGTCATATTGTGGACTTCCTTATGTGTTCATTTGGTATAGATTATTAGAAGTTTTAAAGTCCCGTCACTGAACTTGTTTTTCTAAGAATAACCCTTCATATTTGAGTTCTTGCCAAATTCAGTCTTAATCATTATGCAACAAAATATTCTATGTCATCTGTTGGTGTGTTTACAAAGGAATGAGCATAAGCACATATGTATTTACGACCAAAAAATTAATCTTAAAAAAAAAATCACTCTAAGTTATGGGGAATTCTGGAAGCTTCTGAGTAAGCCAAAAGACAAGTTTCATATAAGGAGGTTCAGTAATTTTTGTTGCATTTGATGAGAATAAAACAAGACTTCACATATTACTAGCAGCTCAACTTGGTGCTAAGACTAAAGTTTCCCTGATGATGAAGCATTTTTGCCTTTCCCCAAGTCTTAGTGCAGGATTTGAGGAATAGGGATATAAATAAGACAATGTGTTGAGTAAGTTTCTGAGATGGAGAAGAAGGTTGCAAGAGAATAACTGAATGGTTATCAGACAATATTTGATGTCAATGTCTAAAAATTATTCCTCTGCCACATTCCCTTTTGGAGAGCCTACAGGCTAACTGGTGATAGTTCCAGGAGTGAATACATTCAGGAGTAAGTCTATTTCAAACACAAAAAATACTCCTTTCCTCCAGTCAATATCTTAATATCTTGAAGAAATTAATTTTTTTTTTTTTGAGACAGGGTCTCACTTTGTCACCCAGGCTGGAATGCAGTGGTGTGATCTTGGCTCACTGCAGCCTCAACCTCCTGTGCTCCAACGCTCCTTTTGCCTCAGCCCCCAAAGTAGCTGGGACTACAGGCTCACGCCACTATGCCCAGCTAATTCTGTGTATTTTTTGTAGAGGTGGGGTTTCGCTATGATGGCCAGGCTGGTCTCGAACTTCTGAGCTCAAGTGATCTGCCTACCTTAGTCTCCCAAAATGCTGAGATTACATGTGGGAGTCATGGTGCCTGGCTGAGATTCGATTTTTAAAATCTTTATAATATGCTTGAAATTATTCCATCTCTCCATCACCCTTGCCACTAAGTCCAAGTCACCATCATCTCTGGCTTGGATTATTGCAATGGGTTCTTAACTTGTCTATCCACTTTTGTATTTTTTCAAATTATCACAAGGTAGCCAGAGTCATTTCCTAAAAACAGAAATCAAATCATGACACTCTTCTCATTAAAACCTCTCAATGGTTTCTCACTGAAGTTAGAGGAAAATCCAAACTTCGTCCCATGTCCTACAAGACTGAATACTCTGGCTTCTGAAGGTCTTTCAGCCTTGGCAGCTTTTCTTACTGAGCATTGCTCCAGACCCTTGGGTCCTTCGTCGTTGTCAGTTTGCTGAGTGCTTTCCTGCTCCGCCTCTGCTCTCTGCTCTCTCCCAGTCTTCACAGGGCATTTTCCTCATTGCAGTTTAAACATGAGCTCCTCAAGGAGGCCTTTTCTGATTACCCCATTTAAGTAGGCTCTCCTTACTCTGGTGTTCTCAATCATAGCACCCTGTCTCCTTCGTAGCTTTTATCATTATTTGTAATTACATACTGATTTATTTGTTTATCATATGTCTCCCCTACAAATGTGTAAACTCCCTAAAATGCAACGGCCATATGTAACTTATTCACCACTCATTATTCAACCCTTAGAACATGCCAAGAACATAGTAGGTGCTCAATAAGTAGTTGTTGAATGAATGGAATGAACAATAATTACACAAACAAATAGCTATTGGACCTTTATTATGTGTTGGGCACTTGGCCTACCATAATAATAATGTTTTACCTTTATGAGAAGCCTGTGAAAGAGATACTGACATCTCTGGTTTACCGATGAAGAACTGGAGGATTAGAGACTTTAAATAACTTGTCCAAAGTTTCACAGCTAATAGGTGACAGAGATAGGACTCAAACTTAGTTCAAGCTTAAGATTCATGCTACTGTATTAACTACTACTATCTATCATTTATTTTGCAAATATTTATTGAGGATATAAAGTGAATAAAAGTACTGGGAAATAAGGAGCAGCAGTAGTAATAGTTATATGCTAACTGACATTTGAAATACACTTATAGATGAAATTACCAGATGATATTTGCAAAGCATCAAGCACAGCACTACAGTGTACTATACAGAGGGATTGCAGAGTCAAGACATAATTGAGAGCGCCCAGTGACTGATAGAAGGTCCTGCCACGAAGAGTTGTGGATGTGGTTTGGAGACATCTCTGGCTGAGCCTGATCTGCTGCTAGAGAGGAGACAATGGTGCATCTTAACAAATGACAATGCTGCTTCTGGTGTGATAGCAGCAGACTCAAATCAGGTTTTCAGTCTACTTTTAAGGAAACAGATGGTAATGTATACCTTATAAATGCTTGCAGGCTTTGTGGATAAAATGTCCTTTCAAGCCATTTGGAAATGTTCCACAGATCTGTGTTGTTATGGTGATGCAATGGAGCAGACGTAGAATAAGATTTGTAAAGAGAAAACAAAATCCAGCTCTTAAGGCTTACAGTCTGTCCTAGCCTAATTTATTTCTCTTTGAAAACATGGGGAGGTTCTTGGGGAATTAGAAAATGTGAAAACATTGAGACGTTGCTCTAGCCTTTAGAAAGCCATGGGGCAGACTATACTAATACACCATCAAATTAAATCATGAAGTTCCCTTCTAAATTTATCAGTATTAAAGAGGCAGCTTCAGAGTTTCTCTAAGAAAGAGCCACATACTAATTAAACAGCAGAAAGTTTTGCTTGAGCAAAAGGTTAAGATGCTTAAATATATAGTTTTCCATGTATCTCTAAAAATCTCGGATAAAATAATTATTGTTTGTGTCAATCATTTATTTGCTCTTAAATTCCTTTTATTATATTTAGGTTGAGAAATGCTTCATGCAAAAGCACATTTCAATGAAGTTTATTTTAACACCTCCATTTAGGGGTTTATTTGTAAATAGAAATAGGACATTTCAGACACTGATTGGACTGATTAATGGCGCTCATCAGGAAGAACCAAGGGATCATAATTAAACACCCAAAGTACATGGTCTGATGGTTTTATGTTGTATAAATTATGCATGAGTTTGGCATTTATATTTCATGGAAAAATTACAGTGCTGTTTCCTTAATGCATTGTCTACATAAAGAATATTATATGTGTGTGAATATGAATATGAATCTACAATCCCTGATGTACTTTTTTTTAATAATCAAAAATTTCAAGCAAAGATTCAATAGTTTCAGCTTAATGATGCAGGAGGTTCCACTTCTCTCTACTGGATGCTCTACACTATTCACCCTTTCAGAATAGCCAACTATTTAACATAGGAATGAATCTAGACACTGTTACCTTTACAGGCAATTGCTCCCGGAGTTGTGGATTTCACAGAATATAAAGAGACAGCCAAAGTCAGGTGAAAATAGCCACTTTTGGAGTGCAATAGAGTAGCTACCTTTTTATTTTTCTGGATACGAATGTGGAAAATAAAACCAACTGTTATTACTGTTATTTCATGTAAGGACATAACTATAAAATTCAAAATGGAATATGTTTCCCTTTATTAAGAACTCTCTACATTGTGCTTATTTTTCTTATCTCACCTCCAAACTCTAAAACTTATTATTCATAGCATGACGCCAACCTGTGGGCCAACCTTTGGAAATGATTGCTTCACGAGTCATTAGCCTTTACTTCCTAGGTAATATTTACATATCATTGGCAATTGGTAACACCAGGGTCATATCACTTTTATGCCCAGTCTCTTAGGACAAAGGCTCTAGGTTAGCTATTAAAAACATGAGACCTGTCTCAAGGTCTCCTTTATATGACTCTCTACTTGCTAACCAGACTCAAGCCACAGTGGCCTTCTTTCAGCTCCTTGAATGCGTAAGACCTCCATGCTTCAGAGTCTCAGATACTGTTCTTTCTGTCCATACCATTCTTTCCAGCATTCTTCTCCTGGTGAATACCTCCTTATTCTTTAGGACTCAGTTTAAATGTTTTCATAGTGACCATCCCAGACAACCCATCTCAGATAGGTTTCCCAGTTAGGCTTTCTAACAAAACCTGTAGCTTCGCTCTGTTAAACTTACAATTAGTAGACTTTAAGAGCCCCGAAAGCATAGTGCTGGATAGGCTTGTCTTCGTATTCCCATCACCTACCATATGCTTGTCACGTAGCTGATGCTCCATAAACATTTGATGAATGATTAATAATTAATTATAACAAATTGATAATAACAATTGCTATTACCATTTATTGAATGCAGACTTTATTTCAGGTACTTTATATGGAATCATTGTTTTTAATCTTCGCAATAAGTCTCAGAGGGAGTTCTTTCTATGTTTATTGTATGAATGAAGAAACTGTAGTTCACAGGTTGGGATTTTTGTCCAAGGTTGCCCGGACGGTAAGTGACAGTGCTAGAGGTTTTGTTTGTTTTTTTCCCAAGGAGTATTTGGCTGGGCATGGTGGCTCACACCTGTAATCCCAGCACTTTGGGAGGCTGAGGTGGGTGAATTGCTTTTGAGCTCAGGAGTTTGAGACCAGTCTGGGCAACATGGCAAAACCCCATCTCTACAAAAATACAAAAATTACCCGGGCTTGGTGGTGCATGCCTGTAGTCCCAATTACTCAGGAGGCTGAGGCAGGAGGGTCACCTGAGCCTAGGAGGTCAAGGGTGCAGTGAGTGTTGATGGTGCCACTGTGCTCCAGCTTGGGCTACAAACTGAGATCTTGTCTTCAAAACAAAACAAAACAAAAGTATTATTTGTATAAATTTAAGGGGTACAGTACAAGTGTAGTTTTGTTGCACCGATATATTGTGTAGTGGTAAAATCTGGGCTTTTAGTGTAATCATCACCTGAATAAAGTACATTGTACCCATTAAGTAATTTCCTATCCCTCACTCCCCTCCCTCCCTCCCAAATGGAGTCTTCAATGTCTATTATTCCAGACTCTATGTCCATGTGTATATATTGTATGAGAGCTAGAGTTTTAACCTAACTATGTCTTGTTTCAGAGTTGATGATCTTGGCTCTATCATGCTAAGGTATTTTTTTACTGAAGAACAAGGAGTTATTAATACACAAAGATAATTTCTTATTTTCCAGCTAATTATTATAAAAAGCATCTATTGATTGTTTTGGTTCTCCATTGCTATATTAAAAAATAACCAATTAGTGTCTTAAAATAGCAAGAGTAATGTATTTGTTTTTAAATCTGCAATTTGAAGGGGGCTTGATGGGATAGTTCATTTCCATCTCACACGGTATCCGTCCTGGAAGCTTGATTGTGTCTAAGGATCTAGTTCCTAGAAGGCTCACTCATATGGCTAAAGTTGGTGCTTGCCAGGACTAAGCTGGGCTGTCAGGCAGGGTCTTGATGGCCCTCAAGGTGGCCTCTCCACGTGGCTAGGGTGGGCTTTTCACAGTATGGTCTCTGGTTTTCAAGAGGGAGTGTTTCAAGAACAAGCATTCTAAAAGGACAAGCCCTGATGTGCAAGTCTCTATTTTCATTATGCCAACGAAAATACCGTTGGCCAAAGCCAACCAAATGGTCAATCCCAAAGTCAAGGTCGGAAGGGACTACCCAGGAAGGTATGGTTCACTTGGAGCAAGAAGTACCAAAGGAACAATCTGCCACATTGCTCGTCAAAGCAGAATGGTAGAAACAAAGCTCTTTTGGTCTCACTTGTTTTTAGTATTTTTAGTCTTTATTTATTAAAACATGAAGTGATAGCTGACTCACAGGTGGTCACTTCCCCAATTAATATTCTTTTGAGAAAAAACACAACTGAAACTGGAGAGTTTCTTTATCCTGCTTGCAGGACATGCGACAGGGGTGTGGCTTGCTTCTTCCATCGCCTACTGCGCAAACCCCTAGGGGTAGCATGCAGACAGGCAGGTGCAGAGGCCGTGAGCTTTTGGGCTCCAGCCCCACGGCAGCATCTAGGGGTGGGTGTTTGAGACTCCTGAAGCCCAAGAGGGCCTGTGCTTTTTCAGCTTTGTCGGCTGCAGACGGCTTGGGTTAATCACCTCTGTAGACCCTCCGCCTTATGGCAAGCGCAGAGGGCCAGTGTGACAGCTTTCTGTATTCTGAGTGCTTGCCCAGTGTACCCGAAGAATTGGAACACATGTGGGCTTAAAGGATGAGTGCAAGATTTTATTGAATGGTAGAGGTGGCTCTCAGCAAGATGGAAGGGGAGCCGGAAGTGGGGGTATGGAGTGGGAAAGTGATCATCCCCTGGAGTCCCGCTGTTCTGGCGGATATTGAGACGCGCCTCCTCCCTCCTTCGCTGCTGGGCCTCCCTGCCACTTTCCACCGCTCTCTGCCGCTCTGTTCCTCTGCTCCTCTGGTCATACTGAATAGGAATGGGCCCCTAATCTAATATGACTGGTTTCTTTGTGAAAAGGAGAAATTTGAACACAGATATGCATACAGGAAGAACACCATGTGAAGAAGAAGACAGGGATCATGGTGATGCAGCAGAAGCCACAGAATGCCAGGTTGCCAGCATGCCACCAGAAACTAGGAGAGCAGCATGGAGCAAAGTTCCCCTCACAATCCTCTGAAGAAACCAACCCTGCTGACTCTTTGATCTTTAGAGCTGTGAGACAATAACGTTCTCTTATCTGAGCCACCCAGTTTCTGGTACTTTGTTACAGCGGCCTGAGTAAACTAATGCAAGCACTAACGACTGTCACAATCTCTAGCATCTCTTCTGTTTTCCTTTAAAAGTGCTTCTTTTTTTCTTCTAAGTTTTCCTTTTTGTTTTCATCCTGCACATATTGTATACTTGAGCATTAGTTAGAGACAACCTATTTTTTTTTCCAATTTAAGACTGAAGTTATTTACAACTCCTTTTTTTTCCTCTGATTAGATGCAATTTCTGCAAATATTTCCTTATAACATCTCTTGAATTCTCTTACTTTTCTCTCTTTTGTAATTTAAGCCTGTCTCCTCTTACATGGCAGAGTGATAGGTTTCTACTTCGTTTCTTGGTCTCAATTCATGCCTTGCTGCTATTCATTTTACATATTCTTTTCAAAACAGCCTACTTCAAACACCAGTCTCTATACATCATTTCTCTACTTGGTTCTACTATGTCTTATTATTTTCTAGCCCATTTTTCCTATCTCTGGGTTTATTACCTCTCTTCCTCTCTCCTTCCATACCTCTTTCTGCCTCTTTCTGAATTTTCGCTATGATTGGGCATGGCTTGTCTGACCTAGCCAAAAACACCTGATGGGTTGCTGATTGCTATGCTCATCTTAGTAATTTTTCCTTGGTGCTTTTGCATGATTTTCTTATACAGAATGTTCTCTCTAATAATTTCTTTAATGGTCATCTTAGAAATCCTTTTCCCAGGGAACCTTAATGGATAACACCATCCATACTACTCTTAACCCTCTCAGCAGTTATTTAGTTTACATTATTATTATTCTTAATATGAGCCAGGCATTGTGCTAAATGGTCTATATGAATTATTTAATATACTTCTTTTGCCAGTACAGTAAATTAGATAGTATTACTCATATTTTAAAGATCAAAGTTCAGTGAGGTTAAAACCCATTGAATCTTTTATAGCTAGTGAGAGTGATGATGATTTCACAGAAAAATTACTTTGGGTATAATATATTTAAAAAAAGTGCACTAATTTTAAGAGTCCTTGAGGAACTTTGACATATATAGATATGTGTGAGTGTGTGTCTGTGCACACGTGTGTATATATAATCTCCCTATAATCATCATCCCAACAAGATATGGGATATTTCTATAACACCAAAAGCTTTTCCATGCCTCTTTACAGTGAATCCTCCACTCACAGGCTCAATGACCCAATTTCTGTCACTACGGATTAGTTTTGCTTGTTTTAAAATTTTGTGTAAGGTCAGGTGTGATGGCTCATGCCTGTAACCCCAGCACTTTGGGAGGCCGAGGCAGGTGGATCATCTGAGGTCAGGAGTTTGAGACCAGCCTGGCCAACATGGTGAAACCCCATCTCTACTAAAAATACAAAAAATTAGCCAGGCATGGTGGTGCATGCCTGTAATCCCAGCTATTTGGGAGGCTGAGGCAGGAGAATCACTTGAACCTGGGAAGCAGAGGGTGCAGTGAGCCAAGATGGTACCATTGCACTCCAGCCTGTGCAACAAGAGTGAAATTCCATCTCAAACAAATACAATAAAATAAAATTTTGTGTAAATGGAACCATACAGTATGTTCACTTTGGTTTCTGGCTTTTTTTGCTCAGCATCATGGTTTTGAGATTTATTCATGCAGCATGTACATTAGCAGTTCTTTCCTTTTAATGCTAAATAGTATTCCATTATATGGGTATAGCGCAATTTGTCTACCTATTCACCTTTTGATGTTCTTTGGTTTCCATTTTTTGGCTATTTTGAATAAGGCTGCTATAAAAAATTTTGTAGACGTTTACATATTTACAAATGTTTTTATTTCTCTTGGGAAAATGCCTAGGAGTAGAAATTCTGAGTCATATGGTAAGTATACATTTAACCCCCATAAGAAACCAACAAATTAGTTTTCTAAGTGAGTATACCATTTCACAGTTCCATCAAAAATTTATCAAAGTTCCTGTTGCTTCACATTCTTGCCAACAGACGGTATTGCCAGTCTTTTCAATTTTAGTCATTGTAGGGAAATGTAGTTACAGCCCACTATGGTTTTATTTTTCATTTCCTTGATGGTTAATGATGTAGGGAATATTTTCATGTGCTTCTTAGGCATTCATATGTCTTTTTGTAAATTTTTGTTTAAATATTCAGCCCATTAAAAAAATTTAGTTGTTTGACTTCGTGCTGAGCTGGAAGTGTTCTTTATGTATTCTGGGTTCAAGTACTTTGTGAGACATATCAGTTATGAATATTTTCTCCCAGTCTGTGCCTTGCCCTTTCATTTTCTTGATGATGTCTTTCAAATAGCAAAAATCATAATTTTTTAAAGTCTAATTTATTTATTTTTCCTCTGCAGGGCAGTGTTTTTTGTGACGTGTTCAAGAAAGATCTGCTTTTCCCAATGTCATGAAGCAATTTGGTAGGCTGTATCTTTCAAGAAGTTTGTTGATTTCATCTAATTTTTCTAACGTATTGGCATACATTGGCTAATAATATACCATTAAAATTGTCAAGAATGTGAAGGGCTGAGATTTTACCCTACTTGCAACTTAAGTTTATCTGCTATAGTTTCATGGATGCTGCAGAAGACACAAGACTCTCAGTCAGAGATGGAGAGTTCATTACTCACAGCAATAGCAGTAAAGTATCAGCATTTTTTCAGCAGTTCCCCAAAATCTAGTTACCACAGGGTGACACTAAGAGGGCCAATAACACCTGCATATGCAGGAGGTTGTATTACAGAAGGGAACACTAATTCTTAGGGAAACCTAGAATTTCATAATGATCAGTAATCATACCTTCCCTTTATTCTACATGGTGTCACTATCTGTATGTATCTCACGAGGCTGCAAGAAAACCTGATATTACTATCAGAATCATTGCTAGAGAGTTCACTAATTAACATAAAGGTTACTTATTTAATATATTTATAAATACTCATAGAACATTTATTATATGCCAGACCCTGATCTAAGCAATTTGCGAATATCATCTCATTTAATTCTCATAATAACTCTACAAGGTAGGCATAGTTATGATTCCTATTTTACTGATGAGAGAAAAGAGGCACAGAGAGTTTAAATAACTTGTTCAAGGTTATGTGGCTAGTAAGTGGTACAGACAGATTTGAACCCAGACAGCCTGACTGCAGAGCCTACATTCTTTATCATCATACTGTGCTGCCTCTGTTGGAAATCATTGTTAGTTGGTGAAATAAGTGGTATTTAAAATATGTTTGTTGACCCAAAATCATATAAAGACACCTCTATAAATGTTGCATAACAATATTGCATCATAATATTACATATTAATAAGAACTAAGGAGCCCATTGGCCTAAAGCTCTTTGAAGAAGCCCTCAGGCCAAGGATTCCATTTAATCCATCTACCACTTAATGGAAAATGCCGTTGTCTAATTCAAGTAGAAGATTAGCTGATTCTAATGCTAAAATATTCCCACATTCTTGCAAGACAGATGTTTGAGGGCCTAACATCTGAGATGGGACTTCACCAACCTTAGAGGTTGTATGGCATTTTTAGTGCCTGTTTCCTAATAAAAATTTGCATTTGCCACAATATTTGGTCTGAGATTTGCCTTTATTATAACATCCTATCTTTTGGTAAGACTGTGGGTAGAGTTCTCATCTACTGTTAAGTGCCAGAGATCACAGACATTTACCAAAAAGAACCAGATAATTCTGAAAGGCTCAATTGGCTTTAGCTCAGTTAACAATGTCATGTTTGTCTGACTCAAAACGTCTGTGCTTTTGTTCAGGTTACAGCTAGGTTTTAATAATCCTCCATTTTGTACTTTAGAAAAATACAACTCAATTATTTTTTTTTCTTGAAAGAGGTTGGCAAAAAAGTTCCAATTGTGCAAATGGCTAAGAGTGAAAAGAAAGTTTCACATCTACCCCTGTCTTAAAGTCCTCCTTTGTAGACAAAACCACTGTATTTACAAATTCTTCCAGAAGTATTTTATGTGCATATAAACATATGTTTTTAACCTATTTTAATTGTCTTTTATGTGTCATCTCGTATCCCCAAATACATTTTGTGTTCATTGAGGGAACATTGTTTATTCCATTTTTTATTCTTCTACACTGCTCAATGTAGTTTCTCGAAAAGAGAACTCTCAATAAATGTGTTTTGCTGTTTTCAGTTTGGGTAGGATGAATAATCAAGAAAGGAGAGATATGTATCAAATTAAAGGTGATGTTCTGGCGTCCAAATACCTGAAAACTTCAGACTGTTAAGTGAAATTGTACACATACCAATTAGAATGGTTAACTTTGAATCAGAAGTGCTTTCATTTACGTATTTATGACTATATTCTAAATATCCCCAAATTTCGGCGGCTTTAGTTACAAATGAGGCCATGTTAGCATATATCTTTATTTTGTTAGCTGGCTGATTACCACTGGTACAACCTGTAAAACTCCCTAGCCATTCCTGGGATTCACATGTATTCACAAAATCACTCTAGCGCTATTGCATTTAAGTGTTTTTGAGAGCTGCTGGGCGCAAGCTGCCTTACAGTGACCTCTGTGCAAATGGCACTTCTCTATCCAGCATACTTTCTTACAGCGCTCCCCAAGCTGCAAAATCTCCACCTTGCCGAAGACTACTGGATTCCTCTCCATTTTTACTGCAACACTGGAGCCATGCTATGTTGTTTGCAGAAATGATAAAATACCCTTTCCCCAGCTCTGCCTTGAAGATTGTTAATCTGGTGCTAATCTCACAAAGTTCTTTGTGTAAACAGCCACTTCAACCTTTCTCTGCAGCCTTTTTTCTGTATTATGGTTCAGAGTGAGTCCCTAGGGCAGGGTATTAAATGAACTAGATACTGTGCTTTGTGTTTTTTTTTTTTGGACCAAGCATCCACACACAAAACTGTTCTCTTCTGTCCCTATTTGGCCCCTATAAATGGTTGCTGAAGGAGGGATGGCTGTTGCCAACCAAACAAATCCAATCTCAACTGTGTAACATTTACCCTAGTTGGTTTATCTAGTGGAAACATAGAACGTGGTTTACCAAAATGCCTGGTATACGGCTTTATATCCTATTTGGTGACATTTAGAACTCTATATTTTGGACTATCTCTAAAACATCAGCATTTTTCTTAATCTTCTCAAGTGAGGAACCTTTGAGCACTGGGTTGTAAATAACTGTGTTTTCGTAGTTCACATATAAAGCATTATGTTGAAATCAATGGGCACACACTCTGAATACTGATTTGATAGAAATGCTTCATTGATTTTACGAGAGCTAAGCCAAATTCATTAACAACTTAGACTCATTAGGAAGACACCATTAATTCAAGGAAAAATGATTAAATTCTTTTATTGTATTTTACAAAGCATTACACATTAATTAGAATTTAGTATATTTGGTTTTTAGACTCTTTCCATTTCTTCTATGGACCTTTACAGAGAACATATCTGTTAGTTTGCTTATCAAATATTTATTTGTGTTAGTCACTATGTTAAATTTTGTGTGAGTATGTGAATTGTAGGATGGGTTTTTAAAATCCTTAATCCTCTTGGGTGAAGTGCTTACTCTCCCCTCCTGCAGTTCTGATTTATTCCAAATTTGGAGAGCAGAAAAATGGTAAATTGGAGATAAGAGACTGAGGTTCCTTAGAATAATGCATCAGCACTATGCAGTCAGATGAAGGAGTTTCATCTGGCTCTGGGCAGAGAGAAGCAGTTTCCCTTTGTCCCTTCTTTCTGCAAAGGAGACACTGGTTGAGATGAGTGAGAAGTGGAACTAGGGCGAAGAGGGCAAGTGAGTAAGAGAACTGTGAGAGAAAGAAAGAAAGGGAGAAGGAGACAAAGAGGAGAGCCTGACAGCCCTTTGAGCTGGGCTCAATAGGGACTGGCAGTGCCTCTAGGAAAACAAAAAGGGCTCCTTTTACCATCTTCGGAAGCTGGATTTACCTCTGATCTTCTCTTGGTAAAATTTACTTTTGGGCAATGGGCTGCCCAGTTGAGGCAGTGCTAAGAGATCTAGGGTTTTTGTAGCTCCCAAAATCTTTGTCAGAATCCCAAAGCCACCCACGTAGCCCAAGTGAAAATGGTATGCTAACCATGCAATTGTCTTTTAAATGAAATTTCCAATGCCTTCCCTCCCTTTCCTCCCAGATTTCCAGCTCTAAACCCCTTCTTTGTAGGAATTCTGGAGCGTACTGCCCTTCCAGCATTTAATGGCACAGCCAAAGGATTATCCTGTATGCATAAAACACCATCCCTTTCTTTTTAGAGCATACACTTTTGAAAAAAAGAAAAGGCATTACACAAATCACTAAAATAAAATCAGAAAAAACCCTGTTCAGGAATAGTGTTAGAAAAGAAGACAGAGGTTTGAAAGATATTGTGAATTTGACTGATTTGAAGTAGGGGTCAAAGGAGGAAGAATGAAGACCACTCTGCACTTGTGTGTCAGATTGACTGGAAAGTTAGTATAGATTGACTGGAAAGTTAGTATATCATTAACAGAAATAGATCATGTGGGTTGGGTGTCTGAGGGGAGAATAACAGGATTCTCACTAGGGAAATGTCGAGTCAAAGGAGGAGAAAGGACAGATTGGGGGAGAAATAAGGTGGGCACGCAAATATTTGGTTCTGTATATTAAGAGTGTTCTCAGCTAGAGACAGATTTGGTGCCATTCTGGATGCAGGTGAAACCTGAAGCTCTAATAGGATAATTTGTTTAGCTGGTTAAGGGAGAAAGAACAGATACAAATGAAACACAGAAGAACAAGGAGAGCAAAGCTTTATCAAAGCCAAAGGAGAAGAGAGAGAAAGAAGAATGAAGGGATCAGTTGTATAAAATGTGGCTGAGAAATTAAAAAGGTTGAGCTCTGAGTAAAGTCCAAAAGTGGTCATAAGTGACGATAAGGAGGTTGTTGGATGGGAAAAGGAGCCAGCTTGTGTTGGAATAAGGAGTGAATGAGTAAAGAGGAAGTAGAGGCAGTGACTGCTAATTTCTAAACGACTGAACAAATGCCTTGCATAATCAGTGCATTTAAAAGTTTGTGTGATTTATATTTCAAAGCTCACCAATGGTGAGCAAGATGAGACATTTAAAAGGTTTTCAGAGGCAGTGAAACAATAATTATTCAAAGGTTTTCAGATGTAGTGAGATAATTTGTCTATGAGAGGATAGTTGGTGTCAGAATTCTTTTGGTGGAGAGAGAAAAGTTAAATCATCTATATGTTAAAGAATAATCAATATATGAAGAATATTTTTTAAATGAGGCAATGGTCTCTATCCTGTGCGTGCACTATTTAGATTTCTCTGAAATCCCTAAGATATAGTTTATATCTTTAGAGGAAAGTAATTTTACATTATTTTATAACAGGGTTAAAAAAGGTAGTTTTTATTTCTAGTTCCTTAATACAAAATTAGCTAACTAGATCATTTATTTTTCAGTATCATCTTTTAGAGAGTAGGTTTCCAAGGTCTTAATACTTATTAAGTAATAGACCTTACTATAAATGAAGATTTGGAAACATCTTAGATTTCTGAAAACAATCAAAAGATTAATGTAAAAGAAACTTAATTAAAAAAGAAAAAAGTTCTAAACGTTTAGCAGCTCTTCTGTGTCTTTGAGTTGAATTGCAAATATACCATGATGAGAAGAATCTAATTTCTCATAATTAGTTAGAAGACATTTAACATAGCTCTAGGAAAAATAGAAACTATTTTAAAGCATAAGAACATATCAACCTTATGCATAGGGATTCTTGATTTTAGTGAAATCGCTTTGATGTGTTTGAAATCCTTCTCTTGAGTATCACACTATCTAATGTGTTACGCAATCGAGGGCACACTAAGAATTGCAGAGGGCAGGATTATTTTTCCAGCCAGACATCACATGGATAGAGAACCTAGCTGGAAACAATATGAGAATTCTTTTAAAAGAATTTAAAGCAAAAATAGTCTCACTATTGATCTTTTTAGTATGTAAGAAAGCTACAGGGCTCATCTTAATCTTTTTTTTAACCTAAGGCACAATTCAAAATACTGAATAGATATGGAAAATGTCATTTCCCATGCATATATTGAATAGGATCTATAGAATTTTGAGTGTACTAAGTTAGGAAAAATTGTCTTTGCCTGAAAGATATCTGCAAACACCGATTACTTAGTTATTTTTTGAATAATTACTAATTTTATTAATAATATTGGCACTTTTTTTTACAATTGTTGACTGAACCTCCCACTAATACAGAACACAGAATTTTAGATGATTTGGGGGAAACACAGTAACTTGATCAACTGAATCCTGTGCTTTCCAAGCTGGGGTCTATTTTTACAGGGAGGCAAGTATTAGCTTTCTCCTTCAATACGGCGTAAAGTGAAGGCGTCAGATTTGTTTGTATCCCAACTCCCCTCTTTACTACTGTGTGACCTGGCAAGGTTTTTTTTTGACCATCAGTTTCTACATGTAGAAAATGAGGAAATATGTACCTTACAGGATTATTGAGAGGATTCAGTGACAGATGTGGAGCTCCTGACTCAAAGTAATTCTCTTTGTGGTGATATTTCATACATTTCTTCCTTTTTTTTTTTTGACAGAATCTCACTCAGTCGCCCAGGCTGTAGTGCAGTGGCGTGATCTCGGTTCACTGCAAGCTCCACCTCCCGGGTTCAAGTGATTCTCCCGTCTCAGCCTCCCGAGTAGCTGGGATTACAGGCACCTGCCATCATGGCTGGCTAATTTTTGTTTTTTAGTAGAGACGGGGTTTCACCATGTTGGCCAGGCTGGACTTGAACTCCTGACATCAGGTGACCTGCCCACCTTGCCCTCCCAAAGTGCTGGGATTACAGGCGTGAGCCACTGCGCCCAGCTGGCATTTATTTCTTTTTTAAGTAAATAACTGAAAACAGAGAGTGCTATACAACTTTGTGTCAGGCACTGAAACTTAGTGTATGGTTTTCTACTTAAAATTTTTTTCATTTTATTTTTATTTTTAGACAGAGTTTTTCTCTCTCTCTCTCTGCCACCCAGGCTGGCATGCAGTGGCACAATCTTGGCTCATTGCAGTCTTGACCTCCTGAGTTCAAGTGATCCTCCCACTGCAGCCTCCAGAATATCAGGGACTACAGGTGCACAACACCATGCTCAGCTAATTTTTGTCTTTTTTGTAGAGACAGGGGTCTCACTATGTTGGCCAGGCTGGTCTTGAACTCTTGGGCTCAAGCACTCTGCTCACCTTGGCCTCCCAAAGTGTTGGGATTATAGGCATGAGCCGCTGTGCGTGGCCATGGGTTTCTACTTCTAATGTGCCCCATTGCTGCAGAGTCCATCCTTGCTTTTTCATGTACAAAAGAGACTCACCTAGCTCTTGGGTTGGACCATATAAAATTCCTGATATTCAACCGGGCGTGGTGGCTCACGCCTGTAATCCCAGCACTTTGGGAGGCCGAGGCGGGTGGATCATGAGGTCAGGAGATCGAGACCATCCTGGCTAACAAGGTGAAACCCCGTCTCTACTAAAAATACAAAAAAAAAAAAAAATTAGCCGGGCGCGGTGGCGGGCGCCTGTAGTCCCAGCTACTCGGGAGGCTGAGGCAGGAGAATGGCGTGAACCCGGGAAGCGGAGCTTGCAGTGAGCCGAGATTGCGCCACTGCAGTCCGCAGTCCGGCCTGGGCGACAGAGCGAGACTCCGTCTCAAAAAAAAAAAAAAAAAAAAAAAAAAAAAAATTCCTGATATTCAACATTTTTGACCTATAAGAATGACATATGTTTTCGTATAATTCAACCTAATAAATTCTATTTAAACCATAAAGTTCAACTCAGATCCTAACATCCAATGTGAGACTGAAGATGAACAGTTTCCAGGACCCAATAATGGCTCTTCTTTTTCTGTCACATTTCCTGTCCTATTTATTCTGACATTTCTTGCATACTATTTTGTACTGTTGGCAGTATTTCCATATGAATGTGTCTTGCCTTCTCAACTACTTTGTACATTCCTTGAGGCAGCCCATTGTCTGTTCTCCATTGTGGTGCCAGGCACAGTGTTGCATATAATATTTGCCGGGTAAATTTTTTAAATGATGCTAATAATAATTAATTAATTCATAACTATTGACCTGACTGCTCTGAGAATTAAAAATTTATATCGTGTTTTCTTTTAACATTTAACCGTCCATGTGTCTAACATCAAAGAAGGAAAGTTCTTTCATTTTGAGGAATCTTCTGTTGCTAATGTATGCAATGATAATGCTGTTCTTGGTCTACATAAAGGTTGCTACTGATTAGTAATTCAGCATGACTCAGGTTATTGTTCCACTAAAGGTCCTGGAATTCCAGTAATCATTATGCTCTCTCCTTAGATTCCACTTGGATAAAGAACTAGAAGAGTTGGGCCGGGCATGGTGGCTCATGCCTGTAATCCCAGCACTTTGGGAGGTCGAGGTGGGCGGATCACTAGGTCAGGAGTTCAAGATCAGCCTGTCCAACATGGTGAAACCCCATCTCTAGTAAAAATACAAAAATTAGCTGGGCGTGGTGGCTTGTGCCTGTAATACCAGCTACTTTGGGGGCTGAGGCAGGAGAATCGCTTGAACTCAGGAGGCGGAGGCTGCAGTGAGCCAAGATTGTGCCATTGCACTCCAGCCTGGGCAACAGAGTGAGACTCAATCTCAAAAAAGAAAAAGAAAAAGAAAAAGAAAAAGAAAGAACTAGAAGAGTTAGGTGGTTAGCCAAGGTGAGTAGAACAAAGTTAAATTAACTAGTCCACGTGCGGACAGATCCTTTGTTGTTGGTATGATGTATATTGTGTATTGAATCAACCCCAACGGCCAAACTCCAACACCAAACACAGCTTATTTAGGAAAAAATGATATTTTCCTTTGGAATTCTAATCACATATCTTCAGTCAGAAATAAGCGAGGAGGAATCAGGGTTAGTGTATGTTGCAAAGGGCTGGAGCTGGCAGAAGGACTATGTTACATAGGTTTACATTTGGTAAAACTAAGGACAGATGTTCAAATCAAGAGCCTCAAAAGAGCTTCAAAGTCAAAGGAAACTGCCTAAGTGAGTCACCAAAATAAGGAGGAAGACTCAACGCAGGGCATTGTTGAGGCTTGAGGTGGCCAATTAATCACACATCTTTTGACTCTGGGTTTATTTTATTAATAGATATGAATTTGAAATGTGCCTTGTGCCCAGGGCCCAAGTAGATTCCTGCTTTTTCTCCCAGGGAATCAGACTGATTTAGCCTGTGATAGGCAGAGCAGCTGGGCATCTCCAGGGCAACCCGCGCACTTCATGGAGGGGAGAAGGCCTGCAGATGAGAGAACAAAAGCCACAGAGGATAGGCTGCCTGCTTCGAACAGCTCTTCTCCGAGGCTGGGCCATGAATGATGCCACTTCTCTTCCTATGTGGAGAGCCCAGTGAGAAGTATAGAGAAGGGAAGATGTTTCTCCTTAAAATTCAGCCAATGTCGCAACTTCTAGTTTCAAGCCTGGGAAAAATTCAGGGCTAGGGAGAGAAGTCCCCTGCCCTCTCCTCCCAACCTAGTGAGAACGAACTTGAAGGTTTGAGGAAGAAGGCTGAATGTAAAACTGGCAAACAGTCTGGACAAATGCCAGAGAGAAGTGCTTGGCTGAAGCCAGCACTTAAGGGCTTCCTGAGGAATGAGTGTGGACTGGCTGGCCTCAGAATAAAGGACTGAGACAAAGCAGATGCCAGAAGTCTATTGAATTTTCACTTTGTTGTTTCAGTATCCTCTTATGCTTAATGTCTTCAGTCTTTTGCTTCTGGCTATGATGAAGTTACTGATACAAGGCTAGCCTCATGCCGTCAACAACCATGAAACTGAACAAAATACATGTGGCAACGCTTTCCAGACTGTGGAAAACAGGCAATGCAAGATTGATCCCTGAAAGAAAGAAAAATCACAAGGTAAGACCCATAACTGACCTGAATGTACCTGGGAAACATTTCCCAACCACAGCACAGGGGGCTAGAATTCACAGTGGTGATGTTCTGCTTGAAGAGATCGAGGTTAGAGTTCAGGACAGCAGAAGCAGTTGGGACAGGTGGGTACTGAAGAGGAAGAAGCTGTGTACAGGTACAGAAGTTGGTATGGTGGTTCCGCACCAGTCCTGATTGAGGACTAAGCTGGATGTGGGCTGGGTGAGACTACTCAAGGCTTATCAGAGAGCTGAGGCTTGAGGTTGTAGGATTGAGGGACTAGAGCTACTAATGCTGGGGACTTGGAGTTCCAGCCCAGCCATAGGAGAGAAATCCAGTTAACATTTCACTGATATTTATTTATTTGTTTATTTATTTATTTATTTATTTATTTATTTTTATTTTTGAGACAGAGTCTCACTCACTCTGTTGGCCAGGCTGGAGTGCAGTGGCGTGATCTTGTCTCACTGCAGCCTCTGCCTCCTGGGTTCAAGTGATTCTTGTGCCTCAGCCTCTCAAGTAGCTGGGAATACAGGTGTGTGCCACCATGCCTGGCTAATTTTTTTGTATTTTTAGTAGAGATGGGATTTCATCATGTTGCCCAGGCTGGTCTTGAACTCCTGGTCTAAAGTGATCTGCCTACTTCGGCCTCCCAAAGTGCTGGGATTACAGGTGTGAGCTACCACACCCGGCCATTTCACTAATATTTATTACAATCCAGCTAAGACCTCAGAAAGGCCTCTAAGAACCCAGCCTAGGGTACAGCCTAGAGTACACCTGGCATAATAGAGTCAGTCTATGACCAAGCCCTGATAAGATCAGGAAGATAGCGTTGGAAGTTGAATTCTTCCAAGTTAGAAGGACTTGGAAAAAATATCTTTCACTTCCCACAGATCCTTTGTAACAAAGCATAAAACTGAGCATACATCAGCTCATCAAGCCCATCATATATCAGATCATCAAGTAATTAAGCTGCCTTAGAAAATGCATCAATTTTTCAAAGGAAGATAACAGAATCCAGAGTCTGTACAATAGTTTATCTACACTATCCAGTCTAAAAAAAATTACTAATACAGTTTTAAAGACAGGACCATGTAGTCCAAAATCAAGAGCCAATTCGAAAATGACCCATATTTTGAATTTAGCAGGTGATGGTTTTAAATGGACTATTATATATATGTTCAAAGAATGAAAAGAAAAACAGAAAAGATATATTAGCAAAGAATTTTAAACTATCATAAAGAACCAAACAGAAATTCTAGAACTGGGAGCTAAATTAATGCAATGTAAAATTCACTGGATGTTGTTAACAGCAGATTGGGGGTGGCAGTAGAATGTTTAAAGACTTCAGAATGAAAATTCAGCCACATCACCTTTGGGGTCTAAGTTTCCTCAGTGACCTATGCTGAAAAATTTGGAATCATTTAGGAGATTATTTGCTCTTTTATTGTTTATACTCCTTAAGTCAGTAGGACCTATTGATCTTCTCTTCAAAATATTTTTCATATAGTGTTTTTGTCTCCATTTCCATTTCTACTTCTCTAGTTCAAGGTGTTTCCCTTTTGTGCTTAGATGACTGCTGCAGACTAGTGTTTCAATCTCAAATCCTTTCAATTCATTTTTGGATTTATCTAATCTTGGTCAGTGCTGTAATTATTTATTCATTCAACAAATGTTTATAAATCAACCACTCTGTTTATGATTAATGTCTCTATTCTGTTCTGAAATCTTTAATAGCTCCATTTTTCCTTAAATACAAAGCTAAATTCTTCTGTTTGGATATCTATATTAATTTCCTTGACTCTCCAATAATGATTCCAGTCGTATTTTTATTTGTCATAGACACTGCAGTAGACTTTTGGCCATCCAACAACGGAACTCTTTTCTTATCTATGGGGAATCTCCAACCTTCTGAAGCAGAGCTACCCTCGTGCTGTAGAGGCTGCAGATACCAGATAATCACTATTCCGGCCTCCCTTGCAGTGCCATCATGTGTCATAGCACATGATCTAGACTCTCCTAAGACAGACATATAAAATGAAAGGATGCCACAAAATGCAAAGCGAACTTGAGGTGATAGTGGCAATACCCACCCACTTTCCAGAGGCATCAGTGACAGTACTTTGGGGTCAACAATGCAAACTCCTGTGTCTATGCATCAATAGCTACCGTAGACCCTTCACCAGACCAGTTTTGCATTATGATTTTGGTCATTGACTCTGGCTGCTTAGCCTCTAAACCTGGCCCTATGTTTCTCCTGAAGATTTTATAAACTATCCAAATCCTTAAATTAGCCAGAGCTTTCTGTTGTACACAGCTAAGGATCCTGACTGAACACATACATACACTCCCTACCCTAGACAGACCAATCAATCCTCTTATCCCAAGAGCATGCCAGGCTCATCCTGGAATATCTGCTTGGCCACAGTCATGTTAACCCTTCAAAATTCTTCCTTTTTCCCGTGTCTCTATTCAAGTCTTGCATACGTTCAAGCTCTGTTGCTTCAAAGAGACTTTTGTGACTTTTCTGGACCTTAACTGTCATTCTGTCATCTATACTTTAAACCTTAACATTAGGTAATATATAAGCCAGGCATGGTGGCATGTGTCTATAGTCTCAGCTACTGAGGAGGCTGAGGCAGGAGGATCACTTGAGCCCAGGAATTTGAGACCAGCCTGGGCAACATAGAGAGATCACATCTCTATAAAGAAGAAGAAGAAATAAGCCAGGCATGGTGATGTATACCTATAGTCCCAGCTACTCAGGAGGATGAGGTGGGAGGATTGTTTGAGCCCAGGAGTTCAAGGCTGCTGTGAGCTATGATTGCGCCATTGCACTCCAGCCTGGGTGACAGAGTGAGCCCCCCTCTCTAAAAGAGAAAAAAAAAAGAAGAAAAGAAAAGAAAAGAAAAACTCTAAAACACTGGGTAATACAGTCTTCTGCATTCACTAATTTCCCTCTATCTTGAATGTAAGTTGACTGAAGTGATTGCTGGGCAGGCCCTAGATGCTTGTGTCCCTCACCATGCTTAGCGTTGTGTTCAGAACATTGTAATTATTCACGTATACTAAAAGAGGATACATTTTTATGAAAGACTTTGCTTTTATTTAGTATTTCATGAGTAGAGGCAAAACCTGATAAAGTTAAAGCATGTTAGCCTTTGGAAAGGAAGATGGCACTATTAACTGAAACTGTCTGACATGAGTTCTTCGCCTTCTTTCTCTCCGCATCTTAATATTTCCTTAAGGCTAATTAATCCTTCTCTTTATTATTCCTTTCCAAAGGTAACCTTTGACCCTCTTTCAGATATTTTGAAATCTTCCTCTATTAATATTTTTATCTCCCATAATCTTTCTCTCTTGTTACTTCTTCCTTGTATTAAGGTAATAACAACAACTCTCACAATCTGTTTCTCTCTTCTCTTTTAAAACATTTTCTTTTGGAGAGATAGGGTCTCACTATGTTGCCCAGGCTGGTGTCAAACTCCTGGTCTCAAGTGGTCCTCCTGCCTCATCCTCCCAATGTGCTGGGATTATGGGTGTGAGCCACCGTACCCGGCCTATTTCTGTCTTCTGTCAGCTTCAAAGTTGCTGAATTCTTTTCATCTGTTTAAGACTAGATTAATACTGTGCTGAATACTTCACCTTTTCCCCCATCCTATCACTTCAAACCTTGCAGACAGACTTTTTCCTCATCTCTTTAGTGAAGCTGCTGTCTTGATAGTTATGAAAAATTCTCCTCTATCAGTCAATATGGGCTTGATTTTAGCCAGAATCTCAACTGCCGAAAATCTCAAAGGTGTGCTTCTCATGCATGTTGTATATATGAGTTGTATATATGACCACCACAACATTGCAGGTGGGCTGGGGGCTCATCTTCGCTCTGAGACCCAGGCTGATGAAGCAGCCCACGTTTGGAACATGGCAGGTTGCCTTGGCAAAGGAAAAGGGAATTCTGCCAAGTTTTGCACCAGAAAACTATATTTTCTGGCCTGGAAATGTGACAGGTAATTTGTGCTCAAACTCATTGGCCAGGACCAGTCACACAGCGCCATCTCACCAATGGGGCCAGTTGAGGTAGTATAAACCTACCACGTGCCCAGAGGAAAAATAACAAAAATACATTTGTTGAACCTACCAAGTGTCCTTATTATCAAATCAGATAGATTTTTGTCTCTTTTCATTCTCCATTATTCTTTTTCAATGTTTGATATTATTGACTTATTTCTTTTTACAACTAATAGCACGCTGTATGAATCCAGCTGAGTGTTTTCCCAATACCTCAAACTCAGCATATACAAGCATATATTCAGCAGCATCATCTGCCTTCCTGCCTCTTCCTGGTTAATTCTAAGCCTTTCATTCTATTCCCTATTTCTGTTTATGGTACTACCATTTTCCCTGTCACTACATTTTGAAACTTCATATATTTTTGATTTCCCTTCCTTCAATAATTTCTTCCATCTGGTCAGTTTCCAAGTCCTATCTATTTCCATTTTCCTAGTATTTCCTGAATCTGTTTCTATTCTCCTTGACCCTGGAATACAGGATACCAAGCAAGTGTCATTTTGGCTGCTTTTATCCAGACCTGCCTGTCTTCACTGTGTCCTACATCCCCCTGCCACCTTAGCCCCTCAGTGTTCTGACCAGGTCATTTGCTGTATTAAAATATTTTTTGTTTCTTACAAGACAAAACTTATTATTTTGTATTCAAAGTCTTCTAGTATCTGGTTATAACCTATCTTTTTAGAATTTTCTCTCAATTTTTCCCATAAATTTCAGACCAGATTTCACTTTTTTCGTAAAATCATCTTGATTGTATTAGCTAAACATGAACTTTCTGTCCTTTGTAAGACTCTGATGCTTTTTAAAGTTCATGGCGCTTACCATACATCATATTATGTCTACTAATTACTTCTTGCTTATATTGTAGTTTCCTTTTTACACATCTCAACCTTAATATTAGGCTTTATTTCTTTGTTGGGAAGGACATCTCCTGAAATTGGATGTCAGGTTGTAAGCTGCTCTACCCATCTTAATTTTCTTTTTACCTGTCAGTTGCCTAGGACATTACTTTGCACACTGGTAGATGTGGGATGTTTATTGATGAATGAATGACTTACAAATTTTTCTCTTTTCTCTAAGCAGTGGCGGGGACTTGCCCTGAACTTCCCACACTTGTTCTCTTAATATTCCCTTGAGCTCACTGGTGAGGTTTTTCACATGGCGGGCTGGATTTAAGAGTTTAGTCTGCATCTGTGGAATGGTGGTTTTGTCTAAATGAAGTTAATTGGCTCATGCAGAGATCGAATCCACAACCTTGGCCTCATTAGCGCCTTACTCTAATCAGTTGAGCTTTCTGGTCTGATGCTATGAAATATCCACAAAAGACATAAATATAGATATGATTTTACCAGCCTCATGCTTTTCCCTGTGTACTCTGGCGAATGTGAAAATTAGTTGCCTATTGAGCTTGGACAACTGGTTTAAGCTGAATAGTGGAATTAAGAAATATAATTTTGAATGAATGAATGAATTTAATTGGGTCAGAATAGGCTAATTAAAAGCAATGGAGCAGATTGAGCCTTTGAAATACTAAGAAAGACAATTTCATGTGATGTTTTGCACCTTGCTGACTTCTGAAAAAATGCCAGACAACTACCCAGTGGGGCTTCCAAACTGTTGAATAAACATGCCTAAATGCCAAAAAGTGGTCCGGCACAGCAAGAAGCTTCTCAAAAGCCCTAGCTTGCCAGCTGTTTGTTGGATCAAACTTGAAAGCAGGTGCAGGTTGGTAATATTGGGTTAGGGCCAATCTTGAGACACAACCATGAAGAGCAGCTTTGATGGGGTTCTTTGTGATACTCATATGGTGGCAGTGCTTTAAAGTTGAGTGCATGCTATATCAAAAGTACCTCAGGGAAATAAAACGTTAAATAACAAAATTGACTGCTCATGCTCTGAGGTAGGAATGGTACCCGATGGGGAGTGCTAGGGCTGACTTGTCTATAAGCTATGCTTCGTCTACTCATGGCAGACAGCCCGGGGCAGTTGAAGGGCCAGATCTCAATTTAACTCCAAAATTAGGGGTAGGAGCCCACATAAGGAATCAGGCATCTGGGGTCCGATGAAATGGATTTTTAAAAGCCATACTATTATTTACTTGTCTGCTACATGTTTAAAACTGTGTTTATATTGTAGCTTCCTGAAAACAGTTTATTAATTAATATTCTTAATTGGAATTTTCAATATTTATCATGGACACAGTAGTTTATCTGGGTGCCACCTTGTTACAGATTTAGGGTGGAATTAAACACATCTAAATTTGATGCAGCATTAATTTTGCTTTAGGCCAATAATTGCCAATTTTCCCCTCATGTACTTGAAATATTGAAAATTGATGTATTTTAAGTAGTTTTATTCTGAATCTGGAGCTCTGAGGGCAGCACTGCTGTCTCTGAAGTATCAGCTTATGTATTTGAGGGCCCTTTTAACAAGTCGAAGAGGTTTGTGATGGAAGAATGTTCATTAAGCCCAGGCCCTGGGGGAAAATGTCCGTCCAGGTTATTCAGAGAAAAACGTTTAAAAGGGATCATGCAATCTTAATGAAATAAAAGGAATTGTCAGAAAGTATTTTTAAACAGAAGGATAAAGTTTCGGTGAAAATGTTGAAATATAGCAAGGAAGATGAATGTCTTTCCTTGTTTCTTTCAATGAGTAGATTACATAACTAAGGAACAGTTTGATAACCTCACTGCCTCCAATGTAACTTCTTTTAATTAGTTTATTTTTCCTGATTATAAAAGTAACCAATGTACATTGTAGGAAAATCAGACGTTCCTAATATAATTTCAAATAAAATGCCGATACATTTAAAACGAAAATGGAGTAAGACCAAAGTTAATGGATTTTACTGTATCCTTTATACTAAATGCATCAAAAGATTCTTAGGAAGAAAGCTTATGCTTCAAACGGAAAGAAGCAAAATGTGACCACACCAGACCTTACCTCCAGAAATCTCTATTGGCTGGTATTGATTCAGTTTAGAAGTGGAGAATAACAATCACAGGTAGTTGGGCCTGAGAACTCATTTGTGGACATTGGCTTTCTGTCTTCATGTGATTCTCACAAGAATTTCTTTCTATTTCAACTGCTCCAGACTGTTCTTTCTGGGCAGAAGACAGGCAGAGCTCTGCATTCACAGCCGTGTCCCCTGTTAAGAGACTGCAGAGTCATCCACTTCGTGTGCACTTGAATGGTCTCCTTCAAAAGAACCAGACAGTCATTGCTTTTAAAGTGGGCCTGATGCTCTATAACCACAAAGCAGTTTCTTCTGAGCTGTGCTATTTGATGGACCAATTTTATTTTTAAATCTACCCAGTGAATTAGATGCTGGAAAGAAGAAGCAAAGCATTTTCTATCTGAAAGAATCTTGCAGCGATTTATTAAACACATCTATAAACCAATAGTCTATGTAGAACTAGGATAGAATGAACAAAATCTATTTTCACTGAACTATAAATAGTAGGAAGTCTTGTAAAGGACCAGAGGTCAGGCTAAGGATTTTTTTAAAATGCTATGTTTTTAGAACTGGTAGATATTTTGTTGAAAGCTTTCTCTCTAACACAATCTAATCATGAGTTAATTGAGACTAAAACGACTTTCAGTCTTAAAGGGGTTTAGATTAAAAGGCTTTGCCTGAACAGTATTTTTTACTGAAAATAGGCATGTCTTTGTCTTTAGTTTTCTTAGAACTCACTTCTAAATTGCAGTGAGACACTGCTAATATACCTGTATTTTCAATGGGATGTTATAGCTCAGGGTCAGAAGAGTAAGATAAAATAAGAATAATATTGTTCTCTGGGGAACAAGTGCAAATGAACCAGTTTATTAGCTAATCAGTGTTGCTTAAGAGAATGTCAGGAGTGGATTGTCCCTGTGACTTTAATGGTAATTCATCTTTGAGACACTTTCAAGTAGTGAAACTATGACTCCTTCGTTTTGAGATAAAAATAAAACAAAAATAGGCAGATTCCATGTAGTACGTATTTGCTTTATCTCGTTAATGAAAGGAGCTATTGAATGTTTTCTCTTTACCTTGAGGTAGCTTTGGTAAGTATTTAGAAGTTCAGAATAAAATACTGTCATGACAAAGTAGGAATGATTTATATGATGAAAATGTTTGTTCTAGAGTAATCCTTTTAGCAAGACTTCTACACAATTAGAAACTCTTAAACTACAGCTCATGTCCAGCTGTAGTCTAAGTGTCATTCAAACTATTCTAGAGTAGAGTTGGCCCTTTGTATTTGTAGGTTTGTATCTGTGGATTCGACCAACCTGGGATTGAAAATATTTGGGAAAAAAAAGATGGTTATGTCTCTGCGGAACATGTATAGATTTTTTTCTTGTCATTATCCCCTAAACAATGCAGTATAACAACTATTTACAAAGCATTTACATTGCATTAGAAATTACAAACAATCTAGAAATAATGTAAAGTATATAGGGCTATATGCATAGGTTATCTGCAAATACTACACCATTTTATATAAGGGACTTGAACATCCATAGATTTTCGAATCCTGCGGGGTCCTGAACTAATTCCTCACGTATCTTGACAGATGACTGTATAACTTAAGGGGCTAAGTGAGGCGTGGTTGATGATTTACACTTCTTTTAAATAAATGTCGAGCAAATATTGACTTCACTTGGGAACCAAGATTGGTCAGATTCCCAGCATATAGCCTGATTGTAATCGATTTCCGACTCTTTGTATTAAGGAAGAGACTTTGCTGTTTTTGTTTACCTAAGTAGCTGGCTTCCTGTTTATAGTAGGGCAATTTTAAAAATCATAGCTTGTATCTGGCTAGAATTTATTTGGATGAAAACCAATGTGTGTACATGATGAATACTCTGAAATGGTGCAAACAAGATCACTGGAGTCTGATGATTAGCTCCCCAATTGATTTTTACAAATGCAGTAATAGAGAGCAACTTTAGACTGATAAACATAAACAGGTACACAAAACATCAAAGGCAAAAGCAAGTAAGAGTCTGTAAAGCAGATAGCAAGCAGGTCTGAGTGTAATAAGACACAGAGCAATGGTTTACAGCATAATTATCAGACAGTCACATTTTAAAGGTTTCTAGTGAGAAATATCTCACTTTAAAATAGTTTATAACATTTGGCTGAAATGTATAGGAATTTCAGAAAAGGTGACACTATGCAATTAGCATGGTCTACCCTGGTGGTAAACTCTTCAGTGGCCCAGCAAAGTGTACTCTACAGGATGAAGTCCAAACTGCTTTTCCTAACCGAAAGGGTTCTGCCTGATTTGGCCTCAGCCTTACCATTTTGGTCTTGGTCTTTTTGCTTCTAAAGGACTTCCCTTAAACTCGCTTTTTTTTTTTTTTTTTTTTTTCCAGAGAAAATCCTACACTTTCCTTAAGACATTTCACAAATCTACTCCTCTGGGAATTGTCCCCTTGTCTTTTTGCAACTATAAATCATAAAATTCAGCCATTGCGTTGATTACTAAATTTTCTAGGGCCGGGCACAGTGGCTCACCCCTGTAATCCCAACAATTTAGGAGGCTGAGGTGAGGCAGGAGGGTTACAAAAAAGAGTTAAAAATCAGTGGGGCGTGGTAGCTTGCACCTGTGGTCTTAGCTACTTAGGAGGCTGATGGGGGAGGTTCGCTTGAGCCCAGGAGTTCCAGGTTATAGTGAGCTATGATTGCGTCAATGCATCCCAGCCTGGGAGACAGAGGAAGACCTTGTATCTAAAAGAAAGAATAACAATAATTAAAAAAAGGTGGGGTCTTTAGATGGTGATTAGGTTTGAGGGCTCTGCTCTCGTGGATAGAACTAATGCACTTATAAAAGGCTGGAGGCAACCAAGTAGATCCTTTTGCCCTTCCATCACTTTCACCATGTGAGAGCACAGTGTTTGCCACCACTGGAGGAGGCAGCAACAAGATACCATCTCAGAAGCAGAGACCAAGCCTTCAGACACTGAATCAAATCTGCCGGCAGTTTGATCTTAGACTTCCCAGCCTCCAAAACTGTGAGAAATACGTTTCCATTATTTATAAATTACCCAGTCTATAGTATTTTGTTACAGGAGCAGGAACAGATTTAGACAAAATGACAATAAACACTTCTGAACAACTTTTGCTAGATATGTAGACCAGCATCTTAACGTTTCTTTTAGAGTGGTGTATTAGAAACCTGATTGATTCAACTTTTTTCTTTAGTACTCTCACCAGAATTTGATGGAAACTTGACTAGAATGGTGAAGAACTGCAAGGTTATGTTTTTTTTCACTAAGAACTCAGTAACTTTGTGATCTCATTTTTTCCCTTCCATTGCTTTTGGAACACATAGGCCTATTTCCATAAATTTTCCTCTCAATTTTAATGTTAAACTATTTTTCCAATATTGTAAAATTGTTTTTAAATCCTCAGTAGAAAAGTCTGTTGTTTACACTCTTCCTATTTTACAATTAAAGGCTCATGCACAAAAAGATATCTGGATTACTGCTTTAATATTTATTCAGTAGTTCAGGAGGGAAGTATATATCCATATCACTCTTACTTGTTTTTGCTATTTAGCCATAGCCTTTGACAGCACTGAGAAACAAAACATTGATTTTCCCCCTCTGTTTTTGGGAGGGAGTTGGAGGCTGAAGGAGGAGAGGGAGCAAGTGGCCTTCTGAAGCAAGTTCAATCAATGAAGACTTTCAGGAAGCAGGTTTTTCCTATATGCTTTTAAGCCTTCTCATGTAATATTCAAATCCCTCTTAGAGGGAGAGGAATACTTGGTTTGAAATTCTGTTAAAGCTGCGTGGAAAGCTAGACGAGGGGGCCAAAGAGAAAAAGCATACACTCCTATTCTTTCATTTATGAACTTTAATGTGAAGAAAGTGACAATTATAATACACTATATTTACAGGGCCAGTTCTTTGCAAAGCACTTTGACTTATCTGATCTTCAGAAGAAAGGAAAATTCATATATATTTTCTTAGTCTAAGAAAGTTTTCTGGTTGTCTTTTCTCAAACAGAAATGAAAATAAGATTGCTAGGGTTCTTTCCAGTTGAAAGATGTAGAAATCTACAAAATTAGAATTGAGGTGAGGTTCATATTGAGTTGTTCTCCAAGGCAATTTCATTTTTAAAATATTTATTTGATTACTTTTAAATTTATTTTTATTTATTTTGTGGATATGAGGTCTCTCTATGTTGTCCAGGCTGGACTTAGGCTCCTGGGCTTAAGTGATCCTCCTGCCCCAGCCTCCCAGGTAGCTGGGATTACAGGTGTATGCCATTGTGACTGGCAACAGGGAGTGGGCTCTCCCCAGACACCAAATCTACTGAAATCTTGATCTTGGACTTCACAGCTGCCAGAGCTATAAGAAATAAATTTCTGTTACTAATAAATTACCCAGTATGTGGCATTTTGTTATAGCAGCAGAAATATTTTTTGTCTGGTGTGAGGTAGGACTCCAGTGTATATAGTACATACATTGTACGTACATATTCATACATACAATGTAGGTAGTACATACATTGTACGTACATATTCATACATACAATGTAGGTAGTACATACATTGTACGTACATATTCATACATACAATGTAGGTAGTACATACACTGTACGTACATATTCATACATACAATGTAGGTAGTACATACATTGTACGTACATATTCATACATACAATGTAGGTAGTACATACACTGTACGTACATATTCATACATACAATGTATGTACTAATTTACATATCCACTAACAGTGTACAAGGGTTGCATTTTGTCCATATCCTCTCCAACACTTGCTATCTTTTATGTTTTTGATAATAGCCATTCTAGTAGATGTGAGGTGATATCAGATATATGGTTGGTTTCTGGTGAGGGCCTCATGCTGTGTCACAACATGGCAGAAGACATCATAGGGCAAGAGGGCTGAGTATGCTAGATCAGTCTCTCTTTCTAAAGAGAAAGCCACTAATGCTACTAATATAAAGCCACTAATGCTCCGCCCTCGTGACTTCATCTATCTTAATTACCTTGCAAAGGTCCCACCTCTTAAATACCATGGTCAGATTTCCCACCCTTTTAATGCTGTTACAATGGAGATTAAGTTTCAACATGAGTTTTAGAGAGGACAAACATTCAAATCATAGCATATGTATGCATTGTGGAATGGCTAAATCAAGTTCATTAATATATAAATTACTTCAGATACTTATCACTTTTTTGTGGTGAGAGCACTCAAAATACTCTCTCAGCAATTTTCAAGTACACAATGTGTTGTGTTAACCCGTAGTCACCATGTACAATAGATCTCTTGAATTATTCCTCCAGTCTAACCGAAATTTTGCATCTTTGGACACAACTCCTTCCCACAGCCTCTGATAACCCCCATTCTATTCTCTGCTGCTATGAGTTACACTTTTTAGATTACACATATAACTGAGGTCATGTGGTATTTGTCTTTCTGTGCCTGGCTTATTTCACTTAACATAATGTCCTCCAGGTTTATCGATGATGTTGCAAATGACAAGATTGCCTTTTTAAAAAGTCTGAATATTATTCTCTTGTGTATGTATACCAAATATCTTTATCCATTTATCTGTTGATGGATACTTAGATTGAATCCATATCTTGGCTATTGTGAATAATACTGCAATGAACATGGGAGTGCAGATGTTGCTTTGACATATTGATTTCATTTCCTTTGGAAATATACACAGGATAGCTGGATCATATGGCAGTTTTATTTTTAATTTTTCGAGGAAGCTCAATACTGTTTTCCACAATGTATGTACTAATTTACATATCCATTAACAACGTACAAGGGTTCCTTTTCTCCACATCCTCTCCAACACTTGCTATCTTTTGTATTTTTGATAATGGCCATTCTAATAGATGTCAGGTGATATCTCATTGTTGTTTTAATTTGTGTTTCTCTTTTGATTAGTGATGTTGAGAGCATTCTTCATACACCTGTTGGCTATTTGTACATCATCTTTTGAGAAATGTTTATTCAGGTCCTTTGCTCGTTTTAAAATCTTATTTGTCTGTTATTGGGCTGTTTGAGTTCCTTACATATTTTAGAATTAACTCTTTACCAGATGTATGGTTTGTGAGTTAATTTTTGTGTCTGGTGTGACGTAGGACTCCAACTTCATTCTTTTTCATATGGCTGTCTAGTTGTCCCAGCACCATTTGTTAAAAAGACTATTATTTTCCTACTGAATTGTCTTGGCAGCTTATTGAAATCAACTGACGATAATGTCATGGTGTGTTTCTGGACTCTGAATTCTGTTTGTCTGTATGGCTATCCTTATGGCAGTAGACCATTTATAATTTGCCATCTTAAAGATTTGTTAGCATATTTGTTTCATATTCAGTTTGGAGTCTAACAATTTTGTTTCCTTCTATGAGACAGATTTCTGAAAATGCTATTCTAAGTAAATGGATTATGAAAGAAAATTTTTTAATACAATAATTTGTGGTTATTTTCATACCCCAATTGCTCCAACATGTTTAAAATATAAGGGAATATCCTTAGGGAAGGAGCATCAAGTCTAAAGTAAACATGTCAAAGTATTATTTTTTCTCATAAGAGTTTTTAAAACTATGGTATTATTTGCAGCAAATAAAAACACATAGGTCACTTGTCTAAAAGTATGCATTCCTTGGAAACAATAAATATATTTTTAGATTGGTTTTGTCAGTATTCAAAGAATTTAAAATTCTAAAAAGTAATGATTTACATTCAAAGACTATTTCATACTCAAGAAGCTGAAGCAGATATTTTGTAGGGAAACTTGTAGATTACTATTGTTAGAGTAGGTAGTTAGGCAGATGTGAGCAGGGCAGCACAGGCCACCCCCTGACGCCCCGCTCATCCCAGAAATGTCAGGCAACCATCAGGTGACGGTCAGGCAGTTGTTAAACTATCTCTCTAAAATAATAATTGGTCACAGTCAGCACCAGGGAAAGGCAGGCTCCCTATAGATAGAAAACACCTGAAACTGGTAATCAGCAACTTCTCAATAGGATCTCAGGATTTGGGTGAGTGAGCTGAAGCATGCACACTAAGAGGCAAAATGGTGGAGTTTAACTGGTGTATGACCTTCCTCTAGGGACACTTGACTAGTAAGGGAAAACGTCTCAAATGAGCATGTGCACAACTTTAGTAAATACACTGTGCGTGCAGCCACTCCTAAGTGCTGACAGGCCACCACATTGTGAACAGCACGCCCAAGGGAAGGATCAGGGGAGAAGATACACAAACCTGAGAATCATGCCAATGTAAAAAACCCCAAATCAAGGGTCAGATGGGACACATCAAGTCACCTGCCTGGCCCTCTTCCAAGTGTACTTTACCTCCTTTCAATCCTGCACTAAAACTTTTTAATAAACTCTCACTCCTGCTCTAAAACTTGCCTTGGTCTCTTATACTGCCTTATACCCCTTGGCTGAATTCTTTCCTCTGTGGAGGCAAGAATCAAATTATTGCAGGCCCATGCAAATTTGCCACTGCTAACTTCCCTGGTGGGAATTAGAATCCTGTTTTACTTCATTTATTCTTTAGCTACATATTAAGGACTTAGTACTTACCAAGCACTGATTACCAAGGCCCGGTTTTTGCCTTTGTGGTCTTAATGATTAGCATGGAGAGATTGATACGCATTGGAATGGTTTATTTTTAAATGTTCTGCTACTAGTATATGTTTTATATTATAAGGAAAAATTTGAAAGACTTTAAAATGGGCAAAATTCTGTGTTCACTTGCTAAAAAAAGTGTTCTCATTGGCATACTCGATTTATTTAGAATTTGACATTTTGTTTTGTAGAGCTTTGGGATTTTTTTTATCCGTCCATGCATCCGTCTGTCCATCCATTCATGCAACCATGCTTTCATCCACGCATGCATGCATGTATCCATCCATCCATCCATGTATCCATCTATCCATCCATTCATCCATTCATCCATCCCTCCATCCAAATTGAGCACTTTCCATGTGCTAAGCACTGCCCTGAGTCCTAATGACACAAACAGTGAGTAAAACTGATAAAAAGCCCTGTTCCTATGGAGCTCACATTCTGGTGGATAAGGCCTTAAAAAACAAAGTGAAACAAATATGTGAAACATATAGAACATTACATAATAATGGGTGTTAAGAAGAAAAAACCCACAAGGAATAAGGTTAGTGACAGGGTTCCGAACACACTACCCCACAATATGGCGCTTTGGCACATTGAATATCTTAAGCTGAAGAAATGTGGGAAAGGCTCTTACTTTGCCTTCTCTTCTGAAGCATGTCTTAAGACCCTCTTGTGAGTGCCTTCCCTGGACCTGAAGGAAAGGAGAATCCTTATCTCTGAAGAAGGAAGACTGCTGAAAGGAATATGAATAAACAGATCTTGTTAAATTTCCTACAGCTTGCTATCCTGCAAGTCATACCCTTCTGTCCTATTGTAGCAGGACCAGCTGCAGACAAAACTCCTCAGACACAGAGTTGAAGAAGGAAGTGGTCTATTCAGCCAGAAGCATCAGGCAAGACTCCTGTCTCAAGAGCCGAGCTCCCCGAGTGAGCAATTCCTGTCCCTTTTAAGGGCTCACAACTCTAAGGGGGTCTGCATGAGAGGGTTGTGATCGATTGAGCAAGCAAGGGGGTACGTGACAGGGGCTGCATGCACCAGTGGTCAGAGTGAAACAACAGATCGGGAAGTCTCACAATGTCTTTTCTATACGATGTCTGGAATCTATAGATAACATAACCAGTTAGGTTAGGGGTCAATCTTTAACTACCAGGCTTAGGTCAGGCAGGCCCAGGCCTGGTTTCGGGTCTGGTTCCTCAGTTTCGAATCTGGTTCCTAGACCCTGGGCTACCTGCCTTTTGTTTCGCTTTTCTTTTCTTTTGAGTATAAAACAATATAAAACAATATGAGAGGGTCTGTCTCTCTTCTCTCACTATCATGTTTTTCCACAATGTTCCACTCTTCATCAAACCTAGTATAAAAATGCTTAGGCTTAACCACATAGTTGGGTCTTCATTTCCTTGTGAAGGCTCCAGTGTCCTGTAAAAATTATATTAAATAAATTTGTATGCTTTTCTCTGTTAACCTGTCTTTTGTTAGTCTAATTTACAGATTCCCAGCCAGACAACCTAGGAAGGTATGAGAAAAAGGTATCTTTTTCCTTCCTTACATTAGGAAGTGTGTATGTGTGAGTATGTGAATGTGTGTTCAGGTGGAGTGTGGTTGGTGAAATATTTTGATGAGGTGGCTGGAGAAGGCCTCACCTAGCAGGTGACATTAACTGTCCAGTCAGTCTTGAGGTCTAGACCTCTTCTGGCCCTCCCTCTTCTGTTTGTCATTTCTGTCCTTTTGGAGACAGGTGTTCTATGGACACTCATTTCACCAAATAAGGTGCTCAGAGTTCTGCAAACATGATTTTAAAATATTTTAGAAAGAAGTTGCTATTTTAGAATTCTTTTTACATTTTGAAACATTGTTTTGACACCTCAGAAAAATTATTATTCAACTTTTAGTAAAACTGGGTGACTATTACTTGGACCTCAGCCTCAACTTTTTTTGTTGTTTTTCTTTAAGCTTTAAAAAACCTGCCAATCTAGAAACCTCGTAGCTTTCTGGGGGCAATTTGAATTCAGTTTTAAAGGTAAACTGCTCTTTTGTTTTGGGAAAATCTCTTGACTAAGGCTTTTAGATATGCATTTGAAGACTTCTTTCAAATGTTGTCCTTTTTTTTCCACCTTTACAGTTGGGGAAGGCCTAAAGGTGGTGTGAGATAAACGGAAGCAGATGTTTCAGATGGAGATCATATTCTGTATAGTCATGAAATTGAGTAGATCCTTCATGTTTTCTTTAGAGAATTTGTTTTCCCCTCTAAATGTAGGTCCTATAGTCTCTGAAAATGATTGTTCTTGTGGAGATTGCATGTGTACTCTTGATACAGGAGTTAAGAATAAATTACTTAGGCAGATAGTGAGGATACTGGAGTTCTTGGTAAGGTTTTCCTTTTTAATGAAAAGTAGTGCCAAATCATTTTCTAACAAACAGCAGCCTGTAAAATCGAGCTGCAGACATAGCTGCTGGGGGTTGTGCCAATCATGTTAAAAATGGCGGCTCCATCTTCCCTTTTCTCTTTGCCATCCACGTGTACAGCGGAGCAGACAAGATGTTGCTGGTCAAGTGGAAACTCCATTTGCATAATAAGATTAGGGTTGGGTGGCCTGCCTTCCCAGCGCTATGTAAATATCATACCTGACTGAACCAATCTGTGTGCCCTAGGTAAATCAGACACCACCTCCTCAAGTCTGCCTATAAAATCCGGCGAACTCCACCCGGCCTTTTCCTCAAAAGCCCCTCTTTCTCACTAGAGAGAGAGCTGTTTCCCCTTTCTCTTTTCTTCTGCCTATTAAACCTCCACTCATAAACTTCTTGGGTGTGTCTGTGTCCTAAATTTTCTTGGCGTGAGACGATGAACCCTGAGTATTTACCCTAGACAATGAAGCCGCTTCACTCTCGCTCATGCCATGGTCCAAGTACTTGTCAAAGATTAGGAGAGATAACCACTTCAGTAGGAAGAATGCACAGGCAAATGGATACCTCAAATTCAGGGAGGGGACTCAAAAAGGGATTTGACTGAGATTGTTAAATTTTACTTTTCTAAACTGTTCTGTTGAAGGACTGCAAATAATTTTATTAAAATCGAATAACATAGACTTTAGGAAAATGTGCAAGTATTGAATTACAATGGATTGTCCTTTTACAACTCTTAGGGCAAGACTAACTTCCAGTGGGTTGGAGATGGAATATCTCTTATAAATTACTGTTGCAAGAGGTCAGTTCTGGGGCAGAGAGATAAAAATTTTTGGAGGCAAATATTTAGTTATTCTCTTTGAGTGAGACAACAGTTTTGCTTGTAGACAGGTACCTGAACCTCCTCTGTAGTAGAAAAGATGAGCAGGCCTCTGCACCTGGAGAAATTATGGAAATTGTCAGAAGTGTTAGAAGTAGAACAACTCCATCTTGAATAGGGGCTGGGTAAAATAAGGCTGAGACCTACTGGGCTGTATTCCCAGGAGGTTAGGCATTCTTAGTCACAGGATGAGATAGGAGGTCAGCATAAGATACGGGTCACAAAGACCTTGCTGATAATGCAGGTTGCAGTAAAGAAGCTGGCCAAAATCTATCAAAACCAAGATGGCAACAAAAGTGACCTCTGGTTGTCCCCACTGCTCATTATACACTAATTATTATACCTCAACATGCTAAAAGACACTCCCACTAGCACCATGACAGTTTATATATGCCATGGCAACCTCAGGAAGTTACCCTATATAGTCTAGAAGTGGGAGGAACCCTCAGTTCTGGGAATTGCTCACCCATTTCCCAGAAAATTCATGAATAATCCACCCCTTGTTTAGCATATATTCAAGAAATAACTATTAATACAAGTATAATCACTGAGCAGCCCAAGCTGCTGCTCTGCCTATGGAATAACCATTCTTTATTCCTTTACTTTCTTAATAAACTTGCTTTCACTTTATGGATTTGCCTCAAATTTTTTCTTGTGCGAGATCCAAGAACCCTCTCTTGGGGTCTGGATCCAGACCGTCTTCCGGTAACAAAACCAGGCAAGAGTTCTGAAATTGAATTTTTGTTTTAGATTCTAAGAGTGACCACTTCAAATAGCAGTTGTTGGAGAAAAAAAAACTTTCTCTGCCTTTTTAGATTCTGTGCTTGGAGGCCTGTACGTTAAACTGACAAAAGACAGATCAGCAAGAGAAAAGACAGATTTTTATGCAGAAGTTCACAGAAAAACATGACTCAAGGTGGTGGTTAGAATTTGGGGCTTATATACCATCTTAAACAGAGATGGGGAAGGGGAAAGGGACACTTTTGGCAGAAAAGATGACTTTTTAGGTGAGGGGGTGTGGAGAAAGGGCATTTATGAAAAGAAAAATGACTTTTTGGAAAGATGAATGGTTCTTAGAATAGATGGGAGATAGGATAGTTTTGTAACAACGTCTATTTGGGTGTGGTGCCAACTTCTCGATTTTCTCTAAGGAAAGATTAGAGTTGCTCTCAGAAAGGGTATTTATGAAAATTGAGTTGTTGGGGGGCCCTGCTTTTAGGCAGATAAGGAATCTCAGTAACTCAAATGCCATCAGCTCAAAATAATTTTTTTATGCCATAGTAGACCCCATTCACAGTTCAAGCTACTCTGTTTTGTTTGTCCCTTAGTTATCCTCACGTATCTGTTAAAAATGCTGGTCTGCCTTTGAGCTGTGAAGAACTGGGGACAGAATTCCCCCGTGCTGAGGAAGTAGGAATGCAGTTGTCATGCAAGCACAAAAGGAGATAGGTGTACATAGCAGCAGAGGAGTTTTCTCATAAAGGAACTGGCATTAATAATTGACAAGATATGTGGGGATTTAATTTCTGAAACGAAGAGCAGCAGGAGTCTGAGCTATTATTATTTGACATTTTAAAAATTTCCTTATTTTGGTGTCTGGGTTTGTGAGATCTATGACATATTTATTTAACAAATACTTACTGAAGTCTTAATATGTGCCAGGTACTGTTATGTGTTTAAGATATATCAATGAGCACAGCAGAACCTCAAGGAGCATACATTCTAATGCAGGAAGATGGACTATAAAAAATAAATTATTCAGTATGTTGGAAGGTGATTGGTACTATGGGAAAAAGCTAGAGCAGGTAAGATAGGGGAGTAAATAGGATGATGAAAATGGGGTGAGGAGTTGTTGATTATGGCCTAATATGGTTTGGCTGTGTCCCCACCCAAATCTCATCTTGAATTGTAGCTCCCATAATTCCCGTGTGTTGTGGGAGGAACCTGGTGGGAGATAACTGAATCACGGGGGTGGTTTCCTCATCCTGTTCTCATGGTAGTGAATAAGTGTCATGAGATTTGATGGTTTTATAAGAGCTTTCCCCTTTCTCTTGGCTCTCATTTCTCTCTTGTTTGCCGCCATGTAAGATGTGGCTTTTGCCTTCCACCATGATTATGAGGCCTCCCCTGCCATGTGGAACAGTGAGTCCATTAAACCTCCTTTTATATTTATTTATTTATTTATTTATTTATTTATTTTTGAGATGGAGTCTCACTGTGTCGCCCAGGCTGGAGTGCAGTGGCCTGATCTTGGCTCACTACAAGCTCTGCCTCCTGGGTTCACGCCATTCTCCTGCTTCAGCCTCTCCGAGTAGTTGGGACTACAGGCGCCTGCCACCACACCCGCCCAATTTTTTGTATTTTTAGTAGAGATGGGGTTTCACCGTGGTCTCGATCTCCTGACCTCGTGATCTGCCCACCTTGGCCTCCCAAAGTGCTGGGATTACAAGCGTGAGCCACCGTGCCCGGCCTAAACCTCTTTTTATTTATAAATTACCCAGCATTGGGTATGTCTTTATTAGCCGCATGAAAATGGACTAATACATTGACATTTAAAATAGGGTAGTCAGGGTTGGCCTCACTGAGAAGGTGACACATGAGTGCAAACTTGAAGGAATTGAGGGAATCAGCCACATGGATACCTAGGGGAAGTATCCCATGCAGAGGGAATACCAATGCAAAGGGCCTGAGGTAGATATGATAGACTGAATAATGACCTCCCAAAATATGTTCATTTGTTAATGCCCAGAACCTGTGAATGTTACTTAATATGACAAAAGGGACTTTGCAGATATGATCAAATTAAAGATTTTGATATGGAAGATTATCTGGATTATTGAAGTGGGTGCAAGGTAATCTAACTCCTTATAAGAAGGAGTGTACAGGAAAAGCCAGAATCAGGAGAAGTAAATGCGGTGATAGAAGCAAGGGTTGGAGTGATGCACTCTGAAGATGGAGGAAGGGGCCCTGAGCCAAGGAATACAGGAGGCCACCAGAAGCTGAAAAAGGCAGAGGAATGGACCTTCCCCTCCGAGCCTCCAGAAGGAACCATCCTTGCTGGAGCCTTGGCTTTAGTCCGGTGAAACTGATTGCAGACTTCTAAACTCCAGACTGTAAGAGAATACATTTGTGTCGTTTTAAGCCACAGACGTTGTGGTAAGTTGTTACAATGGTAATAGGAAATTAGTACACTCTGACTTTGACCAAAATTGTTCAAGCAACAGAAAGTCTAGTGAGACTCGGGGGAGAGAGTGGTACCAGCAGAGGTCAGAGAAATAAAAGGAATGGAGAAGCCCTCCTGAATCCAGTTAAGATTGTTGTGCAGAGGAGTGAAATGAGCTGACTTTTACAATTCACTATGTGTATATGTGTGTGTTTTGGGGGAGGATTTGGGAGGAGCCATAGGTGGTAGAAGAGAGGTAGTTTAGAAACCTATTTCAGTAATCACGTATAGAGATGATGGTAAACCAGATCAGGCAGGTACCAGTGGAGGTGGTGAGATATACTTTAAGATAAGGCCAACAGTATGTCCTGATGAATTAGACATGGGATCTGAGAGAAAGAGAAGAGTCAAGAATGGCTCTAACATATTTGGCCTGAGTAATTGAAAGGCTACAGTTGTCAGTCAACTAAACTGAGGAAGACCACAGGTGGAACGTAGATCTAAAGTTTAAGATATATATTACATATCCAAGTGGAAATCCAATTAGGCAGTCCTACAGGTTGGGAGTTCAGAGGAGGTTCTGGAGTGGAGATACAAATATGGCAGTTGTTGACAATATAGATGCTATTTAGGTATGAGATTAGATGAGATCACTGAAAGGGTAATTGTAGGCAGAGAAAAGAACAAGAAGGCCTAAGCCCTGGAATATTCCATCATTCAGAGGTTAGGGGTACAGGAATGATTGATAAAGAAAACAAAGAAGGAGCAACCAGTGGTGTAGAAGGAAAAACAACCACTTTCTTATCCAAGTGACAACAAACACTTGCATTCTGAATGGAAACACACAACACTCTAGAGCCCAAAGAGGAAGGTCACTGTTGGGAGCCACCTCTCTGTGGGTCTCTTGTTTTTGCACATCTGTGGGCAGAGCACAGAGAGCCTTTATTCCAGATTATCTCTTTAAGAATATTTGTGTAGTGAACAGCCTTGAAAGATATAGTGTTTCCCTCTGTAGCGGCGAGCAGATTTATTGCCCAGTATAATAAAGATAATGCCTCCCTCCACCGCAAAGTTCAGGCTGGTTTGTTAACTCTTATGATAAAAGATTGGGGATTCCAATGCTTGTATTCCATCAGATGTGACATAAACCCACCTGGGCCCCTCTGCATGGCCCTTGAAGGACTTGAGGGTGGAAAGGGAACTGACAAATATGAATCTCATGCTTCTTGCTGTGCTGTGAGTAATAAAGTCCTTTGTCTCTGACCCAGTAGTCTCATGTCTTCTGCCAGCATCTATGAAACTGTGGCAGGCTAACTTATTAGCTTGCAAGTAGGGTAAAATCCTTTCACAGTTCTTGAGAGTCATAGTTCTTCGATTATCTGGATGTGTTGAAAATTGCCCTGTTGCACAGCAATATAAAAACACTAAATAAATGGTGTAGTATTAACAATTTTCAAGGATAGCCTTTCTAGAATTTACCACATACCTTCCCGTTTTCCAAAAGACAAAAGTTCTGAAATAATTTTTGATGTTTCTGGGTTTGATGTGTGGTTGGGCCCCAAAGGCCCACTGAGTTACAGAGTTGTCAGTGTCTTTGTGATTCTCAAACTGTCCTTTATGTAAGAATCACCTAATATGCTTATGAAAAATGTGCTTTTCTGGGCCACACCCTCCAAGATTCTAATATGCGGCTCAGAACCTTACCTTTTAAACAAATCCTCAGGTGATTCTAATGTAAGTGCTTTAGGCCCACACCTTGAGAAATTCTGCTTTATATAAAATGACTCTGGATTAGCAAGGGCCTGACCTCTTTTGGTTATGTTTTATAGTTGTCTACCCTCTCTTCTTACTGTCATTTGTAAATTATTTTTGCTAAATAATTTCTAGCAGTTTATCCTGTTTCATATTTCTGTGCCCTAAGAAACACAATAGCCAAGCCTGTTAGAATAGTGTCTAAATAAAATAGCTTTAAATGAAGATAGAGACATTCCATTGGTGCAACATGTGTGACCTTTGGTGCAAAGCTCTTGTAACTAGATTTGAGCTTTTTAGAGTAATTTTATTTTACTTTTTTGATTAACTGTATTTCAGAGATATATGCTGCCATATAACTGCTATCTGGACAATTGATTGAATTGATTCCAATCCTTTCCTCAAGAGAATTTAAAATAGCTTTTACAATATTTACTGATAACCAGTAGAATTTACTGATAACTAATCCTTTCCCCAAAATAATTTAAAGTATCATATATATGTACATATATATGTATGTATGTATGTATATATGTATATATATATGTATATATACACATATATATGTATATGTGTATACATATATGTATTTTTTTTTTTTTGAGACGGAGTCTCGTTCTGTCACCCAGGCTGGAGTGCAATGGCTCGATCTCGGCTCTCTGCAACCTACGCCTCCTGTTTTCAAGTGATTTTCCTGCCTCAGCCCCGTGAGTAGCTGGAGTTACAGGCACGTGTGCTACCACGCCTGGCTAATTTTTGTATTTTTAGTAGAGATGGGGTTTCACCATGTTGGTCAGGCTGGTCTTGAACTCCTGACCTCGTGATCTGCCCGCCTCGGCCTCCCAAAGTGCTGGGATTACAGGCATGAGCCATTGTGCCTGGCAATAATGTTGATAAAAAGTAATAAAATAGATATAGAAAATCAGATCTATGGAAAAATGGAGAATGCAAAATGATGTCATGTGGATTAAGTCACTGCCATACTGAACGTGATACTTGCTTGTGAGATTCCTGGCAGTCAGTGCAAAAGGGGGAATACAATTAGTTGCATGCTTCTTCTTCTTTAAAAGGAAGAAGCACAGGTCTTAGAAAATACAGGATTTTTTTTTTTTTTTTTTTTCCTGGCAGCATATCCTAGAATACATTTATCTGAGGGGCTTTTCTTTTTCTTAAAATTTTTTTTTTTCAATTTTTTTAGTTTTACTTATCTGTTGTGACCTTCGGGAAGGGGCTTTTCTTTGTAGCAGGCATTGAGTGATAGGTTTGATAATCTACCCAACTATTTTTTTAAGCAGCAAACGCATAGGCAAACGTCTTTTGACTGTTTCTTATAGCAATATTTCGTGGAAGCTTAAGGTATCATTAAAACATAGCTCAGTCAAAGCAATGCTGTGAGAGGCTGAACTCCTGTGGTCCCAGTATATATCATTTTCATAATTTAATAAAGTGAGGTATAACTGTGTTTAATTTTGGAGAAAAAAATGCTTGCAGAGAAAAAGTTCACATTTCTCTCCTGGGATGAATGACTGATGTAATATTTCTCAACGAGACAATTAAACTATGATACATAATGTGCCTACTGCTTTGACCCATTGGGTTAGTTCGTACATGCTACATTACGTTACCTTTCTTACGGGAATCTGCAAATACTTTATGTGAATCCTAGCTGGTTGGGGCTTTTGCTTTGTAGACTGTTGTTCTGCTCACCAAATTGATTAAAACCTGCTTACTTTAAACCCAAGTCTTAAAACTTTAGGGTACTCTTGCACTATTATCATTTGTGCTTGTGCTATATGTTTTGAACATATCATTCATCACACAGTCCTTTGAGGCACTGCATAAAATTACCACTTTGACTATAAGACAATATGTTAGCCAACTGTGACTAAAAAGGTGTTTAGATACTAGCTGTCAGCATGGTTTGAAACACCCACCTAAATATGGAAATTGTGGGAACGGCAAAAAATCCAACGTGCCTCTAAACACAATGTTAAAGAAATACTGACTGCCAATATTGGTCAAAACAGAACAATTTTAGAAAGAGAAGAACCAGCTTATATAAATTGGTAGTAAGTGGAAAAAAGGTAGGCATGTGTCTTTATTTTTAAGTATCTTGCTTACTTTGGAAATAGACAATTGGTTACATAGAACTTTATGATGTGTTGTATCAAAATAAAAATTTTTGCTAGTTTCAGGCTTTTACTGCTATAGGTAGAAATGAACTCTTCTATCCATAGTAAATTTTTGTTGTTGTTGTTATTATTGTTGTTAAATGTATTTTAAAAATAATTTCTTTTAAAAGTTCTTTTAAAAGTCACCAACCAACTTCTTTTTAGGGTATGGAGGTGTTTTTTTCTTTAATAGGTAGAATAATATTTGTGTTTTTAACTGGAGGATGAGCCCAAATTATTTCATATTTCTACTTGAGTGAGATTTTCTATGTTATCTTAATATGCTTTCTACCATTCACCAGCAAGCAGCATAGCAACCGAGATAATTATATAAACACTCTATGTAAAAATATTCTATCTAAATCTGTGTAATTATATAATAACATAATATATAAGCTATATTTTCAGACTACCTCTCAGAGATTGCAAAGCTCTTATACAGATGTGTTCTGGAACATATAGGAATCTGACGGCAAGAGGGGATTTTAAAATTGATGGCAAGGTTGAAAACGGTCTGTGTTCCAGATCTCTCAATTGTTGCCTTGAATACGAAAATATTATTGCAACAGAAACAAGGTATTTGCCACTTCTCAAGAAAATTTTATATGCCCCCAGTACGGTCATCTGAATCAAATGGTTAAACATTCTCATCAAAAATTCTTACCCTCTAAGTGAACAGGTTGGATGTTTTCTAGGATGCTTGACTGGGCATTAAAGAACATCTTGGGGTTGTCATGAGTGGGCAAAGTGGGGACTTAACAGTGGTGGTGAACATAGCTTCCAGCAGCTAAACACATCCTTCTACATGAGTCTTTGCTAATTCTTGGAAGCCAGGCCAATTGGAAAAGAACCCCAATAGGCCAGAGAAAAGTAGAGAATCAAAGTAATTAATAAACATAATGGTTTTATAGGTGACTATGATTGAATGATGAATAAAACCCAGTATAACTGGTAGAAAAGCAAGCTGCTTTTCAGTTTTTGGGATATATTGATCCTATCGTTAGTTGTGGTTCATGAATTGAAAAAGGAAAGGGTGAAGGTTAAAAAACAAAAGCCATTGGCATTTGAATAGGAGCCTCAAAACAGTTGGGAAAAGTAATGACTCAACTTGATTTTCCTTCCTCTGGCAGCTCAGTGTTGTCTTTGTTTTTCCCTATGGGCTTTGTATAAAAGTAATAGGGACTCTTTAAAGGCAAATTATGCTTAAAAATACATAAAGTTGCCATTTGTTGAGCACTGCTATATATTTTTTAATGAAGACCGCATCGCAAAATATCTTACAATTGTACTTGAGCAATTTTCTATGTTATCTTGATAGGCTTTCCACCATTCATAGAAATGGAGAAAAATATAAAAAACAATGTGTACAAATAAAGTATTAAGCAAAAGTGTGCATTCTACCTTGTATCCTATTATCACTGTTGGATGGGCATCCTATCCTATCCCCTGCCCCAACTACTCAGATTGATAAAATTGAGGGTAAGTGGATTTAAGAGGCTTGCTCAAGTTCACATGGCTATTAACTATAGTGTGGAGATCCCCACCCAGGTTTGTGTCTAAATGGGGTATTTAAACCCAAATCCCAAGCCTGGAATTCTTTCCATGAATTTCCTAAATAATGATCTCATACAGCTTTAGCTTGATTGATTATCTTGGAATCAGGCAGAATGACTTCATCACAGAGCACTTATAAAAAGAAAAGTAGTCAAAGAGACTGGTTTCATCAGAAGTGTTTAGAAAGAAATCAGATTTACTCCAAAGGAAAGTTCAAAGGGTTCAAAAGTTCGAAGATCCACAGGAAGGAGGCTTTCCTTCCAAAGGAAGGATTTATGTTTGGGACAAACGTTGCTGTAGGGCAGTGTTTCCTAAATTTACCTTATTATAAGGCTCTCTCGGGGTGCTTGTTAAAGAATACAGAGTGTTAGACTTCTCGCTGAGAGAATCTGGTTCAGTAGGCTTTATGCAGTAGGGCCCAGAAATCTGTATTTTAACAACGACCCTTCTTCCCCACCCCCAAGGTTGTTTTATGATTAGGTAAGTTTGGAAAACACTGCTTAAAAAGGATAGCTCCATATTCTGAATGCCCAGAAACTAACAGAGATATGTCTTTTAAATAGAAGTTAGAAAAAGAGTACAAGTATAACAAAGATTCATCAAGATTGTGTTTAAAGGTAGCTGTTAATAGCCAGCTCTGTGAAAAAGTCAGAGTAAATGGGATTCCAGTAAAATAAAAGACAGTATACATATTATTCAGTGCTCTCTCAGATGCATGTGGCCAAAGAGTGGCTCATTGCAAACCAGTTTAAGCAAAAAGAATGGTGTGGGTGTAGGGTGGGATATATTGGTTCACAAATGCGGGAAAGATCTAAAGGCTTAAATAATGTGTGGGTTTAGCTTCCTGACTGCTGTGCCATCTTCAGGGAAGGATGCGATTGGTCAGCATGAATCATCTGCCCACCCCTATCGTGCGTATGGACTGTGATTGACAGTTACGTGCACCACATGAAGAAAAAAGCAGAGTTCTTCAAACAGCATGATACTGTAAGAGAAGGAATGGGGGACAAGATCTAGGGCTGCAGGATTAAAAAAACAACCAAACCAAACAGCTGCTACTCTTCATACGTGTCATTATTCCTTTCCCTTTATTTTGTGAAATATTTAAGTATTTTTATAAATTGTGATATTAGCTGCTTAAAGTATTGTAAATAAAATTAAATATTGTAATTGAAGATGTATATATAACTCCCAAGGTGGCATTTTGCTGTACATTTCCCACAGCCCAGCTTGAATTGACTTTGCCACTCATTTTTCCATTACCATGGAATAGAGAAAGAATATGGTCTATAGGGCAACTAATGAGCCTCTTCAGGACTTGCCCAACTCCCAAATAATGAATACATCATTATTTCATTCCTTTTTACATCCACACTTCCTTAAATGACCTGTATGAAATGATAAATTATCTCTGAAAATTGATTTCTAATTAAAAGCATCAATTTTGTTAGAGATTTCCAGCGATGTTTCAAAAAAAAATTCTGTGACTTTACTTCCTTGCCTATGCATTGTCTTCTTCCCAAAAAAGGTTTCATTCTCAGTAGTTGCAATAATCAAGCAATAAAATAATGTCTGAACACCTTTTATTGAAAAGTTGAGATTTAAAAAATATTTTAGCATACTAAAAAATATCAGTTATGTTGGCAGCTTTTTAAAGGAAAATATCCTCCTTTGAAATCAAAGATGAAAGAGGCAATGAAGGAAAAACCATTAATTCATCCACTTAACAAATCTTAAATAAAAAGCCCACTATGTGGCACATTATAATAAGCAGTTTCATTTTGGGAGTCTTGGCACATGTTTCTCATTATCAGGGGTAAGATAAGTGTGTCTGCAATATCGATTCTCTACGTCTCTCAGAAATTGGTTGCCTAACAACTTTTTGCTCAATAAATTTTGGAGACTCCTGGGATTGGTGCCTTATCAGAAACATAGGTAGGCAAAGTTGATCTTTTGCACCAGCTCAGCAATTTTTTGGCACTTTTTCCTTGCCTTCTGTTCCATTTCCCTCCGATCTAGTCCTTGCAAACTTTGTGCCCTGAGTGCTGTCCCTTTGGTGCTTCGAAGGACCTGACCAGTAGCACTGTATAGTCCTACTCTCCTACATTGTCCTATCTTCCAGAGTTATCCCTTGTTACCGGTTGTGATAAATTTTGGTTGGTGTTGTAAAATGGCATTATGGTTAGCAACATAGAAATACATGAATCCTATCAGGTTTTCAGGTATTTTTTTTTCTCTGCATTCCTAAAGAGTTTGCAAACATCACAAAAAAAAAAAAAAAAGGAAAAAAATAAAAAAAATGCTTTGCTCACTGTGCTAGGAGGAAGCTCTGGTGAGCTCAGCAGGACTTGCTGGCTCAGGCTGGAGGACCAAGGAGCTTCCTTCTTCTCCAGCCTAAACTAGAACCTTGAGTATTGCTGCCATATAATAAAAGACCTCTATTAGGATTCTTCAGAAAAATTCTTTGTATGATGGTGGCTGAGAAGTCTCACATTTGCTATCTGCAAGCTGGAGGCCCAGGAAAGCCCGTGTTGTAGTTCTAGTCCAAGCTCGGAGGGTAGAGAATCAGAGGGGCCAAGATGTTAGTTTTGGTTTGAGTCCAAAGCACCAAGAACCAGAAGCACCAATGTTTGAAGGCAGGAGAAGACAAATATTCCATCTCCAGAAGAGAAAGCAAATTTGCCCTTTCTTAGCCTTTGTGTTTTATTCAGGCCTTCAAAGGACTGGAAGATGCCCACCCCACTGGGTAAGGGTGGATCTTCTTTACTCAGTATACTGATTCAAACGTGGATGTCTTCTGGAAACACCCTCACAGACACCCCCAGAAATGTTTTACCAGCCATCTGGGCATCCCTCAGCCCAGTCAAGTTCATGCATAAAATTAATCATCATGAGGCCCATTTAGCACACTTCCACTACGTCCGAGAAGATGCAGCCAGGGAGAGACAGATGGATTTCTGGTCTCCCAGGAGGGCCTCCCTGGCTGTCTTGTGGGATAACAAATCCTTAAATGTGCCTCTAAGATTTGTCTCCTCTCCAAGAACACGTTTTAGAAATGGTTTTGAACATGGAGCCTCTCCTAATAACCATGAATTGTTCTGTACTAGCTTTTTCTTCACACTGCACAAACTGGTATTAGTAGATTAGACTTCACTTCTGAAGTGCTAGCTGTAGGCATTTATATGACACTCTTCAGCTCTACTCTAACTGTGGTGCAGTACGGAGGGATGAAGCTGGAAGGCAGAAAATGTATCTAGCTCCCCTCTGCTCCACACTGCCCCTTGACTATAGGCAATTCACTTAGATTCTCTGAACCTCAGTTATCTGATTTAATCTAAGAACACTATTACTGAAATATCCTTCCGAAGGCAAGATAAACTCTTAATGTACCTAACATCTACAAACCCTAAACCTCTTAGGCAGGCTTTTCAGGATCCCAAAGTGTGAGGACTTTTTTTTTTTTAAATCTATTTACTTAAAAGGGATTGAAAATAAAGGCAGAAGCTTCACCTGTCTCTAAAACTTCAGAACAGATCTCCCCAAGAGGCTCGCTTACATCACACTCTCCAGGCTTCCTGGGAGAACAGATGGAAAGAGCTCTTAGACATGAAGCACATGCCCTTGGGACAGCAGGATGGAGACACTATAACCAGAAGAAACTGACTGTGGTCCCAGTTCCTGAAAGCAGTGTCAGGTGGCAAGTAGCTTTAAGAGGGCCAAGGTACTCGTATCTGCCTGTAGATGTGGTTTGGCAGGAACAGTGTTTCTGGGAACAATGAAGGGTTTCTCAGGAAGTAAAAGGCAAACAAAATGAAGCTCAGTGGAGGAAATTCTTTCCTGACTGAAAGTTCGTCTGACATAAAATTCTGTCTATATAAATCTGTTTTGGAATACCTTCTTGATCACCTTGAGAATTAGTGGGGGCTTAGAGAGTTAGCGACTCCTGCTCATAAACTCATTGACTGTTTGGAGAAAGAAAAATTGTAGAAGAAAAAATATTTCTAAGAATATTCATTTGGAAAAACCCCAGTGTATAAACATGCCTTTGAAACTTGCACAAAGAGAGCTTGTTTAGTTTCTAATAAGCAAGGCATTGGTAATAGAGCTGAGAAAGACAGCGCCATCATTACCAATGCACTGCAACCCATGCTCCCCGGGCCTCACCTGTCTATGCACACACAGGTTCATACTGATGGCAATAGCCACATTTCTCTGACTCTTGCCTTCATCTGTTCATGTCTAGGTGTCCCTGGTTCTTCTCTTCTTATTCAGTTATTTCTGGCCATATCCAGTGTGTCTCACTTGTGCTTAAGATAAATTCTCTTGGCTAAAGACAATGCCAAATCTGCCACATTCTGCTTTCCCTCTCTGGTCCTTTTGGTCCCTGTGACCACCCTAGGGGCCACTGCTGCCTGGCTACTGTGGCTTGAATCAGCGAGACTACTCCAAGTGTACTCGGCGAGAGTTGCCTGATGCTCCCAAAGTACCCACCCTGAGGTCTCCAAGCAGCAAGGTTAGAAATGGGGAGGAGGCTTTTGTCCCTTTCTCAGGATCACATTGTTAGCCATTGTTACCTGTTACCTGGATACCAAATGCAGTATGCTGGCTCTACCCTGTGAGTTTTAGAATCTCTCATTTAGCCTGGGCCTGCAGTCTGTCTCTATAAAATGGGGCCTTGGGGCAAGACCTGGGAATTGGAGAGATGGCAGATGTTGCCCTCTTCTCCTCTCCCCCTTCCTCTTCCTCTGTATATGTCTTTGTTTTCTCCCCCCCATGTAAGCCATTTTTTTCTTTTTCAAATAGATGCTTGTTGGCCAACTGCCCCATTTTCTCATATATATGCCTTGAGGAGTAAAATCCTGAAATTTGGGACCCCTGCTTTGCTAATTTATTGTGTTTATTGCTATACTCATTTATGTAAGCTCTCTTTATTTAGGGTTGCCAGGTAAAATGCAGGATTCCCAGTGAAATTTGATTTCAGATAAATAATCACTTTTTGAATAAATGTGTATCAAGTGTTGCATGGAACATACTAAAAAAATTATGTGTTACTTATCTGAAATTCATATCATACTAGGTGTTCTGTATTTTTCTCTGCTAAATCTAACAACTCTAGTTTTTATCACTCTGTTTTAGTGATTTAAAAATATTTAAAAAGCTTTTTATGATCATTTGGATGTAAGTTTTAGAATCCATTCTTTTTTCCTATAAGCTTTTCTTCAGCCATAAATTCCTCTACCAGAGGGCTTTTAGAAATCTAAGCCCAAAGGTTGGAAAGTTGGCTGTCATAATCAAATTTTTTCACAGAGTTGAGAACCTTGGCTTGGAAAGCAGTGATCATAAAATTAGAGAGGGAGGGAGACATTTAATCAAGCATGTGGAGGCTATGAGGCCTGGGTTCCAACAGGATGAGGAGGGTGATTTGAGGAGGTTGGAGGTCTTGGGTATTTTCCAACAGAGCTTTGGAATTCAGAGACCTTTGGGGTCATCACTCATGGCCTCAGTTATTGCTCAAAGCAGGTGTGACCTGACCAGAAAGAGTTGCCCAAAGTTAGAGAACAATATACACACGACATCAGTGAGAAGAGCACACTGGCAATTCTGATAACAGCTACATCTCCCAAGTTTTAATATTCTGTGTTGAAAAATTCTGAACAAAGACTCTGTGGATATATATAAAATGACAGAAAATACTTTTCCCTTAGAGAGAGATGAAAATAGAAATTGTGCCTTGAAAACCTTAACCTAAGAAATACAGTCTTTATTGATCTGAATTGCTAATGCAAAAATACTGTGTTTTTATTTTAAAATCTCTGTCTCTGCCTTAAAATTTTTCATAAATATTGTAGCAGAATATTAGCTTTCATTATTTATGGATCTGTTGAACTTTGCAAGGATTTTCTGTCAGTTAAAGGATAACAATTTTAAGGATAGTTCATTTTACATCATAAATAACCTAAAAGGTCATTCAGTATTTTACAATAACATCCAAAGAGAGTAGATATTGAGAGTAAGTATTAGAAGCTAGATAGAGGAGGCAGAGCAAGGTGGCTGAATAGAAGCCTCTATCAATCATCCTTCCTGCAGGAACATCAAATTTAACAACTGTCTACACAAAAAAAACACCTTCATAAGAACCAAAAATCAGGTAAGAGATCACAGTACATGGTTTTTAACTTCATATCACTGAAAGGGGCACTGAAGAGGGTGGAAAGACAGTCTTGAATTGCTGACACCACCCCTCCCCCATCTCCTGACAGCAGCCACATGGTACAGAGAGAGAATCTGCGTGTGTGAGGGAGGGAGAGCACAGCTATTGTGAGACTTTGCATTGGAACTTATACTGCCAACACTGGGCAGAACTCAGCTGATGCCCATGGAGGGAGCATTCAGACCAGCTCTAGCTGGAGAGCAACTGCCCATCTCAGCGGTCAGAACCTGAGTTTCAGGAAACCTTGCCAAAGTGGGCTAAAGGGCTCTGGATTCTAAATAAACTTGAAAGGCAGTCTAAACCACAAGGACTGCAGCCCTTAGGCAAGTCCGAGTGCTGTACTTGCCTCAAACTGGGGGGGCATATAACCTAGTGAGACAGCAGCTGGGGTGGGTAAGAGAGTGCTTGTGCTACCCCTCCCAGGCAGCACAGCTTGCAACTCTGAAAGAGACCCCTTCCTTCTGCTTGAGGAGAGAAGAGAAGAAAGAGGACTTTGTCTTGCAACTAGGATACCAGCTCAGCCATAGTAGAATAGGGCAATGTGGTCTGGGAGCTAGGGCATGGAATGGGAACCTCATTTCTAGATATACCCCAGGCCAGAAGGGAACCTGTTGCCTTAAAGGGAAGGACCCAGCCCTGGAAGGAGTAATCACCTGCTGACTAAAGAGCTCCTGGGCACTGAATAATCAGTAGCAGTAATCAGGTAGTATACACTGTGGGTCTTGGGTGACACTCTAAGACTTTCTGGCTTCAGGTGTGACCCAGCATATTCAAAGCTGTGATGGTTACAAAGAGAGACTTCTTGAGGAAACATAGGAAAGAGTAAAGGGGACTCTGTCTTTCAGCTTAGTTACCAGCTTGGCCACAGTGGAGAAGAGCATTAAGTAGGCTCTTGATGTCTCTAATTGTAGGCCTTGGCTCTTGGCCAGCTTCTGGGCCTACCCTGGGCCAGAGGTGAGCCCACTGCCATGAAGACTGAGTCCCAGGTTTAGCAGCATTTGCCCCAAGCTGACTGAAGTGCCCTTGGGCCTTAAATGAACATTGGCAGTAGCCTGGCAGTACTCCCTGTGGGCATGTGGCAGTAGTTTTCATGGGGAAAGAATCTTCTGCCTGGAGAAAGGGGAAGGAAGAGTGGGAAGAACTTTGTCTTCTGGTTTGGGTGCCATCTCAGCTGCAGTAGAATACAGCACCAGGTACATTTCTAAGGTGTCTGACTCCTGGCCCTGGCTCCTGCATGGCATCTCTGGACCTGTCTAGGGCCTGGGGAAGCTTGCCATCCTGAAGGGAAGAACACAAGCCTGGCTTACTTTGCCACCTACTTACTGTAGAACTCTAGGGCCTTGAACAAACATAGGTGATAGCCAGGTAGTGGTTATAGTGGGTTTTGGGTGAGACCCAGTTCTGTGCTGGCTTCAGGTCAGTCTGACACAGCAGAGACCCAGTGGTAGTGGCTCAGGGGTGCTTGTGTCACTCCTTCCCCAGCTCCAGGCAGCTCAGCACAGACAGGGAGAGACTCTACTTGTTTGGGAGAAAGTAAGGGAAGAGAACAAAAGTCTATCCTTGGTAATCCAGAGAATTCTTCTGTATCTTCTCCAAGACCACCAACGTGGTATCTCTGCAAGTCTGAAAGAACCATAGCATTACTAGGCTTGGGGTACCCTCTAATGCCCATATGACTGCAGTAACCAAAAACTTAGATCATAACACCCAAGTCCGTTTGAATACCTAGAAAGGCTTTCCAAGAAGGATGGGTACAAACAAGCCCAGATTGTGATGACTACAGTAAATACCTAACTCTTCAATGCCAGACACTGATGAACATCCATAAGCATTAAGACTATCTAGGAAAACATGACATCACCAAACTAACCAAATAAGGCACCAGAGACCAATCCCGGAGAGACAGGTATATAAGACCTTTCAGACAGAGAATACAAAAATAGGTTTTGAGGAAATTCAAAGAAAATCAAGATAACATGGAGAAGGAATTCAGAATTCTATTGGATAAATTTAACAAAGATGTTGAAATAATTAACAAGAATCAGGCAGAAACCCCAGAGCTGAAAATTGCAATAGACATACTAAAGAATCAATCAGAGTCTCTCACCAGCAGAATTGATCAAACAGCAGAAAGAGTTAGCTTGAAGACAGGCTATTTGAAAATACACAGTCAGAGGAGAGAGAAGGAAAAAGAATAAAAAAGAGTGAAGCATGCCTACAAGATCTAGGTCTAATAGCTCCAAAAGGCCAAATCTAAGAGTTATTGGTGTTAAATAGGAGGCAGAGAGAGAGAGAGTTAGAAAGTTTATTCAAAGGGATAACAACAGGGAATTTCCCAAACCCAGAGGAAGATACCAATATTCAAGTACAAGAACGCTATAGAACACTAAGCAGATTTAATCCAAAGAAGACTAACTCGAGGCATTTAATAATCAAACTCCCAAAGGGCAAGGATAAAGAACCCTAAAAGCAGCAAGAGAAAATAAATAATATGCAATGGAGCTCCAATGTGTCTGGCAGCAGACTTTTCAGTGTATATCATATAGGCCAGGAGAGAGTGGCAGGATATATATATGTAAAGTGCTGAAGGGAAAAAAAATGAAAACCTTTTACCCAAAAATTGGATATCCAGTGAAAATATCCTTCAAATATGAAGGAGAAATTAAAACCTTCCCAGACAAATAAAAGCTGGGGGATATCATCAACACCAGACCTGTCTGACAGGAAATACTAAAGGGAATTCTTTAATCTGAAAGAAAAACATGTTAATGAACAATAAATCATCTGAAGGTACAAAACTCACTAGTAATAGTACATAGACAAGCACAGAATATTATGACACTATAACTGTGGTGTGTAAATGACTCATGTCTTCAGTAGAAAAATGAAAAGGTGAACTGATCAAAAAGAATAGCTATAACAACTTCTCAACACATAGTAAAATGAGATATAAATAGAAACAACAAAGAGTTAAAAAGCAGGGAGACAATGTTAAAATGTAGAGTTTCTAATAGTTTTATTTTGCTTGTTTATATAATCAGTATTAAGTTATCAGTTTAAAGTAATGAGTTAAAGATAGTATTTGCAAGCTTCATGGTAACTTCAAATCTAAAACATACAATGGGTACACAAAAAATAAAAAGCAAAACATTAAAACATAGCATCAGAGAAAAATCACCTTCACTAAATAGTAGACAAGAAAGAAGGAAAAAAGGAATATAAGATCACGAAACAACCAGAAAACAAATGACAAAATGGTAGGAGTAAGTCCTTACTTATCAATAGTAACATTGAATGTAAATGGAGCAAACTCTCCAACCAAAAGACATAGAGTGGCTGAATGGATACACAAGACCCAATGATCTGTTGCCTACAAAAAACACCCTTCACCAATAAAGACACACAGAGGCTGACAATAAAGGGATAGAAAAAGATATCCCATGCAAATGGAAACCAAAAAGGGGCAGAAGGATTTATACTTATATCAGATGAGATAGATTTCAAGACAAAAACTATAAAAAAGACAAAGAATGTCATTATATAGTGATAAAGCAGTCAATTTAGCAAAAGGATATAACAATTATAAATATATATGCATTCAACACTGGAGCAACCAGATATAGAAAGCAAGTATTATTAGTGCTAGAGAGAGAGGTAGACCCCAAGGCAGTAATAGTGGGAGACTTCAACACCCCACTTTCAACATTGGACAGATTATCCAGGCAAAAATCAGCAGAGACTTTGGACTTAATCTGTACTATAGACCAAATGGACCTAAGAGATATTTACAGAACATTTCATTCAGTGGCTGCAGAATACACATTCTTCTCCTTAGCACATGAATCACTTGCAAGGATAGACCATATGTTGGGCCACAAAACAAGTCTTAAAATACTAAAAAAATTGAAGTAATATCAAGTATCTTCTCTAACAACAATGGAAGAAAACTAGAAATCAATAATGAGAAATTTCAGAAACTATACAGGCATACAGAAATTAAACAATATGCTCCTGAATGACCAACGGGTCAATGAAAAAATTAAGATGAAAATTGAAAAATTTATTGGACCAAATGATGGTGGAACCACAACATGCCAAAACCTATGGGGTACAGTGAAAGCAGTACTAAGAGGGAATTTTAGAGCTGTAAGTACCCACATAAAAAAGTAGAAAAACTTCAAATAAACAATCTAATGATGCATCTTAAAGAACTAGAAAAGCAGGAGCAAATCAAACCCAAAGTTAGTAGAAAAAAATAAAGATCAGAGCAGAAATAAATAAAATTGAAATGAAGAAAGCAATACCTAATGATCAATGAAACAAAAAATTGGATTTGATAAGATAAACAGAATTGACAAGAGCCTAGCCTGACTAAGAAAAAAAGAGAGAAGACCCAAATAAATGAAATCAGCAATGAAAAAAGGGACATTACTGCTGATACCACAGAAATTCAAAGGATCATTAGTGGGTACTGCAAGTAACTATATGCCAATAAATTGGAAAACCTAGAAGAGATGGATAATTTCCTAGACACAAACAACCCACCAAGATTGAACTATGAAGAAATCTAAAACCTGAACAGACCATAAGAAGTAAAATCAAAGCTGTAATGAAAAGTCTGTCAGCAAAGAAAAGCCTGGGACTCAATGGCTTCACTGCTGAATACTATCACACACTTAAAGAAGACCTCATACTTATCCTACTCAAACTATTCCAAAAAATAGAGAAGGAGAAATACTCCAAAATCATCCTGTGAGGCCAGTATTGGGGTATACCAAAACCAGACAAAGACATACCAAAAAAAAGGAAATTATAGGCTAATATCTCTGATGAACATTGATGCAAAAATCTCCACCAAAATACTAGCAAACCAAATTTAACAATACATTAGATCATTACATTACATTAGATCATTTACACTACATTAGATCCTTTCATTACAATACATTAGATCGTTACATTAGATCATTTAACAATATGGAAGATCATTCATCATGACCAAGTGGCATTTATCCCAGAAATGCAAAGATGGTTCAACATATGCAAATCAATCAATGTGATACATTGTATTAACAACATGAAGGATAAAAACCATATGATAATTTCAATTGATGCTGAGAAAGCACTTTGTAAAATTCAACATTCCTTCATGATAAAACCCTCAAAAAACTGGGTATAGAAGGAATTACCTCAATGTAATAAAAGCCATATATGACAGGCCCACAGCTAGTATCATACCAAATGGGGAGAAACTGGAAGCCTTTCCTCTAAGATCTGGAACAGGACAAGGATGTCCACTTTCACCACAGTTATTCAACATAGTACCAGAAGTCCTAGCTAGAGTAATCAGACAGGAAAGAAAAAGAAATATAGGAAATCCAAACTGGAAAGGAAGAGGTCAAATTATCATTGTTTGCAGATGATATGATCTTATTTTGGAGAAACTAAGGACTCCTTAAAAAACTATTAGAACTGATAAATTTAGTAAAGTTGCAGGATACAAAATCAACATACAAATATTAGTAGCATTTCTACATGCCAATAGTGAACAGTCTGAAAAAGAAATAAAGGGAGTAATCCCATTTACAATAGCCACAAATAAAATTAAACACCTGGAAATTAACCAAAGAAGTGAAGGATCTCCACATTGAAAACTAAAATCGAAGAGGGCATAGAAAATGGGAAGATATTTCATGTTCATAGATTGGAAGAATCAATACTGGATTGGAAGATTCAATGCAATTCCTATCAAAATACCAGTGACATTCTTCCCAGAAATAGAAAAAAAAATTCTAAAATTTATATGGAACCACAAAACACC